>NC_000004.12:65171381-66421381 GCF_000001405.40 Homo sapiens | reverse complement strand
TCTTCATGCTTTCCTTATTACCAGCCTTATGCTTTATTGTGCTTGTGACTCTTTCTTCTTTTGTACTTAACATCACTTTATTGATTTTTGTAGTTATTATTTTTGATGTCCCTATTATCCCAATGAAGTATAAATTGAGAGGGCCGAATTTCTGTTTTGTTCAAAATTCTATCTCTGCTGCCTAGAATAGTGTTTTGCACATAATATGTGCTTAGATATTTTTTCCTTTCTTAAATGACCGAATGCAAATGTCACATGCCTACTCAAGTTGCCTTATGGTCTAAATTGACTATTGTTATTCTAATCATCATATCAATGTTCTAGGCCTGAAAAAGAACAAGAAAAAATGATAGAATAGGCTTTGCCCAATTCCTGTTTTTACTTGAAGGAACTTCCCCCAAAATTTTACAGAAACAAAAAAAAGGCATCCACTTTCATAATATTGGTCACTCCTATCAATAAATGGCATCAATATTTTCTTTCCATGAATCCAGACCAGACTTGTGATTGTAGCAAAAATAGTCCCAAGTAAATTCCACATCTGCTTACAATAGGCAATACAATGTATTTCTAGTTCCTTTGGTACTTCCGCTCTTGTAGCCCAGTTACCATATTGTGAGGAAGCCCAAGCTGCATAGAGGTCATGTGTAGATTTGTGACATCTTTTGCTGATATCTAAGTTGAAAGCTAGAGTTAAACACAAGATACGTGAGTGAAACTCCTACAGATAATAAGAACCTCAGCACTGGGTCTTCCTACATAAGGCTCCAGACCTTACAGAACAAAGGCAAGACACCCTCACTGTACCTTGTTTGAGTTAATGGCCCTCAGAATACACAAACTTAATAAAATTGATGTTTCATGCAAGTAAGTTTTGGAGTGGTTTGCTCTGGAGCAATAGGCATCTGGAACATGCATATTAAATTAGTATTTTGGCTTTCAAACATAATCTAGGCTTTGTTATTAATTGCTCAACTAACATTCTACCACAATTCCCTTTATCTTATTGCACTTCTAAGAATATGGTTATAGTTTCAGCTTTATAATAATAGGTATAGAAATAATAAAACTATTAAGACCTTTCATATTAGAATTGTAATTATCTTATCTTTATGTGTTTTGACTGGGCATAGAATTGTTTCTTAAAAATCATCTTTTTTCAGTATTCCACTCTCTGCTGTATCCTAGCCATTAGTATTGCATGCTGCCCAGGAGTCTAATGTCCCTGATTCTCAATATTTTTATGAAACATGGGTTTTTTTCTCCTCTGCAAGATTTTCTAAAATATTTTCTTTACATCCTCAGTGCTACTAAATTTCATTACATTTTGTCTCAGCATGAGAGTTTTTTAATTTATTTAACGGAGCACTCGGCAGACACTGTTAATCTTGAAAATATGTTTTATTTCTGTATTTTGGAATAATATACTTCTTTGGTAATTTCTCTCCTACTATTTTATTTGTTTTCTCTTTAAGGAGCTCTTATTATTAAAATGTTAGGCTGCTTAGGTTAATCTTCTAGTTTTCTTTTTCTCTTTTATATCAACTTTCTGAAATGTGTTCTCAATTTTATTTCAAAATGTTCTTCTTCCTCTGTGTTTTTGTACTTCCTTTTTTCAAAATAAGTATGTGTGAGTTTTCTGTAGTTTTTTCCTTTCATGACACATTTTTTTTTCTTTGAATGTCTCATAGTTTTGGCTGTGTCCTTATATAAAAGTTAGATAATTAAAGTAAAAGCACCTACTACACCATGTAAATGGATTTTCTAGGGCAGAATTTTAGTTTTCTGGAGTTTCAAATCATCTTTTTAATATTCTTTCTTTTATTTTTAATGAACAGATAATTACTGTATATATTTGTGGCATACAATGTGATGTTTTGATACATGTATACATTGTGGAATTATTAGATCAAGGTAATTAACATCTTCACTCTGTTATATTCTTAATAAGGCAGGAAGCTTATGCCTTCTTTGTAATACCTCTTAATTCTCTTACCTCCTTAATTATGAATTGTTTTTACTTATCCTCTGATTCATATAAAGTTTATAATGAAAAAAATAACAGTTGCTAGACTTTTGCATATATGGGATGGGAAGGAGAACACTTAGGAGCTTAAAATAGAAAAGTTCTATTCTTTGCTGCCCCTCTCAGTTATTCATGTGGATTTTGCTCTTCCAGTTCCTTCTTCAATACTATGATTTTGCAGATTCTGTATTAGTAGTAGTATTATTATTCTCTCCAAAACTCCTCTTAGAGACATGACTCCCACTTTTACTACTGCCTTCTCTGCGTATTCCTTTTTTTTTTCAGATCCTTCAACAAGGCAATCTGATCCATTTTCTCCTTTCCCCATATTTCAAAGTGTATTATCTACTAACATCCTAATTTTTTAACATCCTTGACATTCTTATGTATCAATGAGGTTTACAAAAAAAAAAATATCTGAAAAATGTTTTTGATCAGACCTCCCTCCCAGCCTACTAGGTCCGGTGGTCCTTTTATTTGTTCCTTTATTCTAATCTTAGAATGGAGCAACTTTCAGTAATAACAAGACCAAAGACTGATGACGGAAAAGTAGGTGCTTATCCTATAGTTTTTTCATACAATTTGACATGGGACATAATTTTTATTAGCTTTTTCTATTGTTGTTTTTTTGTTTGTTTGGTTCGGTTTTGTTTTCGTTGTTTGGCGAGGGCATAAAGTGCTGGTTGAGACTGACCAAATTTTTCTGCATTTAAACACAGTTGAGAAATGACCATGTCCTACTAAAAACTCACTGAAAGATGTACTATACCTAGATAACTGGTAAAAGAAATTTACAAAACTATCAAACAAGGCAGAAACTCACACACAAAAAATTTATAGACAAAAAATGTTGAGATATTAGCATTCAAATGGATTAGGTACACCTGACTACAATATAAAAAGGCATTAATGTGAAGAGGCAGCATTTGTGTGGGAGATCAAGATTTGCTATGTGCAAGAGGGAAAGAAAATGCAGTTAGTTCAGAAAACAAAAAGAACAAACATCAACAAGTCAGAGAAATTAGGAAGTAGAATTGATATCAATTAATACATATGTATGTATTTATGTATTTATTTCGAGACAGTCTCGCTCTGTTACCCAGGCTGGAGTGCAGTGGCGTGATCTCAGCTCACTACAACCTCCGCCTCCCAGGTTCAAGCGATTCTCCTGCTTCAGCTTCCCCAGTAGCTGGGATTATAGATGCATGGCACCACACCGGGCTAATTTTTTGTATTTTTAGTAGAGATGGGGTTTTACAGTGTTAGCCAGGATGGTCTTAATCTCCTGACCTTGTGATCTGCCCGCCTCAGCCTCCCAAACTGCTGGGATTACAGGCATGAGCCACTGCACCCAGCCAATATCAATTGACCTTGATTCAGGAGGTTCGGTGGATGGTGGAGTTTAGTTAGAGCAAAAGGCTTATGAAAGGAAATAAAATATCATAGGCAGTGGTGAAAGAATAGAGTGTGTGCTTTATCGGGCATCCTATTGTCAGGTAATTGCATATTGAAAATACATATATAATGAAGTGACAATAAAAGATTCGGGTTTCAGGAAGATGATTTTTGGAACTCTCAGCAAAACAGACTGGTGGGAGAGAGAAACCATTGTCAGAGTGGAAGAAAGGTAGAATTTCAACCGATATTGAATAAATCAAAACTGACTGGTGGGAGAGAGAAACCATTGTCAGAGTGGAAGGAAGGTAGAATTTCAACAGATATTGAATAAATCAAATTAACAGAATGTATCAAATAATTGAATGTAACAAGTGAAGAGAGAAACAAATCAAGGTTTCAGTCAGTATGATAAAGAATATGGTAAAGTCATTTGTCGATTATGTATGAGAAGAAAATAATAAATCTTATTTTAGACATATTACATTACAAATGTCAGAATGCTACTGATACTGACACAGGTAGCAAGATGTAGGTAAAATGTAGGGATAGAATTAAGAAAAGATGACTGGGCTACATATTATGAAACAACTACAAAGCATAGATAGTCAAGGCTTTCACGAAGAAAAATACTTCCAGGAAAATATAGAGGTAGAAAGTGGAATTAAATGTAACAGAAGAGAAAGAGACCTTTAAAACTTGCCTTTATTGGGGGAACTAAAGAAGACAGAAGCAACAGAGAAGATACGCAGCATTTTCTTAAGACGCAGGCAAAAGTCTAGGAGGTAATAGTGTCTCGGGAGTCATGGGAAGAGAAAGTTTCAAGAATCAAGGCCAAAAGGGATCAATACTGCAGAAGAAACAAACAAACAAAAGAATAAATCTAAAAAGAGGATCATTAGATTTGATTACTGTGAGTCGATTAACCTCTGGCATTACGTGATAAGAACAGGAAAGGTTGGACAGAGTTGTTTTCCTTGACTGTCAAAACATCAATCCTGTAAAATAGGGACTGCATTATACATTGTTTGTCTCTAGGAGACAATAAGAAAACAGCAAAAAAGTGCTAGAAATTATTGATAAACAGTTTTTTTTAACTCTTTCATGTGTTTACAAATTGAGTAATACCCAAACATAATGCCTTGGGGGACGTTGAGTCTTAGGAAAGGCAGAATGACTGTATAGTTTGTGGAGTGATTCCAGCATGAGCTGATACTCTAGTCAGATAAATTACTTGATTTTTATAATTGAGTTCTAAAGTAGTGTGGCAGTTGACTATTGCCTTCCTCAGTGCAGTGATAATGAAGGTCACTGGAGGGTCTGGACCAGAACTCTCTGCTTTCTGTCGCCTGTCCCCATCATTAGATAATCCATCCTCATGTCAGAAGGTTTTCACTTCCGGCATCATTCTCTCCATTTGCATTGTGCTTTTTATGCAGCTGCTGACCTTTTTTCCATTAAAATCATTGTTGTCCTAATCACAATCTATTCTGTTCAGCACTTTCGTAATGTCTGTCACTTAGAAAATTAACATGGCCATAAAATTAGCATAGTCTGATGGTTTGAAATATATCGTGTAACTTTCTAAACTGTTAGGCTTGCAGACATATCCTGAGTTCTTGCTATTGTACTAGTGAGTTTCTAAGAAAAGGAAAGAAAAATCATAGTGTGATAATTTTTAGAACAAATATATTAATTTGTGATAATCTTATTAATATCTGCAACTTAGACCTTTGACTGCCAAGTAATATGTATCTATTATTCAGAATGGCTTAAGTATAAGAAGAGAATGTGCATGTTTGCCTAGAAAATCAGACTTAAACCCATCTGACAGATTGCCCCTAAATGTCACACCTTCACAAGGGCCCCAGGCTATCACTGAAATATCATTAGGTTAGGTAAACTATAGTATTACCATAGCATAAAGTCTCTTCCAATCCTTTATGAGTCTCTCCTGTATAATTTGTGAAATGAAGATAGTGATATTGCCTGCCATTTATTTCACAAGGTTGTAGGAATCAAATGAGATCATTCTTGTGAAACTATTTTGTAAACCTTAACGCATTATATAAATTTAACTTAAGATATAAAATTTGTGAATGTATACAGCTCTTGGAGACACATTTATCTGTTATGAATTATCAATATCATATTATGAATCTAGTTCATGATTGTGGAATTTGTAAGAAAACCTGACTTGAGCAGACCAGAGTTAATAAAAAAAGAAAAAGATAGCTTTGGACACAGGTTGCTTGCCTAGGAAGAATACCTAGGATTTCCAGAGAAAATCTGGGCAGTCAAGGCTCTGAGTCTATGGTTCACAGTAGGACTGGGAGAGGGAGAGTGGTCCCTGACAGGAGCATAAAACTCAAAAGGCGTAAATTTAAAAGGACTTTAGAGCAGTTTTTCAGAAAGCATGCTTGGTATGATCAAGTTTTTACTGGTTCTTATAAAATATTAAAATTGTTTTAAAAGGCTAATGCAGTGGGTGTTTATTTAAGACAAATTTATTTAAAGTAAAGGAAATATTTTATTTAGATACTATGTATTTTCTACTTTTTCTCGAGGGGTCGGGAGTGGTATTATGTTCTAACGCTGTTTTTTTTTTTTTTTTTTTTTTTTTGCCTGTTTTGTTGTGGTATAATTTAAGTACAGTAGAATTTATACACTTCATTGTACAAGGTGATGAGTTTTTACAATTTTATACAGTAGTGAGCCCACCAACACAGTAATGACAGGAAATCTCCAGCACCCAAGAAATGTCCTTTGTACGTTTTCAGTCCATCTCCTTCTACCACCCCCTGCCTCTGGAAACCACTGATCTGCTTTCTGTCACAATCATATTGTCTTTTTGAGAATTTCATATAAATACAATAATAAATAAAATACACAGTCATTTGTGTCAGACCTCTTTCATTTAGACTAATGTTCTTCAAATTCATTCTTTCCATATATTTGCATTCACTTTTTGCATACATTACAGACTTGTTTCTTTTCATTGCTAAGTGGTATTTCATTTGATAAAGACACAATGTTTTCTTTATCCATTCTGTAGGTGATGAACATTTGGGTTGTTTTCATGTTTGAGCTACAATAAATACAGTTGTAATTAACTTTCAAATACTAATTTTTGAATGGACATGCATTTTTATTTCAATTCAGTAAATAAGAGGGAGGTTGTTGAGTCATATTGTAAATATTTGTTAACTTTATAGTAAGCGGCCAAGCTCTTTTTTTTTTCTTTTTTGTAATTATACTTTAAGTTCTGGGATACATGGGTAGAACACACAGGTTTTTTACATAGGTATACATGTGCTGTGGTGGTTTGCTGCACCCATCAACTCGTCATCTACACTAGGTATTTCTCCTAATGTATACCCCCCAACTCCCCAACAAACCCCAATGTGTGATGTTCCCCTCCTGGTGTCCATGTGTTCTCATTGTTCAACTCCCACTTATGAGTAAGAACACGCAGTGTTTGGTTTTCTGTTCCAGTGTTAGTTAGCTGAGAATGACGGTTTCTAGCTTCATCCATGTCCCTGCAAAAGACATGAACTCATCTTTTTTATGGCTGCATAGTATTCCATGGTGTATATGTGCCACATTTTCTTTATCCAGTCTATCATTGATGGGCATTTGGGACCATTCCAAGCCTTTGCTATTGTGAATAGTGCTGCAATAAACATATGTGTGCCTGTGTCTTTATAGTAGAACAATTTATAATCCTTTGGGTACATACCCAGTAATGGGATTGCCGGGTTAAATGGTATTTCTGGTTCTAGGTCTTCGAGGAATAGCTACAATGTCTTCCACAATGGTTGAACTAATTTACACTCCCCTCAACAGTGTAAAAGCCTTCCTATTTCTTCATGTCCCCTCCAGCATCTGTGTTTCCTGACATTTTAATGATTGCCCTTCTAACTGGGATGAGATGGTATCTCATTGTGGTTTTGAATTGCTTTTCCCTAACGACCAATGATGATGAGCTTTTATTCATATGTTTGTTGGCAACATAAATGTCTTCATCTGAGAAGTGTCTGTTCATATCCTTTGCCCACTTTTTGATGAGGTTGGTTTTTTTTTTTTGTTGTAAATTTGTTTAAGCTCCTTGTAGATTCTGGATATTAGCCATTTGTCAGATGGATAGATTGCAATACTTTTCTCCCATGCTATAGGTTGCCTATTCACTCTGATGATAGTTTCTTTTGCTGTGCAGAAGCTCTTTAGTTTACTTAGATCCAATTTGTTAATTTTGGCTTTTGTTGCCATTGCTTTTGGTGTTTTAGACATGAAGTCCTTGCCCATGCCTATGTCCTGAATGGTATTGCCGAGGTTTTCTTCTAGGTTTTTTATGGTTTTAGGTTTTACATTTAAGTCTTTAATCCTTCTTGAGATAATTTTTGTATAACGTGTAAGGAAGGGGTCCAGTTTCTGTTTTCTGCATATGGCTAGCCAATTTTCCCAACACTACTTATTAAATAGGGAATCTTTTCCCCATTGCTTGTTTTTGTCAGATTTGTCAAAGATCAGGTGATTGTAGATGTGGGCATTTTTTCTGAGGATTCTGTTGTTTTCCATTGGTCTATATATATGCTTTGGTATCAGTATCATGCTGTTTTGGTTACTGCAGCCTTGTAGTATATTTTGAAGTGTGGTAGCGTGATGCCTCCAGCTTTGTTCTTTTTGCTTAGGTTTGTCTTGGCTAAATAATAAGAGCTATTTATGACAAACCCACAGCCAATATCATACTGAATGGGCAAAAGCTGGAAGCATTCCCTTTCGTAACTGGTGACAGACAAGAATGCTCTCTCTCACTGTTCCTATTTAACATAATATTGGAATTTTTGTCCAGGGCAATCAGGCAAGAGAAAGAAATAAAGTGTACTCAAATAGGAAGAGAGGAAGTCAAATTGTCTCTGTTTGAGGATGACATGATTGTATATTTCGAAAACTGCATCGTCTCAGCCCAAAATCTCCTTAAGCTGATAAGCAAGTTCAGCAAAGTCTCAGGATACAAAATCAACGTGCAAAAAATCACAAGTATTCCTGTACACCAATAAAAGACAGAGAGCCAAATCATGAGGGAACTCCAATTCACAATTGCTGCTAAGAGAATAAAACACCTAGGAATACAACATACAAGGGATGTAAAGGACCTCTTCAGGGAGAACTACAAACCACTGCTCAAGGAAATGAGAGGACACAAATAAATGGAAAAGCATTCCATGCTCATGGATAAGAAGAACCAATATCGTCAAAATGGCCATACTGCCCCAAGTAATGTATAGATTCAATGCTATCCCCATCAAGCTACCAATGACTTTCCTCACAGAATTAGAAAAACTACTTTAAATTTCGTATGGAGCCAAACTTTTTTAATGTAGCTACGCTAATTTGTATTTCACTTCTATCATCAATCTTTGAGACTTCTATTTACTCTACAACCTTGCCAACAATTTATTATCAGTCTTACTAATTTTAGTCATTCCAGTGGGTATGCAGTGGTATCCCTTTGAGGTTTTAATTTGCACTTCTCTAATGACTAATGATATTTAGTATCTTTTAATGTATTTCTTTAATGGAAGTTATGTTTAAGACTTTTTTCTAGGTTTAAATTGATTTGTTCATTTTCTTATATTTGAGTTATAAAGTTTTAAACTTCATAAAGTTCTTAACATATAATGTTTTTTACATATTCTTGATATAAATTCTTTGTAAAATAGATGGTGTCCAAATATTTCCTAAACATTTGTGTATTGCATTTTCATTTTCTTAAGTGTATTTTTAAAGAGGAACGTTTACTTTTTGGATAAAATCTAATCCTTTTTTTTTTTTATCTTTTTGGTTCATACATTTTGTGTTTTATCTAAGACTCATTTGCCTATCTCATGGCCAGGCAGAATTTAAAACCTTTTTTTTAGAAGGTTTGTAGTTTAAACACTTACTTTAGGGTCTATATTTCATTTCGTGTTAAATTTTGCAAATAGTTTAATATAAGAATTTGGATCCTTTTAAAAATATGAATGTTTAATTTCTTAGCTCTATTTGTTGAAAAGATTATTAATCCCCCACTAAACTACCTTGATTCATTTGTCAAAAATTAATTGACAAACTCTACACTCTGTTCTGTTCTATTAGTCTACATATTTATCTTAACATCAATATTTACTTGATTGCTATGGTTGTATCCTAAGTTTAGGAATCGATTAGTGTAATTCCTCCAATGTTTCTTTAAATTTCATTACTTATTTCATATAATGTTTCATCTCCACACACATTTTAGAAACACTTTGTCAATTTTTGCTATATCCTAACTGGATTTTGATTGGGATTGCATTGTATCTAAAGATTGGTTAGAAGACAATTGACACCTTATTTATATGGTGTCTTCTGATCACAAATATAAAATCCCTTCCTTTATTTAGATCTTTTTAAACTTTTCCAAGGATATTTTGTTTCATACAAGTTTTGTACATTCTTTATTCAATTTATCACTATTTTATTTTTGAGATTATTGCAGAAGATATGTACAAATTGTAATTTCTAATTGTTCACTGTTAACCTATAGAAATACAGTGAACTCATATAGTGATCTTGTATTCTGTGAGCTTACTCACGTTGCAGAACCAGTAAATATTCTTGTGGACTCCTTAAGATTTTCTACGTAGATGATTATGTGGTTTACAAATAAAGTCAATATTACTCTTGCTTTCAGCCTGTAACTCTTTATGTATTTTTCTTGTGTTATTGCACTGATTTTGCTTTCTTGTACAATATTGAATACCAACATTTAAGCCAGACATATATACTTTATTTTAAATCTGAAGAAGAAAACATCTAGTTTTTCACCATAGAGTAGAATATTAGTTGTTGATATTTCTTATATTTCCTTTTGCAGACTGAAGAAGTTCACTTCTATACTTATGTTGTACCTTATTTAATAACGCATGGATGCCCATTACAGTTTTTGTGAGATATTTTATAAAAAATGTGTATTGAACTTTATTTTTTTTCTGTTTGTGGAAATAATCATATTATTATTTTCTTTGTTAAGATAGTGATTCACCTTGATTAATTGTTGAATGGTAAATCAAACCTGTGTCGATGAAACAAACCTCTCTTGTATGAATATTATTGTTTTTACATATTTGTGGATTTGATTTGTTGTACTGCCATATTGCCAGATTAATTTTACTAAATTTGATCTAGTCATAGTTAAGTGTTCTTTTAACTGGGGTTTAACATATGATTTGAAAAGTAAGGAGAAGGCATTGTTTCATAAGACTACCTAAAACAAATGTCCACTGTTTAATTTTTGGATTATTTTCTGAATTTTCATCTGTGCATTTTCTTTATCATTATATTTTTTCTTAATTTATTTACATATAACATTCAAAACTTTGGAACTTAGTATTCCAGGTAAGCTTCTCTACTATCCTGAGTTATGGTACATCAGACTTAGGAATTATGTTTTTATTCTCTGAAATAAGTGTTTTTTCTTAATACTGTGTGCATACAACTCAAGGCATTTTTGTAATGTCTAACACTTCTCACACTTTCCACAAATAATTTCACAAGAATTTCAGGCATAAATATCTCTATCTGCCTATGTATTTATTCATCTGTCTATCCATCATCTGTCTTTCTGAACATAATTTGTCATGAAATTAGCAGAGTAAAAATTCACATGATTTGCATTTCTATATAATTCTCTTATTCTTGAAACATTAAAAAATATAAAGGGCATGCACATATTGAATAAGGGACTACAGAATGGAAAATACACTGCATGTCATTTGTCCTTAAGATACTGAAACAAAGAAATAGCTATTTTTTAAGTGTTTAAGCTCAGAAGTGAGGGTTGATGTATTGAAGAGGAATTTTTTGATTAAAAGCCAATGTTAGTCTTGTGAAAAAGTGTGATGTGTACTGAAAAAAACACAAGCCTGTAACACCTTCTTTATTAAGCTGCTTTTTTTTTCTCCTATATTTGTATGAAATGTGGTTGTGAGAAATATTTGTATTTTTACCAACGGATGCTCAAAATTTATTTCATGAATAAATGAAGTTAGGTTTGAAATTTGTTTCCTAATCCTGTGGACAACATAGTCATCAACCTTAAATTTTACATCAGGAAAATATTTGGTGCCAGTTGCAGTGGCTCATGTCTGTAATCCCACTACCTTTGGGAGGTCGAGAGGGGAGGATCATTTGAGCCCAGGAGTTTGAGACCAACCTGAGCAACATAGAAAGACCCCATCTCTTAAAAAAAAAAAGAAAAGAAAATATTTTTGTTGCTACTGATTAGAAACTTATTTTAATATAAACAACCACAACTTAGTTAAATGCATAGAAAATTCATGAGTTTGACAGCCCTGTTCAAATATATCATTTAACTTTTAATAAGCTCCTGATACTGGAAACTTTTAGGGTAGCAACAACATTCAAGTGTCCTGGGAATTTCCAATTACATTAATGGGCCTCCTTAGAGAAGTCGCAATATAGAATTATTCCCCTGGGATCTAAGGTCATGTTTTATTTTAAAAAGAGTTTGAGGTTAACATATCTGATCCCAGAAACCCCAGGCTACCTAACCTTTAATGGAATTGAACATGAGAGCCTACTCAATTGTCTTTGAGCTTAGCATCTCCAACATATTTATTATGCAAGTAAACGTGTACCAAAATTATTCCTGAAAGAATATGAAAATATTACATTTGAGATGCAGTTTATTAAAGCTCAGAGTTCAAGACTATTAAATCATACAGCTTTGTTACTGTTTGAAAGCTAGATATTTCCCTTCTGTATTGCTATGTCAGAATTTTATGTGTGCATATTTAGCTACAATCCAGATAAGACTACTTTGGGAAAATCAATCAGGTAATTTCCATTCACTTGATTAACTTTTCTTCATATTTCTATAGGTCACACTCTCCAAGAAAAGTGTTAAAAGGCATACTGAAATGTCATAAAGAAAAACAGTATAGTCTGAATGAATCTTTTGAAACAGTTAAGAAGATTAAAAAAAAAAAAAAAGGTGTGATACGAGTTTTTGTAATAATGCCCCAAACTCTGCCTTTATCAAATCATACAGGGACATATGTACAGATTTCTCATTTTAATTCAATGCCATCAGACATAGTATGGCCTGATAGCACATAATAGAATGAAGTTTCTCTTAAATGCTTGAAATTCACTCCTTGTCAATTTTCTGCATTCTAGCTCATTTTTATCTCTTCATTGCTCCAGTCCAACACTTTTAGTGATCATAAGCACGTCTAAGCCTGGAAAAAGTATACATGAACCACTGGGCAGGCAGAATTTGAGAAAAAGCATTGATGATTTAGTTGTATAGTAACTATCCTTCCTTCAATTATGGAAAATTCATTTCAAAGCTCCCTTCTGTTCAAGAACTGTGAGGGCAGAAAATATGTTAATGTATTTGGATTACATTAAAGTTTTAAGATTAACTAAAAGAAAGGGAGGGAAAAAGTGCTAATGGCAAGAGCACACGGAAAAGACATTATATTACTGCTAATGCACCTAAAACATTGCCTATTAAAATAAGATGGCAGTTATACATGCTATTAAATATATCAAAGCTGTGCTTCAATTACAAATCCTTTTATATGCATGTTTTAACAAATATATCTTTGATAATGGAATGTAGCTGCAACTTCTTAAATGCTAGACACAATCTCTGCTATATAACTCTGTATTACCACTAGGAGGTAATTATATTTTGAGATTTTCATTTTTCCTTTTTATATCCTATGAATTTTCAAGTAAGCAGCTGGACAGCAACTCAGTTTAAGAGCATGAGCCTCTAGGCTTGTGACGGTTAACAGTGATGTGTTGTGCTATTATTTTCACATGGTTATTTGTGGAAACAAATTATATCCTTGAGATGGTATATGAACAGAAAGCACTTAATCATGTTCGTCTATTATTTTCTTTGTGAAATAACTGCAACAACTCTATTAGAAATCTAGATGGTGCATATATTTCCTTAGAAATTAATAAATTTCTCATCTTGAATGGCATGAGCATTAGTTTCATGGAAACTTCAAAGACATTAGCTTTCAAATTTAGTCTATAATGTCTAGTTGTATAATTATTATTTTCTTGACTGATTAAAAATTCCTGGACCCAAATACAAGCAGCAATATTTTTATTAATTGAACATTACTAGGTAGTAAATTGGCATAAGAATGTAATACATGTTGAGAGAATGATGGTTTTTAAGTCATTATTTGTCATGGATATAAATACTAATATATCGGTCACTAAAAATACCTGCTTTCCAGCAAAATACAAACTTTATTTTATTCATGATGTAACTTATGGACACAATTTTTAAAAAGGTCATCTATGCATAGAAACATATTTTTTCACTAGAAATTGAAAACAATCTATTAAATCTAATTGTTTCCATTTATTTTTAGAGTAATGAAATTCAGCCAAATCAAATACTCAATTAGCTCATCTTTTGTGAACTCTTTGAATTATTTTCCATATGCTTTTCTCTTACATGTGCCCTTAATTTCTGACCTTTTCATGGTTAGAGTTGAAGTGAGAGAGAAGCAATTATAGACGTATCAATGTTATTTTTTGAATTATGTTTCAGAAGCTGGTCTTGTGCTTTCTGGTCTTGGAAGTTGTTGAAATCTGACTCTTTCTCTTGAGGGAGAGTTTTACAACTTCTTCTGAGAAAAGTCCCTCATCGCTGCTACTTGATATAAGTGATGTGCTTTCCTTCCTGCATCATAAGACTTTTCTCTTGGTCGTCTCTAGTTCTTGAGGTCCAATTTCTAAATCTCTCCTTCCTTCATTTTTAGGGTCCCGTCAGTCAGCCATCCTGTATATAAGGTCCATATTTTGTCTATTGAACACTCTTTCTCCATTCTTTGCCCTTAAAAACCCCGAGTGTTCTGGGTAATTTGGCACAGTAGTAAACAGTCCTTCACTTTCCTTTTCGAGTTAACTTTCCTTTAGAGTTTTCATAAAGGAGTCACATGCTAGTCCACTGAGCCCTCATAACTTCAAGAAATAGTAATTAATCCTTCTTACCTGTAATCTTAAATTTCTTCTTGTTTTGTTTGAGCTGAAAAAAAGAATACATACCTACTTCTCCTCCTGATAGTAGCCATCAATGGAAAATTCTTTAACTTGTAACTATGAATCACTTCTAGGAACTCAAGTTTCAAAAAGTTATTATAATATAGAAATTAGAAATATTTTTTTCTCCCAAATGAAAGTGTGACAGTTGATATTGGTAGGATAATAAAATAATGACATTTTATTGTCACCCAAAGATATTATCTCCTAGTTCCTATGAAAAAGGGTCTTCGTAGATAGGACCAAGTTGAAAATTGAGAGATGGAGAAATTGTTTTGGATTATCCATATGGGCCCTAAACATGATCACAGGTATCCTTATAAGAGAGAGACAAAGGGAAAGTTGAAATGCACAGAGGAGAAGGCAATATGAAAATAGAAAAGAGCAGTATTTGAAGACCCTGGCCTCTGAGTTTGAAATAATGTGGTCATAGGCCAGACATGCTGAAGCCATCAGAAGCTAGAAGAAACAAGGCATGGATTCTCCCCTAGAACCTCTAGAGGAAGTGTGGCTCTGTCAACACCTTGATTTTGGCCCAATGATTCCGATTTCAGACTTCTCACCTGCAGAATTATGGAAGAATAACTTTATATTGTTTTAATACACCAAATCCATTGTAATTTCTTACAGTAACCACAGAAAACTAGTACAACCAGAAAAAATAAAAATGTTGCATATTATTTCATTTGCATATATGGTTTTAATGTTTGATGCTTTGTATAATAATATATCTTGTTTTGCTCAAATCAGTCATCACCTCAATGCATTTTATTCTACCATAGCCCTGAAAAAAATAGTAACACTATAAAAGTCATCAAAATTATCAGAAACAAGTCTGTGAATTACCATATTTTGAAAACGTTTTTTAAGATATAGTAATAGTATGTGACATCTTCTATACCACACAGAAAACTGTTGACTTAAAAAAGTTTGGAAGCATTTACTTAAACTAAAGGAAATCCAAATGTTTACCTTTTATCTGAAAGAAAACGAAAAACTCGGGCCGGGCACGGGGGCTCATGCCTATAATCCCAGCACTTTGGGAGGCTGAGGCAGGTGGATCACCTGAGGTCAGGAGTTTGAGAGAAGCCTGGCCAACATGGTGAAACACCATCTCAACTTAAAAAAAAATATGAAAAATTAGCTGAGGATGGTGGCAGGTGCCTATAATCCCAGCTACATGGGAGGCTGTGGCAGGAGAATTGCTTGAAATTGGGAGGCGGAGGTTGCAGTGAGCTGAGATTGCATCATTGCACTCCAACCTGAGCGACAGAGTGAGACTCTGTCTCAAAAAAAAAAAAAAAAGAAAAGAAAAAAGAAAAAAGTACTTTAGACATTTTGAAAGAATAGAATTTTATTCATGGGTTGCCATATCTGAACATGTTTATAATCAAAGTCTTGGGGTCACCATCATAGAAACTACTGAACACTTGTAAATTGTATTAGTCAAAATACTCCAGAAACAGAATCAGTGGGAGATATATACATATATACACACACATATATACCCACACACACATACACACACACACACACAGAAATATACAAAGGGGTTTATCATAAGGGATCGGTTTATGTGATTATGGAGTTTGAGAGGTCCCACTGTCTTAGTTTTCTTGTTGCTGTTTTTACTATAACAAAGTACCTCAGACTGGGTAATTTAGAAAGAAGAAAAATTTGTTTTCTCACTGTTCTGGAGAATGGCAAGTCCAAGACCAATGCACCAGCATCTGGTTAAGGCCTTCTTGCTGCATTCTCTCATGGTGGAAGGAAGAAGACAAAAGGGACAAATGCTGTGTCCTCACATAGTAGAAGAGCTGAAGCAAAGCTAGCCAAATGTTGCTTAAAGCTTCTTTTATAAAGATTTTAATCCCATTCATGAAGGAGGGTCCCTCATGGTTTAATTACCTCTTGAAAACTATACATATTAGTACTATCACATTGGCAACACCAATGGGACACATTCAAATCATGGCTCTAATGACCCGTCAGTTGCAAGCTGGAGGCCCACAAGAGCAAATGTGTGGTTCTAGTTCAAACCTGAAAGCTTGAGAACCAGAAAACAAATTATGTCAGTCCCAGTCAAAGTCTAAAAGCCTATTAACCAGGAACATGGATGCCCAAGGGCAGGAGGAGATGGATTTCCCATCTTAAGTTTTGAGAGCAAATTGACCCTTTCCCACTTCTTTTGTTTATTCGGGACCTCAAGGGATTGGATGGGGCCCACAAGCGTTCGTGAGAGTGAATCTTCTTTACTCAGTCAAAAGATTGAAATGTTAATCTTTTCCACCAACACCCTCACAGATATACACAGAAATAATATTTTATGAGCTATCTCGACGTCTCTTATCCCAGCGAAGTTGGCACATAAAATAAGGCATAACATAATATTTCTTGGATAAATTGCTAACGTTGAAAAAAACAGTACATGCAGGCAGTCTTGTCAACTTTCCAAAGCTGAAACAAGTGCTTTACTAAGGAGTAAGACCCAAAATTCTTCAATATTTTAGAAAATAAAAATGTGAAAACACTTGGAAACACGTCATAGTCATCTCAAGATGGTATTCATCTTTTGACAAGAGAAAATACATATTATATGAGTCACCTAAATTACTTTGTTTTTCTGTTTGATAGCTATGTGTTAAAAAATCTGGCTTTGCAAAGATGTGTTTCTGAAAATGGAGTTCACATTTCTTTAGTTCACTGTTTTCAAGTTTAATCAATCTTCTCTCAATAAACACCTGTATTTAGAAAGGTTTTTGAGTGGACCTCCAATTATAGTTTATTGTTTTTGGTTCCAAGTTTGATGAGTTTATTTTTTTATGAGGTCATATTTCTGATGTAGTTTTTAAAATCAGAAATAAAATAGCAGTAGACCTAAAGTTTCAAGTGTGACCCACACATTCACAGCTGTGATGGCTATGGGGAGAGACTCCTGCTGCTTTAGAAAAGTAGAGGGAAGGGTAAAGGGGACTTTGTCTTACAGCTTCTGTACCAGCTTAGCCACAGTGAAATGGAGCACCAACCAGTCCGTTAGGGTCCCCGATTTCAGGCCTTGGCTCCTAGAAGACATTTCTGGGCCTACTTTGGGACAGAGGGAAGCCCACTGCCTTCTGTCCTGAAGTGTGAGTCCAAGGCCTGGAAGCATTCAACATAAGCTGACTGAAGAGACCATGGGCTTCAAGGGAACATCTGCAGTTGCCTGGCGGCACTCCACCTGGGCTGGTGGTGGTGGTGGACATAGGGAGAAACTCCTCTGCTTGGGAAAAGGGGAGAAAAGCATGGGAAGAACTTTGTCTCGGGGTTTGGGTGGTAGCTCTGCCACAGTAGAATAGATTTTTTTTTTCTTTTTTATTATACTTTAAGTTTTAGGGTACATGTGCACAACGTGCAGGTTAGTTACATATGTATACATGTGCCATGTTCGTGTGCTGCACCCATTAACTCGTTATTTAACATTAGGTATATCTCCTAATGCTATCCCTTCCCCCTCTCCCCACCCCACAACAGGCCCTGGTGTGTGATGTTCCCCTTCCTGTGTCCAAGTGTTCTCATTGTTCAATTCCCACCTATGAGTGAGAACATGCATTGTTTGGTTTTTTGTCCTTGCCATAGTTTGCTGAGAATGATGGTTTCCAGCTTCATCCATGTCCCTACAAAGGACATGAACTCATCATTTTTTATGGCTGCATAGTATTCCATGATGTATATGTGCCACATTTTCTTAATCCAATCTGTCATTGTTGGACATTTGGGTTGGTTCCAAGTCTTTGCTACTGTGAATAGTGCCACAATAAACATATGTGTGCATGTGTCTTTATAGCAGCATGATTTGTAATCTTTTGGGTATATACCCAGTAATGGGATGGCTGGTTCAAATGGTATTTCTAGTTCTAGATCCCTGAGGAATCACCACACTGACTTTCACAATGGTTTAACTAGTTAACAGTCCCACCAACAGTGTAAAAGTGTTCCTATTTCTCCACATCCTCTCCAGCACCTGTTGTTTCCTGACTTTTTAATGATCGCCATTCTAACTGGTGTGAGATGGTATCTCATTGTGGTTTTGATTTGCATTTCTCTGATGGCCAGTGATGATGAGCATTTTTTCATGTGTCTTTTGGCTGCATAAATGTCTTCTTTTGAGAAGTGTCTGTTCATATCCTTTGCCCACTTTTTGATGGGGTTGTTTGTTTTTTTCTTGTAAATTTGTTTGAGTTCACTGTAGATTGTGGATATTAGCCCTTTGTCAGATGAGCAGATTGCAAAAATTTTCTCCCATTCTGTAGGTTGCCTGTTCACTCTGATGGTGGTTTCTTTTGCTGTGCAGAAACTCTTGAGTTTAATTAGATCCCATTTGTCAATTTTGGCTTTTGTTGCCATTGCTTTTGGTGTTTTAGACATGAAGTCCTTGCCCATCCCTATGTCCTGAATGGAATTGCCTAGGTTTTCTTCTAGGGTTTTTATGGTTTTAGGTCTAACATTTAAGTCTTTAATCCATCTTGAATTAATTTTTGTATAAGGTGTAAGGAAGGGATCCAGTTTTAGTTTTCTACATATGGCTAGCCAGTTTTCCCAGCACCATTTATTAAATAGGGAATCCTTTCCCCATTGCTTGCTTTTCTCAGGTTTGTCAAAGATCAGATGGTTGTAGATATGTGACATTATTTCTGAGGGCTCTGTACTGTTCCATTGGTCTATATCTCTGTTTTGGTACCAGTACCATGCTATTTTGGTTACTATAGCCTTGTAGTATAGTTTGAAGTCAGGTAGCGTGATGCCTCCAGCTTTGTTCTTTTGGCAGAGAGAAGAATCAAATAGATGCAATAAAAAATGATAAAGGGGATATCACTACCAATCCCGCAGAAATACAAACTACCATCAGAGAATACTACAAACACCTCTACACAAATAAACTAGAAAATCTAGAAGAAATGGATGAATTCCTCAACACATACACCCTCCCAAGACTAAACCAGGAAGAATTTTAATCTCTGAATAGACCACTAACAGGCTCTGAAGTTGAGGCAATAATTAACAGCTTACCAACCAAAAAAAGTCCAGGACCAGATGGATGCGCAGCCGAATTCTACCAGAGGTAAAAGGAGGAGCTGGTACCATTCTTTCTGAAACTATTTCAATCAATAGAAAAAGAGGGAATCCTCCCTAACTCATTTTATGAGGCCAGCATCATCCTGATACCAATGCCGGGCAGAGACACAACAAAAAAAGAAAATTTTAGACTAATATCCCTGATGAACATCGATGCAAAAATCCTCAATAAAATACTGGCAAATACAACCCAGCAGCACATTGAAAAGCTTACCCACCATGATCAAGTGGGCTTCATCCCTGGGATGCAAGGCTGGTTCAACATACAAAAATCAATAAACGTAATCCAGCATATAAACAGAACCAATGACAAAAACCATATGATTATCTCAGTAAATGCAGAAAAGGCCTTTGACAAAATTCAACAACCCTTCGTGCTAAAAACTCTCAATAAATTAGGTATTGATGGGACGTATCTCAAAATAATAAGAGCTATCTATGACAAACCCACAGCCAATATCATACTGAATGGGCAAAAACTGGTAGCATTCCCTTTGAAAACTGGAACAAGACAGGGATGCCCTCTGTCACCACTCCTATTCAACATAGTGTTGGAAGTTCTGGCCAGGGCAATCAGGCAGGAGAAGGAAATAAAGCGTATTCAATTAGGAAAAGAGGAAGTCAAATTGTCCCTGTTTGCAGATGACATAATTGTATATCTAGAAAACCCCATTGTCTCAGCCCAAAATCTCCTTGAGCTGATAATAAACTTCAGCAAAGTCTCAGGATACAAAATCAATGTGCAAAAATCACAAGCATTCTTATACACCAATAACAGACAAACAGAGAGCCAAATCATGAGTGAACTCCCATTCACAATTGCTTCAAAGAGAATAAAATCCCTAGGAATCCAACTTACAAGGGACGTGAAGGATCTCTTCACGGAGAACTGCAAGCCACTGCTCAATGAAATAAAAGAGGCTACAAACAAATGGAAGAACATTCCATGGTCATGGGTAGGAAGAATCAATATCGTGAAAATGGCCATACTGCCCAAGGTAATTTATAGATTCAATGCCATCCCCATCAAGCTACCAATGACTTTCTTCACAGAATTGGAAAAATACTACTTTAAAGTTTACATGGAACCAAAAAAGAGCCCACCTTGCCAAGTCAATCCTAAGCGTCAGGTAGATTTCTAAGGTTTCCAGGCCCTGGCTCCCAGATGGCACCTCTGAACTCACTAAGGCCTGGGGGAAATTGCTGTCCTTAAGGGAAGGACACAAGCCTGGCTGGGTTTGCCTACTGTAATTGTGGAGAACTAAGGGCTTGAGAAAACATAGATGGTATCCAGGTAGTGGTTACAGAGGGCCTTGGGCAAGACCCAGTGCTGCGCTAGCTTCAGATCTGACCCAGTACAGTTCCAGTAGTGGTATCCACAGAGGTGCTTGGGTCACTTCTCCCCTAGCTTCAGGCAGCTCAGCCCAAAGAAAGAGACTGTTTTTGTTTGAAAGAAATTAAGGCAAGGGAAAAAGAGTCTGTGCCTAGTAATCCAGAGTATTCTTCTGGATCTTGTCTAACATCACCAAGGTGGTACCTCTGCAAATCTGCAAGAATGACAGTGTTACTGAGCTTAGAGTGTCTCCTAATGCAGATGGGACTTCAGTGACCACAAACTTAGACCACAACACCCAAGTCCTTTTAAATACCTGGAAAGCCTTCCCAAGAAGGTTGGGTACAAACAAGCCCAGACTGCAAAGATGACAATAAATACCTAACTCTTCAATACTCAGACATCAACAAACATCTGCAAGCCTTAAGATCATCCAGGGAAAAATGACCTCACCAAACTAAATAATGCACTGGAGAATAATCCTGGAGAGACAGAGAAATGTGACCTGTTAGGCAGAGAATTCAAAATAGCTGTTTTGAGGAAATTCAAATAAAATGCTAAAGGAAAAAACCCTTCTTTTATCCTAGAATAATATATACAGCAAAAATATCTTTCAGATATGAGGGTGAAATAAAGACTTTCTCAGACAAACAAAAGCTGAGAAGTTTTGTCAATGCCAGATCTTTCCTACAAAAAATGCTAAAAAGAACTCCTCAATCTGAAAGAAAAGCATGTTAATAAGCAAGAAGAAATCACCTGAATATACAAAACTCACTGGGAACAGTAAGTACACAGGAAAACACTGCAATTGTGGTGTGTAAAATACTTGTATCTTATGTAGAAAGATAAAGAGATGAACTGACCAAAAATAATAACTGCAACAACTATTCAAGACATGCATAGTACAAAAAAATAAAAAATAAAAAAAAAAACATAAAAAGAAAGTGAGGGGATGCAGTTAAAATGTAGAGTGTTCATTAGTTTTATTTTTGGTTGTTTGTTATTCTGTTTAAGTAATAAGTGTTCATTTGTCTTCGGTTTAAAATAATGGGTTATAAGATGTTATTTGCAAGCCTTATGATTAAAATTATATAATAGATACACCAAAAACAAAAGGCAGGAAATTAAAACACACTACCAGAGAAAATCTCCTTCACTGAAAGGAAGACAGCAAGAAAGGAGAGAAGTAAGACAAGACCACAAAACAACCAGAAAATAGATAACAAAATGGCAGAAGTAGGCCTTTACTTATTAATAATAACATTGAATGTAAACGGGCTAAACTCACCAATCAAAGACATAGAGTAGTTGAATGAGTTAAAACACACACAGAGTGAAAATTACGGAATGGAAAAATGTATTCCATGCAAATGAAAACCTAAAAAAGTAGTAGCTGTACTTGCATCACACAAAATAACATTCAAGACAAAAACTACAAAAAGAGGCAAAGAAGATAATTACATAATGATAAAGGGGTGAATTCAGCAAGAGATTCTAACAAATGGTAAACATATATGCATCTAACACTGGAACATCCAGATATACAATGCAAATATTATTAGAGCTAAAGAGAGAGATAGAACTCAACACAACACTAGCTGAAGACATATCACCTCATTTTCAGCATTAGACAGATCATTCAGACAGAAAATCAACAAAGAAACATTGAACTTAATCTGTACTATAGACCAAATAGACATAATAGACATTTAAAGAACATTTCTTCTCGTGTCTGAAGAATAAACATTCTTCTCTTCAGCACATGAATAATTTTCAAGGAGAGACCATATGTTAGACTACAAGCCAAGTCTTAAATCATTCAAAAAATTGACATAATATCAAGCATCTTTTCTGACCACAATGGAATAAAACCAGAAATCAATACCAAGAGGAATTTTGGAAACTATACAAACACATGGAAATTAAACAATATGCTTCTGAATAACAAGTGTGTCAATGAAGAAATTAAGAAGAAATCTAAAAAATTTCTTGAAAAAAATATAATGGAAACACAACACAACAAAATCTGTGGGAGACAACAAAAGCAACACTAAGAGGGAAGTTTATATCTATAAATGCCTACATCAAAAAAGTAGAAAACTTCCAATATACAGCCTAAAGATGCATCTTAAAGAACTAGAAAACCAAAAGCAAACCAAACCCAGAGTGGTAGAAAAAAAGACATCATAAAGATAACAGCAGAAATAAACGAAGTTGAAACAAAGAGAACAATACAAAAGGTCAAATAAATTAAAAGTTGACTTTTAGAAAAGATAAACAAAATTGGCAAACCTTTAGCCAGACTAACTATAAAACAAAGAGAAAAGACTCAAATAAATAAAAAAAAAGATGAAAAAGGAGGCATTACAACAAATACCACAGAAATTCAAATGATCATTAGAGACTACTATGAGAAACTGTATGCCCATAAATTAGAAAAACAAAAAGAAATGAATAACATTCTAGACACATACAATCTACTAAGACTGAACGATGAAGAAATCCAAAACCTGAATAAACCAATAACAAGCCAAAACTATTCTAAGCAAGGTGGATAAAACTGGAGGAATCACATTACCTAACTTCAAATTATGCTATAGGTATATTAGCCAAAACAACATGGTACTGGCATAACGACAGACACATAGACCAAGAGAACAGAATAGACAACACAGAAATCAAATCCACACACATACAGTAAACTCATTTTAGACAAAGGTGCCAAGAACATATATTGGGCCAAGGCAGTCTCTTCAATAAATGGCTCTGGGAAAACTGATTATCTATAAGCAGAAGAATGTAACTAGCCACCTATCTCTTGTCATATACAAAACTCATATTAAAATGAATTAAAGACTTAAATCTAAGACTTAAAATTATGAAACCACTGCATGAAAACACTGGAGAAACTCTCCAGGACATGGGTCTCGATAAAAACTTCTTGAGCAATACTCCACAAGCACAGGCAACCAAAGCAAAACTGGTCAAATGGGATGACATCAAGTTTAAAAGCTTTTGCACAGCAAAGAAAACAATCAACCAAGTGAAGAGACAACCATGGAATGGGAGAAAATATTTGCAAACTACCCATCTGACAAGTGATTAATAATCAGAATATATAAGGAGCTCAAACAACTCCACAAGAAAAACATCTAAAAATCCGGTTAAATATGGGCAAATGGTCTGAATAGACATTTCTCAAAAGAAGCCCTACAAAAGACAAACAGGTTTATGAAAAGATGCTCAACGTCACTGTTCATGAGATAAATGAAAATCAAAATTGCTCAACATCACTTATCATCAGATAAATGCAAATTAAAACTACAGTTAGATATCATCTCACTCCAGTTAAAATGGCTTTTATTCAAAAGTCAGACAATAACAAATGCTGACATGGATGTGGAGAAAAGGGAACCCTTCTACACTGTTGGTGGGAATATAAGTTAGTACAACTACTATGGAGAACAGTGTGGAGGTTCCTCAAGAAACTAAAAATATAGCTATCATATGATTCAGTAATCTCACTGCTAGGTATATACCCAAAAGAAAGGAAATCTGTGTATCGAAGAGATAGCTGCACTCCCATGTTTATTGCAGCAGTATTCACAATGCAAAGATTTGGAAGCAACCCGTGTTCATTAACAGATTAATGGATAAAGAAAATGTGGTACACATACACAATGGATTACTCTTCAGCTGTAAAGAAGAATGAGATTCCATCATTTGAAACAACATGAATGGAATGACATGTGATTAAGTGAAATAAGCCAGGCACAGAAAGAAAAAACTTCATGTGTTCTCATTTATTTGTAGGAGCTAAAAATTAAAACAATTATACTCATGAAAATAGTAGCGTGACTGTTACCAGGCACCAGGAAGTGTAATAGGGGACTTGGGTAGGGTAGTGGGAATGGTTAATGGATATAAAAAAGAGAAAAATGAATAGGGTCTTGTATTTGATAGCACAACAGAGTGACCGTAGTCAATAATAATTTTTTTTTTTTTTTTTTTTTTTGAGACGGAGTCTCGCTCTGTCGCCCAGGCCGGACTGCGGACTGCAGTGGCGCAATCTCGCTCACTGCAAGCTCCGCTTCCCGGGTTCACGCCATTCTCCTGCCTCAGCCTCCCGAGTAGCTGGGACTACAGGCGCCTGCCACCGCGCCCGGCTAATTTTTTGTATTTTTTAGTAGAGACGGGGTTTCACCTTGTTAGCCAGGATGGTCTCGATCTCCTGACCTCATGATCCACCCGCCTCGGCCTCCCAAAGTGCTGGGATTACAGGCGTGAGCCACCGCGCCCGGCCGTCAATAATAATTTAATTGTAGATTTAAAAATAACTAGATATAATTGAATTGTTTGTAATATAAAGGATAAAGTCTTCAGTTGATGGATACTCCATTTATCCTATTGTGATTATTACACATCTTATGCCTGTATCAAAATATCTCATACACTCCATAAATTTAGATAACTAATGTGTATGCACAAACTTTTTAAAATAATTCAATGAAAGATGATATTGTTTTGTCTATAAATATAGCAGTAGAAATGTTGAGAAATTGAGAAGTGTTTCTATTATGAATATATTTTGGAGATAGAGAAAATCAAATCTTCTGACTTATTATTATTATTATTTTTTTTAATTTAAGAATGAAGTCTCACTCTGTTGCCCAGGCTGGAGTGCAGTGGCATGATCTCAGCTCACTGCAACCTCTGCCTCCTAGGTTCAAGTGATTCTTCTGCCTCAGCCTCCCTAGTAGCTGGGACTATAGGCACCCGCCAACACACCCGGCTAATTTTCGTATTTTTAGTAGAGACAGGGTTTCACCATGTTGGCAAGGATGATCTTGATCTCTTGACCTCGTGATCCACCCACCTTGGCCTCCCAAAGTGAGGGGATTACAGGCGTGAGCCACCACGCCTGGCCTGACTTATCTTTTTATGTGTTATTGTTTTTCTGGATTTTTTTTCTGTGTATTGCCTGTTTGCCACTACAGTCCCACTTTTCCATTGAGATTTCACTTTTCTTTCCTGATTTGTATACTTTTTTTTAATATTCTGGATACAAATCCTTTGTTCTACATATGTAGAAAATACCTTCTTCCATTCTTTTGATTTTTTTAACTGAATTTATATTGTCTTTAACTGTAGGAAGTGATTTTTGTAATTTTGTGAAATCTCGATTTCTTAACATTTCAATCTAATTTTTGTTTTTTCATATCTTGAAACCTGGTATCTGTTAGGACAATTTCTTTCATCTGGTATAGTTTTTCAGAATTGAATTCTCTATTCTGTGCTTTTATTCAGCCAAAGTTTGGAATCAGTAGTCTATCAAATTGTGCAGAAAATTTTGTTAAGATTGTCATTTATGTGCACAAAATTGGTCAATTTACTTTGGAAGAATTGATATATTTATGATATTTATTTTCTCATCTATTAACATGGTACATGTCTTTTGTTAGTTTGTTTTTGAATAATATTTTATACTCTGTTTAGAAATCATTCTGTGTAAAATGACATAATACTAGATTGTAAAGATGGACCTTTATTATTCATGAAGAACTCGGTTGGAAATATGGGTTTTTTTAATCTTTAGTTATAATAAGTATCATCAAAAACAACAATATTGCTGATATATAATCTTGTAATTGTTCAAGTGTATGTATGATATAGATTCCTAAAAATTGAATTATAATATAAAATAGTAAATATATAATTTTGCTAAATTTTGCCAATTTTTTCTCCATATTAATTATGCAATTTTTGCATTCCACTGCAATGTGTTAACAACCTTCGATTTCCACCACCTCACTAACAAGTGTGTTATGAAAATGTTAGATGTTTGCAAATGCAGTGAGTGAGTGATGTTAGTTCAGTGTTTTAAATTTTAGTTCTCATTTTATGATATAGTATAAGCACCTAATTATATATTTATGCTCATCCAAATTTCCTTTTCTGTTACTTGATTTATCATATATTTTGTCCATATTCGTACCATTTTTTGTCATTTTCATCTCAATTTTTCACAGACTTTTGTATTATTAATCCTACCTCACCTTAAATATTATAGTGTGCAAATAACCTTTCCAAAATTATAATTATATTCTTTTGACTTAGCTGGTGGCATTTACATTTTGCTTTATTTACCTTTGTCTTATTGTTACTATGACATCCATATTAAATGTTGCTACACCATCCATATTTTCACCAATTATTTAAAATGCTACCTTTATTAAATACTACATTTCTATAAATCCTGGTATCTTGTTGGATCTCTATTCTGTTTCATGAGTTTTTCCAACATTTGTAAACAATTTCCATATATTCTTAACTATAGAGACTGTATAAAATGTTTCAATTTCTGGTATGTCTAATCTCCCTGATATGGTTTGGATGTTTTGTCCTGCTCCCAATCTCATGTTGAAATGTGACCTCCAATGTTGGAGGTGGGGCGTAGTGGGTGATGATTGGGTCATGGAGCCAGATCCTTCAAGAATGGCATAGTGTCTTCCTCATGTTAATGAGTGAATTCTCACTTTGGGTTTATGTGAGTTCTGGTTTCTTAACAGAGTGTGGCACCTCCCCACTCTCTCTCTCTCGATCATTCTCGCCATAGAATATGCTAGCTCCCCTTTGCCTTCCACCATGATTGTAAGCTTTCTTAAAGCCCTCACCAGAAGCAGACGCCAGCGCTGGGCTTCTTGTACACCCTGCAGAACTGTGAGCCCAAGTAAACCCTTTTTCTTGGTAAATTACTCAGCTTCAGGTATTCCTTTATAGCTATGCAAATGGACTAACACACCCACCTTTTTCGTTTTTTCCTCATTTTTCTGATTAATGATCTTTATTTAATTTTCTATCAGAATTTTATTCATCTCATTTTGTTCCAGGTGAAGAAATAAATGTGACTATTTTTCCTGTGCTCATGACATATATGTAAATTAACTGTGAAGAAAATAAAATCTTTAGAATATTGAGGCTTCCTGTCTAA
Source organism: Homo sapiens (assembly GCF_000001405.40). Classification (NCBI taxonomy): domain Eukaryota; kingdom Metazoa; phylum Chordata; class Mammalia; order Primates; family Hominidae; genus Homo; species Homo sapiens. Next base: position 66,393,406 of record NC_000004.12, on the reverse strand, counting down.
GAATGTGATATCTCCTTCATTGGTTTATCTCTTCTTTTGTGTGTTCTCAGTGGTTAAATGTTTAACATCACAGTCATAGAGGCTTTGCTGATTTCTTATTGACTTTATATCTAGATATTTTAGCAACTTTGTTGCCATTACAAATTAGATCTTCATTTCCATTTAATAATCTAAATGGTTATGCTTTTCATATATGACATCCATTGGTTTTATACATGGATTTTCCTATATTGCAATATACAATTCTTTTTAGTAGAAATATTACTTGTAATGGTTTTTTAATAGGTTGGTTTTGATTTTCTAGATATACAATGTCTAAATATATAACCTACATATATACATATGGCACCTTTCTCTATCAACTGAGATACACAAACGCATATGTCCAAATTCTATTTTATCAAGGGTTTTTATGTTGAATTGGTAGTTTTGGTGTTGGTGCACATTTTAATATGAGTTTTTTCTCTTTATAATGTTTAATACTTTCATGGAAATTTAACATCATAGTCTAACTCAAATTCAATTTTCTGACTTGTACCTAACAAATATGTAACTTGATTTAATTTCTAAATAAGCAACGAATATTAAAATCCCTATAGTAATAGAATGTTTTTCTCACAAGTCATCTGTGCATACACCAGAATCCACATCCCCACAATCTTTTTCAAAATTTCAGATTTCACTTCACTGAACTATTTGTTTATTATTTGCAGTTATCTCTTGTTTTTAAGTATGTAGCTTTGTAGTAGTTTTGATTAGGTTGAGCAAATTTCTTCTTTTTTTATTATTGTTGTTCTTCTCATGGTTTTGAACATTGTCTTGGCCATTTTGCACATATATAATTTCTTACTAATTTTAAGATCATTTGGCAAGTCCCCTAAACAGTTTTTGGAATTTTTATAATTGAAATTTTATTGAATTTATTGATTAATACAGGCAGAATCGAAACTTCAAGGTATGTATATTTTCTCATCCATGAACATATCTTTCCATTTATTCAGAATTTCTTGTGTAAACTACAGTAAATTTCTAAAATTTTTCCAAACAAAGAAGGACATTTGAATCCATGTCTTTGCTAATGTAAATTTGCCAAGACTTTTACCATCATAGAGAATTTTAAGTCTATCCCATCTCCCTGGAAACTCACCCGATATTTGAATTCTAGCTCCTTCTTTTTACTGTGGTCTCAGATGATGCGTTACCCTTTTAGAGAGGCTTCCCTTATACCACTCTCCAATGTAGCTTTGTAGTCTGTATATTTCAACTTACATTATTCCTCGAAAAGTTCTTATATGATAGGAATCTGAAATTTTTCTTACGATTGTGACAACATATCTGTTTATTATATCGATCTATGTATTCTAAAGAAAGCTCTCAGAAAGCAAAAATTTTCTCTTTTTTTACTGCTAATATTTTCTCAGCTAAAAATATTGCTTGACACAGAAGTCACTAAAATTTTGTTAATGAAGGAAGGTTCATCGATGAGGAAACTGTATTTTAATTTTAGATATAATATGTTAAAAAACATTCCTTGTTGTCAAAAGACATGGAAAATTCTACACATGAGTTTCACAATAAAATACATTTTAAATTATTTCTTTCATCTCCTTCTATATACATTCCTATTCTCAATACTTCCAGCATTTTCATCTATAAGTTTCTTCGAGTAGAATGTCTATATGCCCCCTTTACATTTAAATAGGCTTTACATTATCTAACATTTAAAGGATAGAGGAAGAGAAGAAGTAAGTAGTAGAGGAATCACATTATTAAATACCTTTTGAATTTGCCCCACAAAAATAATATAATGTCATTACAAATAAGTGTAGATATTAGGGCCATAAATGATATATACTGGTAAGTATTAGAATGACATCTAAAAAGGAAAACATCATAGTATGTGATAGTGGTGGGGTATGAAGCCTTATGAGGAATTTTAATACTATTATATTGGTATTTTCATTTTAATTAATTCTCTAGAAAGCAAATTATTATAATGGTCATAATCATTTGTGATTATCTTCCTTTCCAGCTGGCTCTTTGGCATAGTGACAATTACTTCTTTAAAAACAGCATGTTGTTTATCTTTAAATATTGTTTTATAAAAGGAGAACTTACCACAGACAACATAAAAATGTTTTTGCTGCTAGTCAAAATATGTCCTTAATATTTCTCAGATATTAGTGACAATTAGAGCAGGGACTGTTAATGATAATACCTACATTCAGATAGTAAAGATCTAAAAGATCTAAAAGACTTAAAGAGAAAACTAAAGATACTTAATTTTGACTACAGATGAACTGAATTAAGAGATATCAAATTTGATGTGTGAATGTCAGAAAAATTAGGAAAATAGGAAATCTGAGTTCTGTTATAAATCAGCAGAGTCATCATGCCTACGTAAACACTTAATTTTAGTTTACTTTAATGGTATTTCCTATTAATTACATGATAGAATGTTTTCTCAATAATTACTTACAAATTCCCTTATTTGGCTGGGCGCGGTGGCTCATGCCTGTAATCCCAGCAGTTCAGGAGGCTGAGGCAGGTGGATCAAGAGGTCAGGAGTTTGAGAACAGCCTGGCCAACATATTGAAACGCTGTCTCTACTAAAAATACAAAAATTAGCCTGGCGTGGTGGTGCATGCTTCTAATCCCAGCTACTCATGAGGCTGAGGCTGGAGAATCGCTTGAACCCAGGAGGCAGAGGTTGCAGTGAGCTGAGATCGCACTATTGCATGCCAGCCTGTGCAATAAAGTGAGACTCCATCTAGAAAACAAAACAAAACAAACAAACAAAAAATTCTGTTATTTGCATATGTTTGCAAGACATGTTGGTGGCTGGGGCAAAAGCTGGTCGAAGAACGTATTTTTGCAATGCTCCAGCATAGTTATAGCCCTGCAATGCTCACCATCCACCTCTATATTCTATAGCTGTAAGAAGGCAAAAACATAAAAAGAACTCTAAAATTAGAAAAAAATCAAGGTTGAACCTTAATAGCTTCACTTGGAGATGACATTTTGGCAGAGCATATTTTTCTGACCAATGAGAGTTACTTATGTGTTCAATTCCAGTTGTGTTGCTAAGTTAGGTTATTATGGAATACTTAAGGCCCTCGAAAATTTATACAGCTTGTTTCTATAATTTTTCAAGGCACGCTATATTCAAGATTACCCCATTCACACTATGTGCATAATATGATACACATAATAAAATTTAAGAAATACTCCAAGAAGTTCCTGTAGTAGACGGCTTATTTTCTTCTTTAGTGCTTTCCAAACACCATCATCCACTTCCAAGAGTCTGTTCTCCACCAGTTAGACTCTAGAATAACATGGCAAATGTCTACAAAAAGAGTTCCTTGCAATACGACTTTGTCCTACAAACACATTACCAGGAATCTCCTGCAAGCTATACAGTAAGAGGACACAGATGATGGGGAGGGTAATGCAAGTTATCCCATTTCCCAGTTTCCCTTTTTCTCATATACTCATAGGCACATGCTTACTTGCACAAAGAGAATAAAGTCCTTTGAATGAAAAGACAGGTTACATTTGATTTTTAGAAACTATTTCCAAGAAGTCCTCTTTGGCTGCCGATGTAGGTGAGCATTGTTTGTCTATTAATAATAAAGAAAGTCACACACAGAGCTCAAAGGAGAGAGCTAGGGTCTGGAAATGCGATACAAAATGTCCAGCGCCACTCTATAAAACAGCAAATTTTATTATTTAAGAAATGTGGGCCAGGCATGGTGGCTCATGCCTGTAATCCCAGCACTTTGGGAGGCCCAGGTGGGTGGATTACTTGAGGCCAGAAGTTAAAAATCAGTCTGCACAACATAGCACAACCCCATCTTAGCCTGGCATGGTGGTGCACACCTGTAATCCCAGCTACTCGGGAGGCTGAAGCATGAAAATCACTTGAATGTCAGGGTATGGAGAAGGAGGGTGCGAGGTGGAGGTTGAGGAGCCGAGATGGCACTGGGCAACAGAGTGAGACATTGTCTCAAAAAAAGGTGGAAAAAGTTCAAATAATTTATGACAGTAAAATAATAACTGTTGTAAATTGAATACATTCTCTATTTCTATAATTGTCCTAGACACTTGGGATAATGAATTGACTTTTTGCTTTTACTAAGTAAAGCTTTGTCTAATCATGCTCAGTTTATGTTAATATGTAGATTTACCTCTGGTATTGTCACATAACAGTATCCATTTAATTCAAATAACATCCCCTTTACATTAGCTGCATTAATGTATACCATGAATTAGTATATGCCTAGATGTGGACAAAATGTCTGAACTTGGCCTGTTCACTATTTAAAAATTCCAAACACAAGGAGTTTTTTTCTTCATTCTTTATAATGACTTCAATTAAGAGGTTTTATTTTAATTTCTAAATATAAACTGAATTCAACATCCTTAAAAGGTTGTGTCAATAATTCTTACTTCACTTTCCTAAGCTTGAAAGTTTTTTAAAGAGGGAAAATTTAGCATGGAAGCCTTTTAAATAGGCAAGTTTTTATTAATATTTATAGATTTGTATAAAAAATGTGACCCATATTTCTTCATCTATGGCTCTCAGGAAAATAAGTGTTCTTATTTGAAATATCTAAAATTTACACAAAGGCTTAAAAACTAGAGTATCTAGAAATTTGAGCTAATCACACTAGGTGTTCTTTCTTTCCTTTGGAGGGGGTGGGAATATTTTTCAAAAAAAAAAAAAAACATACATGTGCAGAAAAGCAGGTTTGTTACATATGTATATGTGTGCCTTGATGGTTTGCTGCACCTGTTGACCAGTTCTCTAACATCCCTCCCCTCATCCTCCACCCCCAACAGGCTCTGGTGTGTGTTATTCCCCTCTCTGTGTCCATGTGTTCTCAATGTTCAACTCCCACTTATGAGTGAGAACATGTGGTGTTTGGTTTTCTGTCCCTGTGTTAGTTTGCTGACAATGATGGCTTCCAGTTTCATCTGTGTCCCTTCAAAGGACATGTCTTTCCTTTTTATGACTGCATAGTATTCCATGGTGTATCTGTACCATATTTTCTTTATCCAGTCTCTCAGTGATGGACATTTGAGTCCATGTCTTTGCTATTGTAAATAATTCTGCAATTGACATATGTGTGCATGTGTTTTTATAGTAGAATGATTTATATATTCCTTTGAGTATATGGCCAATAATGGGATTGCTGAGTCAAATGGTATTTCTGGTTCTAGATCCTTGAGGAATTGCCTACTGTCTTCCACAATGGTTGAACTAATTTACACTCCCACCAACAGTGTAAAAGCGTCCCTATTTCTCCACATCCTCTCCAGCATCCGTTGTTTCCTGACTTTTTAATAATTGCCATTCTGACTGGCATGAGATGATATCTTGTGAGGTTTGGATGTGCATTTCTTGGATGATCAGTGATGTTGAGCTTTTTTTCACATATTTGTTGGCCAAATAAATTTCTTCTTTTAAGAAGTGTCTGTTCATATCCTTTGCCCACTTTTTGATGGGGTTGTTTGCTTTATTCTTGTAAATATGTTTAAGTTCCTTGAAAATTCTGGATATTACACCTTTGTCAGAAGGGTATATTGCAAACATTTTCTCCCATTCTGTAGGTTGCCTCTTCACTCCGATGATAATTTCTTTTGCTGTGCAGAAGCTCGTTAGTTTCATTAAATCCCATTTGTCAGTTTTGGCTTTTGTTGCCATTGCTTTTGGTGTTTTTATCATGAAGTCTTTGCCCATGCCTATGTCCTGAATGCCATTGCCTGAGTTTTTCTTCCAGGGTTTTTATGGTTTTGGGTTTTACATGTAAGTCTTTAATCCATCTTGAGTTAATCTTTGTATGAGGTGTAAGGAAGGGGTCCAGTTTCAGTTTTCTGCATGTGGCTAGCTAGTTTTCCCAGCACCATTTACTGATTAGAAGATCCTTTTCCTATTGCTTGTTTTCATCAGGTTTGTCAAAGAGCAGATGTTTGTAGATGTGTGGTGTTATTTCTGAGGTCTCTGTTCTGCTCCATTGGTCTATATGTCTGTTTTGGTACCAGTACCATGCTGCTTTGGTTACTGTAGCCTTGCAGGATAGTTTGAAGTCAGGTAGTATGATGCCTCCAACTTTGTTCATTTTGCTTAGGATTGTCTTGGCTATATGGGGTCTTCTTTGATTCCATATGAAATTTAAAGTAGTGTTTTTCTAATTCTGTGAAGAATGTCAATGGCAGTTTGATGGGAATAGCATTTGAATCTATAAATTACTTTGGGCAGTATGGCCATTTTCATGACATTAATTCTTCCTATCAATGAGCATGAAATATTTTTTCCATTTGTGTGTGTCTTCTCTTATTTCCTTGAGAAGTGGTTTGTATTATCTTTGAAGAGATCCTTCACATCACTTGTTAGGTGTATTCTTAGGTATTTTATTCTCTTTGTAGCAATTGTGAATGGGAGTTCATTCATGATTTGGCTCTCTGCTTGCCCATTGTTGGTGTAAAGGCATGCTTACTATTTTTGCACACTAATTTTGCATCCTGAGACTTTGGTTATCAGTTCCAGAAGTATTGGGACCGAGATGATAGGGTTTTGTAAATATGAAATCATGTCATCTGCAAACAGAGGCAACTTGGCTTCCTCTCTTGCTATTTGAATACCCTTTATTTCTTTCTCTCACCTGATTGCCTGAGCCAGAACTTCCAGTACTATGTTGAATAGGAGTGGTGAGAGAGGACATCGTTGTCTTGTACCAGTTTTGAAAGTGAATGCTTCCAGCTTTTGCTCATTGATATTGAGCTTTTGCTCAATATGATATTGGCTGTGAGTTTGTCATAAATAGCTCTTAGAATTTTGAGATATGTTCCATCAATGCCTGGTTTATTGAGAGTTTTTAACATGAAGGGATGTTGAAATTTATCATAAGCCTTTTCTGTATCTATTGAGATAATCATGTGTTTTTTGTCTTTGTTTTGGTTTAGGTGATGGATTATATTTATTGATTTGCCTATGTTGAACCAGCCTTGCATCTCAGGGATGAAGCTGACTTGATCATGGTGGATAAGTGTTTTGATATGTTGCTGGATTTGGCTTGCCAGTATTTTATTGAGGATTTTCTCATCAATATTCATCAGGGAGACTAGACTGAAGTTTTCTTTTTGTTGTGTATCTTCCCGGTTTGGTATTAGGATGATGTTGACTTTATAAAATGACATAAGGAGGAATCCCTCCTTTTCAATTGTTTGAAATAGTTCAGAAGGAATGGCAGCAGTTCCCCTTTGTATTTCTGGTAGTATTCATCTGTGAATCTGTCTGGTCTGGGGCTTTTTTGTTGTTGGTGGTGAACTATTAATTATTACCTCAATTTCAGAGCTTGTTATCGGACTATTCAGGGATTCAATTTCTTCCTGGTTTAGTCTTGGTAGGGAGTATGCATCCAGGAATTTTATCCATTTCTTCTAGATTTTCTAGTTTATTTGCTTAGAGATGTTTATCGTATTCTCTGATGAAAGTTTGTATTTCTGTGGGGTCAGATAAGATATCCTCTTTGTCATTTTTTATTGTGTCTATTTGATTCTTCTCTCTCTTCTTCCTTATTACTATAGCTAGCAGTCTATCTATTTTGTTAATATTTTTCAAAAAAAAAACAGCTCCTGGCTTCGTTGATTTTTTGGAGGGTATTTTGTGTCTATCTCCTTCAATTCTTCTCTTCTCTTAGTTATTTGTTGTCTTCCTCTAGGTTTTGAATTTGTTGGCTCTTGCCTCTCTAGCTCTTTTAAGGGCAATGTTAGGGTGTCAATTTGAGATCTTTCTAGTTTTCTGATATGGGCATTCTGTGCTATAAATTTCCCTCTTAACATTGCTTTAGCTGTGTCTCAAAGATTCTGGTACGTTGTCTCTTTGTTCTTATTTGTTTGAAAGAACTTCTAGATTTCTGCCTTAATTTCATTATTTACCCAGGATTCATTCAGGAGCAGTTTGTCAATTTCCAGAAAATTGTGTGGGTTTCAGTGAGTTTCTCAATCTTGAGTTCCAATTTGATTGCACTGTGGTCTGTGAGACTGTTTGTTATGATTTCAGTTATTTTGCATTTGCTGAGGAGTGTTTCACTTCCAATTATGTGGTCTATTTTATTATAAGTGCCATGTGGCACTGAGAAGAACGTATATTCTGTTGATTTGGGGTAGAGAGTTCTGTAGACGTCTACTAGGTCCACTTGATCCATAGCTGAGTTCAAGTCCTGAATATCCTTGTTAAATTTCTGTCTCATTGATCTGCCTCATACCGAGAGTGGGGTGTTAAAGTCTCCCATTATTATTGTATGGGAGTCTTAAGTCTCTCTATAGGTCTCTAAGAACTTGTTTTATGAATCTGGGTTCTCCTGTATTGGGTGCATATATATTTAGAATAGTTAGTTCTTCTTGCTGAATTGTTCCCTTTACCATTATGTAATGCCCTTCTTTGTCTTTTTTGATCCTTGTTGGTTTAATGTCTCTTTTGTCAGAAACTAGGATTGCAACCAGTGCTTTCATTGCTTTCCAATTTTTTGGTAAATTTTTCTCCATCCCTTTATTTTGAGCCAGTGTGTGTCTTTGCATGCAAGATGGGTCTCGTGAATACAGCACACCAATGGGTCTTGACTCCTTATCCAATTTGTCAGTTCTTGTCTTTCAATTGGGGGCATTTAGCCCATTTGCATTTAAGGTTAGTATTGTTATGTGTGAATTTGATCCTGTTATCATTATGCTATTTGGTTATTTTCCACACGAGTTGATGCAGTTTCTTTGTGGTGTCTTTATACTGGTCTTTACATTGGTCTTTATACTTTGATGTGTTTTTGCAGTTGCTGATACCAGTTTTTCCTTCCCATATTTAGTGTTTCTTTCAGAAGCTCTTGCAGGGAAATCCTGATGGTAATGAAATTCCTCAGCATTTGCTTGCCTGGAAAGGATTTTATTTCTCCTTTGCTTCTGAAGCTTAGTTTGTCTGGGTATGAAATTCTGGGTTGAAAATCCTATTCTTTAAGAATGTGGAATATTGGCTCCCAATCTCTTCTGGCTTGTAGAGTTTCTGCTGAGAGGTCTGCTATTAGTCTGATGGGCTTCTCTTTGTGGGTGACCTGGCCTTTCTCTCTGGCTGAGCTTTACAGTTTTTCCTTCAGTTCAACCTCGGAGGATCTGATGATTATATGTCTTGGGGTTGATCTTCTCATGTAGTATCTTAATAGTGTTCTCCATATTTACTGAATTTTCATGTTGGCCTGTCTTGCTAGGTTGGGGAAGTTCTCCTGGATAACATCCCGAAGTGTGCTTTCCAGCTTGTTTCCATTCTCCCAGTCTCCTTCTGGTACTCCAATCAATCATGGGTTCAGTCTTTTTGTGAAATTCCATATTTCCTGGAGGCTTTATTCATTTCTTTTTATTCCCTTTTCTCTATTATGGTTTGCATGTCTTATTTCAGTAAAGTGGTCTTCAAACTCTGATATCCTTTCCACCTCTCAGTCAATTTGGCTGTTGATATTTGTATATTCTTCACGAAGTTCTCATGCTGTTTTTCAGCTCTATTAGGTCATTTATGTTCCTCTCTAAACTGGTTATTCTAGTTAGCAATTCCTCTAACCTTTTATCAAATTTCTTAGCTTCTTTGCCTTGGATAAGAACTTGCTCCTTTAGCTCAATGTAGTGTTTTACTACCAATTCTTTGAAGCCTACTTCTGCCAAGTCATCCATCTGATCCTCCATCTAGTTTTGTGCCCTTGATGGAGAGCTGTTGCAATCATTTGGAGGAGAAGAGACACTCTGGCCTTTTGGGTTTTCAGCATTTTTTCATTGATTCTTTCTCATTTTGTGTGTTTGTCTAGTTTCAGTCTTTGAGGTTGCTAACACTTGGATGGGGTTTTTGTGGACACCTTTTTGTTGTTGTTGTTGATGGTGCTATTGTTCCTATCTGCTTGTTTGTTTTTCTTTCAATAGTCAGGTCCCTCTTCTGTAGGGCTGCAGCAGTTTTCTGGGGGTTCACTTCAGGTCCTATTCATCTGATTCACTCCCATGCCTGGAGGTGTCACTCAAGGAGGCTGGAGAGGAGCAAAGATGCATGTCTGCTCCTTATTCTGGGACCTCTGACTTCAAGGGGGACCAACCTGATGCCAGTAGGACCGTTCATGTATAGGGTGTCTGACAACCTCTGTTGGAGGGCCTCATCTAGGTATTCTTTCTGATGCCAATTTATTTAATGCTGCTCTGTAACACCTCACTGGATGTTTAGATTCCTGAATTATCTCTGTTATATGAAATAGAATCAATAACAAATAAATTCACAGTTGAAAAGATTGGAGGTAAAGAATATTCCATTTTTTTAATTTGTTAATGAAAAATTTGAGTTACATAAAATTTAACTAAATTTTAATAGAGCCAATCCTAGAACTTATGTCTTCTAATCATATATGAGTCATTTTTAACCACTTTGCACTTTATTTTAAATATTAGAATTATTTGGGTTATTCTAATTCTAAACTTGAGAATGTCACAAACAGCAAGAAAGCAACTGAGTTGTCCATCTGAAAGTAGGGATGAATTAAATATTAAGACCCTTCACACTGGCTATTTTTACTTCTCAAGTTTAAAATTATTTTATTTAACCTCTATTTCCAAATACTAAAAATATGTTAATGAGAAGAGAAATCTGAAAAAAGCAAAAATGTTTACTAATAACCAGACTGAAGATGAACAAAAATAATAAATCTAATTTAAAATATTCTAAGAAACTTAATCTATATTTACCCCTGAATCTGTCAAATAATATCTACAAATTCAAAACACAAAAGAGATGTTTGTTATATTCCTTATTAAAGCAATGCAAATGTTCTAATATCAAAATTTTATATTTGATTCCATCTCAGAGTTGAATCATTTATGCTTTATGACTGCATGTATAGCATATATTTATATAAGTAATGACAGAATCTTCCCATTTAGTTTTTCTTCTGTCTTCATCCATTTTAGAAGTATGAGCATATGAAAGGATAATTGATAAAGTTTTATTCTAAGCAGTGTGAAACCAGAAAATAAAAATCTACCTTACCATATCTAATTCACAACAAAAACTGAAAAATTAATTCAGAAGAAACCACATTAAGTACATGGAATTATGGAATATTCTCTCTCTCTCTGTCTCCGTCTCTGTCTCTCTCTCTCTCTGTGTGCCTTCAAAATTTTTATTTTAAAAAACTTTCAAAAGAATTTCTACAAAATCAAATAACATCTTCTCAATCAGTGATAATGAGGGTGATAATAAGAATATTATTTTCTTTTCACATGATATACATTGCTCTCCGAGCAAAAACAGTGATTGTGAATGTTAGATGATACATACCTACTGCCATAGTTCTCAAGATCGAAAAATGAGTTTTCCCACTGTCAGTGCCTGGATTTTGCGTGAGCTCCACAACATATCTTAGAAGAAGTTCTTCCTTTTTAAAAAATATTTTACAATTATTTCTATCCTCACTGAATGTGCTCATTATCTACCCAGGGGATTTTTATATTCATTCTGAATCAAAAGGAAGGTCATCATTTCCAAGAGACAGTATCAAAAGTCATCAGGATGCAAAATGATTAGAAAACTTTTAAATTCCTAAGATTGTTTTAATCAGATTTATATAACATATTTATTTTATTTTATTTTTTATTTTTATTTTTTATACTTTAAGTTCTAGGATACATGTGCACAACGTGCAGGTTTGTCACATAGGTATACATGTGCCATGTTGGTTTGCTGCACCCATCAACTCGTCATTTACATTAGGTATTCCTCCTAATGCTATTCCTCCTCCAGACCCCCACCCGCCGATAGACTCTGGTTTGTGTTGTTTACCACACTGTGTCCATGTGTTCTCGTTGTTCAACACCCACCTATGAGTGAGAACATGTGGTGTTTGGTTTTCTGTCCTTGTGATAGTTTGCTTAGAATGATGGTTTTCAGCTTCATCCATATCCCTGCAAAGGACAAGAATTCATCCATTTTTAAGGCTCCATAGTATTCCATGATGTATATGTGCCACATTTTCTCAATCCAGTCTATCATCAGTGGACATTTGGGTTGGTTCCAAGTCTTTGCTATTGTGAATAGTGCTGCAATAAACAAATGTGTGCATGTCTCTTTATGGTAGCATGATTTATAATCCTTTGGGTTACCCAGTAATGGGATGGCTGGGTCAAATGGTATTTCTAGTTCTAGATCCTTGAGAAATTGCCACACTGTCTTCCACAATGGTTGAACTAATTTACCCTCCCACCAACATTGTAAAAGCATTCCTATTGGCTGGGTGCAGTGGCTCACACCTGCAATCCCAGCACTTTGGGAGGCCGAGGTGGGCAGAACACGAGGTCAGGAGTTCGAGACCAGTCGGTAAAACCCCTTCTCTACTAAAAATACAAAAATTAGCTGGGCATGGTGGTGTGCACCTGTAATCCCAGCTACTCAGGAGGCTGAGGCAGGAGAATTGCTTGAACCCGGGAGGTAGAGGTTGCAGTCAGCCGAGATTGCACAACTGCACTCCAGCCTGGGAGACAGAGTGAGGAAAAAAAAAAAAAAAGCATTCCTATTTCTCTACAAGCTCTCCAGCACCCATTGTTTCCTGACTTTTCAATGATCACCATTCTAACTGGTGTGAGATGGTATATTATTGTGGTTTTGATTTGCATTTCTATGATGACCAGTGATGATGAGTATTTTTTCATATATCTGTTGGCTGCATAAATGTCTTCTTTTGAGAAGTATCTGTTCATATCCTTTGCCCACTTTTTCATGGGGTTTTTTTTTTTTTGTAAATTTGTTTAAGTTCTTTGTAGATTCTGGATATTAGCCCTTTGTCAGATGAGTAGATTGCAAAAATTTTCTCCCATTCTGTAGGTTGCCTGTTCACTCTGATGGTAGTTTCTTTTGCTGTGCAGAAGCTCTTTAGTTTAATTAGATCACATTTGTCTGCTTTGGCTTTTGTTGTCATTGCTTTAGGTGTTTTAGTCATGAAGACTGTTCCCATGCCTATGTCCTGAATGGTATTTTCTAGGTTTTCTTCTAGGGTTTTTATGGTATTGGGTCTTACATTTAAGAATTTAATCCATCTTGAGTTACTTTTTGTATAAGGTGTAAGGAAGGGATCCAGTTTCAGCTTTCTACATATGGCTAGCCAGTTTTCCCAGCACCATTTATTAAATAGGGAATCCTTTCCCAATTGCTTGTTTCTGTCAGGTTTGCCATAGCTCAGATTGTTTTAGATGTGTGGTGTTATATCTGAGGCCTCTGTTCTGTTCCATTGGTCTATATATCTGTTTTGTTACCAGCACTGTGCTGTTTTGGTTACTGTAGCCTTGTAGTATAGTTTGAAGTCAGGTAGCATGATGCCTCCAGCTTTGTTCTTTTGGCTTAGGATTCTCTTGGCAATGTGGGCTCTTTTTTGGTTCCATATGAACTTTAAAGTAGTTTTTTCCAATTCTGTGAAGAAAGACAGTGGTAGCTTGATGGAGATAGCATTGAATCTATAAATTACCTTGGGCAATATGGCCATTTTCAGGATATTGAGTCTTCCTATCCATGAGCATGGAATGTTCTTCCATTTGTTTATGTCCTCTTTTACTTTGTTGAGCAGTAGTTTGTAGTTCTCCTTGAAGAGGTCCTTCACATCCCTTGTAAGTTGGATTCCTAGGTATTTTATTCTCTTTGTAGTAATTGTGAATGGGAGTTCACTCATGATTTGACTGTCTGTCTGTTCTTGGTGTATAGAAATGCTTGTGATTTTTGCACGTTGATTTTGTATCCTGAGACTTTGCTGAAGTTGCTTATCAGCTTAAGGAGATTTGGGGCTGAGACGATGGGGTTTTCTAAATATACAATCAGGTCATGTGCAAACAGATGCAGTTTGACTTCCTCTTTTCCTAACTGAATACACTGTATTTCTTTATCTTGCCTGATTGCCCTGGCCAGAACTTCCAACACTATGTTGAATAGAAGTGGTAAGAGAGGGCATCCTTGTTTTGTGCCAGTTTTCAAAGGGAATGCTTCCAGTTTTTGCTCATTCAGTATGATATTGGCTGTGGGTTTGTCATAAATAGCTCTTATTATTTTGAGATACGTTCCAGCAGTACCTAGTTTATTGAGAGTTTTTAGCATGAAGGGATGTTGGATTTTGTCGAAGGCCTTTTCTGCATCTATTGAGATAATCATGTGGTTTTTGTCGTTGGTTTTGTTTATGTGATGGATTACGCTTATTGATTTGCATATGTTGAACAAGCCTTGCATCCCAGGGATGAAGCCCACTTGATTGTGGTGGATAAGCTTTTTGATGTGCTTCTGGGTTCATTTTGCCAGTATTTTATTGAGGATTTTTGCATCGATGTTCATCAGGAAGATTGGCCTAAAATCCTCTTTTTTGGTTGTGTCTCTGCCAGGCTTTGGTATCAGGATGATGCTGGCCTCATAAAATGAGTTAGGGAAGATTCCCTCTTTTTCTATTGATTGAAATAGTTTCAGAAGGAATGGTACCAGCTCCTCTTTGTACCTCTGGTAGAATTCGGCTGTGAATCCATCTGGTCCTGGACTCTTTTTGGTTGGTAAGCTATTGATTATTGCCACAATTTCAGATCCTGTTATTGGTCTATTCAGAGATTCAACTTCTTCCTGGTTTAGTCTTGGGAAGTTGTTCATATTATTTTCTTATTTTTTTGGTGTCCTATAATTTCCCATATTTACCTGCTAAACCCATATTTATAAAATATTTACATTTCATTTTTGGTCTGTTTTGCAAAGTATAATAGGTATGTTTCCATTGTTCTACTTGTTCTTTGAGTGTGTATTACATTTTTCTTTTTTTCATGACTACTAATATTATTTTACTTCATACATATATAATATACACACATAAACACACTGATGTATATATACATGTATATACTGAAATAAATACATAATCTCAAAGAAAAGTATATTTTGCTTTTTTTCTTGTTTTTTTTTCCAAAGAGTGCAGAGAGTGCACATGCTTCCTTTTGTGTAGAAATTCTAGGTGAGAGGCATATGTATTTCATGATGTTGAGTTCACTTTTAGACAGTTCAGCTCCCGATTTTTGTACTACTTTTTTCAGAGTATTCCTAGAAACAGAACTGATAGGATACACACATACATATAGATATATAGTTATATATGTTATATATGTATGTATATATGTAGGAGATATATATGTACATGTACACATACATACACATACATATATATGCACATAAATATTATCATTTCATATATATATATATCTTGTGCAGAATCAAAGTCCAATAATTCCAAACATGTTCAATATTTCATATATTCTCTAATTTTACAGCCCATGGCTGCTTACTATGTAAAATTCTGATGTGAGGAAGGAGTGTAAATTATTCAATTAAATATATATATATTTTTTTAATTTTGGGCTATTGCAATCTCTGGTATGTCCTGCCCACTTACAGTTATCAAAGGATTTTCCAATTTCTGTTTTACTCTATAAAGTCTATGACAGGCTTACCCCTTTTCTATATCAGCCAGACCAGGGACTCCTCAGTATATGGTGCTACTTTGGCTCCATACTCAATTCTAAAGTTCTTCTCTGTCTGGGATTTGGTTTCTTTGTTTTCTTCTTATCTATTGTCCTTGAAACATTGGCTTTTCTGCCTATTTAACAATCTACATCTAAGCTATTAGTAGGTACCCTATTTTCTCTACCTTCTAAACACATCACAAGTCTACCATTATATAGCCTCCATCATTCTAGACAAGCAACTATCATTTTTCTATGGACATCTACAACAGACTATTAATAACTGTGCCTATATCCAATAATTCCAACCCTTCATTTTCTATTTTGTCACAAGTAAGTATAGAATTGCATCATTCTGTTTTTTAAAATTTGTTTTACTTCCAGTTTTGGGATACGTGAGCAGAAGGTGCAGGTTTGTTACATAGGTATACATGTGCCATGGTGGATTGCTGCACCTATCAACCCATTATCTAGGTTTCGAGCCCCACATGCATTAGCTATTTGTCCTGATGCTCTCCCTCCCCTTGCACCCCAACCCTAAGCAGGCCCTGGTGTATGATGTTCCCCTCCCTGTGTCCATGTGTTCTCATTGTTCAACTCCCAATTATGACTGAGAGCAAGTGGTGTTTTTCCTGTGCCTGCCTGTGTTCGTTTGCTGAGAAAGATGGCTTCCAGCTTCATCCATGTCCCTCCAAAGGAAATGAACTCATTCTTTTTTATGGCTAGGATTGCATCATTCTCTTATCAAAATGTTCCAGTAGCTTCCAGCTTCCATCACATTTAGAAAAACAAAACAAAATGAAACAAAAAACCAAACTTGAAGTGATTATCATGGTGTCTCTGAATAGTCTGGCCCCAGCCCCTACACACTTTTTCAAATTCACTACTGTCTGCATTATCTTTGTTACTTCTCAAAAATAAATAAATACATAAAACATTGGAGAGGAGTGCCATTTTATCTTATCAAAGCATTTACATTTACATTTGCTTGTTCTTGAAAAGTACTTCCCTCAAATAATCACATAATTCATCTCTCACTTCATTTATGTAATTTTATCAGAATTAGCCCTCTATATAAAACAGCACCACATCATTAACTAAAAATTGATCCACTTTTAAAATTTTCCTTCACTGAACTTTTTATTATCTAGCTGACATTTTATTTTCAATCTCTTTACTAATTTGTGCTCCAACCATGACATTTTCATACTGTCTTGTAATACTTCATGTTTTCCTCTGTTTTGAATAAACTGCTTTTATGCTTGGGCAATGTCTCATTTCTTTTGCAATTCCCATGGCATAACAATCTCATATTGCCAAAACTGTTTACTTATGATTTGCTTAAATTGTACATTTGTTCTTTGCTTAAATTCTAACAACAGAAAATTACCTTTCACTTAATGGGAACTCAATAAATATTTTCTTAATAATTATTTATAACCCATTGGAACTCAATAAATACTTGCTGAATCAAGATGCACTGAATTTAAAGACTGACTTGGGAATATTTATTGTTGGATATGTAGTTTTCTCTCCAAGTAAAATCATTCCAGGTGTCCAAGTCCATGCCACAATATTCAAAATAATAGAAGCAATAATCACACAAACAGTAGATAGGCCTCTTATATATTATAGGGTGTTTGAAATGCTGTGGAAACAAAGAAATATAATCTGAGACTCCGGCAAAATAAAATCCAAGTCCATGAAATGTTAGACTAACATTGCTTATCAAAGGAATAGTCATAATTCCAGTTGTTTTAATTCACAGTTCTACTGTGATCCAGTTGAGGATCACAGTAGAAAAATGCAATAAAAGAAATGGGAATAGAGATTGTCCACGTAGAAAGAGAATTAAATCTGGATTGTCAAGTGCTGAAACTAAAACATTAGTTAATGGCATAGATAATAACTGAAAAACTTGGGCTTTCATTTTAGTCAGAATATTATAATTGTGTGAAGGAAAGTTTTTAGGAATAAATAATTATACATGAGATGCAAAATTTTATGGTGATTAGGTGAGTAGATAGATGATAAATAAATTATTATGAAAATGTGTACCAAATGAGGACCTATCAAGTTGAGGGGTCACCTGAAACAAATTTTAAAATGCTGCAGCTTTTTTGGTAAGATCTTTTCAAAAAGGAAGAAATGTTGTAGTTACAGCATCCAAAGAAACGCTTAGGAAGCAGGGTTCTATTATGTGGCCATGTTGTTACATAAGTACTACTAACACATGGTCTCCTTTTCTGTGTGCATAGAGGCTAAAAAAGTTATGATTGTCATTGATACTAAACAATGTACGAGACATAAAAGCCTCTTTCATGGTAATATATAAGAATAATCAATTTGGTATAATCCTAAAGAGGTTAAAAAGAGCTGAAACTTCTGGGACCCACAGTCTAGAATATCTAGTTAGTTCTAGGAATCCTCTTAGTTGATGGCTCTGGAGAAATTTTGGTTAGCTTTAGTTCTTTCATCATAGAGTGTTTCAACTGTGTTCTAATAAATCTTGCCCTACGTAGTATATTGACCTTTGGCAAAATTGAAGCTTTCTCATAGAAGCTTGAAAAGAAGGGATGAAACTAACTGGTCTGAGATCCATTCATCCCTTTTGCTTGCAGGACAGCTCTACCCCAGGGAAAAAAAAAAGAAAATGACAAGTTATCTAGTTTAAGTTTCTTGTCTCAAAAAATAATAATAATTTTTTGGCACATTTAGTTTAGCAGTGCCTTTTACATAGTAAGTTTCTTCAATTAAATTTTCAAGTGGTATTACATACAAAAAGGATGTTTTCAGTAAGGAACACAAAGGGAAATATATTGATTGAGATAGAATGATTGATATTTGCACATACCTACAACTATATTGGTGATTTTGCATACTTCAATAAATACATGCTATAAAGTGTGGGACTTAGGCTGTATAGTGTCACCTAAGCAAATTAGTATTTATATTTATGTCCTCTTTTGACTATTGTTAACTCACCTATGCTAGTCCCAAGTTAAAATGGAGCGCTGTAGGGATCCTTATAACCCTTCAAAGCATGATCATTGTATTTTATCTACAACATCTTTAACTGGAAATAATTATTAAGGCTGGGCTTAATTTGTATCCAATATCCTTTCGTTTTACATTATCAGAAGATATTAGTTTAATCTATTGGCTTTAGAACAACTAAAAAGTTGAGCTTCAGTAAATTCTTCCTTTCGAACATGACCCAGTTGCCTGGTTTTTAAGGTGAGAAAATTCTTTTGGGTTGTGGTTTGTCTATTCATTATAGCTCTGTAGATATAAAGGTCTAAGTCAAATCACTTTTGACTTTTTCACTTTTTCACTTTTAAGCAATGACAAATAGAATTGGGACTGCTCCCTTACTTCTGCGTCTGGGTTGACTTCTAAGTATTACCTAAAGGCTTAATATACTCTGGTTATAAGATTGCCTCATAATTTGATTCATAAGTGGTTGTGTTGTTTATAGTTCTGAATTTTTGTCCAATATCTCATTAAGGAAAGGTAGGCCTGAACAGGAGACTCTCTTATCTTTTGGCCATTACAATACTTTCTTTTTTGTATTAGGCATATTAGGCTATGTATGATTTGTATTGGATTCCATTGACAGATTTTGCTTATTTTTCTCCTTCTGATTGATCCAGCAAGTGGACCAATTACCAGAGGTCTGAGTGACACAAGATATTGGCATCTAATTTTTAAAGTTTTGTCTAAATTTCTATCTTGATTTTCAAAAGTTTTTAAATGTAGCTCTGCAATAAGCCAGACGGTATATTTTACTGCAAATTAAGCAGCTCTACCTCCAGGAATTTGAGCAATATTTAATTAAGAGCTCTATAATATTAAAGAAAAAATAATTCACAGAGTAAATTCTCAGCATAATCCATGGGTGAATTGTATAATGTGGATATAGTATAGACAAGTTCAAAAGGGGTAATGGATAAGAGAAGCATTCAGAGAGATCATTAAAATGCATTTTCTCTTTAGCTTTAGTCAAGAAATCTTTTATGAAGCCCAATTGTGTACAGAGTTTATTCTGTTTTATTTGGAGGCTTCAGCATACAAATTAAGATA
This sequence comes from Homo sapiens, assembly GCF_000001405.40. Taxonomy (NCBI): domain Eukaryota; kingdom Metazoa; phylum Chordata; class Mammalia; order Primates; family Hominidae; genus Homo; species Homo sapiens. Next base: position 66,373,777 of record NC_000004.12, on the reverse strand, counting down.
GACTGACCATTGGACGTTTAAAATTCTGCCTTCATTTTTCTTAAACTCCCTTTAAATAATAGTGTCTTGGTCAAATTGAAATGTCTATAAAAAACAATTGCAATACAAAGTTATGTTTTGTGAAGTTATTTCACTTAGAAAGATAAGCATAAGAACTAGAATTATATGAGAAAACCTGTATAAGGCAAAGGTGCTTCTAGGAAGAATTTGAGGCTTAGAAGTAGATACACACAATAGAGAAGCAAAAGTTGCTTTTATATATTGTGTAAAAAATTTTGGCTCTCTTCTTATCAGGCAAGTGGAAATGTGCTGCCAGCAACTTAACAATCACTGATCCTAGTGAGGCTCAAGTATACACAGTTCTTATAATAAAAAATAAAAGGAGTTTCTTGGGTTGACCAAGCAGAAATTGATATCCAGTACTTGTTTGTTAGACACCTACTATGTATAGTTTGTATTTTGACTACAACAATTAGAAACAGCTTTCCTGGTCTTTAGAAGGGTGCCTCTACAGTGTTTGAGATATATTAAAAGACATCATACAAAAAGTACTTTTTATAATTATTCCCCTTTCTGATTATTAAGAAAATCCAGAAAATTCTTTTAAGTGTGTTTCTAAAATGCTCTTTTAAGTTTCGGAGCACAGTTCAAATGGAGTCATATTCACTTCGATCCATTGGACACCAAGCAACAATTTACATAGATTTCAAAATGCTGTCAGGAGTCTCTTAAGAAATTTTTGGAATAACTAAATCGGGGTTGTTGCTGTACCTTTGGGATCTATCTGATATACGCAATTACATCTCCATTTGAAGTCAGAATCCCAGACAGAGTGCTGCAGCTGCATTGGCAATTATGCAAAACGCATATTTCTGTTTTGCAGCATCATTGCGAGTCACGATAAAGGGAAACATTCATATCTTATAAAGTCTTCTGCAGAGGCTCATTTCCCTGGGATTTTTGACGCTGTTTCTAACTCTCCTGCCAGAGACAGAGCTCATTGTTGCTTGCTATATTGTTTTCAGCATGGGAAATCAATCTTCCATGCAAACTGTCAGAATGTTTATTCTGTTTATAACACATATGTAAGATACAAATAAAATGATTCTTCGCTGGGGGTGTGTGGGGGGTGGGGCGGAATGGGGCAGAACGGAACAAACCCTTATTTACTAACAAGCTTATAATGAAAATGATATCGAACTGAAATATGCAAGGTAGATTTCCATTTTTTGAGGAAGTAGAGGAAAAGATTTCAGTGAACATTGAGTTAAATTTGTCGCTGATACTTAACCCACTGTCTTGATCTTTTCTCTCTGTTTTCTTTCTTATGTCAAGGAAAAACATTTTCAAAGATTTCTGCAAAAATATACAGAAATATATGACACTGTGATATTAAGACCAAAAAGGTGATGAAAACAAAAGCTTTGCTCATCCTCTAAGTAAAGACCCAAACGCCCTGGTGTTTGGTTCCATGTCTTACATGAGGTTAGAATGTATGAAAATGCACGAAGTCCAGAACCACCTTGAGCATTACTGATAAGAATTGAGGCTGGGCGCGGTGGCTCACGCCTGTAATCCCAGCACTTTGGGAGGCCGAGGTGGGCGGATCACGAGGTCAGGAGATCGAGACCATCCTGGCTAACACGGTGAAACCCCATCTCTACTAAAAATACAAAAAATTAGCCGGGCGAGGTGGCGGGCACCTGTAGTCCCAGCTACTCAAAAGGCTGACGCAGGAGAATGGCGTGAACCCGGGAGGCGGAGCCTGCAGTGAGCCGAGATCGCGCCACTGCACTCCAACCTGGGCGACAGCGAGATTCCGTCTCAAAAAAAAAAAAAAAAAAAAAAAGAATTGAGTGATCATCATGTAAGGGAGTATATATTGTTGATCTACAGACTTTTCATCTAGTAACTTCAAATTTAAATAGATATGAGAAAGACAAAGAGTTACAGGTATTTTCTGCTGCCCCAGTGAACAGAGATTACTGTAATCTCTCATTACTTTCCTCCAGAGTATCCCAGAGGATAGGAATGATGCTTCTTAAAAGGTAATATGATGATGATGGCACAAATAAAAATGAGACAATAGCACTATCATTTCCCCATGTCTGTTCCATGGGGAACTAAAAATGATGTTTAGAAAAAAGGATAAGCTGCTATCCGTGGAGTCAGAATAGAAACCATAATATTAGTGCTGTCCAATTCAATATCATTTATTTCTTTGCATACTCAAATAGCAATTCAATCTACAGCCAGAAACAACTTTATTTTCTGGACTACTCTTGACATTCTTCTCCCCCTTTCCCATTAGCGCTATCATATGTAATTTGTTGTGTCACACTTGCCTATTTGTTTCTGATCACACACAATAAGTTACTTTACTTTCATTTCATTCCAAATGTATCTCCAATCAAATGTCTACTAATCTGTTTTAAGGCTATCCATGTTCCCTTTCCCTGAAACACTGCTCTTAGCAAAGGAAAAATAGTGATAAAGAAAATAAACTCAACAAAACAAAATAGCCCAAGCATAAAATCCACAGCTGTTGTAGGTATGATTTTGTGTTTCATATGAATGTAAATATCTGAAAGAACTGGTCTTTTTTAGCATGATCCTTATCACACTATCCCCACACTGTGTCTGAATACCAAACTTTCTGTGCATTAAATAAACGTGAAATGGCAACAGGCTTGTAGATTTTAAATTCTTGTTTAGTTCCAATGTAAAGTTCTTGCCACTCTGGGCTTCATCCCAGGTTTTAATCTAGTGAGCAGAGAAATGCAAGTGGATCACCAGCAATCACTGCTTGCACTGCAGACCCCAATAACCGTAAAAGAAGAGGGGCAAGGAAGGTAACTGACCTTTCTTTGAGCTCTTCAGATCTTGAAATACACATGGAATCATTGGCTTAGCTTTACAGTTTCCACTAATGATGGCAATAAACCCAAGGCAACCTTGAGGTGAGAAGAAAAAGGGGCTACATTTTCCAGAATTTCCTGAAAGCATTTATTATAGAATTAAAACAGAAATCCTACTTTGAGAGTATATTTAGCCTCTGCTGGTCTATGACAGAAAGGTGTTCTCAAGTCAGAGTTGCTCCCTTCTTACAAAAAAAAAAATATCTTTTTCAGACAAACGCTCCTTACTTCCTTTCAAGATCAAGAGAGCATAATGGATCTACGTTATTTTAACCAGCTGTCTGAAACTTTGCCTAAAAAGTAGAACTATCTCTCTCCAACCTGGGCCATTTCAGTTTATTTTCTCAAATGCAGAACCTGGCAGTAATTTATGTTGTAGCTGGTTATTTTTTTCCCTTGACCATCTCAAGGCTGCTTCTTTTTATTTGCTCCAGATCTGTTCATGTTTTGCATGTCCGTGAACACTATTCCTTTTTCTTGTATTTTTTAACTACTTAGTTTTACTAATTTTGCTTAGAAATTGTCACAGGATAAAAAGTAAAAGAATAAATGGGGGGGACTGAAAAAAAAAGAGAGAAACAACTTATCCAGACAAGTTATCCAGAGGCAAGTACTAAATCTAAATCTAATACAAGATCTATTAAGAGTGAATGGCCTATCATAGACCACTCAAGACTTTCCTATTTTTTTCTGTTGTGAAGAAGGGTAAGGTTGAATTTGGAACCAAAAAATGGGAAGTTTTTAGAATACTCAATGTCTAGGTTTGCAGTTTTCAAACTTCTCTTTATCAGCAGTTATTGAGGGAGCTCTTAAGGTAGAAGAGACTTGAAATGCTGTTGAATATTTCAGAGGGGAGTGGCACAAGTTCGATGGGCACAAGGAAATACTGTGAAGTACAATTTGAACAGACAGGATATAGATTAGGAAACCCTTAATTTTTGTTTGCATTCTGTAAAATCTCCAACATTCAACTTCCTCCTTATCCAACCTGATGTCCAACCTCTTGTAAAGATTAAAAGAGAAAACAGAGTCTGATGCAGTGGCTCATGCCTGTAGTGACAACACTTTGAGAGCCTGGGCAAAAGGGTGAAACCTTGTCTCTAAAGAAAATACAAAAAGTAGCTGAGCATGGTGATGTGTGCCTGTAATCCCAGCTCCTGGGGAGGCTGAGGTTGGAGGCTCACTTGAGCCCAGGAGGTGGAGGTTGCAGTGAGTTGAGATCTCACCACTGCACTCTAGCACATGCTACCAAGTGAGACCCTGTCTCAAAGAAAAAAAAGGAGAGAGAGAGAGACAGAAGAGAGAACAAAAACACATGTAAATAGTATCTAGATTGGAATTTCAGCTAGAATCCAAAATAAAGCAGAAAAAGTGAAGTGGCTGATACTCTCTTCCATTCTCAGAAATAGGGAATCTTTAGTAATATATCTACCATATTTGATTTCTTATTCTGTGTCAATCACAGCATGACACAGCTTGCATTTATTATCATATACATTTACCGAATAATCTAAAAGGCAATCTAGAAGGCATATACATTTACAGATTAATCTAGAAGGCATGTTATATGTGAGGAAACTGAAAGGCCAGGGAAGAGAAGTGACTGATAAAAGTCTCATATAGCTAGTTTGTGGCATAGACATGATTCCCTCTCAGGTATTTAGAATTATAAAACCAGTCCTCTCATCACTCTTATACCACATTAATCTAAGACCATCTCTAAAACTGAATAGATGAGACCAACAAGCAAGTCAGATGCCAAACATCTGACTTGAAGGTTCTCTGATACATAGTATTTGGTCTATGATTTTTGCATCATAGAGCAGTCCCAGATTAGTAGTTCAATTTGCACAATACTGGGGAGAAGTCTATGTGTAAGTCAATTACCAGCTACTAGTACTCAGAGCATATATACTGTTAGTAGCAATTAAGAGCCTGGGTTTTGGTAATAGGAGTCCACTCTCTTCTGCCTAGTTATCTGATTGTGGATAATTTACTTATGAAGGGCAATGAAGCTATAAAATGAGGACAACGCTATTATCTACCTCATTATAAAATATGAATAATAAAATATATAGAAGTTAATTTTCATGGTGTTTGATACAGTATGGTGAGATATTGATGAGTATTAATTATTGTTACATTATTTTAATTATGATTACTTTTCACACACCTCTTGAGTATCCTAGTCCATCTTTTATTTGGGGATTTTGAATGACTTGAGCCTTTGAAATTGGAGTCCACAAGAGTCGAATATTGTCTCAGACTGAGTGAGCGTTTTTTTTTGTTTTGTTTTGTTTTTTCTGATGACCTTATTTTTATTCTGGGATCCTACTGCTTTCTTGCTTCTTTAATCACAAGATAAGGAATCATTTTTGAATCTATAAATTGGGGTGGGAAGAAGTGTGAAGAATTGGATCATTATTCCTCCAAATATAACCTGTCTTGTTCCAGGTCTGAGCCTTTTAAATCTTTAAAACTGGCTTAGAAATAAGACTGAGAAAGAGCAACCCAGTCAATCACTCTTACTTAACTCGTGTTTTGAAAGTTGCTTAGAAATCAATAAAAAACACTGGTTGTGATTCCATATTGAGGGAGGCAAGAAAAAGAGAGACAGAGAGAGAGAGAGATTATAAGGAAATACTATTTTATTTAATTCTTCAAGTGGGGATAGGTAGTAAAATTATTTGGGAAGAGAGAGGTTAAAATAGGGCAAATATTTTTGTAAATTACAAAATCAATATTCAAAATTATGTTATGCTATTTTTTTTATGTTTTCATTAACACTTGAATATTTAGCATATTCTATAGGCTTAAAAGAATCCAACCATGTTATACTTATTGAATGAGCATTATCTAAAAACTTATATTGATTTTTTCCTTGTTTCTATGTAGTTTAATTTGAAAGTGGAGATAACATTAAAATTATTGATATGATATAATTTTTATCTTAGTATTTGTGTCTAACAAAATCAGTCTCATATGAAAAGAAAACTTTAAATTATAAATTCTAATTAATATTTTTTGCTGCTTAATACCAATAGAATATATTTCACAATCACATCCGAATTTTTAAAATAATCAGCTAAATTAAGAATTGTAAGATTCTCTGCATATTCCTCATTTCTCCTGAAGCATGGAGCTATAGGGAACAGTGCTTGTGTTAGAAAGCTTTCTTGCCGCATTATTTTTCTTTGAAGATCAGTAAGAATGTGTGCCATTCACACACGCACATGCATACACATTCGCAGATAATAAGCCCATAAAACATCACCAAACCAAAAGAAGCAAAATGAAGTGACATTTAGGCTGTGAAGTCTTAATTTAGGCACCACAATGATTAGAGCGTTTTCATATCATAATAACTGATAAATAGACTACGTGTCAGACATTTCATTCCGTTTTAATCAAAACTCTTAGTCTGCTAAATCACCCCCTTGGGATACAGTAGCAGATTTCCAATTTAGTCATAGAACATTAATAATGAAAAGTTCTGGGGGCGCGTTCCTTTATTTATGTTCTTTTTTTAAATTTAATTATCAAGAAGGTTTAAAGAGACAAAGCAGTAAGGAAGATATTACCTTGACAGTCCCAAGCAACACGGAATCATACACAGTGATTTGAATCATACACTTCAAACATTACAAGAACACTGAGGAATCATCCACTTAAATCCTATCCCAAGTGAGAAACCCTTTCAGTAACATCTGTGTTGTATGCTCAGCCAGTGTTACCTCGACACGTCCAATTCAATTTCATGAACATTTACTATGCTTCTGCTATGCATTAGACACTGCAGAAATGAGGAACAGGCACAAGTGAATGGGAGAAAGATTAGGGGCAGAACCTGTGGCAAATAAAAGAGGGTGAAATGAGGAGGTAACTTGGGGTACCAGATGGACTGCCCCACACAACACTGTCACATATTAAAGAATATTAAATAGCAGGAACATGCACTCAAATGCTGAAGCAGTGACTGAAAAGGCATGGCTGAGATTAATGGCAGGCATTGTAGGCACCAAAGGAAACAGGACCACCGCATACATTGCCCAGAGCCTCTCCTGCTTCCCTTTTACCATTTGACATGAAAACAGGTGTCCTCAATCAGGAATATGAGAAATGAATATACAGTGTAAAACACCAAGCCACGAATTGTTAAATATATAGGAAAAATAATAATAATGAATAGGTAATTGAAATGAATAAACAGTACAAAATTCTTTTTCTTTTTTTTTTTTTTTTTTTTGAGACACCAGCTGGAGTGCAGTAGCATGATCAATACTCACTGCAGTCTCGACCTCCCAGGCTCAGGTGATCCTTCCACCTAAGCCTCCCAATTAGCTGGGACCACAGGCACACGTCAATTAGTTGGGCATGGCCCAACTAATAATTGTATTTTTTGTAGAGATGGAGTTCTGCCATGTGGCCCAGGGTGGTCTTGAAATCTTGGGCTCAAGTGACCTGTCTACCTCGGCCTTCCAAAGTCCTGGGATTACAGGCATGAGCCACCACACCTAGCTGCACCAAATTCTTCACAATAATCCAGTAAGGTGAGGAAAGGACCAAGTAGTATTAGAAGAGAATTTAAAACAGGTATAATTAATGGAGACTCAGGAGGATAACGAAGAATGCTGCACTCATGAATGAAAACAGTCTTCCAGATTTTTAAAGCTATTTGAGTTATTGGAAAATAAATGTTTTCTTAACAGCAGAGTAGAAACAGTCAAAGAGTATTATTTTTTCTTAAAGCTAGAATTATAACTTTTTTCTGAATATAATAAAAAAGTTTTAGGACATAATAATAGAACATAACATAAAAGAGAAACAGTTATTGAAGACTTAACATAAAATTTATTCAAGTATAATTGATATATATCTACATACAGTAATTCTAATGTTAATGTGATATCCAATGTAAATATAATATATGTATATACATGCATACATATTGTCTTTATACAATTTGGGTACTGGTTATTCCAGTAAAGCTTTCTATGTAAATTTGATTTTTCTGCCTGTAATGCTAGGCTTTATAGGAAGAAGAGGAGGCAGTCAGGAAGGAAAGATAATGGCTAATTATGAGAAGACAGATATTAGTTGAAACCTGATATAATAAGCTGGAACCTATGAGGTTGGACTGGAACCCCATGTTGATCTCTTACCATCTTTGGGTATCCAACTTCTGAGATGTAAGTGACTTGAAGGTGACAATGACATCCTTCACCACGGAGCCAAACTCCTCGCCCAGGGTTGGAGAAGCTGACCGAGTAGACCTGGAAGTACCTTAAGAAATTGGAGGCATGGCTGCTCCACAGATAAGTGGCAATGTGCATAGTCTGTATCAGCACTTGATGGCCTGAAATGATACAAGCATATAAAGAATGCAGCTCCTGCTTCTCGTCTACTTGTCATGCAAAACATCTCATCTGGTCCACACATAAAACCAGGGACTATACAGGAAAATCAAAGGCCTATTAATTTGAGAATTAGAAGAGTACAATTGCTCGGTAGCAGCAATGTCACCTAGGAAGAAAGCAGAGAAAATTTATAATGTTGGTGCACTTTAATACTATATTTATTTGAAATCTCTTTGCTTCTTTCACACAAATTGCATTAAATCAGCATCACCAATCCTATCTTTTTCATATGACTTAAATTTTATCTAAACTGCGTAACATTATTATTGCTATCTTTGTTGTTGTTGTTTCACGCTACAATTCCAGACTATTTTTCTAACTCTTAAATCTTTAAATCAACTCAAACTTTTATTAAACGATTTAACTTGTTTGGCCCAGGTAATTCAACAAATTGGGATCTCTGTTCTTAGAATTTAATGATTGATTTATATTTTGAAATCATTATATCTAAAGCCAGATGATGTCAGTCTCTAGAGATAATTCACGAATTCTTTTATCTGAATTTATATGTATTTAATCCACTCTAGTTTCTGGTATTATGTATAGTAACATAAATTTGCAAAATGTTTTTATAAAATCACGAAATATTATACATACATATTCTTCTAATCTAACAGTATAGAACTAACACATTTATTGAACCTATGCTGCCCTAAAAGTTTAGCCGTTTATTTTCTTACATATACGTAATCTCAATGAATTGTTAAAAAAACACATTTATTAACACATCATCTTTTGATTTCTATTTTCTGAAACTCATCTTTGCCTCCTTTCTTAATTGTTTGTTTTCAGCTAAAGACAACCTCCCTTCTTCTGATCTGTCCCTTTGCTTCTTTCTCTAATATGTCTGTAATTATTTTAGGCCTGGAGACAAACATTATTTAGCAATATAAGTATCATCTGTCTGTTTTTGTCCAAAGAATAACAACAAACTGTAGCCCTAATAAACTGGTTTGATTATTGAATTATGGACAGTAAGTCGAAAAGTAACTGAGAATTAGCAGAGTTCTGAAGACCTTAAGCAGTCTTATTTAATAAAGGCAGCTCAATGATATTGTTAAAGAAGACATTCTTCAGTTTGACAGTTTTGCAGCATAGAGTCAAGGAAAACATTTTGTTTCAACTTCCCAGGGGTCAGAAAAAAAGATAATGTAATGTAAGCTTTTTGTAGCATGGCAGTTAAAAGTGCTGACTTTGATGATGTGGAGAACAGATTCCTGACCCTGATTCCAGTGCTTGTTAGTTGTGCGATCCATGACAAATTACATGACCTCTCTAACCCTCGAGTTTCCCACCTTAAAACATGCTTGTAATGCCTACAGTAGAAGTGGTTTAGGTATTAAATGAGATAATAACTACTTAAAAACATAACATAATCTCTTGCTACAATAGTGCTAAAGTTAATAAAATATCTGTGTTCTTCTATATTTTGCTTATATTTGCTCTTTCTCTTCCTCATAACAGTATTAGGTACACCCAATAACTGCGACTGGGTTAATTTCCTATAACATTTCATAGCATGGCTAGAGCAATTAATTAAAGAGAGTGTGTTATTTATCTACTCGTATTAATTGACTTTCACTCTCCAGTCCTGGCATATAAGTATTTAAAATCAAAATGATATATTCATTGAGCATACAAATAACAAACAAAAACAAAGCCAACTTTTAAAATTGACATCTGAAAAGTATCAATTTCTTTTTATCCCACTTCCCCATATTCTTTTTTTTTTAACCAGTGCCAGCTTAAGGGATTCTTATGATCTCACATTATCCCACTTGGGATGGTTGAGGCTGGAGGTAGCTACCATGTTAATGACCCTATTTGGCACTGATATCACTGTTTTGGATCTCTGCCATGTTTACCATTACAGATAAGGTTTGTTCAGCTTCTAACAGGACAATATCTGGCAAATAATGGGTTAGTTATATTACTTCAGAATTTGGAGGTGGTTATACACTACTTCAAAGGCATTAGTGTGCTAAATTCCCATTTCCATGATCTCTTGTCTTTTTATTTAGGGACCCAAGATGGCTACAGCAGCTTTTAACAAGACATTCTTAGATGATGAGAGTTCTAAACCGTAAGGCTTTAGGGGTTTTAAAGAACTTTATTTTTACATTTTTTTTTTTTATCAGAAAGAAACTATTTCCAAGAAATCTCAAGCATGTTTGTTACAGGACAGTTTGGACTTCAGGGTTATCATGTAAAAAGGCAGACGTGCCAATCCCAATAGTCTTATTCCTGGACCAAGTCTCATTCCCTTTTATTTTGCTTCTTTTCCCTACTCCTTTCTGTCAGAGCAAAAGCTGCTGCTTTCTGGTCCATGGTTATTTCAACAGAAACATTGATAACATAACCAATGACTTATTTAGTCCTAAGACCTATTCAAAGAAGCAAAGGACTTAGTAAATATTAGCTCACCTGCTTTATGTTGCATAAAATAAAAAGTATTTGTGTTTAAGAATTTAAAAGTTTATATGGCCAAGTAATGTTAAAACTTAAGAAAGGTGGCTAGGCACAGTGGCTCATGCCTATAATCCCAGCACTTTGGGAGGTGGAGGCGGGTGGATCACCTGAGGTCAGGAGTTTGAGACCAGCCTGGCCAACATGGTGAACCCTTGTCTCTACTAAAAACACAAAAGTTAGCTGGGCATGGTAGTGGGCACCTGTAATCCCAGCTAATCAGGAGGCTGAGGCAGGAGAATCACTTGAACCCATGAGGCGGAGTTTGCGGTGAGCAGAGATCTCGCCACTGCACTCCAGTCTGAGCAACAGAGTGAGACTCTGTCTCAATAAATAAATAAATAAACTTAAGAAAGATAAATCAAGTTCATGTACATTCTATAAAAATATTTGCTAAATGTCAAAATGACTACTTAGCCCAACATTTTTTCTTCTTCTTGCATGAAGAAACCTTACAGATAAGTCTTCTCTCATTTCTTAAAAAATATAAATATTTGTAAATATGTAGTCATAATAAATATTAGAATTTTTATAATTAGGATCATCAGTATAAAGAGTTTTTTCCTATCCCTCCTGTGGTAGATTGTTATGAATGTTTTGGTAACATATTTTAAAAAGAAGAAAAATAAAACATATATTTTTGTTTCTTTCAGATAATATAATTATATACCCACAAAATAAAAAATTATTAAATGACAAACTATTAGACTTATTAAGACATTATTATTTGAATAGCTATACATAAGGAAAATATATAAACATCAAAATTTAACTTTTAATTAAAAAATTCCATTTACAGCCAGGCACGGTGGCTCATGCCTGTAATCCCAGCACTTTGTGGGGCCAAGACGGGCAGATCACGAGGTCAGGAGATCGAGGCCATCCTGCCTAACACGGTGAAACCCCATCTCTACTCAAAATATAAAAAATCAGCTGAGTGTGGTGGCGGGCACCTGTAGTCCCAGCTACTCAGGAGGCTGAGGCAGGAGAATGGAGTGAACCCGGGAGGCGGAGGTTGCAGTGAGCCAAGATCACGCCACTGCACTCTAGCCTGGGCGACAGAGCGAGACTCCATCTCAAAAAAAAAAAAAAAAAAACAAAAATCCATTTACAGTGGAAGCCACAACTAAAAACTGCTTGAAAATAACTTTATAAAGTATGAACATGATATCTTTCTAGAAAACTATAAAACTGTACTGAGTGGAATAGAAATATTTCTCAATGAATGTACTATATTACTGTTTAAAAAATTTGATGAAGTAATAATGGATTGGTCTCCTTTTGTCACCTCGTCCTTGTTTAATTTAAGGGTTTTTATATGCAAACGTTTACATTTTTATGTATATTTTTCTTGTGTAAAAACTGATGTAATGCGTGTATAAGAAACACTGTATGTATTATCTGTATATAGTGTGACAAAATGATTTTTATTTCTTTCTTTTGGATGTATTAATAAATCTTGCTGTGAAATAACAAAAAAAAGAGAAATATTTCAAAAAAAAAAAAAAACAAAAAAAGAACAGAGGCGATAAGTAGACTCTTCCCACATTGGAACATTCAATATTGCAAAGATGTTATTTCTTCCTAAAAGAATAAAGAAGTCCAATAAATTTTTTTATTAAGCTTTTATTTTTATTTAACTTCAAACTCCAAAAAAAGATGCAAGAATTGTACATAGAACTTTTATAAACCTTTTTTAACAGATCCGAGCGCTTATTTAAATTTGGCCTACTTGCCTTAATCTTTCTCTGCAAGTATTTATTAACCTTTAACCATCTGAGAGTAAGTTACAGGCATTATGCCTTTTATTCTAAATATTTCAGTGTGTATTTCCTAACAATTACATGTCTTGACATAACCACAGTATAATTCTTAAAATCAGGAAATATAATACTGCATTTCCTTGCTCGGTTACTTTAGTCACCTACAATTCAGGATACTTCCTAAGTCCTATTTTTGTCTGTCACTGTCTTGACCTACAGAGTAAGAGGTGGTCATTTGGTAGAATTTGTCTTAACATTTTTTCATTTTGATTCAGTACCGAGACCAGCTCAGCCGGGGAGACCCTAACCCAGAGGCGCTAGAGGAATTAAAGACACACACACAGAAATATAGAGGTGTGAAGTGGGAAATCAGGGGTCTCACAGCCTTCAGAGCTGAGAGCCCTGAACAGAGATTTACCCACATATTTATTAACAGCAAACCAGTCATTAGCATGGTTTCTATAGATATTAAATTAACTAAAAGTATCCCTTAAGGGAAACGAAGGGATGGGCCGAATTAATTGCAGCAGGAACATGCCCTTAAGACACAGATCGCTCAGGCTTTTGTCTGTGGCTTAAGAATGCCTTTAAGCGGTTTTCCGCCCTGGGCGGGCCAGGAGTTCCTTGCCCTCATTCCCGCAAACCCATAACCTTCCAACTTGGGCGTTAGGGTCATTATGGACATGTTACAGTGCTGCAGAGATTTTATTTATTGCCAGTTTTGGGGCCAGTTTATGGCCAGATTTTGCAGGGCTTGCTCCCAACAATTCAGGTTATCAATTTTTGGCACAAGTGCTGTACAGTGATGCTGTGAATTTGCCAATGCATAATATAAGAAAATACATAATGTAAGTTTGTCTCATTATTGGTGATGTTAATTTTGATCACTGGTTTCAAATGGTGCCTGTCAGGTTTATCTCTGTAAAGATACTGTTTTATTCCTTGCAATTAGTGAGTAATTGGTGGGGAGATACTGTGATACTATATCAACATCCTGTTTGTTCCTCATCAAATTTTTACTTACTGTATTTAGCTTCCATTGATGATTCCTGATTGAATCAATTATAACTGATGACTGCCAAATTGTGATTAATTAACTACATCCTGTTGTCTACATTTATTGGTTAATTAGTTGGAAGTCTATTGTAAATAAATTTTTTTCTTTCCCTATTAATTAAGTTTATGTTTATATTATTATGGACTTACTGATTTTTATATTAGCTTATGGGTTACAACGCGTTACTATCATTTTTTGATCTGATGTTCAAATTGATTTGGTCAGTGAGGCCCACTTCAAGCTAGCCTCTGTGTTCTTTGACATGTTCCTGTCAGTCCCTCAACACTTTATTACACAGCCCTGGAATCATTTTTCCTTGTTTCTATGGCAAGTAGTATTTAAATAACAACACCTGGCACCAGGGATATACATTGTTACCAAGATATCATTGTTTGTATGCTTTCTCGGAGGAAAAACAAAAACAAGAAATATGTGTGGGGAAAAGAAAGAGAGATCAGATTGTTACTGTGTCTGTGTAGAAAGAAGTAGACATAGGAGACTCCATTTTGTTCTGTATTAAGAGAAATTCTTCTGCCTTGAGATGCTGTTAATCTGTAACCTTACCCCCAACCCTGTGCTCCCTGAAACATGTGCTGTGTCAACTCAGGGTTAAATGGATTAAGGGCTATGCAAGATGTGCTTTGTTAAACAGATGCTTGAAGGCAGCATTCTAGTTAAGTCATCACCACTCCCTAATCTCAAGTACCCAGGGACACAAACACTGCAGAAGGCCTCAGGGACCTCTGCCTAGGAAAGCCAGGTATTGTCCAAGGTTTCTCCCCATGTGATAGTCTGAAATATGGCCTCCTGGGAAGGGAAAGACCTGACCATCCCCCAGCCCAACACCCGTAAAGGGTCTGTGCTGAGGAGGATTAGTAAAAGAGGAAGGAACGCCTCTTTGCAGTTGAGACAAGAGGAAGGCATCTGTCTCCTGCCCCTCCCTGGGCAATGGAATGTCTCGGTATAAAACCCGATTGTATGTTCCCTCTACTGAGATAGGGGAAAAACCGCCTTAGGGCTGGAGGTGGGACAGGCGGGCAGCAATACTGCTCTTTAAGGCATTGAGATGTTTATGTGTATGCATATCTAAAGCACAGCACTTAATCCTTTACCTTGTTCATGATGCAGAGACCTTTGTTCACGTGTTTATCTGCTGACCTTCTCTCCACTATTATCCTATGACCCTGCCACATCCCCCTCTCCGAGAAACACCCAAGAATGATCAATAAATACTAAGGGAACTCAGAGGCTGGTGGGATCCTCCATATGCTGAACGCCGGTCCCCTGGGCCCCCTTTTTTCTTTCTCTATACTTTGTCTCTGTGTCTCTTTCTTTTCCAAGTCTCTCGTTCCACCTAACGAGAAACACCCACAGGTGTGAAGGGGCAACCCACCCCTTCAAATATGTGTGTGCTTATGTATGTATCTATTTCTATATCCATTATAGCCATACATCCCTTAACATCTAAAAAACACATTGTTAGGTGATATTGTCATTGTGCAAATATGATTGAGTGTACTTACACAAATCAAATGGAATAGCCTACTACACACCTAGGCTACAGAGAATAGCTTTTTACGCTTGTATAGGTAGAAACCTGTATAACATGATATCGTACTGAATACTTAGGCAAGTATAACACAGTAATAAGTATTTGTGTATCTAAGCATAGGAAAGGTATAGTAAAAATACGATATTAGAATCTTATGAAAACACCATCATGTATTTGGTCATTGTTGACCTGGGCATTGTTATGTGCCACATGACTGTATTTGAATTTATGCTGATACATTAAATTCCAATCTAATACCCTAAGATTTATTTTAGACTTTCCTCCCCCTTTTGTATATGTAGCATCCTTCTCCAAAAATGAGAAACTTGGCTCATATTATATTATCTTCAATATATTTATTTATTACATCCTTCCTAGAAGACACAGAATATTAACTCAGAGTCCGTAATTCAAACTACTGTGAAAAACAGCAACAACAACAACAGCAACAAACAAAGGCCTGCGAAACATAGTAACTAAAATTTTATAATTGTTTGAAATTTTTTTCTCATTAGTTTCAGGATATGTTATAAAAATTCTATGTTTAAAAGTTACCTGGATTAGTCCCTTTTTTCCTTTTTCTCATTCAGTGTAGTAATGTTTCTCATTTAAAGTAGTTTTAGCTATAAAAATCCTAGAAGAAAACCTAGTAAATACCCTTTTTGACATCAGCCTTGGCAAAGAATTTTTGCCTAAGTCCCTAAAAGCAATTGCAACAAAAACAAAAATGGACAAGTGGGACCCAATTAAATTTAACAGCTTCTGCACAGCAAAAGAAACTGTCAACAGAGTAAACAGACAACCTGCAAAATGGGAGAAAATATTTGCAGACTGTATATCCAACAAAGGTCCAATGTCCAGAATCTATAAGGGACTTAAACAAATCAATAAGCAAAAAACAAATAACCTCACTAAAAATAGGCAAAGAACATGAATAGACATTTCTCAAAACAAGGCACACAAGTAGCCAACAAACATATGAAAATGTTCATCGTCACCAATCATCAGAAGAATGCAAATCAAAACCACAATGAGATACCATCTCAACCAGTCAGAATGGCTATTATTAAAATGTCAATAAACAACAGATGCTGATGAGGCTGCAGAGAAAAGGGAACACGTATACACTGTTGGTGGGAATGTGAATGAGTTCAGCAACTGTGAAAAGCAGTTTGGCAGTTTCTCAAAGAAGTTAAAATAGGACTACTATTCTACCCAGCAATCCCATTACTAGGTATATACCCAAAGGAGAATAAGCCATTGTATAAAAAGATGCATCCACTCATACATTCATCACCACTCTGTTCATAATAAAGTGAACATTTATTCACAAAGACATGAATCAACCCAGGTGCCTATCAATGTGGAATTGAATAAAGAAAATGTGGTACATATACACTATGGAATACTACTACACAGCCACAAAAAAAAAAAAAAAAAAAAAAAAAAACAGAATGAAATCATTTCCTTTGCCAGCAACATGGAAAAAGCTAGAAGCCATATTCCTAAGTGAATTAACACAGGGACAAAGAACCAAATACTGCATGTTCCTGCTTGTAATTAGGAGCTAAACATTGAGCACACATGAACATAAATATGGGAACAAGACATGCTGTGGACTACTGCAGGGGTGAGAAAGGGAGGCAGGTATAGTTTAAAAACTAATGGGTACTATGTTCACTACCTGGGTGCAATATACCATGTAAGAAACCTGCACATGTACCCTCTGTATCTAAAAGTTGAAATTTAAAAAATAAATAAGCTAAAATAAAACAACACTTCAGTAGAGAAAAAAATTGTTTCTCTGTGCTTGTAATGTACTTTTTCCCAAATAGTGAAATGGCTTGCTCCCTTGCCTTCTTCAAGACTTTTCTCAGAAAAATCTCAGTGAACACTTCTTTGGGTAACTTACTTATAATAAAAATTTCATGCCACTCTTTCTATTATCGTCTATATTTTATTATTCTTCATAACACATACTACAAACATATTATAGACTTCATTCTCCTTATTGCCAGAATTAGAATGTAAAGTTCAGTAAAGAAGAGATATTCGATGTTTTACCCAGTTGTGTCACAGTGATGCGTACTTTGTATGACACGTAATAGTTTTAACAAATAGTTGCTTAATGAATGATTTTATTAATTAAGAACTCCCCTTATCTTCTCCAAAGCATTATAAAGAAAAAAAAACATAAAGTTTGCTTAAAATAGTTTATAGAATTGAGGTTTCCACATAAATGCTTTCAAAGTGTTTTTTTCAGGATAGGTAGTTTTCTATGGTGTGTGCCGTGTGCATGTATGCATGCACTGTGTGTGCACATGTGTGCTTTATTGGATTATCATTGGAGCTTATTTAAGTGGGGGTATATTCATGATGAAAAATAAACCTTTGCTTACAGTAAAATACCTACTTCTTCATTTTCCCAAATCCCCCAATGAATCTTACCTCTCACTTTCCCTTAAAAACTCCAAGTTTTGGTTTTGCCATGGACTTTTCATTTTTCTGCAGTTGAATGATAATTTAGAGAAAATAGCATAGCAGTGATTGCAAAGGAGAGTTTGTATTCTCTCTGCACTGGGTGGGCCGGGATTTTTCATTTCATACATCATTACAACTTTCTCCATTGATTGGGCACCAATTTCATCTCACTCTATCACAACAAGCTACCTGCTCACAAACTCAGCATCAAGGCCAAGCCGAAACAATCTCCACAACATACAATCCATGAAACCTTGTAATTTCAGTTGCTCATGCTAAAAATGTTACGTTATGCATCTCAGTGCAATCTCATCATACCAGCATGTAACGATAGGCTAATGGACTGTATCAAAATTCAGTTTCAAAAATGTCAAGCATAATGAAAAAGAAAAAATAATAACAGAAATATGTAAGTCCTCAATTGGATTTATATATTCTTTATATGTGGACTTACATAAGTTTCAAAACTTCATTTACTTGTTTACTTCATATGGTCTTACTATTTGAGTATTATTCAGCCACCCTACCTGAACCAGCATCAGATGGTAGTGACTCCACCGGATTTTCATTGTTGATTTTGCCAGTGTTAATCCAGTCACATTTTCCTGTTCTTATCACTCTATTGGCAAAGAATCCAAACTGCTCTTGTTCATCTTTGTTTGTTTGGTTGATTGGTTGGTTGTATTTTTGAACATCTATTCTGTGCAAGGTGCCGAGGGCAAAAATGGTGAACATACCAGAAATAATCTCCATTCTGATCAAGCACACAACCCATAGAGGAGACATAAATTAATAAAACAATCTCTCAAATCTATGTTTATAAGATGAGATGAGGGCTATAAATGAAAAGCTTAGGGATATGAGTAATACTATAGATCAAATTTCTAGGGGATAGAGAAACCTTACCTGAGAAAATGAATTGCCATAAAAGGGGGGGAAGCTGAGGGGAAGTGAACATGAGCAGATATTCTAGGAGTAGGTTTGTTATATGCAAAACACCAGAGAAAGGGGGAAAAGAAAAAAAAAACATTGTGACTTTTGTCAACTGAAAAGTGTCACTATGATCTTGATATCAAGAAAGAGTGGAAATGGCAGAACATGAGTCTGGAGCGGTCAGCACAGCTATATTATACTGGGTTTAGGACTTTATTTTAAGAACCACAGGACTCAACTAAGGATTCTTAAAAATGGAAATGAATTAATCATATATGGGTTATAACACGGTCCTTTTCGCTAAAATGAAGAGAAGGGACTTGAAAGGGCAAAGGTCAAGGCCGAGAATAGCAGTAGGGAGTTGTAGCAGCCAAGATGAGAAAGCACGGTCTCTTGATGTCAAAAAAATTCAGGTATGTGTGCAAATTAAAGAGATATTTAGAAGAAAAAAAAACAAGATGTAATAGTTTACTGGATATAAAAAGTGAAGGAGGCTGGGCGCAATGGCTCATGCCTGTAATCCCAGCACTTTGGGAGGTCGAGGTGGGCGGATCACAAGGTCAGGAGATCGAGACCACGGTGAAACCCCATCTCTACTAAAAATACAAAAAATTAACAGGGCCTGGTGGCGGCAGCTACCTGTAGTCCCAGCTACTCAGGAGGCTGAGGCAGGAGAATGGCGTGAACCCGGGAGGTGAAGCTTACAGTGAGCCGAGATCAGGCCACTGCACTCCAGCCTGGGCAACAGAGCGAGACTCCATCTCAAAAAAAACAAAAAACAAAAACAACAACAAAAAACAAACAAACAAAAGTGAAGGAAAAGACTGTGCCAAAGATGATAGTTTGATTATTCAAATGCATATTCAATAAATATTTCAGCACCTTCTAAATGCTATTTAAGGGGTCCAAATATAGCATCAGGGAAAAAAAGAAATTTCTACTTTCATGGAATTTACATTCTGTTTGGGAAAGATAGAGAATACACTAAGTAGGAAGTAAAATATATAGTTCAAGAGATGGTGATAACTGCACAAAATAAACTCAAGGGAAAATATGTAGACAGTGGAGTTAAATGTAGGAGTGCAGAATTAAAATTTTAAGTATAGGAGTCATTGAAAAGGTGAAATTTGAACAAACATTAAAAGGAAGGAAGAAATCTGAAAAGAATACAAAGAAAGTGACTTTGTGGCAATATCTGAAGGTGATGAAGAAGGCAGGCTTAAGGAAGGCTGTAACAAGAATATTCATGTCAGAATACTTTTGTAGAATTTTAAAAGATCTTTTGAAAGTCTTTCCCAAATATCAGCGGCAACATTGCACTCTCCCACACATGCCTTAGCTTCAACCTGTGTTCCTATTCCCCTTGTCTGTTTCCTTTTCTTCTTAAACACTTATCCCCTTTTAATAAACAGTGTATGTGACCTGTTACTCTCAATTAGGAGGTAAGCTCTACAGTCATGGAGAGTTTTGTCTGTTTTGCCTTTTGATTATTGCCTGGCATAGAGCATACCTTTTATACATATTTGTTAAGTAAATAAATGAATGCTCATCTTCAATAGTACTTCTTTTATATGCACAAAACAAAATATGTTCAATTTTCTTGTTACAGTTCAGTGTCCAAGAGTTCAGCATGCTAAATCCATTTACTACTCCTTGTTTCTGCCTCCACACAATTGAAAACTGCACAAATCTTAGATCTTGGATTGCCTACTGAATAATCTCTTGTTGCTGTACTCTACAAATACATGCATCACTTATGTATAATATACTTGTGGACTTTTTATCTTTATTTTTCCCTATGCAATTCAAGTTTCAAGTAAATTTTCTACCACATATGCTATAAAAATATGAGTAGATAGCTTTATAATAATTATTGTGATTTATCTGTCAATATTATAGAAAAGTAAAAAAGAAAGCGGATATTGCTTTTTAGCTGAAATGCACTAGATAAATAAATTAACTAAAACTGCCAAAAGAATGAAATATGTTGAAAAATACTTAGTCTGCCCTGATGAAGGGAAAAATGATAAATGACTATGTCTTTTACTTCTATAATTTTACAGTACTTCCTGTAAAACAAATAATTCATTACAGACCTAGCCATTGCCAAAATGGTATTAGAGTACTACCATTTTGCCAATTCTTCTTCCTAATAAATAAAATCCTATTTTCTACAAGAACTCATTTGTAAAACACATCAAGTGCTTTAAAGATATTTCTTGCTGAATAAAACATTTCCCTTTGGACTTGAATATATACCCTTGCTACATCATTTGTATTTAGACATAAAAAAAATCCCTGTATTAAGACTAGCAATAACAGAAAAAACATTCACATCAGTAATAGTGTGAAGTTAGTACAAGTTTGCTCTTCTCGCAAATTGATTGTATTATATATCCCATGTGGACTAAACTGTTTTGTTATGCTTTATCATACCTAAAAGCAATATGAATTCATGCTAAAATATATGTGTTTGGTGCCTTTATTGATAGGCATCACAAGGAAAGAGAAAATTTCTAACAAAACAAGGTAGCTGGAGGAGGTCAGATAATGTATTGCATGTTGAAAATAAAAGCGTGTTGGTGTCATTTGCTGAGCGTAGAAACTTGACAGGTATTATTGTTTAACATGGAAACCTCTCTGTATTCATGTATGCCCCGTCATACCTACTACCACCTTGTTGACTACGTCAATTATTTAATATTCCTCAGAAACATAAAACGAAAAAAGAAAAATGCCATGACCCACCTTTTCTTTAAAAAGTATACTTTAATTAAGTTCAAATTTAAACAGCGAAAAATTCAATATACTAAATATATAATTTAGAACAAAATTTACTGCATGGCTCCACAAATATATAACAAAACTTTAACACTTTTTTGTGTGATTTAATATATTTTGATCAGTATGATTTTAGTTGAAAGCAATGCATGTTGTTGATATCTGAAATATTTCAGTCCATCATTCTAACCACATTTTATGAAAATTTCTACAGATATTTCAATATAATTTTTAATGTAAGAGATTCATGAATTTGGTCAATATTTCAAAAATCGAGAATGCTATAAAAAGTAAAAATCAGGAGTTACTGTATTTTTCTCTTTTTAAAAATTGTAAATTGACAGTGTGTTTTTATAAATTTGTGAGGTACAAAGGAATGCTATGATTTATGAATACAATGTGGAATCGTTAAATCAAACTAGTTAATGTATTAGTCACCTCAAATACCTAACATTTTTTGTGATGAGACCATTTGAAATTTACTCTCTTAGCAATTTTGGAAGGTACAATATTCTATTATTAACTCTATTCACTATACTCTGCAATAGAACTAAAAAACATATTTCCACTGGCTGAGATTTTTTACTCTTAGGCAGTCATCTCCCCATTTCTCCCACATTACAGGTGCTTGCCACCACACCTGGCTAATTTTTGTGTTTTTAGGAGAGATGGGGTGTCACCACGTTGGTCAGGCTGGTCTTGAACTCCGGACCTCAAGTGATCCACCCATCTTGGCCTCCCAAAGTGCTAGAATTACAGGCGTGTGATCCACATTTTCTTTATTCAGTTATCCACTGATGGACACTGAGGTTGATTCCATAAGTCAGCTATCATAAAGAATGTTTAAATAAACATGGGAGTGCAGACATTTTTTGAATGAGCAGATTTTAAATCTTTTTGGTAAATACCCAGAAGTGGGATTGTTGGATCATATGGTAATTCGATTCGCAGTTTTTGGAGAAACCTCTCTACAATTTTCCCTAATGCCTGTACTAATTTACATCCCCACCAATGCTGTTTGAGAGTTCCCTTTTCTACACATCCTTGTCAGCATTTATCTTTCATCTTTTTATAATAGCCATTCTAATAGATGTGTGGTGATATCTCATCGTGGTTTTAGTTTTCATTTCCCTAATGATTAGGCGTGCTAAGCTTTCTTTCATATGTCCGTTGGGCATTTGTATGTCTTCCTTTGAGAAGTGTCTATTCAACTCCTTTGCCCATTTTTAATCAAATTATTTGGGGTTCTTTTGCTGTTCAGTGGATTCAGTTCCTTGTGTATTCTGGATACTTGCCTCTTGTCAGATGCAGTTTGCAAATATGTTCTCCCGTTCAACAGGTTGTCTCCTCACTCTGTTTCCTATGTGCAGGAGCTTTTTAGTTTAATACAGTCAGATACCGTTTGTCTCTGTGTTCCCATCCAAATTTTCATTCTTTATTCTGTTGATGTATTTATCACATTTATTGATTTGCATATGTTGACCCATTATTGCATCTTTCAAACAAGTATCTTATCCATGGTGTAAGATATTCCATTATTATTATATAATGACCTTTTTTTATTGACTTTGTATGTTTCCAGGAATTTATTTCTTCTTGCTTTTCCAGTTTGTTGACATATAGTTGTTCATAATATTATATAACGATCTTTTGTATTTTTGTCCTATCAGTTGTAATATCTCTCATTTCTGTTTTTATTTATTTTGATCTTTTGTTTTTCTCTGGTAGCTTAGGTAGTGGTTTATTGATTTTGTTCACCCTTTCAAAAACCAACTTTTAGTTTCATTGATCCTTTGTTTAGTTGTTTTTTTTTTTAGTATCTATTTGATTTATTTCTGCTCTAATCTTTATTATTTCTGTCCTTCTATTAATACTAGGTTTCGTTTGTTCTTTCTTTTCTAGTTCCTTGATGTGCATTGTTAGGTTGTTTATTCAAAATCTTTCATTTTTTTGGATGTAAGCATTTATTGCTGTAATATTTTCTGGTATCACTGATTTTGCTGTATCCAATAGGTTTTGATATGGCTGCTTCCATTCTCATTTATTTCCATATATTTTTTAAATTCCCTTCTTAATTTCTTCATTCATCCAATAGTTGCTTAGGAATATGCTGTTAAATTTCTATGTATCTGTAGATTTTCCAAAGTTCCTGTTATTGATTTCTAGTTTTATTTCATTGAGGTCTGAGAAGATAGTTGATAGAATTTTGATTTTTTAAAAAACAATTTGAAGACTATTTGTCTTCACAAAACAATTTGTTTTGTGGACTAACATGTGGTTTGTCCTAGAGAATGTTTCATGTGTTTATAATAGAAATGTGTATCCTGCAGCTGTAGAATAAAATCTTCCATAAATGTCTATTAGGTCATTTGGCCTAAAGTACAGTTTTAATCCAATGTGTCCTTATTGTTTTTCTGTCTAGATGATCCCTCCAATGCTCAGAGTGGGGTATTGAAGTCCCCAACTATTATCGTGTTGGAGTTTATCTCACCCTTTAAATCTATAATATTTGCTTTATATATCCTGGTGCTCTGGTATTGGATGCATATATATTTAACATTTTTATATCGTCTTGCTGAATTTATTTTTTATTCTTATATAATGACCTTTTTTGGGGGTTTTATTTTTACAGTTTTTGACTTAACATCTGTTTTATCTTATATAAGTTTAGGTATTCCTACTTATTTTGGTTTCTGTTTGCATGGAATATCTTTTCCTAAACTTCCAATTTCACTATATATGTGACTTTACAGATGAAGTGATTTTTTTTGTGTGTGTGTGAGCAGAATACAGTCAGGTTATTTTATTTACACATTTAGCTAATCTATATATTTTAAATGAGAAATATATTCTGTTTATCTTTGAAAAGATTAGGTGAGGACTTAACCCTGTTATTTTGTTTGTTGTTTTCTGGTTGTTTTGTATATGTTTTTTCCTTCCTTTCTCTTTTAGTTTTTGTTATTGAAGTTTGTTTTTTCTCTGTAGTGGCAATACTTGACACATTTCTTTTTCTCATTTCCGTATTTATCCTACCAGTGAGTTGCATATTTTCACGTGTTTTTGTGATGGTAGATATTGTCCTTTCTCATCCAGATGTAGGACTATCTTAAGGATTTTTCTTAGGGACAGTCTAGTGATGAATTCGTTCAGTTTCTGCTTGTGTGGAAAATATTTAATTTCTCTTTCATTGTTGACGGATAGCTTTGCTGTTTATAGTATTTTTGAATGGCAGGGTTTTTTGTTGTTGTTGTTCATCACTTTGAATATATAATTACCTTCTCTCCTGGCCTGTGAGGCCAGGCTCCCAGGTGGCATTTGCAGGCAGGTACCAGTGGCAATGACAGCACCAGGCTGGGCTGGACAGACCCTGATCCCCTGGGAGGCATTTGTGGGCAGCAATGGTGAGAGGGTTGGGCCCATACTCAGGCCCCGAGAAGGCAAGTGTAGGCCCAGGTGGCAGTATTGGGCATGGCGGGCCTCTTCTCAGGCCCTGGGGAAGCAATTGGATAGACCTGTTCCCAGCCCCTTTGAAGGCATTTATAAGTGTACGGTGGCCTTGCTTCTGGAAGAGATGGGTTGGCTGTCAGTGGAAGCAACCCCAGCAGGCTGTTATCAGGCTCTGGGGAGTTAATGCTTCAGCACCGTTTGTCCCAGGAGAAGCCTCCCTCGCATGCTGCACTGCCCACTTCCTGGGATGTAGGACATTATGTGAACTAGAGTGCTGAGGACCCAGTCATATCTCTGGACCCTGCAACTCTGGCCCCAGCTGGTGTCATGACATGCAACCCTCTAGGTCGACATTGGAGCATATTAACGTGGAGATGCAAAGGCTGTTGTGCCCCAAGACAGGATGTAGTCTGGTGGGAGTTGTGCTCTCAAAATGGTGCTATGATGCAGCTGCTTGGGTCTCAGAGTGTGTGTGACATCCAGTATGAACTACTTGTCTGGAAAAATATTATCATATGGACTCCAGGTAGTTCCCTGTAGTAGTTCATGACCCGTAAGAGCTGAGGGACTCTCCTGTGGCTGAGATTGCAGGAATCCACAGTGGGAAAGTTGATGGCTGGGGACTCTCTCACTTACATTTTGCCTGCAGTGGGCAGTTTCTCCTGGTTTCTAACTGATCCTAGCTGGGCCAGCTGCTTTACTTTCTTCTCCTTTCATGTGTCAGTGGTTTCCTTGCACTTACCTGCTGGATTCCAGTGTTATCTCTGATGCTCTATTTAATGTGCGATTGTGTACTTGCTGTTTTGGTCCTACTTTGTGGAGGAAGTGAATGCCAGATCACTTTAGTCAGCCATTGGAAGTCACCCTCACCTCTTCTATTTCCCGTTTCTTAATGTGCTTTACTCTTCATTTTATTCCAATTTTTTCACAATGCAAGCAAATGCTTGACTTTCCATAGCTAACTGCTACTGTCTTAAGGAATTATTTTCACTTATGTCATAAAATTAATTAACCAATTTTTTTCATCATGGACAATGAAGCTCAGTATGAGTAGAGACAATTCAGTGGAACTAGGTAAATTCCTATCATAGCTCTACCACATCTATCATTACCTTAGACAGCTTTGTTAGCCTCTTTGTGCATCAGTCATGTCAATAATAAAATAGACATAATGTTGTACTTTCCTCATTAGATTATTGAGAAATTTCGATGAATTAATACATATAAGCCACTCAGAGTAGTTTTGGGTACCAAGCATGCAAGAACATTAAGCTATCGTTATCAATATTTACCTTTCAAATTAGACTTTCCTTTTTTCTTTTAAATCATAATTTTTGTAATTACGAAGTAATTTTTACCTCATACATCTTATTTCTCATGTAATTCTATTAAGCAACAGAATTCTATTTAGCCTTGGCTAGTAGTGACATGAAAATAACTGGAAAACCAGATTAAAAAATGAATGGCAGACAGACTTCAATATAATTTATTTTTTGATATCTTGCCCTCTATATCTTCATACAAGTGAATTTTTTAGACTTTTAATTTCAGGGGTATGGGTGCATGTTTGTTATATAGATAAATTTTATGTCATGGGAGTTTGATGTACAGATTATTTCATCAGTCAAATAATACACATAGTACCTGACAGGTAGTTTTGCAGACCCTCCTCCCACCCTCCACCCTCAAGTAGGCCCCAGTGTCTATTGCTCCCTTTCTTTGTGTCCATATGTACCCAATTTTTAGCTTCCACTTGTAAGTGAAAACAAGCAGTGCTGGTTTTCTGTTCCTGGAGGATAATGGCCTCCAGTTCTATCCATGTTGGTGCACAAGGCATCAGGCTCATTCTTTTTAAGGCTGCATAGTATTCCATGATGTATACGGATGACATTTTCTTCATAAAAGTTATTTTATATAGAATAACTAAATGATGTTCTTTAATAAGTCTAGCAAGTTCCCACTCATTCCAAACTCAATAGAGAGAGTTATCATTTCATTTTAGAATAGTTCAAACATTTTTCAAGAAAGTTGAGAAGTTTCTGTCAAATATTTACAAAGAACTCCTTGCAATTATATAATACTTATGAGAGAGAGAAAATTCTTTCATTAAAATGAATTTTTAATAGAATAATTTGACTGCAGCTCATATATGAATAATGAAGGACAGTGAAATGAAAATAATCACTAATGGTTTACTTGGCATCAACTTTGATTTTGATTTGACAAACTTTACTTGAGCTTTTGAAAGAACAATTAACTGTGATACTTTTTTTTGAGTTTTAGGTAAAACAAAGATATGTGTTTAAAAACCCATTGACAGGAGCAGCAGGCAGCCTGCAGCCATAATATAGACATTAATATTGACCATGCAATTTGGGATAATGTGCAATATTTGAGATAATATTATATGTTATTTTCATATATATAGAGAGAGAAAGTGAGAGAAGGAGAATTTTTTTTCAGTTATTTAAGACAGTGAAAATGCTTCCAGGAGTTAAATTAGAAAATAAGTTTTAGCCATAGTCTTTAAAAAATTGATATTTGTCATAAGGGAAAATGCCTTCCAGAAAGTGAAAGAAACTTCTGGTCATTTATCAGTATCAAATTTCTGTCAAAAAATAATGTGACTCTCAGAATTCTAAACTCAGTAGCCATAAAATATTTAAAAATTTCTACTGATTTGATAATACTATAAAGTAGAATGGACTGAAAAATAGAGAATTACACATGTTTCTTGGGAAGTAAAATATTAGGGCAAATAAATAACTTAAATAATTACAGTGTATAAGAGACTAAAAGTCAAAGGAAGATAAGAGTGTCATCTTTTTTTAAACATCTGTTTTCAAAATTGACAGATTTAAGCAGCATAAGATAAATTCTGAAAAGTAAGCATTTTGAAAAATGACTTTCAAATGTAAAAAGGACAATATATAATCATCTGATGCATTTACGGAAGTATAATAAAAGCAATTCTTTATAAGCTGTGAATTACTTTACCTAGTTATATGAACAATGAGGATCATTACATATCATAGAATAGACAATAGCAAGATATGATACAACTTATGGTAATATAGACATGGTTTACCCATAATTGTTTTATTATATCACCTCTTTTTTAATGGTGTTATTGGATTAATCAAATGTAATCCATTAAAAAAGCATGTGACCACTATAAAGTTATAGATTTTAAATTTACTTTTACCTTTTCTTTTAAATATTCAAAAAAATTATTACAGTGACTACTTGGGTATAATTTATCAACTGGCAGTATAACATACCTAAATGGAAAAACATTAAATTTGATATATTTGAAAAATGACTAAGCATTCCCAAGAAAACATAATAATGATTTATGTGATACTGTGATGGTTAATATTGAGTGTCAAATTGATTGAATTGAAAGACGCAAAGTTTTGTACCTGGGTGTGTCTGTGATGGTGTTGCCAAAGGAGATTAACATTTGAGTCAGTGGACTGGGAGAGGCAGGCCCACCCTCAGTCTGTGTGGGCACCATCTAATCAGCTGCCATCAAAGCTAGAATAAAGCAGGCAGAAGAAGTTAGAAGGAGTTGCTGAGTCTTCTGGCTTTCATTTTTCTCCCATGCTGGATGTTTCCTGTCTTCGAACATTGGACTCTAAATCCTTCAGCTTTTGGACTCTTGGACTTACAACAGTGATTTGTGGGAGGCTCTTGGACCTTCAACCATAGATTGAAGGCTGCACTGTTGGCTTCCCTAGTTTTGAGGTTTTGGGACTCAGACTAGCTTCCTTCCTCCTCAGCTTGCCGACAGCCTATTGTAGGACTTCACTGTGTGATCGTGTGAGTCACTATTCCTTAATAAACTCCCTTTTACATATATATCAATCCTATTAGTCCTGTCCCTCTAGAGAACCCTATTACAGGTTTCAACATTCAAACATTCAAATATAAGCTACCTTATATGTTAGAAAATGAGTGAAAATAATTTTTTGTACAATCTAACATATCCAGGAAATAAGTGCTTCTTAAATAGGTAATTTTGGAAAATAATATTGTTTTGCACTAGAAGAGAGCATATATCTGGAAATTAGAGTACATTCAAACTAATTGTCCTGAAGTTAAGTTGTGAAGATTACCAGTGGATTGCTCAAAATAATGACCCTCTTAACCCACAAACAAGATCCCACCCTTTGGGAAATTATAGATGCTAATTAATTCCAATAAGTTATATAAATAATGTTTTTATTGTGATTATGTATAGAATTGAAAAAGCAATGTAAAACACATCATTCATCTCAGCCAGTCTAACAAACTGTTGTTTTGTCAGGATTTATCTGAGTAGATAGTTATAAAGGATAAGAAAAAGCTGTAGCTGTGCTGATTTCTAGTCTTCCTTTGAGTCTGGTCCTCTTCACAGTGGCATTTTTTTAAAAATTATATTTGGATTACAATATAGGGAAATCGTACCACAAAGTAAAGCCAAATCTCAATAATCTGTTTTAAATGATCACTATAACACTTACATTGTTTGCATTCCAACAAATTCACAAGTGCACTTACCCATTTACACCCTATGACGGTTCACTTGTGTTCTAAAATACATTAATTCGTCTCATGCCTCTTACCGTTAGGGCAGCAGATTAAACAAAAGCATCAACAAATTGAATATGACAGAGCCTTTTTTTGATTAATTTGCCAACTGGGTCTGGAAATATTCTGTTATTTCCATTTGAAATGGACAAAAAGTCTAGAAACTGTAAGAACAACAAAGCCCCTTTTGTGTAAAGTAGTTACTTTTTTATTTGCTTCTAAGAATAAAAAAAGAGTCCTTGTTAGATCTAGAATACATATTTCTATTACAAGTAACAGGTCCAATAATGGTTCAATTTTTTGACAATATAAACTGTTGACTTATTTATGTTATGATTTCATCAATAGAGGATCTAAACAACCAGTTAATTATGTTAGAAATAGTAATGTAGTATTTTATCCTTATTTTTTACTTACACTGTGATTTTCTGACCTAATTTTATGTGATAGTTTAACATTTCAGGTCATTAAGCATGTTTAAAATCCCAACTACAAATAATCTGGAAAGAAAAAAACCCTTTTAAATAGAATAATGTGCATTATGACATTTTATTATATATTGAAATGGTTTAATAAAAAAATTTGGGGTTTAATGTTTACCCCTGCTAACAATTGTTCTTACTACTTTTACAGATTTATATAACAATAAGTTTCTTTTGAACAGTCTTTGAAGCTGACAAATTAAAACATAAGGAATTTAATAAAGTCTCCCCACCCCAAAGGCAAAAACCTATGTCAACCCACTTCTTGAAACTTACTTTCAATGTACTATAATCACTCCAGTATACATTACATTCTAGGTTTTCATAGTCACCCTTACTTTAATTTGGCAGAAAATCCATGTTTTCTTTATTTAATTTCCCTCAGGGAAGTGCTTCTGTCAGGAGCAACATACTATTTCTAACTCTAAAGTGGGACTTTTAAGTGATTTATGCTATCAATGACTTCTTTTATTTTTCAGAGGCTCTGATATTTCTGTAATTAACAGCTAAAAAATAGGATATTTGGATGGAATAACACATTGAGGCCGATCACCAATGTGCATAAAATAAACATCTATTAATTTTATTTTCTCTACATCTTTAAAATTCACACTTATTTCAGAGTCTTTCTAATTAACAACAAAGACACCTATGCTCCTATTCATGTTTGAAAATCACTTCTTATCATATATATATATCAAGTATTATTATATCTCCTTCAGGGCATTTTCAAACATTATTCAAAATTTTATTTGGTATCAGATAATTATTTTAGAGTCAAATTTGTGATAATTTACCTATAATGTATTAGTTTATTTTCACACTGCTGATAAAGACATACCTGAAACTGGGAACGAGAAGAGGTTTAATTGGACTTACAGTCCCGCATGGCTGGGAAGGCCTCAGAATCATGGTGGGAGGTGAAAGGCACTTCTTTCATGGCAGCAGCAAGAGAAAAATGAGGATGAAGCAAAAGTGGAACCCCCAATCAACCTATCAGAACTCATGAGACTTATTCACTATTAGGCTGGCCCCCATGATTCAATTATCTTCCCCATGATTCAATTCCCTCCCACAACACATGGGAATTCTGGGAGATACAATTCAAGTTGAGATTTGGGTGGGGACACAGCCAAACCATATCAGATATAACAAGTGCTGGGGAGGATGTGAAGAAAAGGGAACCTTTTACACTGTTGGTGGGAATATAATCTGTACAGTCATTATGGAAGACAGTACAGAGGTTGCTCAAAAATTAAAAACAGAACTACCATATAATCCAGCAATACCACTATAGGGGCATATTTTCAAAGGAAATGAAATCATTATCTTGTTTTGTTTGCTTGTTTGTTTTGAGATGGAGTTTCACTCTTGTTGGCCAGGCTGGAGTGCAATGGCATGGTCTTGGCTTACTGCAACATCTGCCTCTTAGGTCCAAGCAATTCTCCTGCCTCAGCAAAGATATCTGCACTCTCATGTTCATTGCAGGATTATTTACAATTGTCAAGATGTGGAATCAACCCAGATGACTCATTACCAAAGAATAATTGAAGGTACAGAATTTCTGACTTTTGTTAACAATGATGGTTCCTAAATCTTAATTTTTTTTCTCATTTGAATTGAATAAAGTTAAATGGTTTTAAAAATTTGAATCCCAGAGAGAGACAAGTGGTATTTTTAAAACTTTCATCTAAATTTTTGGGCCAAACATATAATCTTCTTTTCCTCCTATGTTCATGACAGTAACTACATTACAAGGGATAAAATCATGTCTGATAAATATGGAATCATCAAAAACATCACTACATAGTCTGAAAAATCTCTAACAAGAAGATAAGGAGAATATAATAAATAAAGTGCTGCTAAGGACATCACTTCTAATACTTAAGTTCTAGACAGAATTGTAGTCTTAACTTCTCTTTCGTTCTTCCATGATGATAGTTAGGGGCCTAAACAGTGGCTTTGAGAAAGATATAAACATAATGTAAAAATTGATGACCTTAAAGTTTTTTTCTTTTGGGCCAGCATGGTGGCACATGCCTGTAATCACATTACTTTGGGAGGCTGAGGCTGGAGGAATACTTAAGGCCAGAAGTTTGAGGCTATCCTGCGCAACATAGCAAGACACCATCTCCATAAAAAAAGAAAAAATTTGCTGGTAGTAGTGGGATGGACCATAGTCCCAGCTACTCAGGAGGCTGAGGCAGGAGGATCACTTGAGCCTAGAAGTTCAAGGTTACAATCAGCCATGATCACACCACTATACTCCAGCCTGGGTGACAGAGTAAGACTCTAACCTCAGGAAAAAAAAAAAAAAAAGTTTTTCTGCTATGTGTTTAATAGTAAAATTCCCTTTTCCAATTTTGATATTATTGTTTCATTGTATCAGCAAATACTTTGTCAAACTCTTTTTCTTTTGTATTTCTTGATTTGGTTTGTTTTTCTGGTAATTTCAACTATAGAAATAGTGTGAAGTCTATCACTGAGCCTTGGAATTTCACCATTATAGACAGTTAGTGGGAAATGGAGAAGTCGCTGACAAAATATTACACCTCCCTTGTATTAAATATAAGAATCCATTGTATTAAACATATTAATGGATTACTACATGCTACAAGTAATAAAATAACTTCCAAGTATCACAAAACTGAAATGACTTTTATTTGATTCAATTGCCTTAAAATATAGAAAGATTTATATTTCCCTTCAATAATGAAATGAGGACACATGCAAAAGTACACAGATATACAAGAACAGGTTGGTACATACATCTGTCTCAGATGTGTAACTCTTTTCTTAGGTAAATGTTTAGCACTTCTCATAAGTCCATGCCCTGGACAGCTAAGTAGCAGGAAAGTAAGGAAGAGCAGAAAGCTTGACACTTTCTATGTCTGAACACAATGACTCTTCACTCACAAATTAATTTTAGTATCTATGGATAGTTTGTGATGAATTGAAAAGTTTTGCATGAATACACACAATTAGATTTATATGCAAATCTTGGGTCTCTTTGGGAATACTAAGAGGTGTACTTTGCAATGAAGGAAAAGAAGGGAATAACAAATGAAACTCCCCAAATTTGAGTTATCATTTAACTAGGAAGTGAACTGTATTTTTTTGCTTCTTCTGTTTTTATCATGTATATATACATGATATATATATGATATATCACGATATATTATATATACGTGATATATCATGATATATGTATATATACATGATATATATGATATAACATGATATATATGATATATATGTGTATGATACATGTATACATGATATACATGATATATATATCATAATATATGATATATCATGGACATATCATGACACATATGATATATCATAACATGATATATCATGTACACATCATGGCATATGTGATATATCATGATATATGACACATACGTGATATATCATGATATATGACATATATGTGATATATCATGATATATGATAATGTCATGATATGTGCATATGTACATGCTCTATATTGCCTATCATGATATATGATATATAATGTATATATACACATATGATATATATCATGTATATCATGTATATATACATGATATACATGATATATCATATATCATGATATATATCACATATCATGATATTGATATATATCATATATACATGATAAAAACAGAAGCAAAAAATACAGTTCATGATATGTCATGATATATCATATATATCGTATATATATGTGATATATATATTACCATTCATTAAAGAACTTAATATGATACCATTCATTACCATTCATTAAAAAACTTAATATGACAGTCATTAAGTGGAACCCTCCCACAAAACGGTTTAAGTTTAAACTAAGAGTCCTAAACAGTGAAGATCAGGTTGCTTTCTGGGTGAGGGTGTGCACACACACACACACACATTATTTTTCATTATTTGCTTAACTAAGTTATTTCTATTTATTTCCAAATGCTATCTATCTTCCCTTTAAAAAAAAAAAAAAACTTAAAAAGATTTGCACAAACTCATGGCTTCCCCATCCTTAGGCTGTTCATCATTTGCTGAAGGGAGTACACTTGAAAATAAAAATCATAATAAATTGTTTGAGCCCCATCTCTATTACCGTTCTGGTAGCCCTAATTTTCTTGGTCACGAAATAGTCTTAGACTGTGATAGATTTTAGAAAGGTAACTGGACAATCTTAAACCTCTGTAGTATCTTTGTGTATGTTGAGAAAACAAGAAAAGGCAAGGAAGCTACATTTCTTTGAAGCCTTTGTGCTCTGTGTTATGAGGGGCAACCATGACTATCTAAGAAGAGAACTTCAAGGGCACTACAGCTGTCCTTTACTTATTGAATAAGGATCCCACTTCTGTATTCTGGTAAATGTCTCTGTGTAATAACAAGAATGAAAATCTTCACATACTTATCAATGCTGGACTTCATAAATAAATCCAGTAACATCAGAAGCAGGGTAAAAAAGCAAGTCTAGTACAGGATAATTTGCTGCAAGAAAAGAGAAAGGAAAAAAATGCTCTACATGATCTCCAGTCATAGCAAAGCAAAGATAAATTAGCTACAAAATATAAATCAATGGAATGTCCATGAAGAGTATTGTTAAATCTTCTATAAATGACTAACTGGAGGATCTGAAATGCAATTAATTGTTGGTTGTAGATATTTCCTCACAGGAGTAATGGATGCCTGATCATCTGAGATTACATCTGCTTCACGCATACAAACTGCATAAGGCAATGATGTTGCAGAGGCTCCACATCATCACTCACGTTCAGAACAGACAGGAGCAGCAGCAGGAAAGGAGGCTGGAAATTAAATCGTGAACTTTTGGATTGTGATTTTAAA
Source organism: Homo sapiens (assembly GCF_000001405.40). Taxonomy (NCBI): domain Eukaryota; kingdom Metazoa; phylum Chordata; class Mammalia; order Primates; family Hominidae; genus Homo; species Homo sapiens. The sequence goes on along the minus strand of NC_000004.12, from coordinate 66,339,069 downwards.
AATATATCTGAAATTATCATGTACATGAATAATAACTTGTAATAGAAATAGAAAAGATAAACTCCTAAGATAATGTAAAAAGCTAAATATTTTAAATATTCATCTTTTTTATGGTTGAGTGAATGTTTGATATCTCATGTTATCTTGATTATCTCTGACCTCTAATACCTGATTCTCCACTCCTTCTATCTTCTTATCTCCTTTCCCAAATGTAAAGTCTTGTCTTTAATTGATGAAAATAAGCCTAAAAGCTTGACGATAGGGAAATTTTTTTCTAGTTTTAATTTGAATATTTATCATCAAACTGAACTTACGTTTCTGATTTGAGAACTTCAGAAAATTTTGTCTTTTCAATGTGGACAGTGCCAGAAATTGAAATAATTGTTCATTTTGTTTCTTTTACTCAATAAACATTTTTAAAGAATGCTTTAAGATACTTTAAAGAATGTTTTAAGGCAGTTTGCTTTTGTGCTATGAAAATAGAAAGACAAATTAGTCAATGACTATGCCCTTAAGGTAATTCCAGTTTGGTATGAATGATAGAATAATTCATAAAACATATTTTAAAATTTTTATTCTAATATATAAGCCTCAAGATTTAGAGATATATCATTATTAATGACCATTTTTCCAAATTCTTGATAAAAATGGCATAGGTCAAAAATGGTGGATGAAGACTAATTAAGAGGTCTAATCCAAAATGCCCTAACCTGTAAAATGAATTTGTATAAAATCAGGTAATATTATATTTTTAAAGAGACACATGTCCTTCCAGTAGAAGTCTGAGAATAATATAAGAAACAATCAAATTCAATTTTCTTATTTCAAAGAGAGAACAACTGATAACCACGGTAGGTAACTGACTTACTCAAAAATTAACGGCTAACCAGGACTACGAATTCAAGATTGCAAGATCTAGTCCAGTGTTCTGTACATTATGGAAATGCAAGTCTTACTAGCCCCAAACTGTACTTTCTACTTGAAGAAATAAGACAAATACGTGAAAAACGGGGAAGACTAAAGAACAATTCCTTGATATACAGCAGGTCCATGTATAACATCTTTGTGCTGTAACCTTGATAAGAAAAAAAGAAATGATTTCCCACCAGGTCACTGGGATTGTAGAGTTTGTATGTCCTGTCTGTGTGAGCTTTCTCCTGGTATTCCACTTTCTTCCCACATCCCAAAGATGTGTGTGTTAGGTGAATTGGAGTGTCTAAATGGTCACAGTCTGAGTGAGTGTGACTGTGAGTTCAACAGCATCCTGGCTAGGTCTTAAATCCCGAACTTCCAGGATAGGCTCTGGCGAAGCGCAACCCTGAACCGAAATAAACGGGTTGGAAAATAAAGGAATCATGCATACAAATTATTGTTAAATAAAAATTCATAAAGTATACAATAATCATACAAATTCCCTGCTATAAACAATGGATATGAAAGCACTCAGAGAACATGCCGTATTTGTTACTATTTGTTTTTGAACTGCATGGTGGCAGGAGGTGCTCCTTACAATTTTCATTTTGCAACATTTATTTATTGGTTTAACACACAACAGCTCCACCATAGTCATTCAGTGAGTAACCAAAATTTGGGTAATTAATTTACTTGATCTTATTAATCATTCTTAAGTGTATGTATAGCTCACATTTATTTCAATTTTTAATATCAAAGTGCTTTGGGTCTTTATTTAGAACTTTGACGTGTTTTTTTTTGTTTTGAGAGGGTCTGGCTGTGTCACCCAGGCTGGAGTGCAGTGGCACTATCTCGGCTCACTGCAAGCTCCGCCTCCCAGGTTCACACCATTCTCCTGCTCACTCTTGTAATCCCAGCACTTTGGGAGGCTGAGGCAAGTGGATCACCTGACGTCATGAGGTCAAGACCAGCCTGGCCAACATGGTGAAACCCCATCTCTACTAAAAATACAAATATTAGCTGGGCTTCGTGGCATGCGCCTGTAGTTCCAGCTACTTGGGAGGCTGAGGCAGAAGAATCACTTGAACTTGGAAGCGGAGGTTGCAGTTGGCCAAGATCGCCAAGATCACGCCATTGCACTCCAGCCTGGGCTACAAGAGTGAAACTCCGTCTCAAAACAAACAAACAAACAAAAAAACCTGAAACCTGAATACTTTGGTTAATAAATGAGTATCATAACAGAAAGACATACGTGCCACTAGAAAAAAATCAATTTGTTTTTTGCATAACACTTTAAAATTTATTCTGATATCTCATTATACCCAGAGGTGCAACAAAGTATTTAGTAATTGAATTCAACAAGGTTGAAAAACTATCTACACGGTAGTATGTTCACTATTTGGGTAATGGGTTCAATAGAAGCCCAAACCCCAGCGTAATGCAATATACCTATGTAACAAACGTGCTTATATACCCCTGAATCTAAAATAAAAGTAACAGGGATGGAAATAAAATGATTATTTAAGAAGTTAAATCTGTTCTAGAGATTGCTACCTATCCATCCACATAGCTATATAGATAGATATGTATATATATACACATACATGAATAAACTGTAACAATGGCTTATATTTACAAATTCTTTCACTAAGCACTTAATGAACATCTTCTCACTTAATCCTCACAACAAGCAGTAAGTTGTTTTTTTGTATGAAGGAATAGGGGCACAAACACTTAATGCAGCATTCCAAAGTTGATACAACTAGGAAATAAAGCAATATTCATTAAAATTCCAAGACTTTGTTTGAAATCAATGAGCCGTTTTGTGTCTTCCTAAAGATACACATCTTAATAAAAGTGAAATAAGTGTAATTATATACTTGATGTATAAGACAAAAGTATGTTCAGAAGAGAAGAAAATTCTAAGAAAGTATTGCTTCTAGTTTACATCTGTTACAAGCAGGACTTTGATGCAACCCCCTGAAATATCAGTATTTTTAAAAATTAGGTTGCAGCGGAAACGAAGAGTTCTCATATCTCAACAGTTTCCAATAACAAAGGTTACTTCTCTCTCTTTTTTTTTTTTTTTTGTTGAGACGGAGTTTCACTCTGTCTCCCAGGCTGGAGTGCGGTGGCAGGATCTCGGCTCACTGCAAGCTCCGCCTTCCGCTTCACGCCATTCTCCTGCCTCAGCCTCCCGGGTAGCTGGGACTGCAGGCGCCCGCCACCAGGCCCGGCTCATTTTTTTTTTTTTTTTTTTTTTGTATTTTTAGTAGAAATGGGGTTTCATTGTATTAGCCAGGATGGTCTCGATCTCCTGACCTCGTGATCCGCCCGCCTTGGCCTCCCAAAGTGCTGGGATTACAGGCGTGAGCCACTGCGCCGGGTCTTCTCTTTTACATTAGTGTGTTTTGCAGGGTGTTCCAGAACTATATTCTTAGTTAAAGATGAAACTGAAGGCCTTATCTGGAACATGCTAGCCTCATATTGGAGGGAATAGAGCTATGGCAGAAACATGTGATGCCTGTAAAGCTTCTTCTAGGAATGAGGACACATTACTTCCACTCGCATTGCCTTGGCCAAAGCAAGTCAATGACCTTATGTTGGTAGAGCAGAAATACCAATCCTTCCCTTCAAAGGGAATTAGTAAAAAGAGGCCAGACAGAAGTGAATTTGGGAAGGAGCAGGTAAATATTATTAATAAGAAATACATATATGTATCCCTGGCTCTAAGAAACAAACAGCAAACCTTAAAAAATATAGTAAAAGATTTATAGTCAAAGTGTTTTATTTTCATTTAGCAAGTTAATCTTTATTTTATTATATGAATATTGAATTTTTTATAAAACAGAGACATTTACTCACACACACAAAAACACCATAGCCAGAAGTATTTATTTAGTAAATAATCCATTTTTAATGTGACAATATTTGAAAAGCCTTGTGGAGAATATAATTTAATGTTTCAATTTCCAATTCACTCTGAAAATAAATTATTTGAAGTAGAAATGGGTCAGAAGTAGATCCTGCTTCAGCAGGATTCCATAACAATACAAATTTTGAAGATACTTTTAGCTTTTGTCTGAAAGTTTTAACCACAATATATTTTGAGAATAATTCTAGTTTTTAAATTAGCATCTGAGTAAATGTATTAGTCTTATTCCCACTGTATATTCATATTTTAAAAACATAACATTTTACATTTGTTAAATCACTGGACAGAGAGTATAGATTGATTTTCTTAAATGAAGAACATTTTCTACTTTTTCTATTGCTTATTAATTTTATCTTGGAATGGATTTTATCTGTTTTTGGAGTACTTATTTCATTAAATAAGGTTGACTCATTTCTCCTGATAGTTAAAAATAAGAATATTCATTCTTGAGTAAAGAGAAAAGAGTAAATTATCTTTATTTTAAAAACATAAAAGGGAAAATCTTCAGATATTAAAAATACATGCACGTACTTCAATCAGTATCAATATACATAGCATATCCTTCCATTTGTTTTTAGGTACTTGTTTCTTCTCTATCTTCAATGGCTAGTCTGATGGAGAGTGAAAATAAAACCATTCTTTCAGCTAATTTCACAAAGACATTCAACATTCCATTTCTGTGGGTGAATTCAGGGAATTTACCCATTTCGGGATTTCTAGACAAACATCTTGCCTAGGTGTTCCTGCCAACAATAGAACTTATTTTAAAATACAATAAATGAGATGAGCTTAACCAAATGAAATGAAACAGAGGAGGAATGACTGTCAGATGTGTAAGAAGATAAGATTCTAGATTCAGAAAGAAGCCATTAGATGTCATTTGGATGGAAAATGAGGTTGGCAGCAGAGGAAACTGTGTGCGCAACAATGTGGTGACAATGTGGCACACATGTGGGAGTGCAGAAGGTCCAACAGAGGCTCGGGGACCAGAGCCCTGCCATGAGGAAGCTTTGTCTCAGGCTAATGAGGTGGGATTTTATTTTGAAGGTGAGGAAAAGTCGTTGAAGAGGTTTAAGTATGGAGTTACTTGTTGAATATATTCCGGTAGCACTTTTCAAAGCCTACAATGATGGATATTGACAATGGTTAGAACATTCTGGCAGTAATCTGGGCCCAAGATCTTAATAGCCAGACCTAAGGCATTAATTGTGGTGATGGGATGAGACAGAATCTCTAAAGTTAGTAAAAATCTCCATGGGTAGCTAAAATAGCCACTTAGGAGATCACACTTACATACAAGAGAACCTCCGTGGCATGTAACACAGACCGTGCAAAATATGCAAAATATCCCCATAATGACAAGAACTCATGAAATATTTGAAACATAAAACAAATAGCCTTGCTAGTAAAAATTTTTTTTTTTTTTTTTTGAGACAGAGTCTTTCTCTGTCACCCAGGCTGGAGTGCAGTGGCCCAATCTCAGATCTTGATTCACTTGAAGATCCGCCTCCCGGGTTCAAGTGATTCTCCTGCCTCAGCCACCCAAGTAGCTGGGATTACAGGCACTCACCACCATGCCTGGCTAATTTTTGCGTTTTTAGTAGAGACAGGGTTTCACCATGTTGATCAGGCTGGTCTCTAACTCCTAACCTCAGGTTGTCCTCCCACCTCCCTCGGCCTCCCGAAGTGTTGGGATTACTGGCATGGACCTCTGCATCCAGCCATAAAAGCCATTTTTAAGTGACTTTCAGGAGGAAATGGTTTCCAAATGACCACTTAGGGTATGTAAAGGAAATCAGTCAATGTAACAGTAAATGAATTTTTAAAAATATTCTATCACAGAGTATTAAATAAATATTATTTGTGGAAATTCTTACATGTTTATTCCAGTGATGTGTCAGATTTCTGGATTATGCACTATATTCATGAAAATATTTTAAATTTTAAATCTCAATGTATGTTTACTCATTGAATGTATGTTAACTTTTTGAAGTTGTACATATATATACCACCAAACTAATATAATAGGGGTATACGGAATTACATTAAACATAAAAAGTTAAAGGGGTTAAATATATGATATAAAATCATTAATTATGTTTTAATGGTACAAAACATTTGGTTTCACTAAAGTGAATATTAATATTTCTGTTGAGAGAAGGTCTTTGATTACCTCACAATTTTTGAAAATTTGAGTTTACCTATTGGTAATACATAAATTTAGAAATATTGTGCATAGTTGCTTATTTTTGTATAATATTTGTAATTAATGACTATGATAGAATAACAAAAATCCATATATAAAAATGAAAAAATGCATAATCGATAGCAGTTATTAAACTATTATAAATTTTGATCTCATATTCCAATTACATAGATTTTTGTTGAACTACAGAGAGTAAATTTTCATTTCCCTGATACTGGACAGTTCTTTCAAACTAAGATGTTGCATATTTATATTTTTACCAAAAGTTACAAATTGAAAATATTTTAATTAGAAGCTGTGTAGCTTCTAAATATTGTTTCAGCGTTTTAAAACTGTAATATAGGAGACATTGTGGCAACAAAGTCACATAAATATGAACAAATTTTCAACCATCTTCTTTTAAACTTCTCTCTATACCAAAACTTCCCTTAGAAAAGCAATCATTTTACCCCTTGGTATTAAAATGCAACCTTTGTTGAAATGACAGATTAAGTAGCTTTATTATTTTTGAATATATCTGCTTGGTAGCAAACTACTGACATCACAGAAAAGGTTATCAAATTTGAGTCATGTACTTATCTCTTTGCAAAGAACAATGAGTGACTCCTTTTTAAACTCAATCCCATTACATTACCAATTATTGTAGAATTTACTATTTAATTATTTCCAAATAATATTTAGCCATACTAGAGAAATCTTATACAAAATACAGTTGAAATTTTCTGCTAGTGAAAAAATAATGAATCCACCATCATTAACCTTTAAAACTTACTCAAACTTCCTTAGGAAATACTTCCACATTGTAAGTGACAAGTGACTGCCAGAGAGATGTGGATCTGGTGAAAGCACCAGCTTTTCTCCATTCATTGAAGATTAGCAAAGCTTAATTTATTTCTTAATTTTGGTAAAAATAAATATAAGTAGGCATTACACTATTGCTTCTTTTGTTTAGTCATGTTTACAAATGAGCAAATTTCAAACCAAGGGTCAAAAAGCATCTACTCATTAATTAAAACCAGCTTCCCAGAGTTTTTAGTGGAGAGGTCATAATCTTGCTCTGCTAGTGATGTGGGTGATATAGAAATATTTCTAGCTTTGTCAGAAACTTTAGCCACATGTGGTGCTCATAACATCTGAGTGTGTCAGGTTGTCCTCTGGCTGTCTGGTAAAGATTATGCAGTCCTTCTTCAAGTAATGTTTTTAAATGAAAAAAATAAATTTCATGCAATTACAAAGGAAATCAGTTATAATGAAATTTAGTTATCAAGACATTTAAACCCAAAATTCAGGGAGACAGAATAATATATGTGCTTCTTTACCAATGTAATGAAAAACAATATCTAGTCATAGTTCTGGAACTTACTGAAATTTTATAATAATAAGTGAAAACATATTTTAAGGTTTTTTACATCAATGTAATAGTATATGAATATAATTGTAATTTATGTAGGTTAAAAATTCATATCTATTAATATCACTGTAGTCTGTTATTGATATTCATAGTGCGAGAGAATATTGATTTCAGTTGAATGTTAGTAAAAATATAGATATAACTAATATTTTCCTCTCTAATTCATGAATTACCTAATTTTTGTTCACCAATTCCAAGTTAAATCACTCTAACAGAAAGTTAGGCACGAATAGCAAAGAAATAATATTTTGAGTTCAGTGACAACTAGAAATGCTACAAACTTAGAAAAAAAATAATATGCAAAGTTTTTCCTTTTTTTCAAAATAAGCAAACATTGTACTGACTTCCCATTCACCCAATGATTGGTTTTTTCATCATTCAGTGACTGGTGACTATTGCTTGAATTATAGCTGGCCATATAACAGGCAGAGCATAGCCAGGTGTTTCTTAAACATCAACTATTTTTCTTCTCTCTTTGTTATTCCCCTCTTTTCTCTCCCATAACATCCCACCTTTAATTCAAGAAATAAGAGTTTCCATATAAATTGCCTTTAGAAAGAGAATGTAAGAGGTTTACATATACCTAAATATTTAGGGAGTCAACAAAGATTGAGGACATAAATAAAATGCATGGAGGAAATGGCATTTTATGAGTAAGAGACAATTCTGTTCCAGGCTAACAAATAATTCCTTGGGCTTGCAACAGGTTATGAGGTGGAGAAATGTATGAAATCAGAGGCTGATTTGAGAAAGAGGCTCTGTATGGTAGGGTCCCAGAAAAGGAACATCTGTCCCAGTAATTCAGGGCAAGTTGAGCTTTTAAAAGCCTTGGATTTAAGCCCCAATATGTATATGAAAGTAACTCTCATGTATAGAAAAGAAATACCTAAGAGAGTTACTAGACAAGAAAGATCTGCCCAGGAGATACCAATGGTAATGTAGGTGGAAGAATAAGAGTATGAAACCTCAATGTATAGCTAAGGACCAATGGTTCCCCCATCCTCCTCAAAACACCTTGTTGTCTTATATAGTATTAGAATTTGTATCTCCACTATGATGCTAGAAAATATTTATATTGGTAGGAATTAAATATTCTCAACTCAGTAGTAAGGGTAATTCTAAATTTTAAAAACCAAGTTGGGTTTGTAATATTATTTTGCATGCCTTAGTTTATAGACTTAGTTTTATCAATGTTTTAAAAGAGTCTGCCAGAGTAGAAGCTAATCCAAGATGTTAGGGATGTTCCTTTATATTTGGCTAATAGATGCAGACATACCTGAATTCTGACTCATATCACCACCACTGTTCCATACAGAATTATTCACTTAAAATGCAATAACAACAAATAAAAAAATTAAAAAAGCAAAGCCAAAATCTCCAATGTAGGAAACTCTGATTAAGTAGGTGGGAACACGTGCACTTTTCTCCCACCCAAGACAGATCCCGAATCTTATAACCATCCATGCAAATCTGCGGAAGGACAAGAGTCTATAGAGAATGTAAATTGGCTGGGCCACAATGTCTGTACCTACTCGGAAGCTGGGCCTGTCAATGTCTAGGAAGCTGAACAATCAATTAATTATTCTTTCTCCTCATCTAATTAGTGTAAATAGAGAAGAATAATTCTGAAGAAAGTTGAGGAGAGGTAGAAATTTTGAATACCTTTCTCACCTTTAAACGTATAGGGAATAAGGTCTAGAATTCATATTTCTACTTATATTTTAAAGAATCTATTAATTAACACATTGATTTTACCTATGTGTAGCGTTGGAGGAGATAGCAGGTTTGGATTTCAAAGCCCTTGACAATTTTTTCTTAGATAATCACCATATGTAAAAAAATATATATCTTTAGATTAATAAGCACTTGGAAAGTACTAAATTCAGGCAAAAATTAATAATGAATCTTTATTTGAAGCCTTCTATTGTGGATGGATGGATTTAGCAAAAATAGTTGTTGGAATGAAGAGGGAGAAAGCAGTTAAAATATTATTTGGAGAAATAAACAAGAAAGGTAAAATAGGAAAGGATAGATGAAAAGCTCTTCATCAGAGGCCTTAAACAAGTTTCACTTCCATTCTAATCTGTGCTGCTGTTGTTTTGCTTTTTTCTTTTTAAGGGACTTTTCCTTGTCGAAAATATGTTGCACTATTCTTTGGATTCCTAACCCATTGCTGAAGTCAGATGACAACACATTTGCAGTTCCTGGCACCCCAATCCCCTGCTGTCAGGATTGTAAATGATGCCACTTTTCAACAAGCAGCGATCCAGTAAGGGGATTAGAGGCATGAATTTTAACTGACAAAAAAATGAATTTGAAGGTAACATGATGCTTTTTCTGTCACTATGTACTGAGAATACTGGTGCTAATGAGATCTGAGGTGCAGCTGCTTATTTTGTTTGCCATTGTTAAGTGGAAATTACCAAATACCTCATCAGCTGTGTTTAAAGACCTAATGGAATAGTAAAGTGTGAATAAGTTTGTTCCTTCTATATCGGCTTCCACTGTATCACAGCTTGCTTCTACTCTCTGAAGAATATTTGAATAAATGTTCAGGGGGAGGTAGGAAGGAATACTGCTATGACTAATTAGTAAAGAGGCTTTATATCATCTAAATTGGATCCGCTGTGACATTCCATTACTCACTACACTGTAGTATACGTTGAGTTTAAGCATAAAGTTAATGTATGTTTGTAAACAGTAAGCTCTCTCCCTCTTGTATTTTATATCTCAGAGATGCCAGATATCTCTTTAAGATTTTGATGATATTAAATAAATAAATACACACACACAGACTTCTTAACAAATCATTTTATAGGTTTTTGGTTGATATTTAATTCCTCTGTTCCAAGGAGGGGAGCCTGCTGATTCCAAAGACCATATTGGTCTCCTCACTCTAGAAACTGTGCAAGCCAAGATGACAAGTGAGAGATATGATGTGAGCTTTATATTAGTATGAGAAATAGTACTAACTGGGCCTTGCCTGTAGCTTACAGGTGATAAAGGAAGAATCCAGTGTGCATCACAATTGGAAGGCTGTTCAGGGTTCTGAATTTCTTTAGCTCCCTTTATTTTTGTTAAAGTAATTATATTTAATTATTTTAAGAATATACTATATATATTTTCTTAATTCATGAATTTATGTAATGTTTATTGACTACCTGTTGTCTGTGCTGTGATTCTCTTTGTAACTACCTGAATAGGAGTAATATGAGTGCCCAGTGGAAAAAGTAGTATTGATTAGTTTATATAGAACACAGACTGATAATTAGATGGTTAATTTGGGAATTATTTAATTACATGATTTTTATTATATCTTTAGTGTTGTAAATAAGAGCCAAGCAATCACATAGGATCCTATGTGATTTTCCACTTACAATAGAAAATTTAACAAATACTTATTTGGCAGCCATGAGTACATTTTATGATTACCTATTATGAATGCCCAATTAAATCCTAGTAGTTCTTAAGATCTCACTTCATATATCATTTTAGAGTTATATTTCCTACCCTCCAGGACTGAATACAGATATTTCCATTATAATTTCTTGTCTTTTAAGTGAGTTTAGGTTGCTATAACACAATACCATAGATTGGATGGCTTATAAACAACGGAAACTTATTTGTCACAGTTCTAAAGGCTGTGAAGTCCAAAATGAAGGCACCAATGAATCCAGTGTCTGTTGAGGGCTTGTTTCCTTGTTCATAGGTGGTGCTTTTTCCCTGTGTCCTTACATGATAAAAAGAGACCAGGTGGCTCTCTGAAATCTTTTTTATAAAGGCACTAATCTCTTTCACAAGGGTTCTAACCTAGTGATCTAATCATCTTCTTCCCAAAGGACACACCTCCTAATATCATATTGATAGATTCAACTTACACATTTGAAGAAACACAAACATTCAGACCATAGCACTTTCAACATTACATACTTTGTTTATTTCCTCTTCAATCTGCCTAGAACTTTACATTTATTCATGTAAGCAATTGACTAACTTCACTCTTTTTTTTTTTATGAGAAATGCAGACTTATTGAATGAGGTCATTTATTTTGTTTCCTACCATCAAATCTCCACCTTTCAATACAGTGCATAATACACGGTAAGGGTAGAGTAAATATATGAATTTATATAAATAAAATAATGAATGAATCTATTAGCATAGGATGATCTTTTAGGGAAATTTTAAAATACTGAACAAGAAACATAACACAATATTATAATATAAAAATAACCACCCATATGATAAAAAAAAGGCATAGGGTACTATGGGAGAATGGTAGTGAAGTTTCTAATTCTAGTTTGGGGGCTACCAGGAAAGAATTTTCATAGAACCTTCTCTTGATTGTATTTCATCTTCTCCAGCTACCTCTTGTATCCTTGCTCTATCAATCATATTCTCTAAGTGTGGTGTATAAACATATTTAGTTTTAGTTTTTCATCTTAATACAACTATCTGAATCCCTATTTCAGAAACTTATTAACATTGAATTAAAAATGAGATTTCTTCCACTGTGTTGGGGGAAAAGGTGAAAAGGATGATCTTAGATAAAAGCAAATTATGTAAAAAGGAAATCAGTTGAAGTAGTTTCCACATAATTATATTTTCTTTTCTGATAGAATACAGTGATTTTGTTTCTTGAAGGTGATGACAGGGGAGTTTAAGGAGCACACAAAAGATTAGCATTATCTCCTCAGCAGAATGTGACAAAACATTACTGGGTTATGTGAAACATTTCCAAGATGAATTGAAGACCAAGCTGAACGTAAGTATAACAGATCTTTTACTAGCATCATCCAAATTTGTATGTAATTTTTTTTCTACACATGCTATTCAGCACTTTCTCTTTTCTTGCCTTATTACACTGGATAAAATCTGAAAATAAATTTAAATAGTTAGAAAACCTGTTTTGTTTTTAATTTCACTGAGAATTGTTTGCAATTTCTTAATATGGTGTTTACTCTTAGGAAGTGAATTATACCTTTAATTTTAATATGGATAATATGCTTAAGGCATAATTTAAGAATGTTGTCTTTTGTTCAGAACAGGAAAGACTATTTATATAACTAATGTATTATAGTACTTACTGATATTATTATACATTTTAGAATAATGCATTAATGCAGTGATCTATGTGAATAAAACTCTTAATGTTGAATCATCCTTCTATTCCTATGTTGAAATTTAATTGGCCATTGTCTATTTTTGTTACTCCATGTGATTGTGTAACTATTACTTTTGAGATCTCTCAACTTACATTTACAATAGGGATCTATAATATTTTTCTTCTTGGTTTGGAATCTTTATCAGTTTGGTTGAAAATAATAGGTCAAGCCTATTCCTAACTCTGTGAATTATATGTTTATTTCATAAATTTAATTTATAACTATTCTGTATATTTATATTCTATAAAATACTTCCTGCAGTTTGCTAAAATTTATTTGTGAGACCACTACAGTTTTTTAAATGTATACCTTTGATAATTATTTTAATTTATTCATGGAAATTAGTCTGTGTTCCCCCATCTTGCTAAGTAACTTCAGTAATTTCCAGTTGAGGTTTATTATTATTATCAAAAACATTTATGTAAAATTATAATAACCTGCTTTACATGATGCATTCTCTTTGAAGCTGTAGTTTCATTATCTTTATTATTTGTAATGCCATAATTTATGTTTTCTCTCTTTGTTTTTCATCTGTGTAACCAAGATTCTGGGTGCTTTACCCTAAATTCTTAAAGAAAATATACAAATCCAATATATAGTATTTTTACTGGTATTTTCCTATGGTAGTCATTTTCCCTGCTAAAATAATCAATTATTCCTTCCTTCTATTTTTCTATTTTTTTCCCAAACTTCTTGAGATGAAGGTTTCATTCATTTGTATTCGAATAACTTAAAGTTATGAAGGCTTCTTAGACTAATGCTTAACCTACATTCTTTAGATTTTTGTTACAAGAAGAGTCTGTAAATAATCAGCATTTTATACTTTCATTTCTTTCTTGATCTAGAGTTTATTTTGCTTTATAGAAACACCTATAAACCTAATTTTCATTTTGCTTTACTAATACCGTTTTATCACATTGACGTTGGATTAACCCAATCAATTAGGTTTCTACTTAGAGTAAACAAAGGTGTGTTTGTGTGTGTGTGTATGTGTGAGGGGGTGTGTGTGTGGCCAATTGTTAATCAATTATTGATTATATTTTATACATTTGAGAGAAATGTTCATCTTTATAGAGTGAATATATGTTCACATATTTCTTATTTTCTTTTTGTCTATTGAGCTGAATGTTTTATTTACGTATTTTTATTCCACTCGTGGTTATAGCAACAAATATTTTTATATCAACATCAAACTATGAAGACATAACTATACATATGCTTATAGCTACTACTATACAAAAAGAAAACATATTTAGCATTTTATAACTTATCTGCCACCATACTAAAATTTATTTCTATTATTATTGCTAATATTGTGCCATTCCTATTTTGCTTTCTTTGAAAATTTCTTTGAATATTACAAATTACATTATAGAGATATAAAATTATTTGCGTACATTATATATAAAAACTTAGATACATTATACAGCTGTAAAACATATATAATATAAAGATATAACAATTATATAGGTATCAAATAGAGACATAAAAATAATGTCAAACTTTAATATTTGCTATCATTTAGAATACCTTTTAAGCCCCTGATAAAGAGAGTACAATACCTCAGTTAATCCTTGCAATAACTCTATAGGCTAGAAACTATCATTAAACAATTTCTTTAAATATAAGGAAATAAAGAGAAGAGAGCTATAGTAGATTGCCGAGATAACTCAGGTGGTATGAGGTAGACCTGGAATTTGAATAGATAAAATACTTCTTTATCATCTGCGCTGCTAACCAGCTTGTTACAACATGTCACAGTATAGTATTTTAATATTGAATCGAAAGGCCTTATTGATTACTCATTTCTCCTATTTAATATTTGTATCAAGAAATTGCTATGGGCTAATTGCGGCCCATAGCTCCTAAGAAGGCATAAAATGAATATTTTTATCCTGAAACACAAATGTGGTTAAGGGGACACTCCTAAGTACTTACAGATTCAGGTTCAAAATCTGGATGTTGGGCCTGTATGACAGTGCCTGAAAAAATGGCAGACTTCTTGCTTGAGTGACAGTATCAGTTTTCTCTCTATGCTAGTTGAGAGATTAAAAATAACAAGCCTTAGCTTTACAGTCTGCCTCTGACTTGGTAGATATTTCCCTCCAAAATGTGGCTAAAACACCATTAAACTTAAGTTTGCCTCAATAAGAAATAAATGCAGTATAGAGCTATATTTACCTACTTACATTCTTTTGTTTTTCTTTTTTTGAGACGGAGTCTCACTCTGTTGCCCAGGCTGGAGTGCGGTGGCGTGATCTCGGCTCACTGCAAGCTCCGCCTCCTGGGTTCACGCCATTCTCCTGCCTCAGCCTCCCGAGTAGCTGGGACTACAGGCGCCCACCACCATGCCCGGCTAATTTTTTTTTTTTTTTTTTTTTTTTTGTATTTTTAGTAGAGACGGGGTTTCATGTGGTCTCGATCTTCTGACCTCGTGATCCGCCCGTCTCGGCCTCCCAAAGTGCTGGGATTACAGGCGTAAGCCACGGTGCCCAACCTACTTACTTACATTCTTATCAAGTTACATAGTCTTTACTATTACTCTTAATGCCTAGCAAAGTTAAAGAAACATGTTTCCAAACATAAACTTATGTCCTAGTCATCCTCAAGCCGCATTCAGTGTTTGTGACCTCCTGTCTCAACTTTATTCTGGTTCAGTTTTCTGTAGGCTGGAATATTTCCTCAAGTATTCTTTTTTAGAGAAGGTGTATGGGCAGCATACATTTTAAATTTTTGAAGGTTTATAAATGGCTTTTCATCTTTACTCATGAAACACATATTGACAGGGTTTATCACGCTTAAGTTTTGGTTCTGTCCTCAGTAATATAAAGCTTCCAGATGCAGGGATTGCAGAAAGGAAATGCCAGACTTCTCTTTCTTCCCAACTATTTTTTTCTGTTTGCAAGTTTCTCAAATGTTCATTCATTCTTAAATCCAGAAATTTCAGAAATATTAACAGAAATTATTCAAGTGTGGATCTTTCAGAAAAAGTCCTAAGTGAACTTCTCAGGTGGCTAATGGGCTTCTATAAACTCTGTGGTGTAGTGAGAAGGAATTGGCTCAGTGGGCTGGAGAACTCAAGAGAGATGATTAAAAACTATCCTGGAGCCTGTGAGTAAAAGTGGACAGTAATCAGGTCAATGCTGAATTCTTAAAGCTCCTATGTCTTTGTTTCAAACAGGAATTTGATGATTCTGACCTGGAGGTCAAAACCTTTTCTGATTTTCAAGAATGTAATTATTTTGTTTCTAATGTGAAAGAATACATCTTAATTGGTTACCATGTATTCCATGTTTCTCTTAAATTTGAAATTAAATATTTATTTAAATTAAAACAGTGTATATCTTTAGTTAAAAATTAGATAACTTTTGCTTTAGTGCACTTTGGACTAATCTGAGTCAGGTAAATGTTAATCAAGATCTCATGCTGAGTAAAACATGACATAAAAACATGTCCTTGTCAGGCCAAATTTAATTTTAAAAGCAGCAGAAATATTAGGTATTTAAAAAAGAAAATGAGTTAACCTTGAAAATTGTTTATACAGGTAGTAGAAAGCCAAAAACATAAAGGAGATGCTGAGGTTATGCAAAGATTAATAACTGCAGGAAGAGGCCACCACCTCTAGGATTGGTGATGTCAAAAAGAAGAGTCGGTTGTACAGAACCTAGGAGCTTGGAGAAGGTATCGTGTAGGGAAAGTGCTTGAACCTAGAGGGAGAGGGTTTGTGGTGAAAGTATCATGAGTTTCACATAAAGAACTCTGAGGAGGGGGTGTAAATAGCTGTAATTCTAACTGCCAAAAGCAAAGAAACTCCAAAGAGTCTGGATGGTGGAGCTGGAGTTGGCTGTTCTCTTTTGATGAGGGACACTGTCAGACACTAAACGCTGAAAGAGAAACTTTTGTTCCCTTCCCCTCACCTCCAGTTTACCTCTCTGCATTCCATTGGCAGAAATTAACAGTAAGCTGATTAAAAAAGATGTCTACAAAATACAGTTCACAGAATTCTAGAGCAAGCAACTCTATGAAATGTTTAGACGAGCAGACTCAGAGCTAAAATCTGATGGTCACAGGGTGCTTAGTCAAGTTAATGAGAGGAAAGTGAAGAAAATGGGAGGCTCCTAAGGGCAAAGTTGGAGAAGGTCAGAGTATATTTGCATGTTACAACCTCATAATCAACAAATACAACAAAAGACTATCAATTGAAACCACTGAAACTTACTGCCCCTCCAAACCAAACCAGCTTCTTCATTTTATTAATAATATTAATAATTAATTATTATGAACTAGCCTTATTAGGACTGCTTACTCTTAGTCAGGAGGCACGTTTAGCCAACCTTTATAAATAATAGATGAGGCTAGAATAAATTGCAAGAAACAAGCCTTACAGGTAATGTGAATTTTTTAAGGGTAACTTTAACTCTTGAAGTCCAGTTTCTATCATTGATGGCATGTTTCACAGTTAAAATATAATGAATATAATTATACAGTTCCTCCTATTAAATGGAAACAGTAACTAATCTTATAGAAATATCAATGATAAATTCAGACAAAGCTAGGGAGCTTCAATAACTTGTTCAAAAATCAGTATCTTAAAACGCCAGGTCCAAGAATAGCAATTAGTATTCTCGACTTCCAAATAAGCATTTATTCAAAAATATAACCCTCATCTCTTAAAGTGTGAGCAATACTTATGCAGAAAAAAACAGTTTTTTTTTTTGCCTTTTCTCAGTACTGAAAAAAGTAATATTTTCAGTATAACTGCTGGAAAAAAATAAAACCTAATGAGCATCAGAAAAATAACTATATTCAGTGGCTGAAGAAACTTGAAGATAAAATTTTCCATGGAGCAGCAAGGCATGGTCTTCTGTGCATTCAGCAAAGAAGCACCTGTTTCGCTTAATTTATGGTGTGAGCCCTTAAATGCAGTAGGACACTCTGCTCCATTGTGTTCACTCTCTGGGCCCTATTTATTTCCTCAATAGCACACATTACAATGAGTTATTATTTTGTTGGGTTTTTTTCTATCCGTCCTTACTAAAACATAAGCTATGTGAAGACTAAGATCTCATCTGACTTGTTTATAACAGTCTCCCCTCTGCGCCAAGCAGAATTCCTGACTTATAGTAGACATCAAATATGTTATTTGTTAAATTAAATAGAATATCCACTTGTGCCATATTTAATATTTCTAAAATAGAGAGATTATTCTTATTTATCATTTACTCAGATATATAAATACAGTTACAAAAAAGTTTTATACAAAACTGAAATTTATACACAGTTATAAAAACGTGCAAAATAATAAAAAATACAGAAATTTAAAATATCAGTGATGAAAGTAACCTTCAAGGACATTTAGTTAAAAAAAATAGAATTTAGAGAATGTGGCAGTGACTTGATACATAGTAAATAAAAATCTATGGATAATTTAACAAAATAGAAAGATTTTTGTCAATATAATACAGTTTCTTATTAAAGTGGTGCAAGGACACCACAAAACGAGCATCTAAAGATTAAAATTTAGTAAAGTACTTGATCATGACTTCAGCTTAATAAATTTAAAACTCTAATAGGTTATTACTATTAAACATTCAGTTATAGAGGGAACTATATGTGTATGGTTGAGTCAAACAATCGATAGTCATTTGTTTCAGTTTCTGCTGCTTATTAGCGTTGGTCTAACAGGATTAAAAAATCTGCAACCCACAGGTATTGGAAAGATAAAATTTGGGGGTCACTGGCAGTTCCCAGAACCCATTTGGACATCAGTATATTTCTGCAATAGATAAATGACTCTGTGAAAATCATGTATACACTTCTGAAAGTATATTAGCTCTTTCCAGCCACTATAATATAGATTAAGGGTTTCAACTTCAGTGAGCTAAGTAGTATGGTAATGGTACTTGTTTCACAAAATACACCTTGTTTCCAGGCATTCCTCGGTACAAGCAAATACTTCTAACAATGTTATATTACTCACTCCAAAATATTCAGTTGCTTCTAAAAAAATAGTAAAAAGAGTTTTTCTGAAGACCATACAAACTGTTCTCTGAAACAGGCAGGAACATTAGTTTTAGAGATATGGAAGCAACAGAAGTAACAGACTGTGCAGTCAAACACACATCATACATTACTAGCTGTGTGAAATTTTGCAAGTTGCTTAACATTTCTGAAATCAGTCTCTCTATTTAATTTGGGCAATCATATTTTCCTTGCAGAGTTATTGCAAGTATTAAATAAAACTCATATACAGTGGCTAATACATAGTAGGCACTTCATAAATGGTAAGTATGTGAAGAAAACTTTGTTTTAAAATTTTCTTTAAAAAATTGGTTTTTGGTCTAGCTTTAAGCCAGTTTAGTTTTTCATAGTTTGCTAATGAATCATTGATTGCTCAGCCATGAAAAAAATATACTAAAAGGTAGAAGCAACTTGATTAGCTATTGCTTATGGATGAACTCCATTAGAAAATACTATAGAAATTTGTACTTACGGAAATAAAATATAGTAGAAATGTTACTTCTGAAATCTGTTGATTCACTGCCATATCAAAAGAAGAAGTCGAGTTTTACCATAAAAATCAGAAAACATTAAGCCTCAAGCTCTTCCAAGGAAGTCGTGAAGGCTTATTTACTCTAATATTTTCTAGTGCCTATAAAAGTACAATACTTGGTGCAAAAAAAGCAAAAGATGGCCAGGTGTGCTGGTTCATGACAGCAATCCCAGTACTTTGGGAGGCTGAGGCGAGAGGATTGCTTGAGCCGAGGCATTTGAGACAAACCTAGACAACATAATGAGACTCTGTCCCATGAAAAAATTTAAAACCAAATAAAACAACTAAAGATAAGCAAATGTCTATTTTTCAAAAACGATTTACTAATGGGCCTCTTAGTAACTATTTACTAATGGGCATCATATTTAGTCTCTAATGCTGAGTACACTTTTTGGACAGATTATCAACCGATGACTTATAAACTCCAGGTGCAGTTAGAATCCATATCTAAAAGGCATTTTAGTTTCAAGAAAAATAACACATCCCAAGCAAATTTTACTCTTTCTCAATGGATATTTCCAGACTGGGAGATCATGGATATGCTATACTGTGTAATTACCATGTATGTTTCACTGTGAGTGTTTTATAAATCTTTCCTGATAATCTTATAAATAAAGAAAACACAAGAACAGGCTATGTCTATCTACAATTAAGTAACTATGTAACTTTATGAATAACTTTGCTTAGAGAATATTCATTTAGAGATCAATGTCAATCTGAAGGAAATTTCAGGCATGCTTTCAGTTCCATAATATCCAACATCTTTTCAAATCACATTAATGAGGAAATACATGACATGTTTATTGAACTATTGGCTCACCCAGAGCTGGTAGGAGTATAGAATTCATTGAATAACAAAAGCTGCAATTCATTTTACTTTTTTTTAGCCTAAGGAAGTGATTTAATTTCAACAAAATAATAGGTGTTAAGTTCCATCCTCAGGAAATGCATCAATATCCATCAGACCAAGTTAAGTCCTCTTGTTACATGTTTTCATAGCACACTGTATCAAAATTTTTAAAGATATAATTTGCAGTGCTTAATTATTGGTAATTATTTGTAATGTCTCCTTTGCCCACAAGACTTCTTGAATATAAGAGTTATTTTATTTGTGCTCAATCTCTCTGCCTAGGACAATAACTAGAACAATAGGTATTTCATAAACATTTGTTGGTTAACTTACTACAATTTGGACATAAATGCTTTGTATTTAATTAAGCCTACTCTAATTATAAACACTAATGCATTAAAACCTATCATCAGATTTGTGGCATTAAAAATACATGGGTTTTTATTTTGTTTGTTTTTAATGTTTTACTTTCTTAAATTGATCATACAAGGTCTTTTCCAAAAGCAAAGGCTATAACCAATAGAAATATAAAATATACGATATCCACATTTTAGTGCTTGCTTTTCTGAATCAACACACTTACTAACAGAAATACCATGTAGAAACTGGTCTCATAGAGAATGCAAGTGGAAACTAAATCTAATAGCTTGCTGCATTTTAGAGTGCAGCATATTTGAGAGCAACAATAACTTGGAGTCATATTAATGAAATTATAAAGTGATTTATTTTCTGTTTCAGAACATTCCCCTAAGAAAACATGCTTGAAGCATTCTATATTTTGATTTTCTGGGTAGTTAAAATGTTTAACCATTATCTTTTACCATATTAGAAATAAAAGCTTCTGACTTAAGACTAATTCATTGCATTTAATGCCTTACCTTTACACCATTGATTTATTTTTACTACTACACATATTTATTACTTATGTGTTTATATACTTTTTGGTAAGTTTTGTCCTATCAAATGACTCATTCAAGCCACAGTGCCAATTGAATTTAAATGTTATCATAATATTTATATTTGAGGGCAAACAGCTTTGTGGGTTTCTGTCAAGATTTTTAACTAGATGAAACAACATGAAATCAGTTGGTGCAGAAACAAAAATAATAGATGTTAATTTATCTAAAGGAAAAGGCATCATTATGACAAAGGGATACCTGCACTCTTGTGTCTATTGCAGTGCTATCGCAATAGCAAAGCTATGGAATCAAATTGTGTCCACCAATGGGTGAATGGTTAAAGAAAATGGTAAATATATACAGTGGAATATTATTCAGCCATCAAAAAAGAATGAAACTTTGTCATTTTCAACAATATGGATGGAAATGGAGGACATTATGTTAAATGAAATGAGCCAGGCACAGAAATATCTCATATCTCATGTTTTCACTATCTCATATCTGATTTTTTTCACTATAAATTGGAGTTAAAAAAATTGATCTCATGGAGGTAGAGTGTAGAATGATAGATACCAGAGGCTAGAAAGGCTGTATGGTTGGCAGAGTAGGGGGATAAAGAGAGCTTGGTTAGTGGATACAAGTGTATTCTTAGATGGAAGGTATAAGTTCTAATGTTTGCTAGCAGAGTAGGGTGACTATAGTTAACAGCAATGAATTGTACATTTCAAAATAGCTAGAAGAGAGGACTTGAAATGTTCCCAACACATAGAAATGATGAATACTCTAGGTGATGAATACCCTAAATATCTTGACTTGATTATTACACATTTTGTACGAATCTAACAAAATACCACATGTACCCCACAAATATGTACAAATATTATATATCAATTAAAAGGAATAAAATATGGGGTGTCTTTGGGGAGTTTTTTAGATATTCTAAATTTCTGCAAAAATTGTTAGTTATATCATTGCTTTGACTAAAAGCCAAACTCTTAGTAGACAGGAAGAGCTCCTACTGCATTTATTTAGCAAATATTGACTACAGGGTAAATATTTGTTAAATAAATGCAATAAGAGCTCTTCCTGTCTTTTTTAAAACAAATTATACATGGTATAGTAGTAGTCTTTATTGAAATGACCATAACATGAATATATACAGTAATAGAAGCATAGACATGGAAAAAATTAAAGCTACATAAAAAATTGCAATTTTCTAAGATACGAAATTAAACTAAAATTCATAACATAATATTTTTAAACTTTATTGGAAATAGAAAGAAACAGCAAAGAACAAATTTGAATCTTGTTACTTACACAGTCTCATCATCAGGTAGCAGTATATGTTGTTAAAGAACAGATTCTGGTACCAATCTGTCTGGGTATAAATCTTTACTTCGTCAATTACCAGCTAGACATGTGTCACTGGACATCTCACTGAGACTTTCTATACTTTTCTCTTAGGTAAAATATGGATAATAATAGTTCCTAACTCATAGATTCTTATGAAAATTAAATTATTCAGTATATGTAAAGTGCTAAGAACAATGCTTAGCTAATAGTAGGCTTTATATAATTGTTCACTATTCATTTGACTTCTTAAGAATGCCTTTTCATTGATGAGACTCTGATAATTTATAACATAACAGCGCTAAAATATTTCCCTAATTATCTAATTTTAATTTCTGCGTTAGGTAGAAAAATAGTAATAAAGGTCCTGAGTCTATTTTTTGATGATTGTTAACTTCTTTTAAGCCTTACTAGTGCCTCTTTCCTTTTCCGCCCCACCTCTGGGCAACCTAATAAAAAATCCTGGGAGCCACCCCGTTTGGCTTATATGGGAAATTCAAACCATGAAAGTTCTTTCCTGTGCATAAGAATCTTAATCCTACCCACACCCCTAAACATATTAAAACCCGCAATAGCAGTCTCGTTTCCCCAGGCTCTTAAGCCATTTTCAGGCCAGCTTGGAATGCCTGCCCTACTCTGCCTAGAAAAGCCTCTTCATGTACATAACACTCGTCTCATACCTTGTTGGTGTTGGTGTGTATGTGGCATCATCAATTGCAACATCTAGACCAAATTCTTGGAGGATGTCCATTCTACCTCTTTAGGTCGTGAAAACACATTTTCTAGTAGAAAATATCAAACTAGAAAATATCATAATTATTCTATAAAAATAAAGATTACTTGAGAGTTTTCAATGCATACACAGAGGAGTACATCTTTATTCAGTTCAGAAGAGTCTTTTCCATAATTAATTTTTCTACATATTTTTGGTTCAAATTTTTCTTGCTTCCATTCTCTTAAAAATTAAACTTTCTGAACAACATTTATTTTATTTTTTTGAATGATTCCTTTACATATCTTCAATGTTGCTCTCTTGAAATGCAACAATTTTATGTATCGTCTCAAGAAACTATAGAAATAATGCTCCACAAAGAGCTAAGTATTAAAGGAATATTTATCCTTGCTTTCTATGATACACTTGCACTAATACATTTTTATTTATAACAAATAAAAATTTTAAATAGCAATACTTTTCAATTATGACCAATTCATGACCAAATTATTATTTCTGATGAACTGTGTTGCAGTTAGATTTTCACGTACTATCAGCCATTTTAACACATTTTTTTCTCAGCGCCTCTTTACATGGTTTTGCACCATTAAATCTCACTTAGTAATTAGATTTTGTCTGACATGCAATGGATGAGAAAACCAAATGTTTAAGTAATTGCCAGTAAGAAAGATGTTAACATGAATTTGAGTATAGTTTAAAAGTTATGTTCTATAGTAGAGATACATAATTATGATATTTTATATGACAAAAATATTCATTTGTTGTGACTTTCCAGGGAGGAAATGCAGAAACTGATATTTGCCAGCGACCACTGCAATTAGGTCTCCCTGAAATTTTGTCCATGGCATTTCTGTCATCCATGTGTTGAAAACTACTTAAAGGATTTCTGTTGGAACTTTTTATCAAATTCCTAAAAACCCAAGATAACAATAACAATTAACACAACAAATCTTAAACCTAGTTCCTAACTCATAGGTTCTTACAAAAATTAAATAATTTAATCTATGTAAAGTGCTAAGAAGATGCATGGTGCACAATAGATATATAATTCTTCATTGCTCATTTGAATATTCATTTTGTCTGCAATTCTTAACATAAAACTGTGACATGAAATGATCTAGTAATTCTGGTACAACATTGCTTGGATGAGTCTGTGTGGAACAAATGGACATTACACACACACACACACACACACACACACACACACACACAGAGAAAGACAAAACATTATCAAACATTGAGTCTAAACATGAAGTATTAGTAGGTGTATCATGTAAAATATGTTAAGAAATCTGGTTACATGGCCCAGTGCGGTGGCTTACGCCTGTAATCCCAGCACTTTGGGAGGCTGAGGTGGGTGGATCACCTGAGGTAAGGAGTTCAAGACCAACCTGGCCTGCATGGTGAACCACATCTCTACTAAAAATACAAAACTTAGCTGGGCGTGATGGCGGTCTCCTATAATCACAGGGAGTTAGGAGGCTGAGGCAGGATAATTGCTTGAACCTGGGAGGTGGAGGTTGCAGTGAGTAGAGATTGAGCCACTGCACTCCAGCCTGGGCAACACAGTGAGACACTCTCAAAAAAAAAAAAAAATAAAAGAAAAGAAAAAAGAAAAAAAAGAAAAGCAATCTTGTTATATATGTGTGAAAGTGAACCAAAATCCTACTAACATCAGTCCATGTGTGTTGATACTGGGACTCATAACATATGGACTATTATTTTAATAGGAAGTACTCAAGCTACTTATTGTTTTTAATATATGACTTTTTCTCTTCACTTAGCTTGTGAGGACAAAGACCTTGTAGATTTTCTCATCGCTGTTTCCTTTGCTGTTTTTATCATTATATCCCTAATAAGCTAGCTCTTGGAAAACAAAAGTCACTAGGTAGAACTGGAAAAATAGTAGGTTGAAGGAATGACCAAAACCTAACAAACACCTATAAAATTAGGCTAGCATTATAGTTGTTGAGTTATGAAAGGAAACTGCACCAAGGAAAGTTGTTGGAGGAAAAAAAACCCAGAAATATAGCAGGAGATTGGGCAGTCAAGAGAGGCTTAACGGATTTAGCAAGGACTATGTATGCAAAAATATGTTGAAGTATAGTGAGATAGGAAACAGATTAAAAATTAAAGCAAGAACATATGAATTTGTTGTTCAGAAGATATTAAAATTCTACATCACATTTTTTTAACAAGGTGCTATTTCCTTTTTAAAAGACTGCTGAACATGGAAAAAGAGAAGGGTTTTATCCATCCTATTATGTAAAATCATATATCAAATCATATATTTGAAACTATCAAACAATAGTTTGCAAAACCAATGTCTTTATTAAAAATTTATAACCTACTGAAATAATATTTTCTTCATCTAATAAGGTATTCATTAAAAGTAAAAGTAATCACATATATTTCTAGGATAGCAAAAAAAAAAAAACATACCTGAGAAACTTTTCTTTCATGACTGCAATTGATGGGAGAGTGAATGACAGTTAAAATGTCTTCTTCTCTAAGATGTATGAGAATCCATATTCTACAAAGTGATTACTCTTTAAAAGTACTTTAAACTTCATAAAACAATAAAGAAAAAAGTAATAGAAGTTTCAAAAAGTTTTTTGTTTAGCAGCCTTCCATGCTATGCAGTTTAGCTTTGCATGATTTCCCCACAGCCTTTGCAGAAATGTTATTAACTTCAGAAAATTGTTTCTCCTCCTGCATGTTGAGAGGAAAAGCAATTTGAAATGTTTATTTTATGTTTGAAGTTTCTATTCATAAAAGAAGAGGTGAAAATATTATTTTTTACTTCAACTTGTAGTTCAGACCACAAAAGTGCAGGTTTATGCAATAATTTACTACAGTATGATTCTGATAAATAAAAGTAATTTCACATTTTCTCCACTTGTTAATACAAATTGATGTAAAACACACTTTGCATCTCTATGAAAAGAAAGGAAGCCACTGCCATTTTCATTTTCCCCAGTGTGAATGAAAACCTTGTTCCTAGGTGGAGGTCAAGAGAGCTATTACACCATAATTGAATGTAGTAAGAGCTGAGATCTTGCTCATTCACATTAAATGAACTGAGACCTATTGCTAATTACTAAATTTTGTGTGCTGATACATAAACAAAGAAACCTTACAATAAATAAAAGGATACACTATCCTGCAAATGTCATTTTATGTACAGTTCAATCGATAACAGACTTGAATGAGTAACCGTATGTAGTTGAATGTCTTATTATGCACTTTAGTATAGTTTATGGGCTAAACAAGTTGCACATAACATATAAAAGCCATTGGCTGTTGTACACTTTAGTAAACTGCAAACCCAAACACTCTCGATTAGGTAATAAGTATACATTTCTACATAAGAATTCTATTGCCTCAGGAGCTGTACTTCCTGTGTAATGGTTTACACTCCACTGACCTGATTAAACTTCTAATTATACAGTATTGAATGAGTCTCTATAATGTTCACACATAAACAAACTCACACCCTTCTAAAACTTCAGTTACTAGAATTAAAAAAAAATCCTTGAGAAACTCACTTTTATTCAGAACTCGTATGGCATTTTACTCATATTAACACAACTCTAAATTCTGTAAAAAACCAGTGAAACTCGAATCCAACTCCAATATAGGCAAGATATATATATACCAAGACAATGGAAATTTTTCTTTGGTGATTAACATACAACCCCCATGAAACCACAGTGGTTGCAATGTCTCCCAACACATACCTATTGAATGAATGAATGAATGAAATATCTTTTCCATTTCAGCCATTTTTGCCATTGGTTCTGCTTGGGTCTCTCTCTCTCTTTCTTTTTTTTTTTTTTTTTAGAGACGGAGTCTTGCTCTATTGCCCAGGCTGGAGTGCAGTGGCTCAATCTCGGCTCACTGCAACCTCCGCCTCCCAGGTTGTAGCAATTCTCCTGGCTTAGCCCCCCAAGTAGCTGAGATTACAGGTGTACACTATCACAGCAGGCTAATTTTTTGTATTTTAGTGGAGATGGATTTTCACCGTGTCGCTCAGGCTGGTCTCAAACTCCTGAGCTTAGGCAATCCACCCACCTCAGCCTCCCAAAGTGCTAGGATTACAGGCGTGAGCCACCCCGCCTGGCCAGCTCTCTTATTTTTTAAATCATTTTGTTAGTATGCTTTATGTATAAAAATAAATGCCAAATATTACAAATACCAAACATTTGACTGAAACAAATTTTTAAATTCATCTAGGTTCTGATGTCTGAAATTATCTGTATAATTGTCGTCATATTCCCAAAGCATTGATTTTTTTTTTACTACTTTTATAGTGAATATTATATAGCCACTAACTATTGATAGACTGATTTCTGGATTACAGAGGGTCAGATATTATTGTTCAAACATGCAAACAAGAAAACTCATCAAACATTCAGTCCCTGATGTCTAGGGTCTGTCAAATAATTAGAGGAGTTATTTTCTAGAACCAATGTGAAAATAAATCAAAATATTAGAAAATAAATGTACTATATTGAATCATTTATAAAAGTTTAAATAACATAAATATAAATAGGTAAACATCAATATATAGATATGTAGATATAAAGAGATGCATACATTCCGAGGTAAGATATATGCTCTCCTTATATAAATATATACCTAATGCTTTTCAGCATTTTCAGCTGATAAGATTCTATAAAAGAATCTCATTATTACTCCCACTGTGTTATAGAACACATTGCCCATTTCTAATACATAATAGTATAGAGGACAGCTAACAAATCTGATAGTGTGATAATAAGTTGAAAACATCTGGGTTTGGATCCCTGTTCTTCCAAATTTTCTCACCTGACTTCACAGAATACAATTTAATTATCTCTAATCATTCACATTGAATAACCATTACATTTTCAGTGAGTCAAAATTAACTATTGCCAAATCTAACACAATATTTTGTATTTCATTCTTATATTTAATTTTAAAATTAATTAGAGTTTTGTTTTTGCTTTTGTGACTTTTGCAGTTGCTTAATATTACTTGTTGGTAGGTAAAATATATTTCTGTGAAAAATATATTTTTATTTTACATGCTTATCAGAATTATTGTTTAAAAACATTTTATAAAATAAAATTTAACTATTACATTTATTTATATCACCTATTATATAATAGGTCAACTAAACTTTTATTTTGAAGTTTAAAAATAAAACTGTATTAAAAGATCTTAAGAAGTATATTTGAAAATCAATGATATTAAGCTAAATTAATTTTCTAAAGTTTTTTGTTTCTATTGCTTTTTTCTATTGTATTTAATTAGTGAATATAATATTTAAATGTTAAATAATGTATCAAGCAATGGGAACCTACTGTAGTAATAATAAAACATAACATCTTGGCTGTCTTCTCATAGTATTATTTTCCATTATTTTTCTCTTGATGTACAATATTTTTCAAAATAATCTAAAAATAATGTTTCTATGTACATACTGTGTTTCTAATATCAACACCTACATAAAATCATAAAACAACTATTTTAAAGACTTAATGTAGGCACTCCTAAATTAGAAATAAATATAAACAAGAGCAAACAGATGAAAATGGTAAAATAATATCCATGAAAAGGTCTGTAAACATTTGAACCCCTACTTAAGTCTATTCACGGAAAAACACTTGCAGATGCATGCAAACATAATCAATCCCCATATGACCAATCTTTCAGCTAATCTCTGTACTCCTTGTTGCATGACTATAGGACTACAACTTGTCATTAGCCTCAGTCTCTTTATAACTCAGTCTCTGTATAACTCTCTATAACTTGCCATATTAGAGCCATGGCAATTTAATATTTTATGCAAGGCTTCCCCCAGAAGTAACCTGAGTCCCCAGTCCTCAGGAATACTATTTCCTTCTGGTCTTGAAGTTATTCACATGATTCCTGTTAGTATCAAACAAGAGCTTTATCCACTCTTCTCATTGTAAAATGTACTCTCAAATATTTAATGAAAATAGAAATGTAAGCATAATTACTGCAACTCTGTATTAGAAGCAAGTATCAGATTTCAGAGCATTACAGTAAATATGTTATATACAAGTAGTCGCCTGATGCAAACCGCAATTATTGCAAAAATAGAAGTCAGAGCTACTTTAGGAAGCCTAATTCAAACCAATCCCTCTTCTGGGATTAGAAGCATATATCCAGACACAAAACCAAACATTTAGAAAATCCTACCATGTTCACAAGCTTATAAGGCAGTTATCATTATCACTTACTGCTGTTTGCTCTGGGGTAGGTTGCAAACTGTACTGATATCTCCAGTTTTTTGTTCGGTTATCTGTATTTTATAGTTTGATATTTCATTTAGTAAATCTTCCTAAATCTGACCTTTTGGATACTGAGGAACTCCCAGCTTTTTCAGCATTTTTTAGTGAAAATATATATATATATATATATAGTGTGTGTGTGCATGCATGTATGTGTGTATGTATGTATGTGTTGTGTAATATTGCAAAATATTGTAATACTCTTTTTTTACAATATTTTCAGCCCTTCTGGATAGTTGAAAGTAACTATCTTAGCATCATCAATCTAAGTAATGTGAAAAAAATTTCAATTTACCCTGGACAGTATCCTTTATGCCAATTTTGTCCTGGTGTGCTTAGTAAAAGCGTCTCATCTTATTTATAAAAGTGGCCCAATTTTAAAATGAATTATGTGCATTTACTTCTAGGCCATTACTTATTGGCTAAGCTCCTCTGGAAATTTGTTGAGAAATTAAGGTAATTCTAAAATCTCAGGATTAGCAGATACCCTCAGCCACATGTATGTGATACTTAAATCTCCACTTCACCTTGATGGTTTGCCATTTCACAAAGAAAGAAAAAAGTAAGGAATCATATTATTCAAGCATGTGTATTAGTCCATTATTATGCTACTAATAAAGACATACTGGGTAATTTATATAGGAAAGAGATTTAATTGACTCATTGTACTGCACAGCTGAAGAGGCCTCAGGAAACTTACAATCATGGCAGAAGGGGAAGCAAACACATCCTTCTTCACATGGTGGTAGCAAGAAGAAGTGCAGAGCAAAAAGAGCCCCTTATAAAACCATCAGATCTTGTGTAAATTCACTCATTATCATGAGAACAGCCGTACGGGGGTAAATGCCCCCATGATTCAATTACCTCCCACTGCGTCCCTCCCATGACATGTGGGGATTATGGAAACTACAATTCAAGGTGAGATTAGGGTGGGGAGAGAAAGCCTAACCATATCATTCCACACCTAGTCCCTCCCGAATCTCATGTCCCCACATTTCCAAACACAATCATGCCCTTCCAACAGTTCCCCAAAGTCTTAACTCATTTCAGAATTAACTCGAAAGTCCAACTCCAAAGTCTCAATCTGAGACAAGGCAAGTACTTCTGCCTATGAGCCTGTAAAATCAAAAGCAAGTTAGTTACTTTCTAGATATAATGGGGGTATAGGCAATGGGTAAATGCACCCATTCCAAATGGGAGAAATTGGCCAAAACAAAGGGGCTAAATGCCTCATGTAAGTCTGAAATCCAGTAGAGCAATCATTAAACCTTAAAGTTCCAAAATGATCTCCTTTGACTCCATGTCTCAAATCCAGATCATACTGATGCAAGAGGTGGGTTCCCATGGCCTTGGTCATCTCCACCCCTGTGGCTTTGCAGGGTACAGCTTCCCTGCCAGCTGCTTTCACAGGCTGGTGTTGAAAGTCTGTGGCCTTTCCAGGTGCATGGTACAAGCTGTCAGTGGATCTACCATGCTGGACTCTGGAGGATGGTGGCCCTCTTCTCATAGCTCCACTAAGCAGTGCCCCAGTGGTAACTCTGTGTGGTGACTCTGACCCCACATTTCCCTTTCACACTGCCCTAGCAGAGGTTCTCCATGAAGGCCCCATCCCTGCAGCAAACTTCTGCCTGGACATCCAGGTTCTTCCATACACCCTCTGAAATCTAAGCAGAGGTTCTCAAACTTCCATTCATGAATTCTGTGCACTCACAGGCTCAACACCACGTGGAAACTGCCATTTCACAACACCACATGGAAAGTGCCAAGGCCAGGTGCTTGTACCCTCTGAAACAACAGCCTGAGCTGTTCCTTGGCCCCTTTTAGCTATGGCTGGAGTGACTGGAAAGCAGGGCCCCAAGTCCTGAGGCTGCACACAATAGGGCGTCCCTTGACCTGGCCTATAAAACCATTTGTCACTCCTAGGCCTCTGGGCCTGTGATGGGTAGGGCTACCTCCAAGGTTTCTCACATGCCCTGGAGACATTTTCCCCATTGCCTTGGTGAGTAACATTTGGCTCCTCCTTACTTATGCAAATTTCTGCAGACAGCTCGAGTTTCTCCCCAGAAAATAGGGTTTTCTTTTCTGTCACATCACCAGGCTGCAAATTTTCCAAACTTTTACGCTCTGCTTCCTCTTGAGTACTTTCCCATGTAGGAATATTTTTTTTGCCATATACCCTAAATCATCTCTGTCAAGTTCAAAGTTCCACAGATGTCTAACTCAGGGGCAAAATGCCGCCAGTCTCTGCATAACAAGAGTCATCTTTACTCTAGTTCCCAGCAAGTTTCTCATCTCCATCTGAGACCACCTCAGCTTGGACTTCATTTTCCATATCACTATCAGCATTTTGGTCAAAGCCATTCAACAAGTCTCTAGGGGGTTCCAAACTTTACCACATTTTCCTGTCTTCTTCTGAGCCCTTCAAATTGTTCCAACCTCTGTCTGTTACCCAGTTCCAAAGATGCTTCCACATTTTTGGGTATCCTTATAGCAGCACTCCACTCTACCTGTACCAATTTACTGTATTAGTTTGTTCTTACACTACTAATAAAGATATATTTGAGACTGTGTAATTTAGAAAGGAATGAGTTTTAATTGACTCACAGTTCAGCATGGATGAGGAGGCCTCAGGAAACTTACAATTATGGCAGAGGGGAAGCAAACACATCCTACTTCACCTGGTGGCAGCAAGGAGAAGTGTAGAGTAAAAGGAGGAAAAGCCCCTTATAAAACCATCAGATCTTGTAAGAACTCACTCATTATCATGAGAACAGCAGCATGGGGATAACCACCCTCACTGTTCAGTTACCTCCCACTGGGCCCCTCCCATGACGTGGGAATTAGGGGAAGTACAATTCAAGATGATATTCGAGTGGGGGCACAAAGCCTAACCATATCAGCATGTAAAAGCTAAATAGATTTTTTTTTTTTTACAATCAGATAAAACTCTGAAGGAAAATTCCACAAATATGATATTTTTACTAGAGCTTTAAGAATTAAAAACCTTGAGCATTTTCTTTCTTTTTCTAATATTAACATTGTGCTTGTTGGTCTTGTTGGTTGTGTATAATATTTGCACAATATCATTATGAGAAAATAATAACATACCTACTAAAAATTAATGAGCTCAACATTTATGTCAGGTATAGATAGCTCTAGAGATTGGCAATAGAAGGGTAAATAAAACAGACAAACAGCACTCATGGAACTTGAATTCCATAGAGGGAGGGAGCATGACATCAGTGAGTAAATAAATGAGAGGTAAAGATTTCTTAAAACTAGAAATAGGCTAAAAAGGATTCTCATGGCTTAAACTTATAGTACCAACAATGCATTTTTTTTAGGAATGAGAAAAAAGTAGTTAGAAAGTGAATGTGATAAGGAGAGAAAGATTATTATGTTAACAATCCACTTTTCTAATTCTTAGTATACTTAAGATAAATAAAAGAAGCTTCTCTGCCTAAGTTAAGTGTCTTCTGAGATTCTACATTTAGAGAAGCCATCAATCTGAAACCATAAAAGTAAAATTTGTTACTATTTTTGTAATTTCAAAATGTTCTTTTCTTCTAGAAACCTTTAAAAGTGAAGATGTATAGAAAGAAAAATGAATGTAGGACTGATGGATAGACAAAATGTTTATCTTTCTCAAATCTTTTATTTTCTCTTTTTCTAATTTTATTAAAGTTTTCATACTTAGAGGAGTGTATCCTAGGCTAGCTTTTGCTAGGCATAAATGTCTCCACCCAAATGGTCAGAATCATCCCCGGGGTTTCATACTCAACTGCACATTGGGGTCAATTTATTTCACAGTTTCTACTGTCATATGTATTTGAGAGAAAGTGAAAATGTTTGTTGAATTGCTTAATGGTTATGTTTAGACCACTTGTTTGCCAGCATGCTATTTTATTTTATACTTCAATCAGGAAACCCCTTTATGATCTGAGATGCCCTGTCTTTATTCTTATCCTCATAACACACCTGGACCAAGTTCCAGGTTTCTGCTATAACCCTAGGTAATACTTTCTCCTTTAAGTTCCTTCACTATTCTCCTTGATGAAGAGGTGGTTATTGTTTGTAAGTAAATGAGTATCTGTAACCAATTCAATATTCTTTGGGATAGTCAATGTTTAAATTTAATTGTCCTATCCCTGAAGGCTACCAATAATAAGTTGAATGTAAGATTTTAGTAAGTCTGGGTTTCTATGTTTATATTAATATTTTATATACTTATAATCCATCAACAAGATTTCCAAAGGATGGTGGGGGATTTTTCCAGTAATGCAGCATGTAGGATGTTCACCTGTGGGATGCTTTCCATAGGATCTTAAAATTCAAATAAATGTTTTAACTGTATGTAAACATAAAATGGAAAGCTTGCCAAATTGAACTAGATAGCTACCTCTTTGTAGTTGGTAATGTGCACTTTCATGCTCCTATATTTTTAGGGGCAGACACTGACTTAACTGTATCTTATATTTTCTCAGGCTCCCTTATTGGTATACTCATAAGAACAGTATATGTTTTCTAAAGATTTGATTGGACACAAGGAAAGGGATTTGTAGTAAGAAGGATACATCTCTGGGAGAATAAAAATAAAAAGTCAAGTAGTAATGAGAAGATGAAGGTTATGGAAGAGAGGGCCTAAGATCTCCCCTACCCCCACAGCACCCACAGTACCAAAAACAGGCATGAGTCATCGATAACATTCTTAAAGTCAGTTATCAAATGTTGTAAGGAGAAAGGTTTTATGAAGAGAAACACATTAACACAGAGATTCACATTTTACTTACAGCTTGTAGTAATGTTAATTATCTGTCCCTAGAGATGTGAGTCTTGAAAGGGAAGATGGCTTTATACCTATAAGTGAAGCACACACTGGTTATGGTTAGATATGAGCTATTGACTCCTGAACAATCCAGAACTCCATAATTCCAAACTTCCTGAGCACCACAGGAAACCAAAGTCCTTCTTCTGCATTTCGCAAAAACAGGTCAAAATGATACAGGTAGCTCTAATTTCAATAATCATTTCATCTACAAAATTTTCTTATGAAAAATGAACTTAACATATCTATGAGGATTGTATTATCCTGACACCAAAACAATACAGTCCTCAGAAGTAAAAAAATAAAATAAAAAATTGAAAGCACTGGTAAAGTTGTATAATCATAATTGAAATGTATTGCAAATCCATGAGAAAAATTTTCATTTTTAATTAAGTAGAAACCTTACATATCACAGATGGTAGACTTTTTCATATGTATTTTTCTGCCTGCCCCAATTACTTCAGTATTCTTCCTTAGAAACTATTTGGCTAGCTGTTGATTTTTAAATCCAATAATAGTATTGTTTTTTATGAATGAACATGACTGCCTTTCATTTAAAACATGCATACTTTAGGTGTATGCACACAAACAGAACAAAAGTGAAATAATGAAAGAAAAGATTATGCAAGCCGTAACCAAAAGAGAACTGACATGGCTATACGTAGGAGAAAATTTGATGGAATATAAGGAAAACATCGTCAACTCAACGCCATTAGTTAAAGACTTTAAATATCCTGCTTAAAAATGGGTAGAAATAGACAGAATGCCAACAGTGGAATAAATAGGTTTAAATTACACTATAAGCTTATTAGTTTTAACTAACCAATATATAATGCTTCAAACAGCATCGACCTAATGCATTTATTCTCACGTATACATAGAACATTCTCTACAATAAACTATGTTAGGGCATGAAACAAGATTCAATGTAATTAAAAAGACTGAAATAATATTAAAGTATATTCTTTGACCACAGCAGAATTAAATTACAAAAACATTAGAGAAATTTGGAAAATTCACAAATATATGGACATTCAACAACACATATCTAAATAACAAATGAGACAAGGAGGAAATCAAAGGGAAATTAGTAAATATTTTAAGATGAGTGAAAACCAAATACAACATAAAAAATAAATGGGATGCTTCTAAAACGGAAGAAAAAAGAAAGTCCAGGCAAACATGCCTTCAACAGTGAATTCTAACAAAAACTTAGAGACTTAATATCAGTTCTTCATGAACTCTTCCTAAAAATGGGAGAGGAGGGAATACTTCACATATCTATGTTCCCTGGCATTAAACAAGACAAAGAAATTACAAAAAAATTACATACTAATGTCCCTTTGATTATAGATGCAAAACTCTAAAAATTTCTAGTAAACCAAATATAGGAACAAAATAAAGAATTATATTTGATGAACAAGTGAGACTTGTTTCAGTAATATAAGTTTGGTTTAACATCTGAAAGTCAGTAAACATAATATACCATATTAATAGACAAGGTAAAATTATATGATAATCTCTATAGACACAAATAGTTCACAAATTCCAATACACTTTTATGATAATAACATTCAACACTTTAACAATAAATGGGAATTACTCAGTCTAAAACAAGCGTATATTTAAAATCAACAGCTAACATTATAGCTATGATGAAATGGTAAAAGAATGAATCCAAAATTAGGAACAACAGAAGGATTTTGACTTTTACCACATCTATTCAACACTGTACTGGAAGTTTTAGCCAGAGCAAATTAGTCAAGAAAAACATATTTGCAAGAAATAAGTAAAACTATTTGTAAGTGTAGATAACATGATCTTGTACATACAAAATCTAAAAAACCCATTATATTGAGTTATTAGGAAATATTAGGACTAGCAATAATTTCAGTGAGGTTGCAGTATATATGGTAAATATAAAATATTGAATTGTATCTCTATATCTTAGCAATGAACAATTCAAAAACGAAATTAAAAAAAAAAAAACTCTAACTACAATTGCATCAGAAAGAGTAAATTCCCTGAAATAAACGTAACACAAAATGCAAAAGTGAGGAGTGGTGTAGTCCTCCTCTAAGGCAGATGACGGCAGAGCCCTCATGAATGGAATTAGGGTCTAGACTGAGACCCTGGAGAGTTAACTAGCACCTTATGCCATGTAAGAATACAGTGAAAAAATGCCTTATCTGAACCAGTAAACCGGTCCTCACCAGAATCTGATATTGCTGTTGTCTTGATTTTGTAATCCCAACCTTCAGAAGGATGAGAAAAAAAATTCTCTTATTTATAAGCTACCCTGTTTAAGGTAGACTAAGACCAATCCCTACTCAGAAGTACTCACAAATCTCAAAGTAAGAGCAAAAATGTGTAACATTCTTAGAAGAAAATACAAAGGTGAGTCTTTGTCTTCATGATGTTAGATTAAACCGTAATTTATTAGAAATGACACCAAAAAGAATTATCAACTGAAGAAAAATAAATAAACTTGATTAAAAATTTTTGTATTGCAAAGGACCCCATTGTAAAGAGAAAAAAAATTGCAAATCATATTGAATTATATATCTGATAAGGGCCTAGTCTCCAAAATACATAAAGAAGGCTTACAACTCAATAATGGCATGACATATAGCTTAATTTTTTTTTTTCTTTTGAGAAGTCTCACTCTGTCGCTCAGGCTGGAGTGCAGTGGCGCAATCTCGGCTGCCTGCAAGCTCTGCCTCCTGGGTTCATGCTATTCTCCTGCCTCAGCCTCCCTAGGAGCTGAGACTGCAGGCGCCCACCACCACGCCTAGCTAATTTTTTTGTATTTTTTAGTAGAGACGGGGTTTCACCGTGTTAGCTAGGATGGTCTCAATCTCCTGACCTCGTGATCCACCCGTCTCGGCCTCCCAAAGTGCTGGGATTAAGGGCGTGAGCCGCCGTGCCTGGCCTCAATTTTCTTAAATAGACAAAATACTTGAATACATATTTTTCCAAGAATACATGAAAATGGTAATTGAGTACATAAAAGATGATAAAATTAATTAGTCATCATTAAAATGCAAATCAAAAGAGTAATGAGATACCATTTCACATCCACTAGGATGGCTATAATGAAAAGGCTAGAACAAATATTGGTGAAAATATGAAGAGATTGAGACATTATGTGTTAGATAACTTATCTAACACATAATGCAAGTAAATAGTAGAAAACAAAAGGACCCTAAAAACATTTTAATTAGCATCCTAAAAAAGGAAAAGAAAGGTAAATGCAGTTGTGTATAAGAGAAATCAGATAAGAAAGATTATAATTAAAATATGATTTGTGAAATTTTTCCAATACCATATAATAAACATACATGAAGTTTGCATGTGTGATAGATAAAATTAAGCAACTAACCCAGAATAAAAAGCCCCCAAAATAGAAGGAAAACATAATTAAAAAGCATAAAGAGAAAGAAAATATAATAGAAAATTACATAAAATTGAGAAGAGATTCAGAACATTCAACATTTGACTAATTTGTGTTCCAGAGGCTAGAATAGTCTCTGAAGGTAAGAAAATCAATACAACAGATATTGACTATCGTATGAAAAATAAAACGCACAAAAATATCGTTAAACATTTTGAAAAATAAATACTTTGATTTAGAGAAAGTAAACATGTTGTACCATATGGCATAACATGTTAAACGTACAGTAATTAAAAATGTGTGTGTAAGAAAAGAAAAATACAATAATGGAACAGATGATTAGGGCTAGATAAAAAAGCATATATAAATGGTAAAGTAGCATGTGATAATGATGACATTAAGTTAATGATTGTATGGCAATTGGCTGCACATTTTTCTAACAAAAAATATAGAGCTTGACTTTATAAAAAACTCAGTTGTCTAAAAATTTCTAGGGAATTTAAAATTTACACAGTTTTTTAAAAAGCTATAAACAATTGGAAGAAGAAAGAATTAAAAAATTATAATTTTAAACATGCTAAGCATATTGTAACCCAGATCCACAAAAGCAAATAGTGCTATATTGTACTAAACAAATATTTAAAATATTACAAAGCAAAAGACAACATAATCAAAATTTAAGAAGAAAGGAAAGGCAAGAGAAAGTAGAAAGAAAAGTAGAAAAGGAAAGAAATACATAAAGAGAGAGGTAATGGGAAAAAGAGGGGAAGAGAGCGGAAGAGAAAGGAAGTGAAGGGGAGGGGAGGGGAGGGAGGAGGGGAGGAAGGGGAGAGGGGAAGGGAGGAGAGGGGAGGGGAAGTGGAAGGGAGGGGAGGGGAGGGGAGGGGAGGGACAGGAAAGGGACGGGAAAGGGAAGGGAAGATAAGATACACACACAAATCAGCTTGGATTTAAAATGGTTTTACTCTCACACCAGCTGACTCATAAGTTATGTGAAAATTGATGATCCAATAGAAATCCATTAAATAGAAGAGTAAGTTTTTTTTAGTATTAGTCAAAGTAAACATTTACTTCTCAAGTGTAATTTCTGCCAGGAAGAAATATTTATGCATTTATTAATACCACTGACTAATATTCTGCCATTTGGGATTAAAAAAAGGCCTAAACTCTGAATATTATTAGGTGGAGTCAAGAAAAAATATATCAGTGAAACAGTCTATTTGGAAGTATTATCTAGTAGAAGACAAGCATACAGCCTGAGCGAGAAGAAGTTTATCTTTGGCATTAAAGAGAAAGAATACAAAGATACCATATAAATCTCTTTTTCTTTAAAATTATGTGTAATGGCAATATGGTTTATCCATGCCATTCAGGTGATTATCACTTCTGAACTTGTCTGGATAAAGTATTTAATTAAAGCAAACATAGGTACTACAAATGCTATAAGGACATTCATTCAATAATACTTATTGAATGCCTATTGAACCTGCAGTTCATTAGGACTAGAAAGGTACAAGAAAGAGAAAGAGAAGCAAAACCAGAAAAAGAAAGAGGAGGAGGAGGTCATGGTAGTGGTGGAGAAGGAGAAGGAAGAGGAGAAATAGAAGGAGGAAGAGGAGAAGTTTCTGCTGCTTTTGTCCTACAGGAAATCACAAAAGAGTAGAGATGTAAGAGCTAGGATTTATTGAGTGTCTACTATGTGGCAAACACTATGACAGATTCTAGATGTGTATCATCTTTAATTCTAAAAATAGAGGAAAAAACGCTATTGTGAGTATTCTTATCTGCATTTTGGAAAGGAGGAACCCAAATCTTTGTTTAACAACCATTTTGTGCAAATAAAGGACTACATAAAGGTGAACCCACTCAAGAGATGTACATGACTAATCACAGGCACATTTTTCTAAAAATACACATTATTTCATACTCCACCCAGATGGGTAAAACTTTCAATTTGATATTTAACATTTATTGCTTTACACACTTTTGTCACCAAAAAACCATCAGAAGGTAATGGATTAACAGGTTCATAGCACAGGAAAACTTCGATGTCTATGTTCTATGTTCCTGTTTTCTAAATAAATCCCCACTTTTCATAGTTTTATTACTCTTATTTCTTGGATTATCACAAACTTTTACAGCATTATTTGTTCAGATTTTTTTCACTTAAAATGTAGATCATCATTTCAGTAACTTTCAAGAAGTTTTTTTCAGCAACACTCCCTCCTGTAAGTGCTCATATGTGTGCATCCATGCACATACATGCGAATACACAGATTCTTTGTTCTAACTACATATGTGATCATTCTATGTTTTGCAAACTTTCTTAGCTGAAGTTAATAGAAGAGCAATAAAAAAAAAATCAGGGGGCAGCACGGTGGCTCACTCCTGTAATCCCAGCACTTTGGGAGGCCAAGCTCAGTGGACCACTTGAGGTCAGGAGTTCGAGACAAGCTTTGCAAACATGGTGAGGCTGGAAAATTACTTGAACGCAGAAGGCGGAGGTTGCAGGGAGCCAAGGTGACACCACTACACTCCAGCCTGGGTGACAGAGTGAGACTTTGACTCCAAATAATAAAATAAAGTAAAATAAAATAAATCAAAGGATTTCCAGATACAGAGATACAGATAATTTTTTCTCCAATGGCCTCCAATAAATCACAGCCTGCCAATGTCCAAACTCTTGAGTAATCTCCTCCCATATTGACTATGGGCTTACTCATGTGATTTCATTTGGTCAACATGACATTAGTAAATGTGAGGCAAGCAGAGGTGTGATAAAGTATTTGCACGCTAGTGACTTGCTTCATAACCCTCTGAAACACAGGCTGTGAAAAAACTATGAATAAAAATATTGACAAGAAAGGTCCTTCCATTTCAGCTGTTCTAGCTGAGCCTTGTCCCTAGTTGGCCTACCACAGAAATGCAATTGCAAAGTGAGCTCAAGTGAGATCAGCAGAACCACCTGGTCAACCAGTAGAATAATGAAAAATGAAAAATTGTTCTTGTTTTAAGTCACTAAATTTGAAGGTGATTTGTTATGCAGCATCAGACGACTGAGGCACTTGTTACCTGTTTTTTATTCTGTTACTCACTAGCTCAGTAATGTTTGACAAGTCTCTCCTAAACCCTAAGATTTGTCCTCATTAACAAAATCAAGATGATAGTAATAACAGCCAACAATTGTGTAGCTTCCTATTTAATCCTCACCTCATTTAATGGTCATAGGGTTGTTGTCTAAATTTTTTGGATAAGGAAATGAAAGAGAGATAAACAAATGTGTCTAAAGTCGCACACCTGTTAGAAGTAGATTTAGAGTTTGTGCTTTCAGTCATTATTCAACACAGCCTAGTTTGTGCCAGTCTTTAAACAAAAAAAGGAGTTCTTGCTCTCTCTCTTCTCTTTCTTGTCAGCTTTGATATACATTAAGTAGATTTTAAATGTGACCAGTAGTTCTTTCTGGTCAGTTGTGGGATTTGTCTCTCTAGCTGCCTGTATTTCTGTGGTTTTGCTAGAGGAAACTTTCTCCCCTGTAAAATCCTATATTGTTCTATTATACTCTGGAGGGCAGTCCATCTGCTTCTGCTGGTTTACTACATAACAAGCTCTGCTTAGGAACTAAAATGACATAAATCTGGAGTTACAGATCCATGCTTGTCAGCACCATATAATACAGCTCTTGCTCAGTAATTATGTATGATAAACATCCTGATTATAATACATCTCATCCACTGAGGTGGTCGAACACACACATAATACTGGTTTACTGGCATAACTAGGCTATACACAGCTTTTTAATTTGCTATTTCCTGAACAGAGAGCCTTTTTTTTTTATCTTTTTCAAGATTGTTCAAATGACAGTGCCTTGCATACTGAATGTACCATTTACATTCAAAATTTGAGGCCTCAACCTCTCCAAACTAATCTGCTCCAAATAAGTTTGTTTTATTTTCAGTGCATTATTAAGAGCCAATATTCCTTAAGCTATATAGATTTATTATTAACAAATTACAAAATTATCCTTCTATATAATTTTATTTCTATACTTTAAGCGATTTTTCCAACATGTTTTAGTAAGCAATATTTTATAAATCAGAGTATAATAAATCAGACCTCACAAAAGCAAACAAAATGAATTCCCATCCAATGCAACTAAATATTATATTGGTTACTTGTCCCATAGGAAAAAGATTTGGAGTGGTCAAGCCAAGA
The DNA here is from genome assembly GCF_000001405.40 of Homo sapiens. Lineage (NCBI taxonomy): Eukaryota > Metazoa > Chordata > Mammalia > Primates > Hominidae > Homo > Homo sapiens. The sequence goes on along the minus strand of NC_000004.12, from coordinate 66,297,324 downwards.
ATCCACCCAGTCTTGGTATTTTACAAATTGGAAAACATTTCTTTGAACTATTTCAAAGAAAATTGATGTCTTAATACTACATGGTTTTATAAAATTTATGAAACAGGAATGAAAGCTTTCTGGTGATACTCAACAATATGTTAAATTAAAAAAAGAGATCAGTATTTATATATTTAAGAATATTTACCATTCCAGAAATATATGGTCTTTAAAATACTGCAGTGTCTGACTCTGACACTTAGTATTCCTGGATTTTTAATAAAAAGTACAGGAAAAATTGAATAATTTTGAGCAATATGTAAATTTAAAGGAAATGGATAATAGCTTCTTCTGGGAAAACTAAAAGCTCAAAGTCTATGTAATGAGATTTTGGTAAATATTATATGCAAGATCTTGTCCTTCTTCTTCATGTTCTCTTTACTGACTAGAAGGTAATTCCATTTGCATGCATAAGAAACCTGACTGTTCCCTTTGAGGATTCCACAGAACTTATATTCCAATTCGCTCTTCCTTTGCCAAGAAAGATTCACTACACCAAATTGTGATCTCTCTGAGGTCCCTAACACCAAAGGAAGAGAAGAAAGATAACATTAGAAAAAGAACCATGGGTTCTTGAAATAATACATCCATTACCCTGTTTTCCTGTTCTACCTTTAAAAATGTTTCCTCACAAATATGCTTTATTTAAGATATGTCTCATTCACTTATCCACCTACCTAGCTACATTTCAGTATCTCCAAACTAATATTGTCGGGGCTACTTTGCCTTTTTTTTTTTTTTTACTTTTCCACATACTTGAAGAAGATCTAAGAGTCATTCTATAGGCAATATATATTTATTACCAGCACATTATGAAATGTACAATTCTAAGTATGGTTTTCAGAACAATTTGTTTTCCAATAAATGATTCTTTCTAATATTTTTTAAGCATGATGTGTTCATCAGTATATACTAAGAACAATTTAATAAAAGTATAAACATATGTATATATGAATACATGCATATACAAACTTACATTCATACATACACACATATGTATGTGCTCATACTTTTGTTTCAGAGTCTCCTATGAGATTCATGGAGACAAAAAGTCCATTGATTGCTAATACTTAAACAAAGGAGAGGAAATAATTATTTTCAGATATATATTAAAATTACTGCATTGTTTCACATTACTCATAAAAAATTGGTACTGGAAAAGGGTACACATTCATATGTGTTTCTTTTCCATTGATCATTCTCCATTTTATTTTTTACAATTCTTTGGTACATTTAGCAGCTTATACCAGTTTTTCCTCTGCAGCTCCTGCTTCAAGGCAAACTTTACCATGCATTATTTCTCATCCATTTGTTTATTGACTCATCTTTTAAACAGACATCGAACATATATCATACATACTTCTGTCCAATTGCTCTATATAGATATACTGTATAGTTTATCATTGTCAAACCCTGCTTACTTCTCCTCTCAGGAGATTGTAGGTTGAGTGAAATTCATTGCTGGCCAAGATGAAAAGACTGACACTGAGATTATTGTAGGAAATCTCCAGGTACCTTCAGGTGAAAGATAGAAGTTAAACACCTTCTGAAACTCTGATATATTATCCCTGGCCTCTTGCCACAAATCTATAAATGTGTTCTTCTCTATCTGTATAAAATATGTATATCTATCATACAACCAAGGAAAAATAATATTGGAATAGTTTATATGACTAATCTATGGTTTTATTACAAATTATGCTGTAAGTACTCCACTTTATGTATAAAATAGATGTTAAGATGTGTTCATTATTTAAAATAATGATAGGTAAATTTATATTTTCTCAAAAGTGTCAAAACACTTTGATCCACCAAAACATTAGGAAATATCATCAGATAGTGCAAAAAACATTAGACTGGACTTACAGACTCTGTCTTTTTCTTTGGGTTCTTCCTTAAACAAGTAGCGTGTCTAGGCTTCTTTAGAAAAAAAATGATTGAGAGCAAAAATAAAAGAATACTAATATTAAGGTGCTCTATGGAAACCATTATTGTCTTTTATCTAATTAAACTTTTCATCATGTAATTTGTGTTACCTATACATATGGTGACTATATTTGTCACCTAACCAAGGCATTTTTGAAAAGAAAAGAGGTGCTATTGAAAATCGCAATGAGGTATCATCTCACACCAGTCAGAATGGCTATCATTAAAAAGTCAAAATATAACAGATGCTGGCGAGGTTGAGGACAAAATGGAACATTTATAAATGCTTGTGGGAGTGTAAATTACTTCAGCCATTGTGGAAGCCAGAATGGTGATTCCTCAAAGAGCTAAAAGCAGACCTACCTAATGGTAGCAATCCCATTAGTGGGTATACACGCAGAAGAATATAATCACTTTACCTAAAAGACACATGCACGCAAATGTTCACTGCAGCACTATTCACAATAGCAAAGACACGGACTCAACCTAATCGCTCATCAGTGACAGACGGTGAAGACAATGTGGTACATACAAACCATGGAATGCTATTCATTCATAACAAAGAATGAGGTCATGTCTTTTGTGGGAACCTGGATGAAGCTGGAGGCTATTATCCTTAGCAAACTAATGAGGGAGTAGAAAATCAGATACCACATGTTCTCACTTATAAGTGGGAGCTAAATGATAAGAAATTATGAACACAAGTAAGGAAACAACAGACACTGGGGTCTACCTGAAGGGAGCAGGTGGGAGGAGGGAGAGGAGCAGAAAAGATAATTATTGGGTACTGGGCTTAACACCTGGGTGAGGAAATACTATGTACAACAAATGCCCGTGACATGTGTTTACCTGTGTAACAAACTTTCACACACCTACCCCCAAGCCTAAAATAAAAGTAAAAAAAAAAAAAAAAAAAATCAGGCATACATCAAAACACTCCCAGGAAACCTAGGAAGCAGGGCCACCCCATCCTTCTGGTTTCTAAGCCTCGTATGTATTTTTTCATAATAGGTAACTGCTTACCTTTAACAACATGTGTTTCTAATCCTATCTTAATATTCTTATTTTTATTTAGTTTATCTTCTATTCAGTCCCATTGCCAGATATTTAATCACCTGTAATCTGTACTTATCTGAGCTACATGATCTTCTTTTACCACATATACACTCATAATTCACCACTGGAAATTCCCTGATAACCCCTATTAATCACAAAATTCTGATAATAATGTTAATACTACCCATTGAGTTTTCTCCATTGTGTTCTATCTGTTTTTAATCCCACTTCTCTTTGATTCTCATTTTCATTAGTTATTGTCCTTCCTCCTGATGAAATCTCCCAGGCCTTTGACTTTTCCTAATTCTTTTGTCCTAACACTCCAGGCCCTCATTTGCTTATCAATGACACTTTTATTCTTTCATACATAGAATTCCATGAGAAACTAAGCCAACTAATCTCTTGATAGAACCTTGAGTATTTTCCAGCTATGACAATCTATATACTGATTCCTTATTTAAATAATCGTAATGATGATTATGTACCAAATAAAGCTTTCCTTCCTCTCTAATATTGCCTGGCACTTAAAAAAGAAATTCACTGTAATCATGGCACTTAGTGCACATTCATGTTGTTTCGATTCTCTTCCTAAATAACAATGTTCCAGTTTTGCTTGGCCTACCATTTATTAATATCTGGTAGTTTATCATGTTTAGAACAGTAGCTGCTGACTTTTTATTTTGATTTTTTAAATTCAACTTCTATTTTATATACAAGGTTTACATGTAAAGATTTCTTACACAGGTATATTGCACCCAGGTAGTGAGCATAGTACCCAATAGGTAGTATTTCAGCCTATACCTCTCTCACCCTCTCCCACCTGTAGTAGGCAACAGTGTCTATAGTTCCCATGTTTATGTGTAGATGTGTGCTCAATGTTTAGCTCCCAATTATAAGAGAGAACAGGCAGTATTTTGTTTTCTCCTACTGTGTTAATTTTCTTAGAATAATAACCTCCAGTTCCATCCATGTTGCTGCAAAGGATGTGATTTCACTTTTTTATCACTGCATACTATTCTGTGGTAATATGTACCACATTGTATTTGTCCAATCTACCACTGATGGGCACCTAGGTTGATTCCTAGTCTTTGCTATCATAAATGGCATGGCAGTAAACATACAATTACATGTGTCTTTTCACTATAGTGGTCTATTTTCCTTTGGCCATGTACCCTGTAATGGGATTGCTGGATAAAATGGTGGCTCTATTTTAAGTTCTTTGAGAAATCTCCAAACTGTTTTCCACAGTGGCTGAACAAAATTCACATTCCCCACCAGCGATGTATAAATGTTCCCTTTTCTCTTTGCATTGCCAGCATCTGTTGCCTTTTGACGTTTTAATAATAGCCATTCTGACTGGCATAGGTATTTCATTGTGGTTTTGATTTACATTTATCTGATAATTGGTGATGATAAACATGTTTTCATATGTTTGTTGTATACTTGCACGTATGCTTTTGAGAAATGTCTGTTCATGTCCTTTGCCCATATTTTAACGCATTTTTTTGTTTTTTAATTTGTGGATTTGTCCTTATAGATTCCGGATATTAGGTCTTTGCTGGATGCATAGTTTGCAGATATTTTATCCCAACCTGCAGGTTGTCTGTTTACACAATTGATATTATATTTTGCTGTGAGAAGTTCTTTAGTTTCATAAGGTCCTACTTGTCAATTTTTATTTTTGTTACAATAGCTTTTGGAGACATAGCCAAAAATTCTTTGCCAAGGCTGATTTTGAGAAGGGTTTCTAGTTATTGCTCTAGAATTTCTATAGTTTGACGTCTTACATTCAGATTGGTAATCCATCTTTAAATTTTGTACATGATGAAAAGTAAGGGTCCAGTTTCATTTTCTGCATATGGCTAGCCATTTATCTCAGCACCATTATTGAATAGATAGTCATTTCCCCATTGATTTTGTCAGCTTTGTCAAAGATCAGATGGTTGTAAATGTGTGGCTTTATTTCTGGAGTTTTCTATTCTGTTCTATTGGTCTATGTGTGCTTTTGTTCCAGTACCATGCTGCTTTGTTTACTGTAGACTTATAGTATAGTTTAAAATAATGTGATGTCTCTGGCTTTATTCTTTTTGCTTAAGATTGCTTTGGCTATTTGGGCTCTTTTTTTTGGTTTCACGTAAATTTTAAAATCTTCTTTTTCTAATTCTTTGAAAAATGACATTGTTTGATAGAAATATCTTGAATCTATACATTGCTTTGGGCAATGTAGCCATTTTAATGATACTGATTCTTCCAATCCATGAGTATAGAATGGTTTTTCCAATTATTTGTGTCTTCTATAAATTCTTTCAGCAACATTTGGTATTTCTTCTTGTAGAGATCATACATCTCCTTGATTAGCCGCGTTCTGAGGTATTTTATTTTCTTTGTGACTATTGTAAATGGGATTATATTCTTTATTTGACACTCTGCCTAAACATTACTATACCAGTAATAATCTACTGATTTTTGTACATTGATTTTGTGTCCTGAAAACTTACAAAAATTGTTTATCAGTTCTAGTAAGCTTTTGGCAGAGTCTTTAGGGTTTTCCAGGTATATAATCATATCATCAGTAAAGAAAGATAGTTTGAGTTCTTTTCCTATTTGGATACCTTTTATTACTTTTTCTTGCCTGATTGCTCTGGCTAGGACTTCCAGCAATATATTGAATAGGAGTGTTGAAAGTGGGCATCCTTGTTCCAGTTCTCAAGCAGAATGTTTGAAACAGGTCACAAAATTATATTGGGCCCTCAACCAATGTGGGGAAGAGTAGGCAGAAAGGAAGAACTATGAAGCTGACATCAGCTTAATACCAAAGTCAGGCAGAGACATAACAGAAGAAGAAAATTTCAGGTCAATATCCCTCATGAACATAGACACAAAAGCCCTTAACAAAATACTAGCAAACTGAATCTGGAAGTAGATCAAAAAGTTAATATATCACAATAAAGTGGGCATTTGCCCATTCAATATCATATTGGCTGTGGGTTTGCCATAGAAGGCTCTTATAATTTTGAGGTATGTTCCTTTGATGCCTAGTCTGTTGAGGGTTTTATTATGAAGAGCTATTGGATTTGATGTAAAGCTTTTCCAGTGTCTATTAAGATAATCATATGGTTTTACTTTTAATTTTATGTGGTAAATCACATTTATTGATTTGCATATGTTGTGCCAACCTTGCTATCCCTAGAATAAAGCCTACTTGATTGTGATGTATTAACTTTTTGATGTGCTGCTGGATTTGGTTTGCTAGTATTTTGTTGAAGGTACTTGTGTCTATGTTGATGAGGTATTTTGGCCTGAAGTTATCTTTTTTTTGTTGTGTCTCTGCCAGATTTTGGTATTAGGTTGATGCTGGTTTCATAGTTCTTCTTTTCTGCCTACTCCCTCCTATATTAGTTGAGGGCCTAACGTAATTTCGTGAACTATTTTAAGAAAATTCAATCACTCATATTCTCTTTCCTCTACCTCAACAAATATAATTACTTATCAAAAGCAATTCACTCTCCTTTATGCTAGACTTAAGTGAGTTTTATGCATGACAAGATAATATTGTTTCCTCTTAGTTTGAGAAATAACAGGAAGTATTTACTTTTGTCTCCCATTCCAATAATCCTCCATATTCTGACATTGGGGCACCTACTGTTGTGAAATTATTGACAGATTTCATGTTGCAAAGCTAACTCTCAGAGTTAAGGTGCCTTAAAATATGGCACTAGCTCAGAGATGCTTTTGTTTTGAGGTGCAACCCTTTTGAAAGAGATAAATGATGATAGCAACTATGGAGGATGAAACATATCTTTTCAGAAATCGAGATTGTGGGATATGATTGCAAAAAGTTTCTAGGACACAAACCACTATCCTCAGCAGTTTCCTGAGGAGGACAAATAATAATATATGTAACTGTCTGGGATTCTAAAAGGCGAGACATATTCCATTAGTCTATGTGTCTACTTCATCCTACTAGAACTGTTTACAGTCTCATTCAAATTGGATTCGAATTTTGAGCATCTTGTGAAGGCAGTGTTGTTCAGGACCATGCATTTTGGATTACTCTATTAAGGAGACCTCTAAAATGTGATTTATATGAAAGATACCGTCAGCTCTAAATGACAGAAGTAAATTGGATTCATCCAATTTACAGTATTCATGATACTGGTATCAAAATGTATCAGAATGCTCTAAACTGATTCTCCTTTCTCCCAGATTCTGCTAATATTCTCCTCATTTATCCACAAATTCTTGCCATGTAATCTTGGGAAAACATTTGCACTCAAGGAACCAGAGAAGAAGGTATAGAAAGCACAATTTCTGAACTGGGTCATTGGAATGATAGTAAGTGGGGCCAGTCCTATTTTCACACTTTGTTCCCAGACCCAACCTTATAATGGAAAATAATTTGGGACTGTACCTACATTTTTAGGGGTAGAATCCGATTATTGTAGGTTAATATCTCCAATCAGCTACCTCAGCACCTCTTCAAAAACCATTTCCTTCGTTCTATTAGACTGGAAGTTTTCTGGGTGGAGTAGTGTGTGATAAAAACAGATGATCCAGTGGTCATTTGCTAATTACAACACTTATGTTGTTGTGAAATGATACTTTATGCCTGATACAATGTTCTGTAGGATTAAACTCACACTAAAGCCCTTAGTAGTGCTGATGGAAGCTCTGTGGGCAGAAAATGAAATCCATACTTAGAATATATGTTGATGTTAGTTCAGATGAATTTCGGCCACATCCAGGATAAAAGACCGTTGATTTAACAGTGGTAGGAGTAGCTTGATCAGCAATAATAAATGCAACCCTATGCATCTGTGTTAGCCTGATCTACAAATGGTGTCTTCCAGCTTCTCAGTGATGCTGGTGCCCCCTCATCAAGACAGTCTCATGACTTTGCTATCTGGAAGAATATATGTACCAGGTTTTCCAGCATTACATAGAATAGCCACTTTAATATGTCTATTTTAAGGGTTTGATGACTTTTTTCAACATCAGTGAAAGTAGGTCTATCATTTATATCTAATTTATTGTGTGCCATCTCTTTCTTCAAGCTCCTAAGAACCATCTTAGCACCAGATGCCTTCCCAAAAAGAGGTTCCCATGTTAATAACTTTTCTTTTTCCTTTTCTATAGTTGTATCATAAATGAAATGCTATCTCAGCCTTGAATAATTCATTCTTATATTCCAGCACTTTTTATCTAGAAACTCAAGATGAGGTTTCACGCCACATCCTGATTCTAGCTATATTATTAGCTAAGTCTCATAGCTCTTTTAGTAGACTCAGGGCTTTCCTGAATTAGTTAAGGCTTAACCTTAGTTACTTTTCTAGTGATTAAGAGAGAAAATAAGAAATACCTTTAAGATTAAAGTGAGTTGTCTTGCAAGGCAGAGGCATTGTGAATTCTTCAATTAAGCATTATCCTTAAACAAAGATGTTAAATGATCATAATATGGGGTTCAAGAATCCCCAGTCCTTATTTGCACCCACTATTAGCTGGCAGGATACTGGTGTTCACTGTAATTGTGAGCTGTTGGTTTTCAACACTACCACAGGCTGGGAAAGAGGAGATGACAACAAATTGAGAGGAAATTTGCCTCACTTTAAATCATCATGTAGTCATATTATTTTATAGCCCCTCAAGAAGAAAAGTGACTGTAGCACAAGAAGATATTTTAAGATAGTAAGAGTGAGAGACTACATTCACATAACTTTTATTGCAGTGTATTGTTGTAATTGTTCTATTTTACTGTTTCTTCTTGTTAATCTTTTTCTATGCCTAATTTATAAATTAAACTTTAGGTTCTACCATTACTGTGACAGTAAAAAAATAAACTATTCTGGCATGATTGGGGAAGTGATAAGTGTAATTATTTGTATACATTTGTAATAAATCAAGATGCTAACTTTAGTTTCTAAGTAAACAACCTTAAAAAGTTAAATATATCACAAATAAGCTAATATATGATAATATTTTTAAGTAGAGAAAATTGATTAATGCCACATAAGGCACATAAGGAAAAAATATAGTCTACAAACAATAAATAAAACAAAGATGATAGAACTATACTAAATAGGACACTTTAGCGCTATAAACATTCAAGATAAAAATAAATATAACATCATGATAATACATTAAGGTGTCAATCCAACAGGAAGAAATGAATCCTAAATCTCTGTGTCAAATAATTCAACTTTACAGAATGTAAAGCCAAAATTGACTAATTATATATTTGAAGACATATTTGTAATATTTCACTTTAACAAATTTTTTCAACCGTTTAATAAATTTTCAGTAATGATAAAAGATAATTGAAGAAGATAATTATGAAACTTGGTGTTACTGATATATAAATAGAATATTGTATGCTATATAGTGTGTACGGAAGAACATACGTTTTTTCAGGTGAATCTAGAATATTATCAAAATTTGATATATTTTGTGAAATCATATAGTGTGTGTTTCTGACACAGTGGAGTTAAGCTAGAGAATAATAACAAAATGAGAATAAGAAAAAACTGAAAACTAGGAAATTTAAAAAGCTGCCTATGAACAGCCCATGAAGCGAAGAAAAATTCACACTGTTTACTCAGAAAATATGTGACTAAAATTTCTTTATTAGACACTGTACACAAAATAATCACATTCTATATAAGAAAATATAGAAATAACACAGGTAAGAGCAAAAGCCAATGAAATGTAAACAAACATAAAATAGAGGACACCAATACACCAAAATATGGATCTTAGATGAAAGTAATGAAATTCATAAATCAATAGCTATGCAAATCAAGAAAAAATATAAGACATTACCAATGTCAGTTGGAGAATTGGGTTATCAATCTAAATCTTTCAGATGTTAAAATATAGTAATATTATATAAAGATTTTTGCCAATAAAATTGACAATTTGGCTAAAATGCACAAATACTTTGGGGAAAAACAGTAAAGTGGACAATAAAATTAGAAGATATCAGTAATCTGAGTTATACCAAAGAAAATAAATCCATTATTATAAATAATAATTATTACCTTTCCTTCAAGGAAACCTCCAGCACGAGATGGCTCTGCCATTAAATTCTTATAAGCGTTCATTTTATAAAGTAAGTTTAACCTTCCACAAATTGGGTGTTTTAGGCAGAGTATATGCGAACTCTGTACTTAATTTTGCTGTGATCTTAAAACAGCTCAGTAAAAAGTCCATTAAAAATGCCCCAAATAAGTTTAATTTCAGTAGTGCTTTGTCTTTTGTTTTTTGTTTTTACTTTTATTTTAAGTTCAGGGGTACAAGTGCATGTTTGTAATATAATTAAACTTGTGTCACGGGGGTTTGTTGTACAGATTATTTCATCACCCATGTATTAAGCATAGTAACCATTAGTTATTTTTCCTGATCCTCTCCCTCCTCCCATTTGTACAGAAAACCTACACAGAAAGCTATAAAATACGATACTAAGAAATTAAGGAAGTGTAAAATATTACAGAATGTCATATTGAGCATTGGATATAATTTATTAATATAATATTTTTCCAATGCAAACAATCAACCTCTAGTAAGATTTTTTCTTATGAAAATTGACTATCTGATTTTTAAATGTATATGGAAATAAATATAGTAAGGCAGTCTTGAATAATATATATGCCTTGATCTTACAAAGCCAAACGTGAAATCTATTATAAAGATAAAATATTATTTTTGTGCAAATAATAGCCAAATAGAATATTAGGCCAAAAGAGAGAAACTAGAAAAAAAATTGATTTATGATCTTTAAGATACTGCAGTGCAGTGGAAACAGCATGGTCAACACAACAGATTAAGGTTAAATATATATACATATAAAAATACTGTCATGAATCTGGACATACTACCTCACACCATACACAGAAACTTCACAAGTTGTAAATCGAGCTTAGCTTTAATTTTCATGACATTGAAAAACATGAATTTCTTAAATAAGACAAAAAAATTAATCAAAAGTATAAGGCTGTTACTTGGACTTCAAGCAAATGAAAAATGTCTGATAAAAAAATAAAAGAATAAAATATTCATGCCTCAGAACAGAAGTATCTTTTGCAATGTATTAAACAAAGGACTCAAATAAATACTATACAATTTTGATGATGGCAGGTGGAGACAGACAGGTTCTTAGGTGAGAAGGGTCTCTGGTGAGGCCCAACCTTGAAGCTAGGGAGGGCCTGAAGCCTGAGGGCCTGGTTGCCAGTTCCGGATGGAGTCCACAACCTGGAGTGAGAACTTCCTTGATGCCTTTCAGCCAATCAGATGGTGCTTTTTCTGGCCTCCATCATGGACCAATCAGCATGTACTTCCTCTTGCCTATAGACCAATCAGCATGTACATCCTCCATTCTGAGACCATAAAAAACCCTAGACACAGCTGGACTCAGACACACGTCAAAACTACCTGACTGTGGATAGGAGCTACCCACTTTGGGTATCCTAAATTATGAGAGCTGTTTTATTGCTCAATAAAACTCTTCTCCACCTTGCTTATCCTCCAGTTGTCCACATAACCTCATTCTTCCTGCATGTGTGATAAGAACTCAGGACCCACTGAATGGCTCGTGCAAAGAGGGCTGTAACACATTCCTGGCCAGCTTGCTGAGTGGCAGGTGGTGATATACACCCATACACCACACTGCAGGAGTGAAGAGCAGTGACCCTTCTTTGGGCCAAGACCTTGGGATTCCTCAAGCCAGAGTTGTAACACTATAGACCTCCTGCCCTCCATCAGCACTGGGCAGCTGCCTTATGTGATGGGAAGCAGCGGCAGGTCAGGGCCAGCCTAGGGACAGTGAGGCAGAGTGAGGCAGCAGGACTGAATAAGCTGCAACACAAATAGGCGGCAACACACACCATTCCCCCCACACTGCCCCTACACCCCCGCCCCTGTCGTTTGCCATGCTGGTTGCAAGAATAAGAGAGCTATAACACGTCCCCCTGCCACCTTCTGGGGCTCTGTGGTTGCTGGTGTCTCCAGGCACCACCGCGTTCGCCTTGTCTAGACGCCAGTGCCTGCAGCTGAAGCTGCTTGCGGTAGGCCTGGTCCAGCTGCAGCCTCGCATGGAGCTGGCATGTGTGCTTGCACCTGGAGCTGCCTGCCATGCTGCAGCAGCTGATATGCCTGGCTGTGTGCAGTGACCAGACCTGGAGCTCGCTTGCTCACACTCCCCTTGCTGCTCTGCACCTGGCTTGCCCTAGGCGGGCATGGGATCTCGGCTGGTAGCGTGAGCCTAGCACAGCCTTCCAGGCAGAGTGGGTAGGAGCCCAGCGGTGCCAGCAAAAACTCAAGCAGATGCACTGCCGGCCACAAAGGTTTCCAGGTGGTGACGTGACATCCAAAGGATTCTGCGATATTTCCTACAAATCAGTAAGAAAAGTCTGAAAAACCAATAAAAACTGGGCAAGATAATTAGAAAGGCACCTTGAAAGAGAATATCCCTAATGACGAATGAACATGTGAAAGATATTTAACTTCTAAAAACACAAATGAAATGTAAATTAAAGGCACAAAGGTGGCAACAACAAAAAAACTAAAAGATACCTACTAGAATGACTAAAATGAAAACTGCAGTACCAAGTCTTGTTGAGTATGTGGCACAACTGGAATTCTCATAATCTTGCTGGTGGAAGTCAAAATTGATATAACTGTCACAACCACAGTAAAAAATGATTTTTCTTTTTTAAATAAAATCGAAGACATATATACATTTGTCCAGGAGTTTTTACTTTTAAAATGGCATAAATATGTGTAGAAGTATGAGTATATACAGAGAAATAATTGTATATATGTGTGTATATATATATATATATATATATATATATATATATATATATATATTCATTACACTTCATTACAGCACTGTAGTAGCCTTAAAGGGGATTTAGCCCAAGTATTAATTGATTGTAGAACTGATCAACGTTTTACAAATTATTGTATGTTGAACATCGTGAAGCAATGAATAAACTGCAAATTAATTCTTAACGTGTAAGAATCTCAAAGTATAATACTGAATTTAAAAAGACACACAAAAAACATGATCTGTTAATAAATGTATATCAAAGTCAAAGCCATATGACACTAAAATCTGGAATGAGAAGCCAGGACAGTTGGTGTTTCTTTGCATTGAATATTCCATTGAATAGCGTTTAGAAGTCAGCATAATTGTAATTTCTGGGATGCTAGTGATGTTATATTTCCTGAATTTTGTGAGTGGTCATGAGTTTATCTATTGCAAAAATTTATTTAAGTATATTCTTATGATTTATGTACTGTCCAGTTGGAATATTATATTTCAAATAAAAATTATTAAATACAAAAACAAAACCATTTGTAATCAGCATCTCCAAAGATACTCCCTATATTAAAATATTGCTTTCAAAAAACAAAACTAAGAACATACTATACATATCATGAAACTGATGTTGTCACTAAGCAAAATATTGTGAAATATTCTCCAGACAAGAAATTATTGTCTCCAAAGCCATTGGTCTATATCTAAAATAGAATACTACTTACATATATATGTATAGTATTCTAGATGGAGTAAACTAGAATGGATAGTATTCTACATTAAAAATAGTAATTTAGCTTTCATTTTAAAATGATTACAGTGGGATGAAAATTACCTCAGTCAAACTTTTGCATCTATTCCTACTTTTTAAATTCATTTATCATTTCTTAAGATAAATTTCTAAAGGTGGAATTGCTGAGTGTTCATATCAGTATCATCAAATTCTCCAACAGCTGGTACCAATTTTGCTATGGCCAGCAATGCATGAAAATGGCTATTTCCCTACATCACTGCATGTTGCATATTACCTTCATATCAGCTTTGCTAATATGAAAAGTAAAAATAGCATAACAATTCTATTGAATTCTTACCTTGTAGAAAACCAATTTTATTTTGTTTATAATTTTTACATACAAAAGTTTTTACTTGTATAATCACACTTATAGTTGCTGTCCTTTATAATTTGTGCCATTGTGCCATATTCAGAGAAGTCTACTTACTTATAACTTGTAAGTATTCAATGAAAGGATTATCACTTGTAAGAATTTGCTGTATTTTGTTTATATTCTTTCAAATAAACATCAAAATTATTTGGTGTCTGTCCAGCAAAAGCAAAATATTTTAATACAATTGCACTAAATATATACAATAATTTTGGCAGAATGGATTGATTTTTGTTTTTGTATCTTTCCATTAGAGATGTAGAAAATTACTCCATTTATTCAAGATTTCTATTATTCAGTAAAGCTTTATACTTTTAGCAATATAAAATTTTAGAGTTTTAGTGATAAAGACATGAAAACTATCTGCCCACATTTATTTTAGATGTTTATATATTTGTGTAAACCATAAAATTTGTTAATTTTCTCATTTTTTTAATTAGTATTTTTAATTCAAAGAGTATTTTCAGTTAATAATTTTGAGCTTTTTATATTTAAAAAGTGAAGTTTTTAGATACATATTTTATCATTTTCTGAAAATTCATGAGTAATTTAGCCATAAAATTTGAAGAGACTGAAATAAAAATCTGTTACCCAGGTGTCACAGTAAATAGACACAAGTGTAAATTCTGATGCCCAATATTTTCTTAATTATTCAAATCTTTTTGTAGTTTATTATGTTTTTTTGTCTTCAGTTTATACTGAAATAAACTTCCTTACCCTGTTTATATGTATGTTTACAAATATTTTATTTATTTATTTGTTTATTGTATCAGTTTTCTATGGAACTTTTAACAATATATGTGGAGTATGGTTAATATTTTGTTACTTAAATTGAGAGAGGATTTAAGGGTACTAATTTCATTTTTAATTTTAATTTATTGCAACATTCTTTCATCTCACCAATTTGTATTACTGCTTTATCTTGTGTGTGTGTGTGTGTGTGTGTGTGTGTGTGACATGGTGTATATGCAATGTGCATATACTAGACTTCGAATCACTTTTCATTTATCTTTAAGAATAGTCTTGTACCAGTTCTATATCATTTAATTACTGCAGATGTACATAGTGTTTTAACATTCGAAGATGCTTTATTTCTATGCATTATACTCCATTCAAAAATTTGGATTTTTTTTTTTGCCTTGGCTTGGGGAAAGGGTTAGTTGACTTTGGAGGTTATAATTTTTGGCAGCAATGTGGTTATTACTACCCTAAAGCTCTTGGTTGATTAAGACTGTAATAGCAGTGAGAATTGTGTAACTAGTTAAGAGAGAGTGAATAAGACCAAGTATCTTATCATGTAACCAACACAGAAGTGAGTTAAATAGAACAATAGCTGCATGAAAGTTTGCTTAACCTCACCAGGAATCAGAGAAATGACAGTGACATGTTTTCAATTCATTAGACTGGCACAGTTTCAAATGAATGGTAATATATATGACAGAAAAGAGTATAACCTTACTATCAAAAATAGCTTAAGGCTTTCACTTGCTAACTAGTGATCTGCTGTATAATTAATCGTTCAACACATATTATAAGATGAGAGCTTTGAGCTTGGAAGTAGGCTGCCATAAAAAGCTAGACAGTGACCGGTTAACACAGAGGTTAAATAATGAAAGAGAGAAAGAGCTGAGAAAGAAAACAGATACAAAAATCCTGCAAATGTGACCTTGTAAACCATTCAAAAATAGATACCGAAATCTAAAACCATGAAAATCAACATAATCCATAATCAGAATGAAAATCCACTCCCTAAAAAAATCATTTAGTGGCTCTTTCTGACAAAGAAATTAAAATAATATAAAATATGTCCAAAAATGTTTAATATTATTTATCAAATTAATGAAGCTACCAGTTTGATAAATAAACACATACTCTTAAAAACAGTTTTAACTAAGGCTGGGGGCGGTGGCTCACGCCTGTAATCCCAGTATTTTGGGAGGCCGAGGCAGACAGATCACGAGGTCAGGAGTTCGAGACCAGCCTGACCAACAGGGTGAAAGCTCGTCTCTACTAAAAATACAAAAATTAGCTGGGCGTGGTGGTGCGTGTGTGTAATCCCAGCTACTCAGGAGGCTGAGGCAGGAAAATCACTTGAACCCAGGAAGCAGAAGTTGCAGTGAATGGAGATTGCGCCACTGCACTCCAGCCTAGGCAACAGAGCGAGACTCCATCTCACAAAAAAAAAAAAAAAAAAAAAAAAGACAGTGTTGACTATCTTTGAAAGGAATATTAGGAATAAAAGATAAAACAAGAAACTAAAGTGTCATAAAAATTAAATTGTGTGCATTTTACAAGTAAACATTGAAAAAAAATAGGGACACAGATAAAAATAAACTGAAAGTTAGAAAAAATACCATACCTGGATCAGAACAGAAAGACCATAAGGTAAAAATAGGAAGCAACATTTGAAACACTGAGGCTAAATCAGGAAGTTTCAATAATAATTTAATAGGATTTCAACAAACAGAGAATAGAGAGAATTACTGTGATTCATCATTTACAGAAATTGCTAAAAATGTGAAATACCAGGAAAAAAATGAACATCATATAGAATGTACTCTTCAAATATGAGATAACTTACATAAAAATATATCCATATGTAGACATGCCAATTAAATTTCAAAAATATCAAAGATAAGTAATCTTAAAACTACAAGATGAATTTCACATTACTAACAGCCTACATCAGCAACAATAGCAGAATTGAGATCAGAAAATAATAAGTCAGAAAAGTAAACACTCAACTTACAATTCAATATCTAGCCATGCATCATTTAGAGTTGAGAATAAAAGATGTTTTCATGTATACAATAACTAATTGTGTATAGTGTGCCACCCTCAATTAAGACAACAAAATATTAAAGAATGTATTTCAGCAAGAAGAAAGTTAAAAATGACAGAAAGTGTGTGATAAAACCACTGCTGAGTAGATAAGTTGATAAATTATGTCAATAAACCAGATTAAATATTGAATATAAAGTAATATTGTCTTTAGTTGTGTTTGAAAATAAAAAAATGATAAATTGTGAAAATGGAAAATTGTGCAGTAAATATTCTAAGGCAATGGTTCAAAAAATACTGCATAACTAACATCTGTTAGAAGAAAATGTAATATTTATTTTTAAAATACATTTCATAACAGTTATATATGCATAATTACCTTTAATGTTTTGAAATATATATATTTCAAATGCCTTTTGGTTTCCTGTGCTGTTTTGAAATATATATCTTATATTTCAAATAGAAATATATATCTTATATTTCAAATAGAAATATATATTTTATATTTCAAAAAGAAATATATATCTTATATTATATTTCAAATAGAAATATATATCTTATATTATATTTCAAATAGAAATATATATCTTATATTTCAAATAGAAATATATATCTTATATTTCAAATAGAAATATATATCTTATATTTCAAATAGAAATATATATCTTATATTATATTTCAAATAGAAATATATATCTTATATTATATTTCAAATAGAAATATATCTTATATTTCAAATAGAAACATATCTTATATTTCAAATAGAAATATATAACTTATAGTTCAAAACAGCACAGGAAACAAAAAGACATTTCACTGTGCTTGGATAACATAATTTTTATGTTATCAAATTTTAGAAATTGGTTGAAAATGGTTTTATGGCCTGAAATCTCCACATTTTTATATGAAGATTTATATTTATTTATTTATTTTTGCTTTATCATGCGTGATGTACAACGTACTCCCCTTTAAGTGACCATTTGTGGTTTTAACATTTCTAAAAATTTCTCAGCCAGTATATCTCAGTGGCCCAATACATAATTTTCTTCCCTTCTCAGACACTAATTAGATACATACTATACTTTTATTCTATTATTTATTTCTATGGTTTAAGCATGTCTCAAAATTCCATGTGTTGGGAATGTAGTCTTCAAATTTATATGTTGACTTGAAGTGGTGACTTTGGGAGGTAATTAGAATTAGACAAGATCATAAGAATGGAGCCCCTGTGGTAGGACTAGTGGCTTTGTAAAAAGAGGAAGAGAAATCTGAATGGGCACACTCTTGGCCTCTTGCTATGTGATTCCCTCATTATGTTCTGACACAGCAAGGAATCTTTTACTAGATACCAGAAACATGCTCTTGAACTCTCCATCTCCAGAACCATGAACAAATCAACATTTATTCCTACAAATCATCAGTTTGCAGTATTCAGTTTTAGCAACGGGACACAGATTAAGACATCTACATGTCTTGTTAACTTTTTTCAAGTTATCCATTTTTATTTATCTTTGCTACAATTTTTTTCTGTTTAATGTTTCAATCCATGAATTCTTTCTTCAAATTTTATTTCTTTAAGCACATTAAATATGTATTTTATGATCTTTATCTTATCCCCAAACCTGATTTTCCGGCAAATGTGAATATTAAAAAGTGGGCAAAGGACATGAACAGACACTTTTCAAAAGAAGAAATACATGTGGCCAACAATCATACTAAAAAACGCTCAACACTACTGATTATTAGAGAAATGATAATGAAAACCACAATGAGATACCATCTCACATCAGTCACAATGGCTATTATTAAAAAGTAAAAAAAAAAAACAGACGCTGATGTGGTTGTGGAGAAAAAGGAATGCTTATACACTGTTGGTGGGAGTGTAAATTAGTTCAGCCATCATGGAAGACCCCGTGACAATTCCTCAAAGACCTAAAGTCAGAACTACCATTAGTCCCACCACCCCATTGTTGGGTATATGCCCAAAGGAATATAAATTGTTCTATTGTAAACACAAATGCATGAGTATGCTCATTGCAGCATTATTCATAATAGCAAAGACATGAAATGAACTTAACTTAAATGCCCATCAGTAATAGGCTGTATAAGGAAATTGTGGTACATATACACCATGGAATATCATGCAGCCATAAAAAAAAACAGAATGAGATCATGTCTTTGCAGGGACATGGATGGAGCTGGAGGCCATTATTCTTAGCAAACTAATGCAGAAATAGAAAACCAAATATCACATGTTCTCATGTATAAAAGGGAGCTAAATGATGAGAACATATGTACATGTAGCGGGGAACAACACATAGGGCATAATGGAAGGTGGAAAGTGGAGGGTTGGATGAGGGAGAAAATGAGGAAAAAAAAACTAATAGTTACTAGGTTTAATATCTGAGTGAAGAAATAGTCTGTACAACAAAACCCCATGACAAAAGTGTACCTATATAACAAACCTGCACACGTAACCCTGAACTTAAAAGTTTTTAAAAAAGAAAAAGAAATAGAAAAGGAAAACATTTATATTATTAATGATGATAATAGCGCTGCTGCTGATTAACAGGATACTTATTAATCTCATCTATTATGTGGGTTAGTAAGCAATGCCACAGAGATTTCTGAAATGCTAACCACTTATGAATAACTTCCCAATTACTTTTTCCTTCATCAACTGCTGGGAATTTTCTGTGCATTTCTTTGTTCCTCCTCATATTTTATTTTATCTTCCCATTGATTGACCTAAAACTTCATCCTTCTCAATACCATATGACCAAAACAAAAATGAAGTGAAAAAGTGAACAATATTAGAGTATTGACTAATCTTTTTATTAAAAATATCAAAAGCTGAAAAACTTAATAACAGGACTGATGGAGTTAACTATATCATTCAGATATGGTGCACACGTGTCAATCTGAAGACTACTTTGCTCTTCGTGACTTCAAAAAGTAGCACACTGAGACTTCTCTATGTAATTTCCTTTTTTTAATGTCCTAGGATGCTCATATAACCACAGTGGAATCTAATGCATATACACGTCTTCTTTTGAGAGCTATGTGTACATTAGTGAGGCTTTAGTTTTCTTGGAAACATTATACAGTGAAGCAACCAAATTGTTTCAAACATTGCTGATTAACAGGAAACTTGGAGAACATGAAACTTGTTACCAAACTAGGAAGTGTCCGGGAGTATAATTTATATACACCACAATATGCTGCAAGTGTGTTTCATGTTATCCTCATTGTTCCTTCCATGCATCTTCTTTTTAAAATGCAATCACTCCTTAAATGAAATTTTTTCTGGAAATATTCATCAGGAAAATATTACAATGATGTCCCATAAATTTCGGCCTCATTTCTAAGTGGTACTATAAATTTTTGGCTTTATCTTTTCATTTGAATGGTATTTAGAAAGTCTTCTTAAGTATATTTGGAATCCGAAGAGCTTCATCGTTTGAAATGTACTGTTAAAGGTTAATGACTGTTAGTCAGGGTTCCTAGGGAGGTAGAACATATAGGATATGGAGATAGTTACATTAGAGAAGATTTATTAGCGGAATGGGCTCCCATGATTATGGAGGCTGAGAAGTCTCATGATAGGCCATCTGCAAGCTGGAGACCAGGGAAGCCAGTAGCACGGCTCAGTCCAGGCATTCCTCAGGTGGTCAGACTTGGACTGAGCCATGCCAACTGGCTTCCCTGGTCTAGGCAATCCAGTGGTATGAATTCAGTCCCAGGTCAAAGGCCCCAAAACAGAGCTGCTGTTGTGAGCCCCAGAGTCCAAGAGCTGGAGGAACTGGAGTTCTGATATTCAAATGCAGGAATAGAAGAGCCTCTTGCTTTGGAAGCAAGAAAGAGAGCAATAGTTTGTCCTTCCTTTGACTTTGTTTTCCATCTGGAACCCCAAATAGGATGGTTCCTTTCTACACTGAGGGAGAATCTTCCTCACTCAATCCACTGACTCACATATCAATCTCCTCAAAAAACACCCCCCCCGACACACCCAGAAACAATACTTTTCCAGCTAAGTATTCCTTAATCTAGTCAAGTTGACACCTAAAGTTAACCATTGCTGATTTTCACATAATTATTAAAAATAAAAATCATTGAATGAAGTTAAAAGTAATGAATGTATGCATGAAAATGATACAAATAATTCAATTAGGAAGTCCACCTAAGATACAATTTAGGATTGTAAACTTACACTTAAGGTCTTAGTGAAGCATAGTTCAAAAAAAAATTTTTTTTTTGCGGGGTGGGGGAAGTCATCATTTATTTGTCTTTTACATGAAAACAGATTTGGGGGAGGGAGAAGCATAGTTTTTATCAAATTCTTTCTTATTTAGAAGTAACCTTCATAGCCTCTGAAAATAAAATTCCACATTACCATTTTTAAAATGATTATTTCCAAATGCTTGGCAATTTCTGGGAACTTTAGAACCTTCATCCACTACATTTTAAGTTAACACAGGTATTATCAAACAAATATGCCAGTCACTTCAATCTTTTATACAAACATTAATAAGTAAAGACAAAAAAAATTTCCTAGCATGAAAGAATCATGAGACACAGTATAATACCACTTGGAAGTACAACAGTGGAACTCAACATGAGCCAATCTCAGCTCATCAGCATTGCCATGACTGCAATGCTTCACTTTGTTTTATGAGCTACCTAGAGCCAGATGCTATAAAATTGCTGTGAGGGATTGCCTACTAGGGACTTATGTAGGCCATGCCAGGAGTAACACAGTGGTCTCTTTATACTACTATCCATGTAATAAACATTCTGTACAGCAGAGTTTGGGAATGTAGGAAGTGTTTTTTAAATTATGTCCTAAGAAAGCATTTGTCCCAAACACTAATATTCATTCTACCACACAATTCCTTAGAAATCTCATTCAGCATTGCCACACATGTTTGCAATAATAGCAATTTTGCTGGCCAGTGTTCTCAGGACCGACAGCACAAACATCTATGCTGGCAGAGTAGGCAGCAACCATCACGTGTTTGGTTGCTTGATTCCAGGCAGTTTACCTCATTTGTAAATAGGACTCACGGCCAGGAATTCTGGTTTGCAAGTTCTCTCACCTCGTTTGGAAACATTTAATTCATTCTAACAATCTGTCTGGTGTACAGAAAGAAAACAATGTTCTAGTGCATCCTGCCATTTCTTTGAACAGCCACATTCCATATTTTACTTCTTTTTTTCTCATTTTCTATAGAGTTGATGAAGCAAAGCTCCCCAGTGGATAGGAGCTTGTGATTTATATGAAAACAAGCACTAAAATTCAATGTAAATAGATACACCTTTGGGAAAACTTTGGGAAGCTTTGAGAAAGATATCAATCAATTATTTTTTTAAGTACCAAGGTTCATCTCATGAAACCACACATTAAATAAAAGCCTGTGTTTTTGGTTTAGCGCTAATTTCACCGGAACATCCTGTGGTGAAGAGTCTATGATTATTGTGCCCATACTTCTTCAGAGAAATAAAATGAAAAAACAGCATCCCTTTAATTTTTTATTTTATAATTTCTATTTGGGTCTATTTGGATATAATTTATAAATCCATAAAGTCTACTTGGTACATTTAAAAGTTGTTTTAACTGTGATCAAGTAGTATTAACCAAAATGGAATAAATAATTTTTTTTAAAAAGTTAGTTTATTTTGGTCCTTAGTATCCTGAGCAATCCATTGTAACAATACAAGCTGACTTCAAAATCCAACTGAACTCATTTTTTAAAAATGAGCAATAATAGGTCTTATATAATAGAATTGTGAGAAATTGGAGGTTTTACTAAAAGTGTTATTTAGATGAGAAAATTATAGCCTCATATTAGCACATCTGCACCTTGACAATCAAATGCATGAGTGCATTATAATTTCAATGAATTATGCAAAATGCTAATTAAAAAGTTGAATTTACTAATCATCTCTCAGGGTCATAACTGGAATTGAATTTGAGTAAGGACGAACAATTCCATGAAGTGCATTTTCATCGTGTAGTCTTTAAAGCTGTTTAGAAATGCATACCAGAAAAACAATTTTTGTTTCTATATAGATGCTAATTGATTTTGCTGTGTTCAACCTATCAGAAATTATTGATTACTCCCTTATAAATTATGGCTATATACTGTTACCATGACTTTCAGAAAATGGTGCATTATAAATATACCTAATTATAATAAATGTAGGCTTTGCATTTTAAATTTTGAACTAGTTAAGCAGTAGAAATTTCTCATATAATTTTCTATACCTACTATTCACCTTTCAAGCATAAAGCATATTATAAAATGGTTTTATGTATTTCCTATTTATGATATTTTCAATTTTTAGCCCTTTAAAGACATATTTCAAAAATGTACTCATGTTTACTTCTAATCATTATTTGGAACATCTGGATATTATAGAACACAGTACTATAATTTTTGAGATAGCTATATTCACAACAGATGAATAATTAGGTAGATTAAAAATATAATTTTGCACAACTGCATTTTAAATATAATGTAATAGCTTCAGTGTCTCTTCAAAATTTTAATTTAATATTTAGAAGTATTCTGCTTCTATTTGTCATCATATCATTTTTTTCAAACAAAAGCTATAAAAATATAAGATAAAATGATTTGACCCTTCTTCTGCCTACACAACCTTCCCCACTTTCCAAGGGCCAGATGAAGTTCTACATTCTTGTGAACTGAATGGATAGGAATAAAATGTTATCCAAAAACATTCCCACTCATCAAAGGATTGGTGTATCCTACTGGAACAAAATAAGTAAAGTAAAATTAAGACAGACTGCCAATAGCTCCTCCAAAATACTAAGACAATGTGTCTCATATGAGAAAACATGAATACACATGTTGAATTAAATTCAGGTCACTGGATTCATTAAGTTCAAATTTGTTATAGAACTTCAATGCTTCTCATTAAGTATCTGAAATTTACTGTTAATTTTGAGATGACTTTGGCAGTCAATGTATAATTTTGTCTAGTGAAGTCCTACTTTCAGGATTACTTTGGCAATGCTTCTTTTGATTATTAAATTTAAGTGCTTATTACCTGCAATTCTACAAAATGTTTAATGTTCCAAGACAGTATTTGTAAAGATACAAAACCTCTGTGTTACAAGGACAAGGTAGATTCTGCCAGACATTTTAATGCCGTTGCTGGTCACTCAAGCTATAATTGGCTCTAATTAGCTCTCTCATCCAGCTGTAACATTCTTTACCTGCAGCTGAGAGGCACTCAGGAGAGTGGAAAAACCACTCCTATTGAGTGTTTGGAAATATCAGCTAAATTCCTGCCACTATGATCATTATAAATGAGCTGCAAACCCATTAGCTCTGATAGGAAATTTGTTGTGGGAAGGAGATTTGATCCAAACTAGCCCTACAATAATAGTAATCAATGTCCAATGAAAACACATACCACTATGTGAAAAAGGCCCATAAGTAAAGACTGTATTTAAAACAGAAGACTAGACAGGCTGGGTGGAAATTCAACTTTCTCTGTTTATTCAGCTTACTTTCTACTTTACATAATAGACTTAGAGTTTTTGAGTTTCTTGAATAAAACATTCTTTCATAAATTCAGAACTCCTCAGCTTTATTCTGAAAACTTAGAGTGACAATAATGGAATGTTCTCACTATTGTTTAATTTTCCTCCCAGGGATAAAGAAATGGCATAAACATATCCATCCAGAAGGCTATGCAAAAGTCTGACAAAATTTTCTCTCTGCAAAATCTTATTGATTTACAAATATTTTCCTGATTTTTCAAATGAAACAACTAGTATGAATAGAAAATATATATCTTGATGGAAAGAAAGGGATAATGAAACTAGGGGCCAATTCAAAACCAAACCTAACAGAAGTGGAAGTACATCATTTTTTTTTTTTATTTTTGTCAAATGAGTATTAATTCTTACCCAATACTGTAATTACGAAGACTCTTATTTTTGATTATGTGTAATTGAAGGAATACCTTAAAAAGTATCACAATAATGTGAATATACTACTACAATTGGGATTGGAATTGAGTGTGGAAATCAAGGTAGTGGTAAATACACTTTCTTTGCACTAATAGCTGAATAAATTGTTCTGTTACCTGGGGTTGTTTCTCCCATCTGGAAGTTCCTGTCACTACCATGTTAGAAACCCCAAGGTAGGATTAACCTTATTTTTTTCTTTATTTCTTCAAAACAAAAACAGGATACATGTGCAGAACATGCAGGTTTGTTACATAGGTATACATGTGCCTTGGTGGTTTGCTGCACCTACTGAGTCGTCCTATAAGTTCCCTCCCCTCACCCTCCACCCCCAACAGGCCCTGGTGTGTGACGTTCCCCTCCCTGTGTCCATGTGTTCTTAATGATCAGCTCTCACTTATGAGAAAGAATATGCAGGGTTTGGTTTTCTGTTCCTGTGTTAGTTTGGTGAGGACCATGGCTTCCAGCTTCTTCTGTGTCCCTGAAAAGGACATGATCTCATTCCTTTTTGTGGCTGCATAGTATTCTATGGTGTATATGTACCATATTTTCTCTATCCAGTCTATCATTGATGGGCATTTGGGTTGGTTCCAGGTCTTTACTATTGTAAATAGTGCTGCAATTAACATACATGGGCATGTGTCTTTAGAGTAGAATGATTTATATTCCTTTGTGTATACACTAAGTAATGGGATTGCTGGGTCAAATGGTATTTTTGGTTCTAGATCCTTGAGAAATTGCCATACTGTCTTCTACAATGGCTAAACTAATTTACATTCCCACCAAAAGTGTAAAAGCGTTCCTTTTTCTCCAGAGCCTTGCCAGCATCTATTGTTTCCTGACTTTCTAATAATTGCCATTCTGACTGGCGTGAGATGGTATCTCACTATGGTTTTCATTTGCATTTCTCTGATGTTGAGCTTTATTCATGTGTTTGTTGGCAATGTAAATATCTTCTTTGGGAAGTGTCTGTTAATATCCTTTGCCCATTTTTTGATGGGGTTACTTTTTTTCTTGTAAATGTGTTTATGTTCCTTGTAAATTCTGGATAACAGACCTTTGTCAGGTGGGTAGATTGTAAAAACTTTCTCCCATTCTGTAGGTTACCTGTTCACTATGATGCTAGTTCCTTTTGCTGTGCAGAAGCTCTTTAGTTTAATTAGATCCCATTTGTCAATTTTGGCTTTTGTTGCAATTGCTTTTGGTGTTTTGGTCATGAAGTCTTTCCCATGCCTATGTCCTTAATGGTGTTGCCTGAGGTTTCTTCCAGGGTTTCTATGGTTTTGGATTTTACATCAAGTCTTTAATCCATCTTGAGTTAATTTTGTGTACGGTGTAAGGAAAGGGTCCAGTTTCAGTTTTCAGCATATGGCTAGCCAGTTTTCTCAGAACCATTTACTGAATAGGAGATCCTTTCCCCATTGCTTGTTTTTGTCAGGTTTATCAAAGATCAGATGGTTGTAGATGTGTTGTGTTATTTCTGAGGTCTCTGTTTTGCTCCATTGGTCTATATGTCTGTTTTGGTGCCAGTACCATGCTGTTTTGGTTACTGTAGCCTTGTAGTATAGTTTGAAGTCAGGTAGCATGATGCCTCTAGCTTTATTCTTTTTGTGTAAGATTGTCTTGGCTATACGAGGTTTTCTTTGATTCCATATAAAATTTAAAATATTTTTTTCTAATTCTGTGAAGAATGTGAATGATAGTGTGATGGGAATAACATTGAATCTATAAATTTTGGGGGGCAGTATGGTCATTTTCACGATATTGATTCTTCCTATCCATGAGGATGGAATGTTTTTCCATTTGCTTGTGTCCTCTTTTATTTCCTTGAGTAGTGGTTTGTAGTTCCCCTTGAAGAGGTTCTTAAAATCTTTTGTTAGCTGCATTCCTAGGTATTTTATTCTCTTTGTAGTGATTGTGAATGGGAGTTTATTCATGATTTGGCTCTCTGCTTGCTATTGTTGGTGTAAAGGAATGCTTGTGGTTTTTGTACATTGATTTTGTATCCTGAGACTTTGTTGAGTTTGCTTATCAGTTCAAGAAATTTTCGGGCTGGAAGAGATGGGGTTTTCTAAATATAAAATCATGTCATCTGCCTACAGAGACAACTTGACTTCCTCTCTTCCTATTTGAATACCCTTTATTTCTTTCTCTTACCCGATTGCCATGGCCAGAAATCCCAATACTATGTTGAATGCAAGTGGTGAAAGAGGGCATTCTTGTCTTGTACCAGTTTTCAAAGGGAATGTTTCCAGCTTTTTCCCATTCAATATGATATTGCCTGTGGGTTAGACATAAATAGCTCTTATAATTTTGAGATATTTTCCATCAATACCTAGTATATTGAGAGTTTTTAACATGAAGGGATGTTGAATTTTATCAAAAGCCTTTTTTGAATCTACTGAGATAATCCTGTGGTTTTTGTCTTTGGTTCTGTTTATGAGATGAATTACGTTTATTGATTTGTATATGTTCAACCGGCCTTGCATCCCAGGAATGAAGCCAACTTGATTGTGATGGAAAAGTTGTTTTATGTGCCCCTGGATTTCATTTGCCAGTATTTTATTGAGGATTTTCATATTGATGTTCATCAGGGATATTGGCCTGAAGTTTTGTTGCTGTGTCTCTTCCTGGTTTTGGTATCAGGATGATGCTGGCTTCATAAATTGAGTTAGGGAGGAGTCCCACCTTTTCAATTGTTTGAAACAGTTTCAGAAGGAATGATACCAGCTCTCCTTCTATTTCTGGTGGAATTCAGCTCTGGCCCTGAGCTTTTTTGGTTGGTAGGAAATAATTACTGCCTCAATTTCAGAGTTTGTTATTAGTCTATTCAGGGATTCAACTTCTTCCTGATTTAGTCTTGGTAAGGTGTATGCGTCCATGAATTAATCCATTTCTTCTAGATTTTCTAGTTTATTTGGGTAGAAGTGTTTATAATATTCTCTGATGCCAGTTTGTATTTTTGTGGGGTCATTGGTGATATCCCCTTTATCATTTTTATTGTGTCTATTTGATTCTTCTCTCTCTTCTTTATTAGTCTAGTAGTGGTCTATCTATTTTGCTAATTTTTTTAAAAAAACAGCTCCTGGATTCATTGATTTTTTTGAGGGTTTTCCTGTCTCTATCTCCTCCAGTTCTTCTCTTCTCTTAATTATTTCTTGTTTTCTGCTAGCTTTTGAATAACCTTGCTTCTGCCTCTCAAGCTCTTTTAATTGTGGTGTTAGGGTGTCAATTTGAGATTTTTCTAGCTTTCTGATATGGACATTTAGTGCTAGAAATTTCCCTCTTAATATTGCTTTAGCTGTGTCACAGAGATTCTGGTATGTTGTCTCTTTGTTCTCATTGGTTTCAAAGAACTTCTTGATTTCTGCCTTAATTTCATTATTTACCCAGGAGTCATTCAGGAGGAGCTTGCTCGATTTCTGTGAAATTATGTAGTTTTGAGTGAGTTTCTTAATCCTGAGTTATAATTTATTTCACCGTGGTCTGAGAAACTGTTTGTTATGATTTCAGTTCTTTTGCATTTGCTGAGGAGTGCTTTACTTCCAGTTATGTGGTTGATTTTAGAATAAGTGTCAGGTGACATTGAGAAGAATGTATATTCTGTTGATTTGGGGTAGAGACTTCTGTAGACATCTACTAGCTCCACTTGATCCACAGATGAGTTCAAGTTTTGAGTATCCTTGTTAATTTTCTGTCTCATTGATCTGTCTAATACTGACAGTGGTGTGTTAAAGCCTTCCACTATTATTCTGTGGGAGTCTAAGTCTCTTTGTAAGTCTCTAAGAACTTGCTTTATGAATCTGGGTGCTCCTATTTTGGGTGCATATATATTTAGAATAGTTAGCTCTTTTTGTTGAATTATTCCATTTACCATTATATAATGCCCTTCTTTGTCTTTTTGATCTTTGTTGGTTTAAGTCTGTTTTGTCAGAGACTAGAATTGCAACCCCTGCTTTTTTTCTTTGTTTTCTATTTGCTTGGTAAGTTTTCCTCTATCTCTTTGTTTTGAGCCTGTGTCCTTGCACCTAAGATGGGTCTCCTGAATACAGCACATTGATAGGTTTTGACTCCTTATCCAATTTGCCAGTCTGCATCTTTTAACTGGGGCATTTAGCCCATTTATATTTGAAGTTAGTATTGTTATTTGTGAATTTGATCCTGTTATCATGATGCTATTTGGTTATTTTGCACACTAGTTGATGCAGCTTCTTCATAGTGTCATTGGTGTTTATATTTTGGTGTGTTTTTGCAATGGCTGGTACCTGTTTTTTCTTTCCATATGCAGTGCTTCTTTCAGGAGCTCTTCCAGGGCAGGCCTAGTGGTAGCCAAATCCTTCGTCATTTGCTTGTCTGGAAAGGATATTATTTCTTCTTCACTTATGAAGCTTAGTTTGGCTGGATATGAAATTCTGGGTTGAAAAATCTTTTCTTTAAGAATATTTAATTTTGGCCCCCAGTCTCTTCAGTCTTGCAGAGTTTCTGCTGAGAGGGCCACTGTTAGTCTGATGGCCTTCCCTTTGTAGGTGACCTGGCCTTTCTCTCTGGCTGAGCTTAACAGCTTTTCCTTCATTTCGACCTTGGAGAATCTGATGATTATGTGTCTTGGGGTTGCTCTTCTCATGGAATATCTTAATGGTGTTCTCTGTATTTCCTGAAGTTTTCCTGGTTAATATTCTGAAGTGTGTTTTCCATTCTCCTCCTCTTCTTTTTGTACTTTAATCAATCGTAGGTTTGGTCCTTTATGAAGTTCCATATTTCTTGGAGGCTTTGTTCATTCCTTTTCATTCTTTTTTCTCTATTCTTGTCTACATGTCTTATTTCAGTAAGGTGGTCTTCAAACTCTGACATCCTTTCTTCCACTTGTTCAATTTAGCTGTTGATATTTGTGTATGCTTCATAAAGTTCTTGTGCTGTGCTTTTCAGCTCCACCAGATCGTTTACACTCCTCACTAACTGGTTATTCTAGTTAGCAATTCTTCCTTCCTTTTATCAAGGCTCTTAGCTTCTTTGTATTGGGTTAGATCATGCTACTTTAGCTCAGCATAGTTTTGTATTACCCATCTTCTGAAGCCTATTTCTGAAAATTCATCCATCTGATCCGCCATCCAGTTCTGGGCCCTTGATGGAGAGATGTTTCGATCATTTGAAGGAGAAGAGGCACTCTGGCCTTTTAGGTTTTCAGCATTTTTTCACCGATTATTTCTCATCTTCATGAGTTTGTCTAGTTTCAGTCTTTGAGGCTGCTGACCCTTGGCTGGGGTTTTTGTGGGGGCCTTTTTTGTGTTTGTTGTTGATGCTCTTGTTGTCGCTTTCTGCTTGTTTTTCTTTCAATAATCAGGTCCGTCTTCTGTAGGTCTGCTGCAGTTTTCTGGGGTTTCACTTCAGGCCCTTTTCATCTCATTCACTCCTATGCCCAGAGATGTCATTTAAGGAGGCTGGAGAACAGCAAAAATGGGTGCCTTCTCCTTCTTTTGGGACCTCTGCTCTTGAGGAGCACCAACCTGATGCTAGTAAGATTGCTCCTGTATAGGGTGTCTGACAACCCCTGTTGGACTGTCTCATCCAGTTGGATGGCACGGGGAATAGGACCCATTTAACAAAGCACTTTGTCCCTTGGGGGAGAGCCTGTGCTTCACTGGGGGAAAACACACTTGTTTGGGCTGCCCAGATCCCTCAGAACTACTGTAGCAAGATGAGCCACAGACAAAACTCCTCAGACACCAAGTTAAAGAAGGAAGGGGTTTATTCGGCCGGGAATATTGGCAAGACTCCTGTCTCAACAGCTGAGCTCCCTGAGTCAGCAATTCCTGTGCCTTTTAAGGGCTCACAACTCTAAGGGGGTCTGTGTGAGAGGGTCGTGATCGATTGAGCAAGCAGGGGGTACGTGATTAGGGGCTGCATGCACTGGTAATCAGATTGGAACAGAACAGGACAGGGATTTTCACAGTGCTTTTCCATACAATGTCTGGAATCTATAGATAACATAACCTGTTAGGTCAGGGGTCCATCTTTAACTACCAGGCCTAGGGCATGGCGCCAGGGTGTCTGCCTGTGGATTTCATTTCTGCCTTTTAGTTTTTAAATGATGGGTCAGGGTTAGACCTGAAGAGGCACTCTGGCCACTGACTGCCACAGCCAGTGTGTTGGGCTGTGGGGGCAAATCTTTGGACAAAGCCATAAGCTTCCCTGGCCCCAACAGGGGAAAAGTGCACCTGGAGCTATAAAAATGGGTGCTGCCCTTCCCCCGCCCAGAGAGCTTAGCATGTTAGGCAGCTGTGAGTCCCAGTGCTGGCAGCTGCCCCTCCCCCAAGGAGCTCAAATGGCTTAGACCGCAGGGAGCTGCAGCAGGTGCTGGTCACCCCTCCTCCTGGGAGTTAGGTAGATTCTAGCTGAAAGGCTGTAAGAATCTGCACTTTCTGGGGTTGAGATGCTAGGCCCCAGTGGTGTGCGTTTACGAGTAGAATCTTCCAATCCGTGGGTTCCACAGTTCCCTGGAAAAAGCACAGGTTCCCCGGCTGGGTACCGTGCCCACTCACTGCCTCCCTTGGCCAGGAGTAGGGGGTTCCCCTTCCTCATATGGCTGTCAGGTCGGCTGTCACACCACACTGTTTTTCTTTCTCTCTGTGGGTCACGTGAGCCTTCTAGTCAATTTCGATGACAGAACCTGGATATTTTTACTGCCAGTTATGTTTTATTTCCACGGGAGACTTGAAATGCTATTTCTTCTAGTCGGCCATCTTGGCTGGGCCCCTGTGTGTCCCAGCTACTCTGGAGGCTGAGGCAGAAGAAACTCTTGAAACCAGAAGGCAGAGGTTGCAGTGAGCCGAGATAGCACCACTGCACTCCAGCCTGGGCAACAAGAGCAAAACTCCGTCTCAAAAAAAAAGAAAATAAGATTTCTAAAATTATAACTGTCATGATCCAAAGAAATAAATTTATTAAAAACAAAAAAAAATGTGAATTTTTTGAAAAAAGTTGAATCTCCACTAGCAGCAATTCTTTGTCTATATCTGTCTTTGAAGCATTCCTATTTGGCCCGCACAGAAACAATATGCAAATAAGAAGATGCTGTTACAAAGCAGCAAGTTCTGAGCAGATAAAATTCAGAGCAGTAAAAAATAGCTACAGATAGTATAAAAGACCACTGAAGAGTCTTCATGGAAAAGGTATAATTATGTTGGTCTCCAAGAAAAGGTAAAATTTAGACCTGAATAAGATAAGTTAGGAAGAGGCCAGGCATGGTGGCGCATGCCTGTAATCCCAGCACTTTGGGAGGCTGAGTCAGGTGGCCCACGAGGTCAGGAGATCAAGACCATCCTGGCCAACATGGTGAAACCCCGTCTCTACTAAAAATACAAAAACTAGCTGGGTGTGGTGGTGCACACCTGTAATCCCAGCTAATCGGGAGTCTGAGGTAGGAGAATTGCTTGAAACCGGGAGGCAGAGATTGCAGTGAGCCAAGATTGTGCCACTGCACTCCAGCCTGGAGACAGAGCAAGACTCCATCTCAAAAACAAACAAACAACAAAAAAGATAAGGTAGGAAGTATTTCAATTAAGACTGCTGTGATAGATATTGATTAGGAAAATAATGTGAAACCAATGTTCCTGTAACAAAGGATTGGTGGAAAGCAGAAACAAAACATATGGTCACTGTCCAATTACATTTTCTTTAGAAAACTTTGTGTAATTCTATGTAACTATTCCATCTGGTACAAATAGGATTCAGAAGAAAGTCATAAAATACTTTTAAGGCCTGATACTTTTCATATCAGGTTAATCTTGATTAGCGTCTTTGTTATTTTAGGTCCTGTCATCATACAATGACGCATAGCACATTTCTACTTATGTATTAAGCCACACTTTCTTACTCTGGCCATAATTTCACTATTTCCTAGTCATTGAAAATTAGTTTCTTTGTTTTAAAATCAAACAAGTCAATTTTCAAAAGGATTGTTAAAGTGCATTCCTCCAGTAGTTTCATTAAAAATGGCTTACTTTGGCCAGGCACGGTGGTTCATGCCTATAATCCCAGCACTTTGGGAGGCTGAGGTGGACAGATCACGAGGTCAGGAGATCGAGACCATCCTGGCTAACACGGTGAAACCCCATCTTTACTAAAAATACAAAAAATAAGCCAGGCATGGTGGCGGGCACCTGTAGTCCCAGCTGCTTGGGAGGCTGAGGCAGGAGAATGGCATGAACCCAGGAGGAGGAGCTTGCAGTAAGCCGAGATCATGCCACTGCACTGCAGCCTGGGTGACAGAGGAAGACTCCGTCTCAAAAAAAAAAAAAAACAACAACAACAAAAAATGCTTGCTTCAATAATACTGTTTTCAGTTCAATATTAGTGACTATTTAGTTCACAGTAATTTAACCTGAAAAAAAATCTGTAGATAACTAGAGTGTAGTGAACTGTGCTCCCAAATATTTTGTATTTTTAATAAAGTTAATCAATAAATTGATAGATGTATGAAGAGACCCCTGTACAGCCAAGTTTGAAGACTTTCAGATATTATCATGTCAAGTTTTTAAGTGTTTGATAATCAACATTCCTGAATTAACTCATTTGGTACTCTACTTAATGGATATCTTACAAAAAATTAGAAACTTCTAGAGCTTTCTTAAATATATGTCATGATATTAACCAATGAAACACTGTTATCTATAGCATGATACATTATGTTATGAAGTGAGAAAAACCTATCCCACTGACCTTCTTCCAAATAATATACTTTTATGATCTATATCTTTATTTAAAGAAAAAATATCAGAGAGAAAAAGACCTAAACCTAGATACATTTTTAGTTTTTTAAAAATTGCTATTGCATGTTAACCTGAATATTTTACCTTCTATACCCTACTGTCTCTCATTGAGTTTCTCAGCCTACATTCTGTACTGCTGATCACTGAAAGCCTTGCATTCTGATTTCTAAGTCTCTCATTACATTGTTATATCCTTCTGACTAGGCTCAGTACTGGAATCAAGACTACCCCTGAGGCTGCCACTGTAAAATTCACCGATCTTGTGATACCCTCTACAATGATTCAAAAGGCCAAGCTAATGACTGTTTACAATATTTAGTGACATAGGTCTTATTAGGTCAAATCTATAGACACATTTTCCCCAAGATAAATGCATGAGAAGTCTCAATTTTACTTCCAAAAAATAGAGACCTTAGAACTCCTCACTCTTATAAAGATGATTCTGTACAAACTAAAAGTCAAGAACTTTTCTTGAACCCTTCAGAGAATCTAGGTCTCAGGGCAAACTGCCACTGAGAAATTTGGAGAGATTGGGCAATCTAGAATATAGAGATATACAACTCCCAAGAATTGTTAACTAGAGGCAGAGGACACTTGAAGCCAAAAACTAGTAGGAACACTGACATGCTCATGTTGAATTGCTGGTGGGCTGTGTAGGGACTAGCACAAGTGAGAAACTCCAGGAAGGCTGCAATCATGAGATGATGGGCAGTGGGTTTACACCACCTTTTCAGGAATGCTACTAGGACTTCATGGTGAGGATCTGATAAAGATCCCCTCTTCAACCACAGTGAAACCCTCCCAGAATCTTGTCTTTAACAAATACTTCTAAGGGAAATGAATACCAATGTGTTCTGGAGGAGGGAGAGAAATATTTGAAAGTCCACATCTTCATGTCAGAGGCCCACTAAAAGGTGAAGACTTAATCAGGAGATGGTAGAGAGGTCTCTGTCCCCCACACCCTTCCACCATGCCAGCAAGCCTCTAATATTATAATAGATTATAACTGAAAGAGTTACAAGACACAGACTTTCTCTGAGGAACAGTGAAAAAGGAAATAAGAAAATCAAAAGGAGAGTCAGAAATAAACCCATTAGAGGAATTTAACATCTTGTACCTATGTCGACAACAAACATGAAACACAGCTCAACTCAGCCATATTAACAAAAATCAGCTCACTCGAGGCTCATTCACCCCCAGCACTTACTTCTCGATACATTATTTCTACTTTCAAGACAACATTGCAAGACATGCAAAAGAACCAGAAAAAAAAAACAAAATACAAATAAATAAAGCAACCACCAGAACCAGATTCTAATATGACACAGATGTTGGTATTATTAGACAAGGAATTTTAAAAAATTATGACTAATATGTTAAGGACATTAATTGAAAAGGTAGAAGACCGGTAATATCAGATGGATAATGTAAATGGAGAAATGAAAACTATAAGAAAAGAAAAAAGGGAAAACCTAGAAATTAAAAGTCAGAATAACAAAAACCAAAGAAATATTTGACAGGCTTAAGTAAACTTAACATAGCTAAGAAAACAGTAAACTTGAAGATGAATTAAAAAGAAACTTCCAAAGAGAAAAATAATTAAAAAGTAATAATGGTGGAAAAGGAGACTAAAACAAATAAAAAAGCAGATTATAGAAAATAGTTACACAAGTGGTAGAATTTGATCTAAATATATCACTATAATTACTTCAAATATAAAATTTAAAGAGTCCTGTTGAAAGACAGAGATTGTCAGGTTTTCTTTTAAAAATACCCCGAAATATTCTGTTTAAAATTAATGATAAATGCCAAAACACAGATTCAGGAAGGTCAGAAAATATCAAGTAGGATTACATACAGACACACCCGCCAGAGGCATGTTCTATACAAACTGCAGAAAATCAAAGAAAAATGAAAATCTTGAAGGAAGACAAACCAAAATTGAGGAATATTCTCCAGATATCTTACCAGTATTCCTCCGGACTGTGAAGGACATTAAAAACAAGGAAAGTCTGAGAAGCTGGCACAGTCAATAGGGTGCTAAGCAAAGATGATGACTAAATGTTAATATGGGATCCTGGAACAGAAAAAGACATCAGGTAAAAACTAAGGAAATCCAAATTAAATCTGACTTCAGTTCATTACAATATGTCAAATATTAGTTAGTTTGACAACAGTACTGTAGCACATTGCTAATGACAGGAGAAACAGTGTGCTGAGTAAACAAAGTCTGTAATGTACTTGACACTTTGTAAATATAAAACTATTATAAAATAAAAACATAAAAATTAATGCATACGGCCAGGCACGATGGCTCATGCCTGTAATCCCAGCACTATAGGAGGCTAAGGAGGGTGGATCACCTGAGGTCAGGAGTTCGAGACCAGCCTGGCCAACATGAAAAAACCCCGTCTCTAATAAAAATACAAAAATTAGCCAGGTATGGTGGCACGTGCCTGTAATCCCAGCTACTCCTGGGACTGAGGCAGGAGAATCGCTTGAACCCGGGAGGTGGAGATTGCAGGGAGCCGAGATCGTCCCACTGCACTCCAGCCTAGGCGAAAGAGCAAAACTCCATCTCAATAATAATAATAATAATTTATAGCATCCGGAGATTAAGTCCGTATTGGCTCTACATCCATCATGTGCTGTCATGCAACTAGATATCTTCTCTAATTATTGAGACTTGATGATGAGTCTTATGGTTCTTTTCAATCCAGGAGCCATCTACAGTCAATGTAATGTTTATTTAACTCTTATCCTTAAAGGGACTTATGAATTACAGTCTGAAAACTTTTTTTCCTAGGAGGCACTATTCTCCTTTTTATGAATTTGTGAATGCAAATAAATACGTTTGTTAATGGGCACTGTTAATTCTGCTAGGTCACATCCAGTCAATTGCTAGAAAATGAGCATCTATTTTCTCCCTCCAACAGATCCAAACCTCTTCTCTTTCCTAACAAAGTAACCTATCATAATGATTCTTCAGTTTTAAAATGTGTTGTATTTTATCACCATTGTGAACTATAGTCTGGTCAGTTTTAGGTGCTTACATTATATCAGGAGCAAACTTTATAACATCTTTACCATTATGGAGTTCATATTCTTAAGAAGAAAACAAAGGAATATAAATATATAATATATAGTAGTAACTGATAAAAATGAAAATGAGCAAAAAAAAAGTGATTACAAGCTTCAGGAATGCAATTTTTCAAAGAACTTAAAACAAAATTATCACCCGACCCAGAAATCCCATTATTGGGTATATACTCAAAGGAATATAAATCCTTTCACTATAAAGACATGTGCATGCATGTGTTCATCACAGCATTATTCACAGTAGCAAAGACATGGAATCAACCTAAGTGCCCATCAATGGCAGACTGGAGAAAGGAAATGTGGTACATATATACCATGGAATACTATGCAGCCATAAAAGAGAATGAAATTATGCCTTTTACAGCAACATGGATGGAGCTGGAGGCCATTATCCTAAGCAAACTAACACAGGAACAGAAAACCAAATACTGCATGTTCTGTTTTACAAGTAGGAGCTAACAGTTGCGTACACATGGACACAAAGAAGGGAACTTTTGGCATCAGGGTCTACTTGAAGGTCATGAGAGGAGTGTGGGGACTGAAAAAGTACCTATCAGATACTATGCTTATTACCAATGTGACAAAATAATCTGTACACCAAATCCCCTGACACACAATTTACCTATATAACCAATCTGCACATGTACCTCTGAACCTAAAATAAAAGTTTAAAATAAAATGAAATGAAATAAATTTTTACAACAACGACAAAAATAAAAGGTTTCAGGAAAGATGGTAGGGTGCAATTTTAGATTGAATGATGAAAAAAAGCCCCAGAGGAAAAGATGGCATTTAATTAAAGACCTGGGGCTGTGAAGAATATCAGAAAAGGAAAGCATTCTGAGCAAAGAAAAGTAAGGAAGAGAATGTCTAGTGTGTTTATAAAGCAAGAAGTAGAACAGTGCATTTGGAGCAGAGAGCACATATAGCAGAAAAGCAGTTAATGAGGTCACAAAAATTACAGAAAAACATTTCAGAACATTGTAGATTATTGTAAGGAATCTGATGTATATAATTGAGATGGAATGATACTGGAGGATTTTAAGTGGTGGATTGAAATGAACAGAGTGATGTTCTAAAGAGTCACTCTAGCTGCTGTTATGCTTCCAGTAGACTAAAGGGGACAATGGTGAAAGTTGGGAGGCCAACTGGGTGAACAATGGTAGTGTCTTAAATTAAGAATTCTGCATGTTGGTAGTGGTTGCAAATATATTCTGCCGGTACAGTAACAAGGTTTGCAGGTAGATCGGATATTGGGTATGAGAGAAAGAAAGGAACAAAGAATAATTCGAAGCTTTTTGAATTAAGTAGCAGGAATAATAGAGTTGCCATTTGCTGACATGAGGAGGACAGGAGGAAGAGCATAGTTGAGACATATATGAGGAGCTCAACATTTAGCATAACGTGTCTGAGATTGTTAATGGTCAGGAGGGGCCAGTAGACAAGAAGATATAAGGAAACCATTAGTTATTTACCTCTGGAATCCAGTGTAACATCAAACTGACAATATTTGGTAGTTGTCAGTATATAGATTTATTTTAATCATGAGATTTGATTAGATTACCAAGAAATTCAGTGTAGTGTGAGTGACAAGACATCCAGGACTGAGCCCAAGATTAGAGGTTAGGGAGATGAGAAGGAACCACCATGACCAACACCACCACCAAACTGAATAGGAAGAGTCAGAAAAGTAGAAAAACCAAATGAGTAATTTAGCTTTTTTCTTTACTCAAAAACTTGTAATGAGAAGGCCCATATTTTTAACTATGCGACTCCTTCACCACGGCCACAGCTGATTGGACCAGCACTAGGTAAGTTATTTAAAGAAAAGTAATCCATAGACCTATGATGTGTGAACAGGTTGAACAGATGAGCTGGCACAACAAAATTGTCTCCAATAGTATTGAAGCAAAGAGATACGGGTATAGAAAGAGGCTGAGGAATCACAAAATGGCCCTGAAAAAACCTACCAGTGTTATCAAAAATAAACATCTATTTATTTTCTCCTTCATTGATTTAACTAATATGTACTGAGTGCCTACTGTATGTCACATATTTTTCCAGGTGCTGGGAACACAGGGGTGCAGATGATAGAAGCCTGGCATACATCAGAAACTGAGAAAACCAATATGGCTGAATGTTGCTTAGCAAGGGCTAGGGAGGAATGAGACAGATAGTTGGAAAAGTATTATAACCTGAGCCTTATAAACTATGTTAAAGATCTTGGTCACCCTAGCCTTGACGGTTTTTACAATTTGGCATGATTTTGCAGTGGCTGGTACTGGTTGTTCCTTCCCATGTTTAGTGCTTCCTTCAGGAGCTCTTTTAGGCATCAACTAACGAGCAAAATAACCAGCTAACATCATAATGACAGGATCAAATTCACACATAACAATATTAACTTTAAATGTAAATGGACTAAATGCTCCAATTAAAAGACACAGACTGGCAAATTGGATAAACAGTCAAGACCCATCAGTGTGCTGTATTCAGGAAACCCATCTCACGTGCAGAGACACACATAGGTTCAAAATAAAAGGATGGAGGAAGATCTACCAAGCAAATGGAAAACAAAAAAAGGCAGAGGTTGCAATCCTAGTCTCACATAAAACAGACTTTAAACCAACAAAGATCAAAAGAGACAAAGAAGGCCATTACATAATGGTAAAGGGATCAATTCAACAAGAAGAGCTAACTATCCTAAATAGATATGCACCCAATACAGGAGCACCCAGATTCATAAAGCAATTCCTGAGTGACCTACAAAGAGACTTAGATTCCCACACAATAATAATGGGAGACTTTAACACCCCACTGTCAACATTAGACAAATCAACAAGACAGAAAGTTAACAAGGATACCCAGCAATTGAACTCAGGTCTGCACCAAGCAGACCTAATAGACATCTACAGAACTCTCCACCCCAAATCAACAGAATATACATTTTTTTCAGCACCACACCATACCTATTCCAAAATTGACCACATACTTGGAAGTAAAGCACTCCTCAGAAAATGTAAAAGAACAGAAATTATAACAAACTGTCTCTCAGACCACAGTGCAATCAAACTAGAACTCAGGATTAAGAAACTCACTCAAAACCCCTCAACTACATGGAAACTGAACACTCTGCTCCTGAATGACTACTGGGTACATAATGAAATGAAGGCAGAAATAAAGATGCTCTTTGAAACCAACGAGAACAAAGACACAACATACCAGAATCTCTGGGACACATTCAAAGCAGTGTGTAGAGGGAAATTTATAGCACTAAATACCCACAAGAGAAAGCAGGAAAGATCCAAAATTGACACCCTAACATCACAATTAAAAGAACTAGAAAAGCAAGAGCAAACACATTCAAAAGCTAGCAGAAGGCAAGAAATAACTAAAATCAGAGCAGAACTGAAGGAAATAGAGACACAAAAAACCCTTCAAAAAATTAATGAATCCAGGAGCTGGTTTTTTGAAAGGATCAACAAAATCAATAGACTGCTAGCAAGACTAATAAAGAAGAAAAGAGAGAAGAATCAAATAGATGCAATAAAAATGATAAAGGGGAAATCACCATCGATCCCACAGAAATACAAACTACCATCAGAGAATACTACAAACACCCCTACGCAAATAAACTAGAAAATCTAGAAGAAATGGATAAATTCCTCGACACAAACACCCTCCCAAGACTAAACCAGGAAGAAGTTGAATCTCTGAATAGACCAACAACAGGCTCTGAAATTGTGGCAGTAATAGATAGCTTCCCAACCCAAAAGAGTCCAGGACCAGATGGATTCACAGCCGAATTCTACGAGAGGTACAAGGAGGAACTGATACCATTCCTTCTGAAACTATTCCAATCAATAGAAAAAGAGGGAATCCTCCCTAACTCATTTTATGAGGCCAGTATCATCCTTATACCAAAGCCAGGCAGAGACACAACCAAAAAAGAGAATTTTAGACCAATATCCTTGATGAACATTGATGCAAAAATCCTCAATAAATTACTGGCAAACCAAATCCAGCAGCACATCAAAAAGATCATCCATCATGATCAAGTGGGCTTCATCCCTGGGATGCAAGGCTGGTTCAATATACACAAATCAATAAATGTAATCCAGCATATAAACAGAAACAATGACGAAAACCACATGATTGTCTCAATAGATGCAGAAAAGGCCTTTGACAAAATTCAATAACCGTTCATGATAAAAACGCTCAATATATTAGGTATTGATGGGACATATCTCAAAATAATAAGAACTATCTATGACAAACCCACAGCCAATATCATACTGAATGGGCAAAAACTGGAAGGATTCCCTTTGAAAACTGGAACAAGACAGGGATGCCCTCTCTCACCACTCCTATTCAACATAGTGTTGGAAGTTCTGGCCAGGGCAATCAGGCAGGAGAAGGAAATAAAGGGCATTCAATTAGGAAAAGAGGAAGTCAAATTGTCCCTGTTTGCAGATCACATGATTGTATATCTAGAAAACCACATTGTCTCAGCCTAAAATATTCTTAAGCTGATAAGCAACTTCAGCAAAGTCTCAGGATACAAAATCAATGTACAAAAATCACAAGCATTCCTATACACCAATAACAGACAAACAGAGAGCCAAAGCATGAGTGAACTCCCATTCACAATTGCTTCAAAGAGAATAAAATACCTAGGAATCCAACTTACAAGGGATGTGAAGGATCTCTTCAAGAAGGACTACAAACCACTGCTCAGTGAAATAAAAGAGGATACAAAGAAATGGAAGAACATTCCATGCTTATGGGTAGGAAGAATCAATATCGTGAAAATGGCCATACTGCCCAAGGTAATTTATAGATTCAATGCCATCCCCATCAAGCTATCAACGACTTTCTTCACAGAACTGGAAAAAACTACTTTAAAGTTCATATGGAACCAAAAAAGAGCCCGCATCGCCAAGTCAATCCTAAGCCAAAAAAACAAAGCTGGATGCATCACACTACCTGACTTCAAACTATACTACAAGGCTACAGTAACCAAAACAGCATGGTACTGGTACCAAAACAGAGATATAGATCAATGGTACAGAACAGAGCCCTCAGAAATAATGCCACATATCTACAACTGTCTGATCTTTGACAAACCTGACAAAAACAAGCAATGGGGAAAGGATTCCCTATTTAATAAATGGTGCTGGGAAAACTGGCTAGCCATATGTAGAAAGCTGAAACTGGAACCCTTCCTTACACCTTAAATAAAAATTAACTCAAGATGGATTAAAGACTTAAACGTTAGACCTAAAACCATAAAAACCCTAGAAGAAAACCTAGGCAATACCATTCAGGACATAGGCATGGGCAAGGACTTCATGTCTAAAACACCAAAAGCAATGGCAACAAAAGCCAAAATTGACAAATGGGATCTAGTTAAACTAAAGAGCTTCTGCACAGCAAAAGAAACCACCATCAGAGTGAACAGGCAACCTACAAAATGGGAGAAAATTTTTGCAACCTACTCATCTGACAAAGGGCTAATATCCAGAATCTACAATGAACTCAAGTAAATTCAAGAAAAAAACAAACAACCCCATCAAAAAGTGGGCGAAGGACTTGAACAGACACTTCTCAAAAGAAAACATTTATGCAGCCAAAAAAGACATGAAAAAATGCTCACCATCACTGGCCATCAGAGAAATGCAAATCAAAACCGCAATGAAATACCATCTCACACCAGTTAGAATGGCAATCTTTAAAAAGTCAGGAAACAACAGGTGCTGGAGAGGATGTGGAGAAATAGGAACACTTTTACACTGTCGGTGGGACTGTTAACTAGTTAAACCATTGTGGAAGCCGGTGTGGCGATTCCTCAGGGATCTAGAACTAGAAATACCATTTGACCCAGCCATCCCATTACTGGGTATATACCCAAAGGACTATAAATCATGCTGCTATAAAGACACATGCACACGTATGTTTATAGCAGCACTAGTCACAATACAAAGACTTGGAACCAACCTAAATGTCCAACAATGATAGACTGGATTAAGAAAATGTGGCACATATACACCATGGAATACTATGCAGCCATAAAAAAGGATGAGTTCATGTCCTTTGTAGGGACATGAATGAAATTGGAAATCATCATTCTTAGTAAACTATCGCAAGGACAAAAACCAAACACCGCATGTTCTCACTCATAGGTGGGAATTGAACAATGAGAACAGATGGACACAGGAAGGGGAGCATCACACTCTGGGGACTGTTGTGGGGTCGGGGGAGGGGGGAGGGATAGCATTAGGAGATATACCTAATGCTAAATGACGAGTTAATGGGTGCAGCACACCAGCATGGCACATGTATACATATGTAAGTAACCTGCACATTGTGCACATGTACCCTAAAACTTAAAGTATAATAATAATAAAATAAAATAAAATAAAGTTCTTGGTCATCATCCAAGGAAAAATTCAATACCCCTCAACTATCATAAATAATTCAATTGCATGATATCATGCATAGTTTAACATGTTCCCCTCTGAAACCTTTTCTGAGAACAAATTCAAAAATGATAAAAGTAAAATTGGATAAAAGTAAAAGTAAAACAAATTCAAAAATGATAAAAGTAAAAGTAAAAGGATGAAAGAAATCTACTACAGTAGCTTAGGTAAGAGTGATAGTTGGTTATATCAATGGTGGTGATAGTAAGATATAGAAAGATTCATAATATATTTAGTATAATAAATTGATAGGAGTAGGCAAAGTATTAGATGTGGATGATGAAGGAGTGAGATTCATATATGTCACATTGAAAAACAAAGATCACCAGAACTGAAAATAGGTATTGATATTATTCCTGAGTGAGCTGTATCACTAAATAGATGAGGTTATTGGTCTCTATGAGTTGAAATTGAAAGGTACCTGTGAAAAACAAGAAGAACAAAGTAAAACATATAAGAAAAAATTGGCTATGTGTCTGGTTGCTTCCTGAATCCCATTTCTCAAAGAAGTCTGGGAAGGGTTGCAAGGCTCTAGAAGTCAGGGTCACATGAAGGGCAAAATTTTATATCCACTTGCAAACTTTATAAGCTTTATCTCACATACACAGATACATAGAATGATCATAGTTCTGCTTTTGTATTAATCAATTCCATGAAATCACAAATATAATATTTGCACGGACAGTAAAATTTTGAAAACATGGGTGATACGTGTTATTGTTCACTGGAACAAATGATCTATAATGTGCCATTTCTGGGTAAGTTTACAAAGAACTCTATAGCCCATTTTCTGAAAAACAATTTATTATTTCCTGCCTAACTTTTTAAAAGTGGAAACGTTTATTATATACGAGAGTCCATAGAATCCCACAAATCAGCCCAATCTCCTGTTGCACAAGGCATGGTGATTTAAAATAAAAACACTAGAGTGAGCTCAAAAGCCTTCCACTGT
Organism: Homo sapiens; assembly: GCF_000001405.40. Classification (NCBI taxonomy): domain Eukaryota; kingdom Metazoa; phylum Chordata; class Mammalia; order Primates; family Hominidae; genus Homo; species Homo sapiens. The sequence continues at coordinate 66,253,251 of NC_000004.12, read as the reverse complement.
AAGTCCCTGAAATCAACTGGGGAGTGGGAGTGGCCTGAGAAAAAGAACTGTTGTACATTGAAACTCCCCTATGAAAGACATGATTGTGGGGGCAGTAGCCCACCTCAAGGTCACTGCAAACCCTAAATGCTTCACCAACTATTGGCTTGCACATTGGGAAAACCTTACACCAAATGTTTTGGCCCTTTATCTTTTTAGTGTAGGTAATAGAGAGATTGTAAATATTGTTCCAAGACAAAACTGTGTATTCTTATATAGAAATTTGTAATGAAAAGAAAGTGTGACCTTGAAAGTGTGCTCTGTTTCATGGGTAAATACTGATTTAACTGAAAATGCTGCTAGACATTTTCCATATGAGTGTTTAGTTGTGACTTGTCTTCACAGAGATAACATATTACAATCAATGGTAGAAAACTTCAATAAGATACATAGTTTCACTATTAATTTTAATGTTAAAGAGTAGCTAAGAAAATATACTTACTAGAAATATGATATTTCAAGTGTTGATATCAATATGCTACCCTCTGCTCCTTTCTTTTCCCAGACAAATAACTCACCTGAGTTAATCCTACTTGTTCTTTCAATGCACAGTGTAATGTGACTTTCCAGGGAAGTTTTCCTAACTCTCCCCCCATTCAGAGTAGGATTCCTCTAATGTTATAGCTTCCTAAGTTTGGTGTCATAGCTTCCTAAGTTTGCTCATGAAATTGCTAGCTGAGTTTTAATTGTACAATTATTTGTATGAGTACATATTTAATATTTAGACCCCCTAGTGGATATGTGGCTTCAGGACAGCACAGAGTGTCTGCTTTGTTCCTATACACTCCCACTGCTCAGCAAGGTACCCAAACTTGGTTGGTATTCATTGATTATATAAATAATTTTTTTTCAGTAAAGAAAGACGAACTTTAAAAATTTGGATTTTATTTGGTTAGTCTGGTTCTGTCTCCTTCTCAGAACATTTTTGCTTCAATATAAATAAAATAGCATAAAATTTACTGAGATGTTTGATTTTGTAATGTTTATAGTAAAATAAAATACATATTTAGTACTAATTCTTCTTGGAAAATGTGTTTTGACTAGTTCTTAAGATGGGTTAGAGACAGACAAATGGTTCAGAAAAACAACATGATTTGATTGGCATAAACTCTCAATAAAAAATATATGTATTAAAATATACTCTACTATTTGTTTTAAAATACTGAACTAACATTAATTTTGTCATCAGTCTAGACATGTCAACTCAATTATTTGCCTCTCATAATCTATAAATTTAAAAAACTGCCTTTGTGTTCACATATACTTAGATATTTTAAATTCTGAATTATAATGCCACCAAGTGAGAAAACAAATGTATAAAGTAATAAAATCAATATTGATTCAGTTGTCTTCAATTTTCCCATTTTTTCCACAAAGGATAAGCATGATTCAGTAGCATTATGCTAATTAAGTTATAAGACGGTAGAAAAACTTCCCTTATATTCTTTTTGTTGTTGTTGTTCTTTTTTTTTATTATTATTACACTATAAGTTTTAGGGTACATGTGCACAACATACAGGTTTGTTACATTTGTATACATGTGCCATGTTGGTGTGCTGCACCCATTAACTTGTCATCTAGCATTAGGTATATCACCTAATGCTATCCCTCCCCCCTACCCCCCACCCCCCACAACAGTCCCCGGTGTGTGATGTTCCCCTTCCTGTGTGCATGTGTTCTCATTGTTGAATTCCCACCTATGAGTGAGAACATGCAGTGTTTGGTTTTTTGTCCTTGTGATAGGTTGTGGAGAATGATGGTTTCCAGCTTCATCCATGTCCCTACAAAGGACATGAACTCATCCTTTTTTATGGCTGCATAGTATTCCATGGTGTATATGTGCCACATTTTCTTAATCCAGTCTATCATTGTTGGACATTTAGGTTGGTTCCAAGTCTTTGCTATTGTGAATAGTGCCGCTATAAACATACGTGTGCATGTGTCTTTATAGCAGCATGATTTATAGTCCTTTGGGTATATACCCAGTAATGGGATGGCTGGGTCAAATGGTATTTCTAGTTCCAGATCCCTGAGGAATCGCCACACCGACTTCCACAATGGTTGAACTAGTTAACAGTCCCACCAACAGTGTAAAAGTGTTCCTATTTCTCCACATCCTCTCCAGCACCTGTTGTTTCCTGACTTTTTAATGATCGCCATTCTAACTGGTGTGAGATGTTATCTCATTGTGGTTTTGATTTGCATTTCTCTGATGGCCAGTGACGATGAGCATTTTTTCACGTGTTTTTTGGCTGCATAAATGTCTTCTTTTGAGAAGTGTCTGTTCATATCCTTTGCCCACTTTTTCATGGGGTTGTTTGTTTTTTTCTTGTAAATCTGTTTGAGTTCATTGTAGATTCTGGATATTAGCCCTTTGTCAGATGAGTAGGTTGCAAAAATTTTCTCCCATTCCGGAGGTTGCCTGTTCACTCTGATGGTGGTTTCTTCTGCTGTGCAGAAGCTCTTTAGTTTAATTAGATCCTGTTTGTCAATTTTGGCTTCTGTTCCATTGCTTTTGGTGTTTTATACATGAAGTCCTTGCCCATGCCTATGTCCTGAATGGTCTTGCCTAGGTTTTCTTCTAGGGTTTTTATGATTTTAGGTCTAACGTTTAAGTCTTTAATCCACCTTGAATTAATTTTTGTATAAGGTATAGGGAAGGGATCCAGTTTCAGCTTTCTACATATGGCTAGCAAGTTTTCCCAGCACCATTTATTAAATAGGGAATCCTTTTCCCATTGCTTGTTTTTGTCAGGTTTGTCAAAGATCAGATAGTTGTAGATATGTGGCATTATTTCTGAGGGCTCTGTTCTGTTCCATTGATCTATATCTCTGTTTTGTTACCAGTACCATGCTGTTTTGGTTACTGTAGCCTTGTAGTATAGTTTGAAGTCAGGTAGTGTGATGCCCCCAGCTTTGTTCTTTTGGCTTAGGATTGTCTTGGCAATGCGGGCTCTTTTTTGGTTCCATATGAAATTTAAAGTAGTTTTTTTCCAATTCTGTGAAGAAAGTCATTGGTAGCTTGATGGGGATGGCATTGAATCTATAAATTACCTTGGGCAGTATGGCCATTTTCACGATATTGATTCTTCCTACCCATGAGCATGGAATGTTCTTCCATTTCTTTGTATCTTCTTTTATTTCATTGAGCAGTGGTTTGTAGTTCTTGAAGAGGTCCTTTACATCCCTTGTAAGTTGGATTCCTAAGTATTTTATTCTCTTTGAAGCAATTGTCAATGGGAGTTCACTCATGATTTGGCTCTCTGTTTGTCTGTTATTGGTGTATAAGAATGCTTGTGATTTTTGTATATTGATTTTGTATCCTGAGACTTTGTTGAAGTTGCTTATCAGTTTACGGAGATTTTGGGCTGAGACAATGGGGTTTTCTGGATATACAATCATGTGATCTGCAAACAGGGACAATTTGACTTCCTCCTTTCCTAATTGAATGCCCTTTATTTCCTTCTCCTGCCTGACTGCCCTGGCCAGAATTTCCAACACTATGTTGAATAGGAGTGGTGAGAGAGGGCATCCCTGTCTTGTTCCAGTTTTCAAAGGGAATCCTTCCAGTTTTTGTCCACTCGGTATGATATTGGTTGTGGGTTTGTCACAGATAGCTCTTATTATTTTGAGATACGTCCCATCAATGCCTAATTTATAGAGAGTTTTTAGCATGACGTGTTGTTGAATTTTGTCAAAGGCCTTTTCTGCATCTGTTGAGATAATCATGTGGTTTTTGTCTTTGGTTCTGTTTATATGCTGGATTACGTTTATTGACTTGCATATGTTGAACCAGCCTTGCATCCCAGGGTTGAAGCCCACTTGATCATTCTTAATTGCAATAAGTATTTATATTTTTAAGCTCAAGGGGTTAAAATGAAGAATTTGAAAAAAACATTTAAAATAAAAATATAATCTAATTTCAAGAGCACTTGTGATATTATTTTCTACTTATCTGCCATTTTAGAATATTTACATTTTTTAATAAGTTTGAGAAACACTCTGTTATACTCTTTCTGTAAGTTGCACTGGCCCACGAGGCAAGAAATTCAGATATTTCTCCTGGTATTCTACGTAATATCCTAGAATTTCTTTCACGATACTCAGATTTCTAGGTGTACTTATTTGCTTGAAATTGTCTGATTAGCTCCATTCTTCCCTGTCATATAATAATTGCAGAACTCTGAATTAATCTAGCACAGTGCCCACTTCTATAACAGCTCAATAAATACTTGCCAAATGTTGACTAACACACTCACTGATTTGATTCAAATAATTTTTATTACTTGTAATAAATAAATAAAATATATTACCAAGGTACTGTCGTAAAGAATAAATTTTTAATTTTTTTAATTTTTAAAATTATACTTTATGTTCTAGGGTACATGTGCACAACATGCAGATTTGTTACATAGGTGTACGTTTTCCATGTTGATTTGCTGCACCCATCAACTCCTCATTTACATTAGGTATTTCTCCTAATATTATCCTTCCCCCAGCTCCCCACACCGTGACAGGCCCCAGTGTGTGATGTTCTTCACCTTGTGTCCAAGTGTTTTCATTGTTCAATTCCCACCTATGAGTGAGAACAGGCAGTGTTTTGTTTTCTGTTCCTGTGATAGTTTGTTGAGAAAGATGGTTTCCAGCTTCATCCATGTCCCTGCAAAGGACATGAATTCATCCATTTTTATGGCTGCATGGTATTCCATGGTGTATATATACCACATTTTCTTAATCCAGTCTATCATTGATGGACATTTGGGTTGATTCCAAGTCTTTGCTATTGTGAACAGTGCCACAATAAACATACGTGTGCATGTGTCTTTATAGTAGCTTGATTTATATAATCCTTTGGGTATGTATCCAGTAATGGGATGGCTGGGTCAAATGGTATTTCTAGTTCTAGATCCTTGAGGAATTGTCACACTATCTTACACAATGGTTGAACTAATTCACACTCCCACCAAAAGTGTAAAAGCGTTCCTATTTCTCCACATCCTCTCCAGCGTCTCTTGTTTCCTGACTTTTTAATGATCACCATTCTAACTGGCATGAGATGGTATCTCATTGTGGTTTTGATTTGCATTTCTCTGATGATCCATGATGATGAGCATTTTCTCATGTGTCTGTTGGCTGCATAAATGTCTTCTTTTGAGAAGTGTATGTTCATATCCTTTGCCCACTTTTTGATGGGGTTGCTTTTTTCTTGTAAATTTGTTTAAGTTATTTGTAGATTCTGGATATTAGCCCTTTGTCAGATGGGTAGATTGCAAAAATTTTCTCCCATTCTGTATGTTGCCTGTTCGCTCTAAACAGGTCGCCTGTTTCTTTTGTGGTGCAGAAGCTCTTTAGTTTAATTAGATCCCATTTGTCTATTTTGGCTTTTGTTGCCATTGTTTTTGGTATTTTAGTCATGAAGTCCGTGCCCATGCCTACGTCCTGAGTGGTACAATTGCAGTTTTGTTTCAAGGACATATTGCACAGTGGTGTAGTTTGGGCTTTTAGTGTAACCATTACCTAAATAATGTACATTGTACCCACTAAGTAATTTTTCTTCCCTCCCCATTCACCTTCCAATACTTCCCAGTATAGGATGTATATTATTCCACACTTTATGTTTATGTGTAAACATTATTTAGCTTCTGTATTAATTTGTTCTCATGCTGCTAATAAAGACATACCCGAGACAGGGTAATTTATAAAGAAAAAGAGGTTTAATAAACTCACAGTTTCACATGGCTGGGGAGGCCTCACAATCATTGCAGAAAGTGAAGGAGGAGCAGAAACACATCTTACACGGTGGCAGGCAAGAGAGTGTGTGCAGGGGAACTGCCCTTCATGAAACCATCAGACCTCATGAGGCTTATTCACTATCATGAGAGCAGCAGTGGAAAATCCTACCCCTATGATTCAATTACCTCCCCCCAGGTCCCTCCTATGACATGTGGGTATTATAGGAGCTACAGTTCAAGATAAGATTTGGGTGGGGACACAGTCAAACCATATCAGCTCCCATTTATGAGTCAGAAGATGTAGTGTTTGACTTTGGGTTTCTGAGTTGTTTCCTTAAGATAATGGCCTCCACTTCCATCCATATTGCTGAGAGAGACATGATTTTAGTTTTTTATGGCTGAATAGTATTTGTGTGTGTGTGTGTAAGTGTACACCACATTTGTTTATTCAGTAATCCATTAGTGGACACTTAAGTTGATTCTATATCTTTGCTTCTGTGACTAGTGCTGCAATAAGCAGAAGAGTGCAGGTATCTGTTTGACAAAATCATTTCTTTTCCCTTGGGTGATACCCAGTAGTGAGTTTGCTTGAAGGAATGGTAGTTCTATATTTAGTTCTTCGAGAATCTCCATACTGCTTTACATAAATGTATTAATTTACATACCCAACAACAGTTTCTAAGCTTTCACATTTCTCCCCATACTCAGCAACATCTGTTACTTTTTTGGCTTTTTAATAATAGCCATTCTGACTGGTGTAAGATGATATCTCACTGTGGTTTTAATCTGCATTATTCTGATTACTAATGTTGAACATTTTTTATATGGTTTTTGACCATTTATGTGTCTTATTTTGAAAAAAAAAAGTCAATTAATGTCCTTTGACCACTTTTTAATATGGTTATTTAACTTTTGTTGTTGAATTGTTTGAGCTCCTTGTAGATTCTGGGTATTAGTCCCCTGTTGGAAGGATAGTTTGCAAATATTTTCCCCCATTCTGCAGGGCATTTGTTCACTTTGCTGATTATTACATGGGCTGTGTGGGAAATTTTTAGTTTAATATGGTGCCCTTTGCCTATTTTTGTTTTTGTTGCTGTTCTTTTGAGGTCTTAGTTATGAATTATTTGCCTCAGCCAGTGTCCAGAAGAGTTTACCTGGGTTTTCTTCTAGTGTTTTTATAGTGTCAGGTCTTAACATTTGAGTCTTTAATCTATCTTGAGTGGATTTTTGTACATGATGAAGAGGCAAAAGAGGTACAGTTTCATTCTTCTGCATATAAACATCTATTTTTTCAGTATCATTTATTGAATAGGGTATCCTTTCCTCAGTATACGCTTTTGTCCACTTTGTCAAAGATCATGGTTATAATAGGCTTGTAGTATAATTTGAGGTCAGATAATATGATGCCTCCAGCTTTGCTGTTTTCACTTACAGTTGCTTTGGCTTTTGGACTTTTAGTTTTGATTTCCTAATATTGTAAAAATTATTTTTATTAATTCTGTGAAAAATAATGTTTTATTTTGATAGGAATTACATTGAATCTATAAATTGCTTTGGGCAGTATGATCATTTTAACTATCTTAATTCTTCTGATCCATGATCATGGAATGTTTTTCCATTTGTTTGTGCCATCCATGATTTCTTTCATCAATGTTTTATAGTTTTCCTTGTAGAGCTCTTTCACCTCCTTGATTAAATATATTTCTAGGTATTTTAGTTTTTATTTAGCTATTGTAAATAGGATTCTCCTCTTGATTTGGTTCTCAGCTTGAAAATTACTAATGTATAGAAATCCTACTGATTTTTGTGAGTTGATTTTGTATGCTGAAATTTTACTGAATTCATTTTTCAAATCTAAGAGTTTTTTGATGGAGTCTTTAGTTTTTCTAGATGTAAGATCATATTGTCAACAAAAAAAGATATTTTGACTTCCTCTTTTCCAATTTGGGTGCTGCTTATTTCTTTCACTTTTCCAATTGCCCTGGCTAGGACTTCCAATTCTATGTTAAATGGAAGTGATGAAAGTGGGCATTCTTGTCTTCTTCCAGTTCTCAGAGGGAATGCTTTCAACTTCATTCAGTATGCTGTGGGTTTGTCATACGCAACCTTTATTATTTTGAGATATGTTTCTTCTATGCTTAGTTTGCTGAGGGTTTCTTCTCATGAAGAGATGCAGAATATTATCAAACACTTTTTTTGTATCTATTGAGATCATATGGTTTTGTCCTTAATTTTGTTTATGTGATTCATTACATTTATTGATTTGCATATGTTGAATTATCCTTTGTACTTCTGATGTATTTAAGCCCTCTTGAAATAAGACCCACTTATTCATGGTGGATCATCTTTTTCACGTGCTGTTGGATTTGGTTTGCTAGTATTTTTATGAGAATTTTTGCATCTATATTCATCAGGTGTATTGGTCTGCAGTGTTTATTTTTTGTTGTTTGTTTGTTTGCCATAAGGAAGAATTTTTTTTTCAGTTAATCCAACAATCAGATTCCAACAATCTCCAGAAATATAAGACATTATTGCCTTAGAAAATATTAGTTTTTACAAAGACAGCATAACGCTTTGTTTTTCATTCCAAATCTAGTACAATCCCCAAACCCATTAAGGTCAGAGAATGCAGACTATTTAAATTTTACAAGTAGCATTTTGCACTTCTGAGGTATTTAAGACCTCTTGGAATGAATTGTTATGTCTTGATAGCTATCAATCCTGTTGAATTCTTTTAAAAATCTCAATGCTGTGTTTATGTTTTTTTCCTCTTCATCTTCAATGCTACCTAATACCTGATTTCATTGCAACAATTTCCAAGTAGTCTTCCAATTCTTGTCTGTTTCATTTTGCTAAACATAACTGCAATGACTTTACCTAAATTAGTTTTAAATGTTGGGCCCAGTTTCTATAATTTAGCCCACGCAAAATTTTTTAATTATACTTACCATTACTCCCCAATTCCAAACCACATGTTTTTTTTCACCAAGACATCATGTTTTCCATTCATCATGCCTGACCTATCACTTTCCCCTATCTTGCAACATTTATCTGAATTTCTGTATTCAATTAGAGCCCAACATTACTCTCTCTTTCTCTCTCCCTCTAGTATACTCACTTTAATATTTTTTGAAGTAAGTGTATAGGTACAGTTCACAATTTTGAATTGGAAATAATTTAATTGGTATTTTTATTTTTATCTTTATCTTATAGGATACAATGGGCATGATTAACTTTCCCCCTCTCTGGTAGATTGGACTAATGGCCCGAATTTTTATTCCAGGCTATATCCATTCTCTTTGTCACATAACTTTGCAGTATCCTCTTACTGAGGATTAGAGTACAGTTCTTAGCCTCTTGGTAGCAACATTTTGCTTGTTTTGTCCAGTGAGATATTAGTACATGTAACACAGGCAGCTTAACAAGTGCTCATACCCCTGGGCTTACTCACTCCTGGCAATAACAAACGAAGATCACACCTGAGCTAGCCCATAGCCTCAGGAGAAAGATCAAAGACAAATAGAATAGAGCTGCCTAAACAAAGATTTTCAACAAAAGTACAACCAGGAATTGAGCCACCATCTGACCCTTAGAAAGACAGACTAGCTAAGTCAAGGTTAACAGAGTCAATCCTAGATTAAATGAATCATGACCAACCAATTGGCATGAGAATAATAATAAACTATTATTTTAGGTCACTAAGTTTTGATATAGTATTGTATGCTGGACAAATCACTGTTGATATCTTATAGTTAGCACTGAATTAATAATTGTTCAGAAGAAAATAATCTCACAACTCTCACTTTTGAAATGACTTACATTTTGTATTTTCACATTACATATTCCTTAATTTGATCAATATATATGCTTTCCACAGTCAAAAGAAACAGGTCTTTTTGTTTTCTGTTATTATGAACATTTTGGCAAACAAAATTTTGAGATATTAGCTAGAAGCTGTGTTTTGCTTTTTCAGAAATTCAGTTGTAACTTTTTATATTATTCTATATGACAATACTACAGTTATTGTGTTGACAATCAAGTATAACACATAAATAAAACATGTTTACTGATTATTATTAATGCCTATAATGTAAATATTATGCTCTTAAGGCTTTGTGAGGCAATCATTCAAGATTGACTAAAATGGGCTTGAACAGAAATAGAGACAAGGACAACTCTGTTGGTGGGACCGTAAACTAGTTCAACCATTGTGGAAGACAGTGTGGCGATTCCTCAAAGATATAGAACTAGAAATACCATTTGACCCAGCCATCCCATTACTGGGTATATGCCCAAAGGATTATAAATCATGCTGCTATAAAGACACATGCACACATACGTTTATTGTGGCACTATTCACAATAGCAAAGACTTGGAACCAACCCAAATGTCCACCAATGATAGACTGGATTAAGAAAATGTGGCACATATACACCATGGAATACTATGCAGCCATAAAAAGGATGAGTTCATGTCCTTTGTAGGGACATGGATGAAGCTGGAAACCATCATTCTCAGCAAACGATCGCAAGGACAAAAAACCAAACACCGCATGTTCTCACTCATAGGTGGGAATTGAACAATGAGAACACTTGGACACAAGAAGGGGAACATCACACACTGGGGCCTGTCATGGGGTGGGCGGGGAGGGGGGAGGGATAGCATTAGGAGATATACCTAATGTAAATGACGAGTTACTGGGTGCAGCACACCAACGTGGCGCATGTATACATATATAACAAACCTGTAAGTTGTGCACATGTACCCTAGAACTTAAAGTATATAAAAAAACAAAAAACAGAAAACATAGGGCTGTGGAAAGTGGCTCATGCCTGTAATCCCAGCATTTTGAGAGGCCAAGGTGGGTGGAACACCTGAGGTCAGGAGTTGAAGACTAGCCTGGCCAACATGGTGAAACCCCGTCTCTCCTAAAAATACAAAAATTAGCCAGGCTTGGTGGTGTGTGCCTGTGGTCCCAGCTACTCGGGAGGATAAGGCAGTAGAATCACGAGAACCTGGGAGGTGGAGGTTGCAGATTGTGCCATTGCACTTCAGCCTTGGTGACAGAGAGAGAGACTCCCCCCTCAAAATAAATAAATAAATGAAAATAGTAATAAAAAAATGGGGTGCTGGAATGGAGAAAAGTTGGGTTAAATAAATATTTATTATATTGCAAAATGCTTCTTAGATTATGAGTGTATTAAAACAAAATCTGATACATCAGAGTAAAAGGAACAAAACACATCATGTAAGCTACTATTGTATGCCTCTGACATATCAATAATTCAGAAGATTTCTTGCATTTTATGCCTGATGGCCTATGGAAAATTGTACTCCTCAGAGTGCCTTTTTTTGAATAGCAAACAGATGCACACACACTTGAAGAATCTTTTATATCCAAATTTCATGTGATTATGAGATAAAATTAAAATATACCACTAGGCAAATTTCAAAGAACTAAAGTATTCAGATGAATTTAACTAAGAATTGTGATTATTATGCAAGTAAAATTGAAGGAATTAATCGAAACAAGTATTTTTTAATGTAACTTGTGTTTATTTATTTGAATTCTCAGGCAAACTGAGTCCCTGTAGTTGGAAGTGTAGGCTGTTAAAAGGTATGAAAATACTGGTGATTTGTATTTTTTTAATTTGAATCTATTTACCTGATTATGAGTCATGAATTTGCATTATATGCATTGGGAAAATATGAAAAAGAAAGCTAAAATCCAGCATCATATCACCAACCAAATATATAACATTTCAGTGATTTTTCAATATTGTGTATGTGTAATCAGAATGTTTTTATGACTTTGAAATCTAATCTTTTATCATTACATTTAAATATCATCTAACTTTATAAAATAGTTTCGATATAATTTTAATAACTGCATATTATTCTACGTTACATGGAACTAGAAAAACCTAATTTACTAGTTTAGGATACACATAGAGTCACGTGATTCCATTTAATCATATTGACCTTATTCTGATCTTATTAGCAGGAAGTCCATTATTTTTCTCTTGAGACTATCCGTGTCCAGAATTATTTAAGAATATCAAGCATGGTTTATTCAATCCAAAATATTCAGTGATGTTTTCAAATATCAGAGGGAGGGATAACTACTCATAATTAGTGATAACTATAGTTATTTTCAGTATTGCTTTGGTCACCATCACAGGATTACAAAAGGGCATTGATTATACACAGTTCAGTGATTGCTAGTCAAGTGTAGCAAGTGTTCTCCAGCTGGCTGAGGTCCCTGGTTAGAAAGCAAAGTTCTCTCCCCTTCATCCTAATAATTACACTTACTTTTTCTTCATGATCTTATACCAAGACATTTTTATCAAGCAAGATTGCTGGAACACCACGTAAAGAGTGTCTTCCGTCTTCCAGTCTTAAACACAAGCTTTACTAAGAAGTGACATTACCTTATAAACATTTAGTTTCTTGTGTTGCCTTTTCCTTTGAGGTCATCAACACAGCCTTCTTTATCCATGTAAGGTGAACTCCCTCATACCGTGTTATTCTTTTCAGGATAATAACTTTTTTTTTTTCAGCCCACACATAAAGGACACCTGAGCAAATCTTAATCTTTCTAACTTGAAATTCTGCAAGTGTCTTTTCCTACAAAGACGTATCTATGATTTTCTATACTAATTGGGGCACTCCTATCATTGCATGTTGCATATTCAATAATTGCTTACTGAGTGCCAATAATGTGTCAAGTACTCTTACCCTCTTTGAAGATAGAATGATACGAATAAGACAAAATCCCCTGCTCTTGTGGAGCTTATATTCTTGTGGAGGAAGCCACAAAATAAACGAATAGACTAATAAAGAAATTAGGAACTATTAGGCAGCAAGTAGTCCTTTGGAGGACATGACATTTTCACCAATAACTCAGAGTCTAGAAGGGATAAGTCATGAAATAATATGGGTGAAGAGGGTTTCAGGCAGAAAGTTTCAGCTAGTGCAAAAACCCTATGCTTTGTGTGTTTTAGGAAGAGAAAGAAAGCCAGTGTAGCTCAGGATGACGGATTTCTTCTTCTAAAAGGAACAGAATTGTAAATGTGGACAGAGGCAGGCTTGTGATAGAACAGGTGTTTGACTTTGTTGGCCAAATATTAAGTTTTAATTTTATTAAATTCACTGGAATGCCACGGAAAAATTTTAAGTAAGATATGAAGTGTCATTGTTTTGTTTTATTTTTAAAAATTTTTATAAGATTACCCTATTTGTGGAGAATGAATTCTACATGAGTTAAAATGGAATGCAGAAGAATAATTGGAGGCCATTCTAATAATCCAAATCAGATAATGGATTTCAAACTCTGTGTAAAAGGAGAAAATTGGACAGATATGGTAACTGGCAGGAAAATATTTTAAAGCAAGAATGACAAGTAGCTTAAATTAAATAAAATAAAATACTGCCACAACAAATAAATAGATGGAAATCTAAACAGATACAGAGATAGTTTATATATATATATATATATATATATAATTTTATATATAATTCAAAAACTGAAAAAATCAATTTCTGAAATTAAAAATCTGCAAGACTATAACAGTAGAATGGGGGTTGTAAATATATAAACACGGCAGAAAGAATATTGAATTTGAAGCCATATCTCTTTAAATGTCTGGCTTATAAAATTTTACAATCCCTGTGAGCCAGTTCAATAGACTTCACTCTAGTAGTCACTTACTTTATTTATTAAATGAACATTTAATACCTACATTAAATCATTAATGCATTTTTTCTATCTATATCTTTTTTGTATCATACTTAAAAGTTAGGGGGCTTATTGACATTAGCATAATGCAAAAAAAAAAACCGGGAAGGAAGTGGAAATATGGAAATATGATCAGCTTGTGGTAAGTTTGTACTCCAAACAATGGATTTATAACCATATCTAACTGTGTAATTAACTAGATATGTGATATTGGACAAATTATATGAATTCTGCTGTCCTTATTTTTCATCTAGAAAAGGGAAACGATAATGCACATGAACAATATTGCAAAAAAAGATAGAAAAATGCCAAGAATGTACAAGTAGAAATCACTGACATTACAATGTTTCAAAACAGTCTGTTAATTGTAATGATATTATTGCTATTGTATTGTTTATAATTTAGATACTAGTTTATAACATCTTACAACAGATATTTAGTATGCATAAAGTAGTTAGAATTCTGATCATATGCTCTGGAAATTATGTCACATGTCAGTGGTCTATGTTGTTATAAAGTAAAATATTTTATCATTAAGTGTTATCTAACTTAAAGCTTGTGTTAAAATATTTTTGTAACAGGTAAAATCATCATGAAAATTTTAAAGTTTTGGAGGTATTATAAGACTTTTTAAAAGTATCTTAAAAATGGCAATTTGTTTTTGGAAATTTTTTTCTCATTTACTCTGAAAAAACAAGACTAAATGTGTGTTTAGTTGTGTATCAAGGTTTTGTTAAAGAAAAACCCACAAAGCACACACATACACAAACAAAACAACCAAGCCTATGATGCACATGAACTGAGTAAAATTTGGTTTAACTGTGAGGAAAGTTCATTAAGAGATTGAATCTTTATAATACTAGATAGCTTTACCTCCATTTCAATTTTTGTTTCTTATTATGCTCCTTGAAGTTTCCCTATGCTGATAATTTTTCCACATTCATTTTTCCACATTCATTTTTCCATTTATCACATATCGACGGAGCACCACATTGTATCAGGCTTGGTTTTAGACCAGTGATCAAATGACCAGGGATGAAAAAACAACAAATTTCCTACTTTCTTGGAGATGGCATTCTTATTTGGGGAGTCTGATAATTATGAAATAAATAGGCAAAATATATACATTGTTAGATGATGTGTATTGTGTAGAAAAATAAACCAGGTAAGGGAATAGAAAATGCTAGCATAGGGATGAGTCAATTTTAATAGAAAATCAGAGAAGGCATCCCTGAGATGACATTTGAACAAAGATCTGAAAAATATAACGGAGGCCTTGCATTTTTTCCTGTGTGGAAAACAATAGAAACATCGTTTTAAGCCAAGGAAACAAGTTCAGGGTTCTAACCGGAAACTCTTTCTCTTCTCAGAGGATCGTCCGAAAGCCAGTGAGTCTGGAGCGGAGTAAGCTAGCAAGGAAGATAGAGCTTCTGTTAGAGCAGTTGTACAGGGACAAAACCCGGAGGGCCTTGGAAGCTATTACAAGCTCTTGAATTTAATTTTGGGGTGAAAAGGGGAAGATGCTGGAGAGTTTTAAACAGAAAGAGGTGTGAGTGGCATTTTTTTTACAGGTTCATTCTGAGAGCTTTGTGAAAAGTAGGCATTAGTAGAAAAACAGAGACAGCAGTTAGAATGTGACTGATGTGATTCAATCTAAAGAATATGGTGGTTTGAACCAGTTAAAAGGTGGGAAGAAATAGAAATAATACATTTTCCTGATTAAGTATAACAAAGAAGAGGTGTAAAGAATAATTTTAAAGTTTTGATAAAATAAAAATATTATCACCATTGAGCCATGGATTTAGCAATCTGGAGATCATTGGTAATTTTCTTAAGACCATTTTTAGAGGTAAACAGGGAAAAAAGCCAGACTGGATTAAATTCAAGAGAGGAGGGTAAGTCATGAATTGTATCTCTTGTACAGATAAGTCTTCCAAACGATTGCGTTACAAAAGATAATAGACAAAAGGAGAGAGTCAAGAGAATTTCTTTTTTTACTATTTGTTAAGAGTATAAGAAAAATGGAAGTATGTTTATACACTAATATGAATTATCTAGTAACCAGAAGCAAAATGATGATGACAGAAAAAAGGGGAGAAAAAATATAGACATATCATTTATTTGGTAAGTGGAGATGGGTTACAGAGCACAAGTGGGGGATATCTTCCTTCCAATAGGAGCATATGAAGTTCATCCAGAGCATAAAGGAATAAGGCAGAGTTTATGGCAACTGATGATCCTAAGTAAAAACGTTTAGTGTCTTAGAAACAGAAAAATAAGTTATATTCCCACAATTCTGTAACTGGGGTAGGGATTACCGAGAACAGCTCATCTCTGCCCCACATGTTTCTGTGGGAGCTGAACTGTCCAAAGTGGCTCTTCACTCTTATGGGCTAATGTCTTTGCTAAGATGGCTGACATAACTGGAGCTTGACCATGTATCTCTCTTTATTTCTACATAGTCCCTTGCATGGCTAGCTATGGCCTTCCATAATGCATGATGGTCTGATGTTGGCTGGGAATTCTGACTTAGGAGCCGAATTCACCCACAGCACAAAAGCAGAAGCTTCCATGCACATAAACATCACTTTTGCCACATTTTTTTAGTCTAAACAGTCACAGGGCCAGTGCAGATTCAAGGGAAGATAAAACAGATTGGAGCAGCAAAGTCATATTGTAACAGAACGTGTGGAATACGCGGTATCATAGCCATCTTTGGAAACATAATCTACCATGCTACCCTGTAAAGTTCTGGTAAGCATTTATAATATGTTTAATAAGGTTGCATGAAAATATTTGATAATTAGATAAATACTCAAAAATGAGAATGTGATTATCATATTGCAATTTTGTGGTATAACATTTATCTCTGCATTATACTCAGCCTCAAAATTCCCCCAACTTCAAATAGGAGAATTACTTTTATTTAAGAAAAATGGAGAATCAAATTGTAGCATAAAAACTAAAATTAAAAGATGAGTTTTAGCTGTTACTTCCTACAACCTTCAACTTAATTTGTGACAAAAATGATCACTACAGATTATTTTCATTATAAAGTAGGTGCTCAAATATTTGTTTTTATTTTAAAGCACTTCATAATGAATTAGTTTTTAGTTACCACATAAGTGATTTTAATTACTGAAAGTCAATGAATTTATAGACAAATAACTTAAACAAAATTCAGAGAATGACAAATTATTTTATTTCATATTCTCCAAGTTTTTTCAATAGAAGGCATTATTATTTTTAAAAAGTGAGAACAATAATATCTAATGACACATTTTCTCATGATGTGTTATATCAGTTAGGTAGCACTTGACTCATGCATTGAGATAACTGCATTATCTTCTTTGACCTAATATAATTAATTGTACATTCTTGAATAAATCAAGCCACATTTAGATTCAGACATCCATTTTTTAAAAAGAAAAAAACAGTTTTAAAATTTGTATAATATGCTAAAATGTCCTGCATAATTAGCAAATGATCTTAACATTGAAATTATATTGAGCAAATATTTTATACAATGTATGTATTAATTTATTTCTGCATAAGGAAACTACACAAACATGAAAACTAAAAACAGCACCAGTGTATTAGCTCAGAGGTTTGTAGGGCAGAATTACAGTGTGGCATGGTAGGTTCTCTACTCAGAGTATCACAAAGCTCAAATCAACATGTCAGCTTGACTGCGTTCTCTTATAGAGGATCTGGGGAAATACCCACTTTCACGCTCGTATTTGTTGTTACCAGAATTCAGTTTTTTGTGGTCACAGGACTGAGGTTTGTATTTCCTTGCTACATGGTCAACTTAATCATCAAGTCAGCAATAGTGCATCAAATCTTTTCTGTGCGTAAGTCTCTGGTTTCTGTGGCCATCTTGAAAAAGCAAAAGAAAACAAACAAACACAACAACAACAACAAAAACTCTGCTTTTAAAAGGATCATGAGATTAGATCAGGATAGCCCACATAATCTTTCTATCTGAAGGTCAGGTGTGCCATATAACATAACTTAATAATGGAAGTAAAATCTGTCATATTCATTTTCCTGGAGATTACATATAGAGAATATACTGTGGGTAGAAAATTTTCAGGGACATCTGGAAATTCTGCCAACCACAATATAAAATGGCAATTTTTTGTAATATCAAGATGACCCATGCTGCTTTTTCTAATCCAGACATGGGAATTAAATAAAGCATGATTTTTCTTCCTGAAATGATCATTTTCAGCACTATAACAGTATTATTTTAAAACTTTTTAAAAAGTTGTTGTATTATTGTAGTAAGAACACTTAACATGAGTTCTAACCTCATAACAAATTTTTAAGTGGACACTACAATGTTGTTAGTTTTTGACATAATCTTATACAATTGGTTTTGAAAGCTTATCTTGCATTACTGAAACTTTATACTCATTGAAGGACAACTCCCCATTTTCCTTTCTCCCCAGCCTCTGACAACCATCTTGCTACTCTCTGCTTTCATAAGTTTGACTATTTCAGAACTTGGAGGACATTATTTTAAGTGAAATAAGCCAGTCATTGGAAACATACTGTATGATTCCACTTATATGAAATAATAGCACTCTCATTGAGAGGTAATACTTTTATTGCCACTGTAGTAGTGAGAAACAAATACTGTAAGTAACAGAAGTTTCTCTTAAATGTTTGTTTCACTACAAGATGGATTTACTGCCAAATGGTTTCTTATCTACAGAAAAAAACTCTAAGGTTAACTTTAGAGCTAAGATTTAGTGTGAGGATTCTGCAGGTCAGAGCTTTTCAAATCCCAGCTCTCAATCTAGCTTCTTTCAGGGCTTGGTATACAGGAAGTTATCAAAGAATTGAGTGGCTGCCTTTCTTTTGACCAGTTCCTTCAGAGTCTTTGATTGGAATAACCATTATTATTAGCCTAATTGTTGGCTTATCTGCAACAAACAGGTAAATATTCCATTCTTTCTCTTTTTAGATTTAGTAGATTTCACAAGTTACATAGTTAAAGGAGTTATGAAATAACACATGTAAAAATAAAGGAGATTGATCTTATGATGTTGATTATGCTTGAATTATAAAGTTAGAGAACCTGAGTCTCTTAAAAATAAATTAAAATATATGTATGATATAATCTTACTGAAAAGATTGAGGTAAAAATATGATCTAAGTAACTATAGGAAATGATGCTGTGAATGAATGTAAAAAGAGTTGTAGATAAATATTGTATTCTATTAATATTTTATGGTTTAGCAAACTAACCTGTGAGCAAGATCTGGTCACCTGTTTTTATGTGGCCAGCAAGGAAAGAATAGTTTTACAATTTAAAAATATGTGTATACACACACACACACACACAGATGCACACACACACACATATAGATAGATAGATAGATAGATATAATAGAGATGATGATGATGATTATTATTATTTGAAATGGAGTCTTGCTCTGTCTCCCCCAGGCTGGAGTGCGGTGGCATGATCTCAGCTCACTGCAACATCTGCCTCCCAGGTTCTAGCGATTTTTCTGCTTCAGCCTCCCAAGTAGCTGAGACCACAGGTGCACGCCACCATGCCCAGCTAATTTTTGTATTCTTAGTAGAGATGGGGTTTTGCCATATTGGTTAGGCTGGTCTTGAACTCCTTACCTTGTGTTCCTCCCACCTCAGCCTCTCAAAGTGCTGGGATTACAGGTGTGAGCCACTGCACCCAGCCAATAGAGATTTATATTAAATTATGTATATACTCTGGCATTTTGGCCAGAACTTTTGCTCGACTGTACTTTTTGCCCTGCAAAATCTAAAATATTTACTATTTGGCTTTTTACAGAAAACTTTTACTAACCCCTGCTCTAGTTTATATATATTTTTCAAATAAGGGCATGTGTCACCAATTTTTAAATTACTTTATAAGTATCTATGGTTGAACAAATAAGTGTATGAATTATAGACAAAGGAAGCCAGAATTTTTACTGTTAGAGAATGAAGCGACAAGTAAGCAAGGGAGGAGAGAGAGGCTAGAATGAACCCCATGGTGCTAGATTAGAGTAGAGCACACAAAAGAACTCATGTTTATTTTAATAGAAATATATGATAGATCATGAAAGATTGATGGAACAATACATCATAGATAGATGGAGAGTACATAGATACAGATAAAGATAAACAGATGCATGTGTGTGCATATGCTTCTTATTATGCACATGTGCATTTCCTTGCTCTGCCAACTGAGAGGGCCTAGATCAATGACACCTCAATAAAAATGAACACACAAAGTGTCTGAATCATGATTTTCAAACACCCTTCTCCATTAAAATGAATTAAGGCCTGGAGAAATAAAATGATGATATTAAACCTGAAATATTTTATAATGCTAGAAAGTAAAGAAATGCTCAAAATCGACCAATGAAATAAATTGTATACATTTATTAAATGGATATAACAGTTAACCTGAAAGTCCTCATGCTGGTCAAACCTGGAAAAAAATTGAGCAAAAAATTAAAAAAAAACCAATAGTATAGTGTAACTCAAAGAATAGCATAAAAATGTATGAATTCATACTGATATAAAAATATTCAGCAGCAAATGGAGAGAAAGTTCAATTCATCCTAAAAGCAATGTTTAAAATCCTATATTCTGGTAACCTCCCCCTGCATGAGGTAGTAGCTAATATCACCCCCCACTCCATGTCAAGTATGGGATAGACTTTGTGACTCACATCCAAAAAATAGAATATAGAAAGAAACAAACAAATATAGTATTTTCTTTACAATGGAGTACACTGGCAAACACTACCTTAAACAAGTGGTCAAGTTTAATATCACTGGTAAGAAGTCATGTTGATACCATGTAATCCCTGATGTGCTGTGCTGAAAATGATCCATCAACAGACAAATGGATAAAGAAAATATGGTGTATATACACAATGGAGTATTTTTCATCCGTAGAACCAGATTCTGATATTTGCAACACCGTGGATGGAACTAGAGGTCATTATATTAAGTGAAATCAGCCCAGGCACAGAAAGACAAAGTTTACGTGTTCTCACTTATTTGTGGAAGCTAAAAATTAAAACAACTGGACTCATGGAGATAGAGAGTAAAATGATGGTTACCAGACACTGGGAAGGGTACAGTAGTGCGGGGGTCGGGGGAAGCACAGCGTGGTTGGGGAGAAGTAGAGATGGTTAACGGGTATAAAAATAGAGTTAGAATGAATAAGAACTAGTATTTAATAGCATGACAGGGAGACTATAGTCAAAAATAATTTATTGTACATTTAAAAAATAACTAATAGTATAATTTGTTTGTAACACAAATAAATGGTAAATGCTTGAGGTGACAGATACTTTGTTTACCCTGATGCAATTACTATGCATTGTATGCCTGTATCAAACATGATCATGTACTTTATAAATATATACACCCACTATGTATGTACACATAAAAATTAAAAATGAAAAAGAATGGCACTTCACCTCTGTGGACTTTACCCCAAACCCATCACTCTAATCTAACCGTGAGAAAACATCATAGAAACCCTATTTTAGGATTTTCTTTGAGATCCCTAACCAGCATTCAAAAGTGACGAGATTTTAAAGACATAAGAAAACATTGTCATAGATGAAAGAGACTAATGATAAATTGCAACATCATTTCCTGGATTGGAGATTGTAACAGAAAAAAAGAATATGGATGGTAAAACTGGCAAAATTCAGATGAAACTTGCAGTTTATTATAAATATTAATTTCTTAGTTTGGATAAATTTGCTATAGTTATATAAGATGTTAATATTGAAAGAAGCTGGATAAAGGGAATATGGAACCACATATACTACATTATACTTTTGTAAATCTAAAATTATTTCAGAATAAAATGCTTATTGATTAGCTTACAATAAATGAGAACAAATAAGAACTATTTATCCAATAACAATTTTTGTTTTATTTTTCATAATTTGAAATGTTAACCCGCATCTTCCAATATAACGTAATTTGAACATGAATGTGATTTTACAATGAACTAACACCGTTTTTTCACTCTAAAAAGAAGCATTCTGAAGTAAGAATAAAAACATGGAATCTAAAAACGGTCTTTTTTTAATGAGTTAAATAATTTTGCTTTATAATTAAAAAATATGTATGTACGTATATATGTATGTGATACTATATATATGTGATACAATGATTCGTGCTTGTAAGTATTCTTTATTGACAAAATCCATTAGCACACTGGAATATAGGTACAGCCCATCAACTCTCTTAACTTTGATTTCTTTGACTGATGGATTTTTAGAAAAAATAAAATAAATGTTTTGCTAATGCCAGACTGACTGTCACATTTGACATTGGTTCACTGAGAGGGTATTTCCACATTCCAGATTGTGACAAATGAAAATGTGTTTTGTACCAAAACTATGTTAGAAACCTTGAAATGTTCAGAAGCTCATTTCAGATAAACTCTTCAACCTTATACAGTCGTGATATGGTACAGCTACAATACTGAGCAGAAAATTTACTTGGAACATATTTTCTTATGTGATTCCTAAAGTCATATCTTTCCCCCCTAGAATGGCTTGCAAATAAAACGCCTTACATCTGGAAGTCAGTACTTCCAGGGGCAGTATTCAGGGAAGATATTTCCTATGCTTAAGGATTCATAAGTCTCTTTTGCTGGCATAAGCTCTGTTATCCAGAGCCCTGATTAAAGTTAGAGGCCATGATAAAACAGAGACCAAAGTCAGTAAAAAAATGTTATTCTTTCTTAGTTTCCATGTTTTTCCAGTGCCTCATCTATAAGTCATAAAGCAGGTAAGAACATGTTAAAAGTGAAATAACTTAATAGTATAAAATATTGAAAACTTTTACTTTTCCTAGGGATGTGCTACGAGTTTGGAACATTTCAAATATTTTCAATTCTATTTTTTCAGACAAGTATTGCATTTAATTATATACACATAGAAAATGTTTTGAAGAGGAATAAAGCTTCAGATCTAGTCAGTAAATTTCAGCCTGAAATGAACACAATTATGGGTTAATTATAAGAAGGTGTCTGATATTGTCATGTAATCCATTATATTTCCTCCACTTTTGAACACAATTTCGTGTTTTCTATTTCATGTATATTTCCCTGCATGCTCTCTCTATTCCTCCCAGGAAATATATTCAACCTTTTTTTTTCTTACTGATTATAATCTACTATAAGCTGTTTCCCCAACTTCACATGTTGATATCCGATTTTCAAGGTGACGGTATTAGGAGTTGGGGGTTTTAGTGAGATGATTACATCATGAGGGCAGAGCCCTTATGAATGAGATTAGTGCTTTTATAAAGGAAACCCAGAGAGCTGCCTTGTCCCTTCCACCCTGTAAGATGAGGAAGGGGGCCCTTGCCAGATACTGTGCGTGCCTTGATCGTGGACTTCCCAGCCTCTGAACTGCGTGAAATGCTTGTCTGTTGTTCATAAGCTACTCAGCCTCTGGTATTTTGTTGGCGCAGCCCTAATGGCCTAAAAGAAAATCTTGCCTAAAGAAATGTTCTTAGCTTTTCCCTAGACATAGAACTCTTCTGTGCCATTGCATATTGGTTTCTTTTTTTTACATCTTTTTACTGACATCATTCAAGCTGCTTCTAGGAGACATTTCTTCTATAATTAATGACACAGCAATATTTACTTTTTATGATTACTACGACACCTTCTTTATGTGCTACCTTAAGGACATTGACTCATATAGGAAACCCTCCCTAGTTGAAGAAATTCTGTAGGTTACTATCAACATTTTAAATATTTGTAGTTCAGTTTGAGAATATACAACAGTTCTGAATGCACAGGGCAGTGAGGTAATTGTTTCTTATCTTAATTTGGCATTTTATTTCTCTAATCTCACAGTTTTGTTTTATATTCTATACTAGAATGTGTTTACTTGCCTCAGATTTTTCAGAAAAAATGTGAAAGTGTTTTATGCTGTTCTGAGTATGTGACGGTGATTGAGCGTTACAGTTTTAAGGGGTAAGTAGGCAACTGTGAAGAAATGTTTTAGAAAGATTTATTATTGCTTTACATTTTCCCTCAACCATGACAAACAATTCTTCCCATATTTAAAATGTCTTTCGGAGACTGGAATTTACGCAGTTTCATAATCTGGGGTTGGAAAATATAGTAATAAAATTAAAAATAGTGCTTTCTTATAAGAAACTCAAATTATGCCCTGAAAAACAACCAGCAAAAAATAACCAGAAAGATGAAATGGACAATTTTTTAAACATAAACATAACAAAAAGATATAGTACATCTGAATAGTCTTATGTCTAATTAAAAAGTTAAATCTGACTTAAAAACCTTCCCAGAATGCAAGTTAGATCCACTGGTCAGTTCTTTTGAACATATAAGAAATTATCATTATCCTCATACAATTATTGCAAAGAATAAAAATAGTACATTCCTCAAATTATTTCATGAGCCTAGTAATAGGACTTGATTGATATGAAAACAGTTTTATTTTTTAAAAATGTGCTTAGACTACTTTGAAAACTAAAAATACAGCTCTAATCTTGGAATTATATAATTAGCAGCAAAAAGTCTAATCCCTATCTTTCTCTGCTAGGACCTGTAAGACACTAATGATGCACTGGCATATAGAATAGTCTTATTTAGTTTGGCTCTATAGAAGTGTGGAGAAGCAGATAGGAATAGTAGCCTCAAACCTGAATTAGTCTCTTTATGCCCAGAATATTATTGATAAAGAGGCCACCATGTCATCACATTCCCTGAAACACTTATTAATCAGTTATATAAAGAATGGTAAAGAATTTCAAATTATTAATAGTGATTTTTGAGGTATACATATAACTGTGGCTCTAAAATTTAGTCTAAGAATCATCATTGAATAATTTAAGTAAAGCCTTGTAAGATGACTTCTCCTGGCCACAACAGAGTACGTTGTAGTAGAACAACAATATTGCTACAAACAACTGGGAAATACACAGAACAAGTTTTTAAAAAATACCTCCTTGGTGGAACTAGAGAATTACAGAGTTAAACAAGACTTGCAGGGTCAAAATCCCAGGAAGAAGGAACTGCAGAGAGTTGATGTGATATTATGTAGCAAATTTTCACCCTCAGTGCTTGTGCTATTACTTGTACATGAAAAGGTCAAGAATCCAGAGAGTCAGTTCCGGCAGAGGGCTTTTGCTAATAAGTGAAATTTCGGCGAAATTCGGAGAATTAAGTTTTGGGCTGCCAAGGTAGTTAGGAAATTGAGAGTAGGCATTCACCTTGTAAGAAAAGAGGTTCAGCAAAGTGGTAGTGATAGTCTGTCAGTTTTCCATTTAAAGGATATGAAAGTCTTGAGGTGCACAGGGCCAAAGAATAAGAAGTTAGACACAGCCCCCGATGAGTGGAGCTGAGTTTTCTAGTGTCATAGTACTACAGAGAAAAAATAGATAGATTAGATAGATAGATAGATAGATAGATAGATAGATAGATAGATAGATAGATAGAATTTCCAAAACGAAAAGGGCCTGGAAAATATCCCGTATCTCAGCTGGAAGTGCAGGTAGGCTATACTATTAGTAGTAAACATACTCCCTAAAAACTTATAACCTAGCTTCTAGGGAACTCAGTCCCTCTTGACTCCATTCTTCCAGTCTGTCAGGGGACAAACACAAACTTCTAAAGAGGAAGAAAAAATCATCCAGAGTCGCTACAATTTAAAATATCTGGAATTCTATCAAAAATAACCAAACCTCCCAAGAAAAGAAGAGAAAACAAATGATTATATTAACAGACTCACAGATGACTCGCTTTGGGGAATTATTATAAATGGATTGTAAAATCAAGTATCATAAACTGAGAAGGCAGATGAATTTAACAGAAGAATGGGCATATCACAATAAAAAATGAATAAAATAAAGAGCAAAATAATATACTAAATGTGGAAAAATGTAGAAGAGACTTACATGACAGAGTGACATTAGTAACATACATGTAATTAGACTCCCACAGTAGCCAGAGAGTGAGAATTGGGAAAAATAATATTGGAATAGCTATTATACAAGAATTGTCCAAATCTGCTTATTGGTATAAACCATAAATCAAGAAGCCCTAAAAATATCAGATAAGATAAATACAAATCCAGCTAAACCTATTATATTAAAACCGATTAACAACTCACTATGTTAAAATAATGAGATAATAACCTTATTTTCCTCACAGTAAGGGAAAAATATTTCATAAAGTTCAACATATTCATAACACAAACATTTATCTTAGCAAATCAAAATTATAGGAAAACAACCTCATTTACAAAAGAAAAAAATTCACTAAAACTTCAACAGTCATTATTCATGGTCAAGTGCTGAAAGCTTTACCACAGAGATGGGAATCAGAAAAGAACACCCAGTATAATCATTTCTGTTCAATGTATTTTGAAGTGGCTAGCTAATGTAAATTGGCAAGAATAATGTACAAAAGTCATAAAAACTAAAAAGTGAAAATTTTAAAATATTGTTAGTTGGTAAATTTTTAAAAATATGATAAGAATACAAATCAAAACATAACTGGGGAAAAATCAAAAAAGTAAAAAGCACTTAAGTGAGTCAAATCAAAACGTTATCTGGGGAAAAATCAAAAAGTAAGAGGCACATAAATAGGTGAATGGATAGGCCATGGACCTGGATTGGAAGACACAATCCCAATGAAAATATGATATTTTCTTTAAAAAAAAAACACACATGGAGAGCTATTTATTTCAAATTGATAATATCAAATCTGTGAAGTGCACTAATTTCACATACATATCTTAAATATTTTATGGATATGGAATCTATGCAATTGCCACTTAAATAAAGCATGAAAATGTTTCCAGCAAGCCACATGTTTTCCTTGTATACATTTCCAGCCTATAAAACTTCCCAGAGATAATACGATTTAGATACCAATCTATACTTAAATTTCACATGAGTAAAACTATGTACGTTTTTGTTTAACTTCTGTTATCCATTGCTATGTGTTTGAGATTCAGCCATCTTATTACTTGTAATAATTGTTCCAATTTCCTTTGTAAATTGCTGTGTAGAATTATTCTATTTTAAAAATATATTATTTATTCATTTGCCATTGGTGTGGACTTAGAATGTTTCCAATTTTTTAAATATTAAGAATAAATCTACTGTGATATATTGTGCATGCATTTTGTAGGCATATGCACTTATATCTCATTTGTATATGATTTGTAGTAAAATTATTGATTCTATGGTGAATGCAAAAAAGGCTAGCTTTCCAGAGTGTTTGTATTGTTTTTCCTTCCTAAGAGTCATATGTGAGTTCCAGTTGTTCATCTCTACATCAATATTTGATATTCACTATGTTTTAAATTTACCTCATTTTGAGCATGTACTGAGATATCTTACTATAATCTAAATTTGCAATTCCAAAATGGTTAATGATGTCCAGTGGCTTTTAAAATATGTATTGGTCATTCCAGCATACTCTTTGTGAAGTATATGTTCTTTTCCCTGTTAAAAAAATTGGGTTGTGTATATTTTTACTTCTTT
The DNA here is from genome assembly GCF_000001405.40 of Homo sapiens. Classification (NCBI taxonomy): domain Eukaryota; kingdom Metazoa; phylum Chordata; class Mammalia; order Primates; family Hominidae; genus Homo; species Homo sapiens. Next base: position 66,226,195 of record NC_000004.12, on the reverse strand, counting down.
GCATTCATTTTATATATATATATATATTCATTATACATTATATGTAAATAAAATACATACAAATAAAATATATAAATAAAATATTTTCATATAATATAAGGAATGTATTATATATTATGTGTATACATTGTTTTCACTAGAAATTTTGTAAAATAAAAATAATGTGAATTTTATTGAAATCACAGCATTTCTATCTTATTCTACTTTTTAAAAAAATTTCAGTAGATTTAAAAATGATTTTCCCTGCCTATTTTTACAGAAATGTTACAGTATTTCTCCGCTTTGTTTGGACCCCTTTGCCTTACTAGTAGTGCTCTATTTTGAAAATCAACAAATGTTATGGGAAAAAACTCAGCAATCTGGAGAAACAAAATTAAGCCAGATCTTTATGTTTCCCACTGACTTGCTGACTTCCAGAACTGTTTGCCCAAAATACAGCTAGTTTGCTTTCATTGTTTTTCTCTCTTTCTTTCCTCCCTACCTTCCTTCCTTGTTCCTTGCCTCCTTCCCTCCCTTCCTCCCTCCCTCCCTCCCTTCCTTCCCTCCTTCTGTCCTTCTGTCCTTCCATCCTTAGAGAGAAAGATGGGCAGACACTACACTGCTGGCTTTGAATATGAAGGAAGGGCCCACAGATCAAGGAATGTAGGTGAATTATAGAAGCTGGAAAAGGCAATGGGATGGATTCCTCCCTACAGTCCCCAGAAGGAATAGAGCCCTGCTGACATTTTGACTGTAGCCCAGTGAAATCTATTTTGTATTTCTGACCTCCAGACCTATGAGATAATAAATATCTGTTGTCTTAAGCTACTAGGTTTGTGGTAATTTATTACAGAACTAATAAGAAACTAATACATTAGGATGTCACATAAACATCGGATACTTAGACATGATTTGGGTGACCTCAGCTTAACTGTGCAGGTGCATGAACATATTTCATATTTGTCACAACTATTACATGTTTTAGGCCCTTCTAGTGAGAACAATGTTTTTTTCTAAGCTAATATTAAAGCCTTACAATACATCAGTGTGTTGCACTGGTCTAAATAGATAGGCAGGCCGGGTGCAGTGGCTCATGCCTGTAATCCCAACACTTTGGGAGGCCAAGGCGGGCAGATCACCTGAGGTCAGGAGTTCCAGACCTATCTGGCCAACATGGTGAAACCCCGTCTCTACTAAAAGTACAAAAATTAGCCAAGTGTGGTGGCGTGTGCCTGTGGTTCCAGCTACTCGGGAGGCTGAGGTGGGAAGATTGCCTGAATCCTGGAGGCAGAGGTTGCAGTGAGCCGAGATGGCGCCACTGCACTCCAGCCTGGGTGACGGAGTGAAACTGTCTCAAAAAATAAAAATAAATAAATAAATAAGTAAATAAACAGGCAGTATTTAAAAGAGCTGTTATTTAAAAGAGCCGGTGGGAGGAACTCTCAGAGGAGTTATATATTTCACCTAAATTAATTTGTATAATTGCCAAATATTCAAATAAGTAAACCTTAAAGATTCTATTAAAACTACAGACCCCCATGACACAAGTTTACCTATGTAACAAGCCTGAACTTGTACCACTGAACTTAAAAGTTACATTATATATATAATATATGATGTGCGTATATATATATATAAAAATATATGTGTGTATATATATACATACACATCAAAATTTTAAAGCTAAAGTATAATCATTGTATGGTAAACAGGAGTATTAGTCATGTTTGTCGTGTGACACTGGCATTTGTGTATATATATGTTGTATATATAAAATAGTTACATATATACATACATTTTAACATTTTTTTTAGATTAAATTTTTACTTTTTCAAAATTTTAGCTTCAGGGGTACATTTACATGTTTGTTATATAGATATATTCCTTAATGGTAGGGATTGGGTTTCTAGTGTACCCATCACCCAAATATTGAACATTGTACCCAGTAGCTAATTTGTCAGCCAATGGGTAATTAAACTCAGTTAATCTAGGCTGAAGGATTATTGTTTTTGTAGTTACATTTTTTTCCTTATAATACATAGTCTCAAGGAGGAGTTGATATGTGCCCCAAGAGATTATTCTTTTTTTATTAAAAATTTTTAACACATTAAACAAATTCTAGTTGTCTTAACAAAACAATAGTTTATTCTACTCTGAAATAGAGAATTTGACATTTTCGATGGTTAATCAATTTATTTGATTGATGAGTTTTGGAAAAGGACTAAATAGGTATGGCTAAAACTTACTTTGATTCTGCTTTTTTTGTAAAATTTTATCTGCAAAATAAATTCATTCTGCATTTTCTCTACCATGCGCTAAGAGACCTCTTCCTGACAGAGGCATTCTGAGATTGTCCAGTGCTGCTTGTAACTACCTAATTCTAATGTAATTCTGGCGTCAACAAGTCCATTTTGTCATAAATCTAAAGTATATTTTCTGACTGGTTTACTTTGTAAGAATAATGCTATTTTGATTTTCATCTGTCTGACAGAGACTCTTGTGTCGGTGTTTCAATTTTTTACACATCTGTGCAAAAAAAAAGGCCCAATACAAAAATAATAGAAAAATTTAAAGCTAAAGTATAATCATCGAATGGTAAACAGGAGTATTAATCACGTTTGTCATGTGACACTGGCATTTTGTTTGACAGGGGGTACTTTAAAATGGACCAGCACACACATAAGCATACACTGGATATTGTGCACTGAAGCAATCCCAAATAAATGTCCTGTTATAGCGACGTAATTATTATTAGGCACGATGTGCATCCTACCGGTTAATGCAATAAGAATCAATTCCAAAGGAATCAGTAAAAGATTTCACCATTCTGCCCCTTTCAGTTTTTTCCTGAATCCACAAGAAAGCTCTGTCCAAGCTCATAAGCTCACAGCACCTAGCTTTGTCCTCTGTAATGCTGCAATCACTATACACGTCTGAATGAACATTAAGCACTGGAACATTTGCATTAGATATGCAGCCTTCTGAGATGTGTCTAATGTGCACATTGCTAATTAACTCTGCTACCACACCTGGGCCGACTGTCCATGGCTGTAAGCACATTTTCGAGAGGGGATTTGAAAGGCAATTCATTAATTTGGTGCTGTTCTCCAAAATCAACAACAATAAAAACATACAAAGGAGAAGGAGATTTGATGTCTAATTCAGCCTAGAACTAGAACATCTGCCATGAAGCTAAATTGGGTTTATTTTGGCTTTTATTTTGAAACATTATTTTAAAAGCTCCAATCTGTTTAATTTGAAGGAGATTTGGGAACAGGGAAAGATAGTTGAATGTCAGAGATCCAATAATATGGGTTGATTTTCTAATAGGGCCTGAGAAAGGCAGAGTACAGACAAACAACAGGAAGAAAAAGGCAGCTTCAACTGCATCAAAGGCATGAGAATTTCAAACACAAGACCATCATAATTCAAACCTTGGATCTATCATCTGTATAACTGATTGTTCCTGGGAAGTTAATTAACTGCTTTCAATATCAGTTTTCTCATCTATAAACTGGGTATAATAATATTTGCCTTACAAATTTTTCAGAATATTTTAATGATAAAATGTTTGTAAAGAGCTCTGAATTAGATCTGGTCTGTAAATGGCAATCAGTAACTATTATTCAAATCTGAATTTAAAGACAGATGGCAATGCATGTTTGACTTATAGGGACTGCACTGGCATATTACGTGGATGAATAAAATTTCACATATAACTGCCAGGCATAATTTCTGCATTTATTTGCTCTAAAGACATAATCAACAACTTGAGATAGGCATTCCTTAAGACAGTGGGAAAAGCACAGAATAAGTTTTATTCGATTATACCAAGGCCACACTAAATAAACATTCACTCTAAATGAAAAATGTGTTTTCATTGCAGAGATTTTCAAAATCAGACCACAGTCCTCCTTTCAACAATATTGCCTACTATGATTTCCTCTATTATCAAAATTATGAATGCATATTTGCTGAGGAGTGTGTATGAGATAATATAATTGTCATCAGATGTTAGTAAATGCAGTAAAATGAACAGAATTGTTAGTAGTGAGTTGGCAAAATTTATCTGTTGTAACTCTTATGTCCTGAGAAAGCCTTGCTTTTTAATCTTATTTAATAGTGTTTATTTTATTTAATTAGTTTTCATGAGAATTCACTCATAGGTTAATGTGACCAAAAAAAAAGACCTAATCTGTTGGATTAGATGGAACTCGTTGGTCCTCTCAAACTGACTCTACTGCCTTTGAGTGTTGGCAGCTACTAAGTCCCAAGTTTCTCCCACATTCTCCAAAAAGAAAATTACCACAGGCTTGTAGTTCCCCTCCCTTTCTGCTGGCTGAGGACAGAAGACTGTTTTTCCTGCCCTGTCACTGTAGACTTCCCAGCAAACCTTCTACCTCTTAACTCAACATTCAAGTCAACTGCCGTATGAAAACTAAGAACTTTGAATGCAAGATAGACCTCCAAACTTCCCTTTGCCAAAGATGCTCTCATCCAAGGAGAGTGGTATAGCCCCATCAAAAATCTGGGTTTCAAAGACAATAACATTGAAATGGTGTTTCTGGTTTATCACATACCTACCCCTAAAGGAGGCAGCAAATGTAAGGATTGCAATATTTAAATGTTTCAAAATACGGCAGCTGGCTCTGAGTTGCAATGCAAAGGCAATCTATCTTGCTTTTGGTCTCCTACAGTCTATCGTTATAACTGACATCTACCAACTTCGCTCCGTATTACCTCTGTGAAATGTCAAAATGCTTGTTTTATTTGTGGACACTAACAGCATATAGAAAAAGTCCTGGGAGCAGGTGTAAATGCCCAGGAAGAGAGTATAATAAATTAAAACCTGTGACCAGAATATCTGGAAAGGCTTATACAATGTATGTGAAGCTGAAGTATTTCTATTGCCTGCTGTTCCTTCAAATCCGACTTTCTGCCTTTGAACATCATTAAATGATTTCGCCATTGGAAATACCTATATATGTTCTTTAAATCCTAGAGTTTTATACTTTCTTTCTGTGAAAGATGTCTTCATCTTTTAAATTATACCCATACTTTGCTACATTGAAATAAGAATTAGGCTTCTGTTCATTTCATTATTATTCTTATCTCTCCAGTAATAATGTCACATTAGCATAGCATTTAGATAATTTCAATGTATTATTTCAAAATTTTTAGTTTTTACAAAATAATTTTTAGTTTTGATAACACATCAGGAAAACCAGTGCCTTTGATTCCATACATCACAATTTTTATTCCTTCTTGCCTGTAGTTCCTGTCCTTATTACTGAACTCATACATGCCTTTGCCCAAAATATGTTTTTGATAAAATCTCTTCTGTAAAGACACATGCACACATATGTTTATTGCAGCACTATTTACAATAGCAAAGACTTGGAACCAACCCAAATTTCCATTGACGATTGACTGGATAAAGAAAATGTGGCACATATACACCATGGAATACTGTGCAGCCATAAACAAGAATGAGATCATGTCCTTTGCAGAGACATGGATGAAACCAGAAGCCATCATTCTCAGCAAAGAAACACAGGAACAGAAAACCAAACACCAAATATTCTCACTCATAGTGGGAGTTGAAAAATGAGAACACATGGACACAGGGATGGAAACAACACACACCGGGGCCTGCCAGGGGGTTGGGAGCAAGGGGACAGAGAACATTAGGACAAATACCTAAAGCATGTGGGGCTTCAAACCTAGATGACAGGTTGATAGGGTTCATAGGTGCAGCAAACCACCATGGCACATGCAGGCCTGTGTAACAAACCTGCACATTCTGTACATGTATCCCAGAACTTAAAATAAAATTTTTTTAAAAAAGAAATACACATTTAAAAAAGGAAAATATCTTCTGGTTCTTTAGGGCCTCTTTGGAGGAAGCAGGGGCAACATCATAAACTTTACAATTGCTGAATAATCGGTATGTATACTAAGCTTTTGTGTAAGGAACCAGTAAAGCAAGTGCTCAACACGTAGAATAATTTATTTAAAAATATATATCTGAAAATAAGAATTAGGAATTGACACTTTGGTACTTATTAATAGAATTATTTTCAGTTTTGAATGTTTTCGTGTGTTTGTTTTCTCATTTTAATGTAGCAAAGAAGATCATCCTTATTTTAGTGTTTAAATTAAGGCTGCTAAATATCTAATGTCTTTCTTGGGACTTTGAAACCCTCTGCTGCTTCTATTACTGCAATTCTAATGCTTTCTATTTTATATATTGAGTTCACACATAGATTTTCTAGAAAAACTGTTCTTATTGCCGAAAAAAGCTTTGATATAAGCATTGTCTTTAAAAAATTTGATAAAGCCACTCTTCCACATGGTTGGCATTGTCCTGCTAATGGAATTTTAGGATACTTACATCCATTTCAACAAATGCATTTGACATACTTTTGACTTGACATACTGCATCAACCTTCTATTTCCATTCATAAACGATATTTTTCTAGGCTCCTATGTCTTTGGATTATATATAATTGTAAATCCAATCTTTTTTTCCCTTTGTGACTCATCCTTGCAATAAATCTTCCAAGTTATATCTGATATGCCTTAGAGACAACCATTTTACTTATACTAAACAAAACTGCCTGCCTTGTCTGGCTTTTCTACAGCTTGTGACTTAAGAGTTCTAAATCCAGCTCTTTACAACACATTCTTCTCTTTATAGTAGCCTGATTTATTTTAACATATGTTTTCAATTTTATTTTTTCCCAAATTCAGATTGTCATTGTAGAAAAATTAATACATTGGCCGGCTTTCAATTGAATTTTCCAATGTCAAGGTTGTTTTATTTCGTACATGCCCTTTTTTTTTACTGTCATATTTAGTCAAAACACTTTTTGTATAGGCATGTCACAAAAACTAATTTTTTATCTGATATTGAAATTTTACTGACTATGGGCAATCCTACCTTCTTCAGAATTGCCTCTGAAAATTTCAAAATTTGACTCTTCTCATGCTGTTTATTATTTCATATCTACTAATTATGCTAATTTTGAATGGTTTCATCAATAAAATCATCTTCGAAATAAAAAGATCAGCAAATAAAAGAAGAGGAGGTGAACAAGATTACAGAAGGAAGAAAGGAGGAATACAGGTGCTTATAAGAAATACATATGAGTCAAGTCCACAGGAATAAGAAGTAAGAAAACCCTGCAGAGCTTGGGTGCCATGGCTCACGCCTGTAATCCCATCACTTTGGGAGGCTGAGCATGATGGATCCCCTGAGGATGGGAGCGGGAGGCCAGCCTGGCCAACATGGTGAAACCCTGTCTCTACTAAAAATACAAGTATTAGCCAGGTGTGGTAGCACACACCTGTAATCCCAGTTACTCGGAAGGCTGAGGTAGAAGAATTACTTGAACCCAGGATATGGAAGTTGCAGTAAGCCAAGATCGTGCCATTGCACTCCAGCCTGGGTGACAGAGCAAAACTCCATCAAAAAAAAAAAAAAAAGAAAGAAAGAAAGAGAGAGAGAAAGAAAGAAAGAAAAAGAAAGAAAAAGAAAGAAGAAAAAAGAAAGAAAGAAGGAAAGAAAAGAAAAGAAAAGAAAAAAGAAAAAGAAAACCCGCCAGACATGGTGGCTCATGCCTGTAATCCTAGCACTTTGGAAGGCCAAGGCGGGTGGATCACGAGGTCAAGAAATCGAGACCATCCTGGCCAACGTGGCGAAACCCCGTCTCTACAAAAAATACAAAAATTAGCTGGGCATGGTGGCACACACCTCTAGTCCCAGCTACTTGGGAAGCTGAGGCAGAAGAATCACTTGAACCCGGGAGGCAGAGGTTGCAGTGAGCTGAGATCACACCACTGCACTCCAGCCTGGGCGACAGAGTGAGACTATATCGCAAAAACAAAAAAAAAAGAGGAAAGAAAGAAAGAAAAAAGAAAATCATTCAGATGTTGTAGTTGAATAAAAGTTCAAAGACATAGAAAGAATATAAATTAAATAGTAAGTTGGATCATTGTTGAAAGCATTTACATTCCTAAAGGAACTTTGTGCCGCTAACTAGACCAAGGCCACACAGTTGCCATTAAGTTGAGTGAAACTGGATTCTAGCCCAGGTTTGTCAAATTTCAGAGCCCAACCTCTTAATCACTTTGATGCTAAAGAAACTTATCACCTATGCCTTGCATGATCAAAGGTCATTGTGCTGCTCACAAAATACCTTTCATAGTCTTTTTTTCTAATGGAATTTGAGTGTATTTTATATTTGTTTTAATAAACATTTTGTAGATTTACTTTTCTTCTCCCAAGTTTCCTATTTGATTGCATTTATTATATTAAGGTGCTCTTTTTAAACTTAAACATTTTCATGAATTTTTCTACTATCTTTAATATCTCCAAAATACCTTAGACAACATATAGATTCACCCACATTTTATTTATATATGATTTTATTTATTTGTTAACTCTTCAGTATATTAGAAATTTATCCTGATATTTAGTATGAAGTGAGAAATGAAAAAAAGGCTTTTTGCTGTCCTCAATAAGTACTCTTGACTCCTCTCTTTTCATATGTGTAAAGACCTACTATATTCGGTAAGCATAGTTCAGCACTGTACTTAGAGTCCTTTCTCAGTCTAGCAGGCCTGTATACAACTTTACTGGTACTGATGATATACTAATTATTTAAATATAACAGTTCTTTATTGCACTGTTAATGTAATAGCTGCAAAGATTCTTCAACAAACATAATCTCTCTTTCCTTTACCATTATCCTTATTTTTCTCTCATGTTTGTATGACTCTTAAAATTTTTCATAAAACATGCAATCTCTATGGGTTTAAAATCTGTACTCCAAATACATTATCCCGTGGCTGTATCATTGTCAATGGATAAGATTGAATGCACTAAAGGAAGATGGCCTGGGTTTGAATCCAGGTTCTCCTATTTACTATATTTTTGATCTTATATAACCTATCAAACCATCTCTGTGTGAATGTCTTTTTTCATACTCAACACAGAGATAATAATTGTCACTTTAGATAAGGCTACTCCAAGAATTAAATGCCATATTGCAAAGTGGGTAAAGCATGCAGCAGAGTGTGGAGGGCATAGCCAATGTTCATAGTAAGTTTCTGTATAACATAGTTCTTAATAGAACTCAGAGTCTTGTGAGTTTGAAGCACTGCTCTGTCATTTACTGGCTTGTATGACTCTTAAAAAGCTCATGAAGGCGGGCGTGGTGGCTCATGCCTGTAGTCCCAGCACTTTGGGAAGCTGAGGTAGGTGGATCACCTGAGGTCAGGAGTTTGAGACCAGCCTGACCAATATGGTGAAACCCTGTCTCCACTAGAAATACAGAAATTGGCTAGACATGGTGGTGCACACCTGTAGTCCCAGCTACTTGGGAGGCTGAGACAGGAGAATTGCTTGAATCTGGGAGGTGGAGGTTTCAGTGAGCCGAGGTCGTGCCATTGCACTCCAGTCTGGGTGACAGAACAAGACTCTGTCTCAAAAAAAAAAAAAAGAGCTCATGAATAAGACAACATTGAATATAGTAGTGTCTAGCTCACAATGTAGTCACTGTAGAGTGTAAATGTGGGCTTTGGGGATATATAATTCTTGCTCACATTGTGGCTTTACACTTACAAGATGTGTGATCCTGAAAATCTTGGTTTGCTCCTCAATAAAATGGGAGTAATAACTGCACCTAACTTCTAGAACTGTTATAAGGCTATAAACAAGTTAGCACATGTTCAGCACCTAGAACAGTATCTGACAAGCAAAAAGTGTTCAGTACAATTATGATATCACTATTAGTAAGTTCTGCTGTTGAAAGGCCCTTGATATTGGCATCCTACTCATGCCACACAAGTAACATCAAATTTCTTAAATTTTTAATTTTCTTTATTGATTTATCAAATTTTATGTTTGTCTTATTTTCTATTTTTGGTCTTGTATTCTTCCTTATTATTTTCTTCTGTTGACCTTATTCTATTCCAATTCTTTTCTTCACTATTTCTAATTCTCCTTCCTTTCATACATCTTTATTATCAACTTTAACTTCTCAAGATTTGTTCAATAAACAACTCTTTATACATATAACCTGTAGAGCTGAACAGAAAAAAGTGTAGCATATATTGAATTGTGCACTGAAAATCATGCCTACCTCACAGATGAACCAGTATTAAGAACCAGATTACCAATGTTTTTCTAATTAAGTAAAATCTAGTTAAATAATTATATTCATAATATGACTAAATAGCTTAATCATTTCAGATACTTCACTTTTTTATATATTTCATTTTAGTGGCTTAATCTAACCAAACATATTCATTGTAGTCCAAATATAAATTTTAAAATTGTGGATCATGACTCATTAATAGGTCCTAAAGTAAATTTAATGAGTTAAGTCCTGCATTAATAAATAAAATATAATTAAGTAGATTAGAATTGAAACAGAATGGAGTGGAATAGAGAGGGTTGCCATTATACATTGTAAGTGGGAGTATTGTTTTATGAAACATTTTTTATTCTAGGTTTGTGTATGTGTGTGTGTGCATATGTGTGTTGGGCATCAACGTGATGTATATTTCTCACTATGATCCATGACCCGAAAATTTTGGAAGACACTAGGCTGCTAGTCTTGTGAAAATAATAGACCAAAAATAAATTGCTGTGTTATGTCAATTAGTGTTGAAAACAAATAACTGCTATTGGGATTGAAAACTGATCAAGCCACAGATCGTTCTACTTTAAGCCTTTGTGATCACTTTGATACAGTTAAGAATGATCTTTTTGTGATTCATAAGCATTTTCTATTTACCTGTGTCATACTGGTAAATCCAAACTGGCTTCTGGTTACCACTTTCTGGGACAGATTGTCTCATTTCTGTCTATTGTTTGATACAATGTATTTATTACTAAATATAAACAAAATAATTTATAAAATTCTGAAAATTGTTTTCATCAATTTCTTCTATTCCTGTCAATTTTTCTTTACATATTTTGAAATATTATTAGGTACAGATAAGTTTGGAATTGTTATGCCTTCTGGTTGAATTCAAACTTTTACAAGTATAAAATGTCCTCTTTAATTTCTGATAGTACTCTTTATCTTGAAGTCTAATTTTTCTGATATTCATATTGCCACATTAGCTATTTTATAGTTATTATTGGCATAGCATATCTGTCCTTATACTTTTAATTTCAATTCATGTGTGTCTTTATATTTAAAGTGCATCTCTTTCAGACAACTGATAGCTGGATCTTATTTTTTTATTATGGCTGATAATCTATGGCTTGTAACTGAAGTGTTTAGTCTATTACCTTTAGTGCAGTTATTGATGTATGTAAGTCTAAATATTTGCTATTGTATGTATGTGTGTTTCATTACTTTTTAGTTCCTGTTTATTTTTTTCTCACTTTATTTTAGATTGTCCCACTCTTTTACATAGGTTTTACTTCCTATATTGAATTTTTAGCCAAACAGATTTTTATCATATTTTAGTTGTTGCTATAGGAGTTACAAAGGAAATATATCCTTAATTTATCTCTCTCTTTTTTTTTTTTTTTTTTTTGAGACAGAGTCTCACTTTGTCACCCAGGCTGGAGTGCAGTGTCGCTCTCTCAGCTCACTGCAAGCTCTGCCTCCCGGGTTCACGCCATTCTCCTGCCTCAGCCTCCCGAGTAGCTGTGACTGCAGGCACCCACCACCACGCCCGGCTAATTTTTTGTATTTTTAGTAGAGACGGGGTTTCACCGTGTTAGCCAGGATGGTCTCAGATCTCCTGACCTCGTGATCCACCCGCCTCGGCCTCCCAAAGTGCTGGGATTACAGGCGTGAGCCACCGCGCCCAGCCTATCTCTTTGCTTTTTAAAATTATCAAATCATTTCATATTCATAATTTATAAACATGTGGACTTTTCAAATATATAATTACAGTTATCATCCCCTGTGCATTGGCTATTACTGTCATGTATTATAATTCTACAAACAGTATAAACCCCATATTTGCAATGGTAGGTTTTTTTGTTTGTTTTAAGTAGTTATTTGTTTTTACATTATCTAGAAGGCAAAAAATTTAGTCCTTTATAGCTACCATTTATTTTCCATTTGGGGTCCTCTTCATTTTTTTTTTTTCTTCAGATGTAGTTTTCCTCCTGGTAGTCTGGTATAATTTACCTCAACCTGATTAAGTTTCTTATTCATTTCTGGTAGCACAGTTTTCTAACAACAAATTCTCTCGGTATTCGTTTATCTGAAAATGTCTTAATTTTGCCTGTATTTTTAAAGAATATTTTGGATGAATATAGAATTTGGGGTGAACAACATTTTTTTTTTCATCTTTTGAAGCATGTCATTTTCTTTTTTATTCTGGCCTTTGTAGTATCTAAAGAGAAGGTCAAGATGATTTATACCATTGTTTTCCTGTATACAATTTGTCTTCTCTTTTTTCCTGACTTCCTTTAAGATTTACTTTTTATCTTCTTTCAGAGGATTGACTGTGTGTTCCTAGATGTCTTTTTCTTTGCTTTTAACCTTCTTGAGATTGACTGAACTTCTTAGACTTCTAAGTTGATGTTTGTTACAAAATTTGGAAGATATTTTATCTTTATGTCTTTAAATTATTTTTGACCCATTTACTTCCTCTGGGTCTCCATGTAAATACATGTGAAATCTTACATTATCTCACATGTCACTTGGATGCTGCTTATTATTATTAACCCATCTCTTCTTGTCTCACATGTTCAGATTGAAAAATTTCTCAAATCAGAGTCCAGGCTTACTGACTTTTCTTCCATCTCCAATCTGCTTTTAGTCCAACTCAGTGAATTCTTGTTTTTACACATAACTCACCAAGCTGACCCTGCATATATTTATGATGTAGTGACATGACAATAAAACGTAATAATCAAATGTTACACCATAACAGGGTTTTCAACCTCAGAATTGCTAATTTTTTAACTTGGGTTACAAGGAGAATTGTCCTGTGCATTGTAGAATGCACAGAAGCTTACTTGGTATCTACGTACTAGAGGCCAACCCTCTTTCTGTTGTGACAACTAAAAGTGTACCCAGATGTTTCTAAATGTCGTCTTGAAGGAAAAATAGCGCTTGGTTGGGAACCACTAAGTAACAAAATATGTTGTCTTAATTTATTTATATTCATAGCTGCATTTCCATTGAGAAAATACTAGATTTATAAAGCAAGAGGAATTAAATTTAATCATAGATTGAATCACAATTAGTCAAGGAACAAGTTTGATTTACATATTTAAGGAACTAACTTAACTATGTCTTATGAGGCAATTACTCTGAAATTGCTTTCACATGATACGTTCAGTATGGGGTTAGAGAGCACATAACTGCATCTTTAAATTGCAATCAATTTCAAATAAGTTAAGTGCAAAAACCTTGTTAACTATACATGTGCATTAAATTCTCAACTCTTTTCTTCATAATCTGCCTTTGAAAATGTAACGCAAAGGGAGGACCTGAATGTCCAAACTTAGCATATGACTTTCTGTAAACTGCTGTGCTTGCAGCCAAGCTGTGCATCTGTGGATATGCCCAGATGGCTTTTCGTAGCTATTTAAATTGGGAAATCCATAAGAAGAAATCACTGCTTATTTAATCTGCTTTTTCAGGATACTTAGCATACATATTTGGTTAAAATTTCTAGAATTTTTTCATCATGTATGCTGTGTCTAGTGTATAAACAAGTGGGTGTGTGTGTGCGCGCGTGCGTGCATTTTTGTGTAGAAAGTTGTGTTATATCAGCTATTTCTCAATTTTGGTCTATTCTGCCAATATAGATTTTAATTTGGTTTTGTCAGTTGGGAAAGAACATTAACTGCCTTCTAAAATTAAATGCAATTCTGGTAACTAGATTTGTGCACGTGCAGGCCCTTAATATATGCTTGTTGAAGGTATAATAATAAGAAAAAAATAATGAACTTTAGATGGCATAAATTATATACTTCTAGATAAAGGAAAGAGATAAATTATGGACAAAGCAGAGTATTGGTTTTCTTTGTAATTATACCATGAGAATCAAACCAATAACCCTCTTAACAACAAAAAAAAGATAAAATTAGCTTAAAATAGTCATGTGAATTATATTTTTTATTTATTAATGAAATAGTATTCAGAAACCAGGCAGAAGCATATGTATTTGTATAATTTATATATATTTCTCTAATCTTTTACTGCTTCTTGTCAGCTATCAAATTTTTATTAATGAGAAAAGACAAATAATAAACTATATTACCAAAAGTTATTTCAGAAATTGATTCCTCCTACGTTAACATGGCAGAAAGTAAAATGTGTATTTTATGTGATCAAATACAGCCTAATAGAGTCTTTAAACTTTTAAAATAAATACCCCAAATTTATTAAAATATACTTTATGATTAAAAGAGCACATTGGTGTTTAGTGACTTTTGAATAGTTCTTTCTTGTGTATTATGTTCTATACCTTATGTATAAAATGTGATAATACATAATTTAAAAAGATTATTTGCCAAGTGATTGGAAACAAATTGGAAGTTATGTAGGGACAAGTGGCCAAATACTTTTGATATAACATTTTTTTTAAATGAAGTATTCTCTCAATGAACATATACTCTCATTTGCCATTTATTGTTGGTAACAATAAACAAAACCCATGACAAGATGTGGACATATTTTTAGAATAATCACAGAACAATGAGCAATGTTCATTACATTTGTAGCAAACAGAATTTTACCTTCACAATATTATGCTTCTTTCTCTCCCTAGATTAAACAATATAACCCCTTTCCCAAAGAGAATCAGCAATGGACTGAGTGATCTGAAAGGCTACTCTGGCATAGAAGTGGAAACAATCTTGGGATTCCATTTGGGTATTCTGGGTTCAAGTTTGATTTTTGCCACTTAACATCTAAGTAAATGAATCCACAGCAACTTAACCCACAACACAAGCTACTTGTGCATTTTAAAAAAGGTGGGTTTTTTTTTGTTTGTTTGTTTTGTTTTTTGCCGGGCGTGGTGGCTTACGCCTGTGCCTGTAATCCCAGCACTTTGAGAGGCCAAGGCAGGCAGACCCCTTGAGGTCAGGAGTTGGAGACCAGCCTGGCCAACATGGGGAAATTACCCTGTAGTCCCTGCTACTCAGGAGGCTGAGGTAGGAGAATAGCTTGAACCCCGGAGGCAGAGGTTGCAGTGAACCTAGCTGTCGCCACAGCACTCCAGCCTGGGTGACAGAGCGAGACTCCACTCAAAAAAAAAAAAAAAAGTACTTTTAATTTGGAAATTGGGCTACATAGATGCTTAGAGAGATATAAAGGGAAACAGGGAATGTAAGTTTCCCCAGAAATAAGTCCCACCAGAAAGTCACTAGATACCCAGAACCAGAAGGTCAGAGGGAGGGAGTAGTGCTATTGCAGGGCAGGGTCTAGATCACTCAGAAAATGTGGCAATCAAGTGATCCCACTCAATGTCAAATGAAACCATATAACAGATATAGCTAGTAGTAGAAATGGAGGGAAAGAAAGGAGATGCAAAGAAAGAGAGGCAGAAATAACCTGACTTATCTCTTTCTTCCATCCTCCCAACTCCCAATAATACCACATTGCCTGATCCCATCCAGAATTCAGCTGACATTGGAGTGTTATACAAGCAGTCTGTAAGCCAGCCCCTACAATGCAGAGGAGAATAGAAAAGGGCTCTGGGGAAGAACAGACACTAGATAAGCACAGTCAGTCTCTCCCATGTTTCTTGATCTGTAAAATATAAATTATAGTAACCACCACAGAAGATTAGTGTCAGGATTAATGTAAAACAATGTGCTAGGCTTTGAAAAGTGTCATGAGAGTTGTTACTATTATTGCTTGAAGGAATCCAGTAGTCCCAGAGCTAAAGAGTCTTCCTTCCTTTGGTTTCTTTATAACTTTGGATAAGATACCCATCTGTGATCATCAATAAGACTTAAAATTAGGAATTTATTTTTTTGAGCCTTGCAAAGGTCAATGCGCATCTCTAATAATTTGTAATATTGATGTTGGAAATACCTTGAATTCCTGAAAATAAAGGGTCAAGGTTTCCATTTTCAGTATGGCAATGTGAGAAGCCCCTTGGATACACTCCTCAGGAAAACGTAAAAATTACAAACAACAGCAACAAAAATAACAATAATATTTAGAGTATCTGGAAATGCACCTAAGGATATATAGTAAATAATGAAATATTCAACATAATCTATCAAGACTCCTTAAAAACAGTGGTATTTGAACTACAACCTCTCCACTCTTCTCCCCTTCCAGCTTAGTGTAATGGAAACTCCACCCCAACCAGGCAAAGTCAAGAACACAAAATTTCCTCTAGCTCCAGCTTCCTATTAAGGGCTACAGTATCTTCTCCAGAGAGTTGGGACATCAGCATTTTATATTCTGACTTCAAGTTACCTATTAAAGAGGATAATTCCTGAAGACAAGCAGCAGGGTTCTTTTCTTCTTTGCAGCCCTATTTGTGGTATCAAAGCTTTAACTAAGGTGTAGTGTGCTGAAAGTATGGGATTCCTGTTCACCCTCACTGTCTTGTTCATAAAGTGGAGGTTAAGTGTTGGGAAAGAAAAAGCTCATAAAACTAGGGCCCCAGGCAACCACCTCTCTCTCTTCTGAGTACTCAGCTACTAAAGTAGGGATGGCACTCTGAGAGAAGGACGGCACTGTCCTTGATCCCAGCTCCAGAACCATGGCTCAGATATTTTGCTGAGGCAGAGAGGCAGAACCTAACAAACAGCTTAAATCTCTCCTAAAAGAAATTACTTTATTGGCAGCAAACTGTGGGAATGTTAAGCCCAAGGATACTTTCAAAAACAATGGTGTTTGTAGTAAACAGAAGTTAAAAAGAGAATTGTAGCTTCATTGGTGATAAGAGCCAAATCATGTACCAGTTACTTTACAAGAGAGAACCAGGAAAAGAAACAAGAAAGTAGAACTTTGCTCGGAATCACAACAACTCTCCATCACTGACTCCATGAAGTATCACTGCAAAGAGGCCAAATTTTAATTGGATCAGTCTGTGGAACAATTAATGTCAAAAAATACTTTGTGGAAATCGAAAGCAATCAACTAACAAATAGTGAAATTCTCTTCTGGTGTGATCAGGAAAAGAGACAGTCAAATGTTGTCCTGCTAAAACCATTGTTATCCCAAGGTGACTGTGTGCATGCACAAGGCTGTACCCTCTGAGGGGGGACATCAGAGTCTCCACATATCTGATGGAAAACAGATTTTACTAAAATAATCTAAACAGTCACTAAAATGAACAAGAAAACCGCAATGATAAGCCCTGCATAGAGAGAGATTAGTTCTCAGTTTTGTTGCAATATATTTGCTAAAATATCTAGGTTTCAATAACAAATTTATATGAGGCATGAAAAAAACAAGAAATTTTTATATGAGAAAAGAGTAAGTCAACAGAAGCTTCCTGTTACAGCAACCAGATATCATATTTAACAAAGACTTGAAAGAAGCAATTATAAATATGTTCAATGAACTAAAGAAAGCCATATTTAAAGAAGTAAAGGAAGTTATGCTGACAAAGTCTTATCAAATAGATAATACCAATAAAGAGACAGAAAGTGTATTTTTTTTAAAAGACCAAATGGAAATTCTAGAGTTAAAAGGCACATAGCTAAAATGGACAAAAAATAACTTACTAGGGAGGTTCAACAATAGATTTGAACTGTCAGAAGAAAGAATTTGTTAAATCAGAGGTAAATAGAGATTTATACTATCTGAAGAACAGAGAGAAAACAATGATAAAAATGAACATAGCTTCAGAGAAAAGTGGGTTACCATTAAGAACATCAAATATATTTAATGAGGTTCTAAGAAAAGAGGAGAGGAAGAAAGAGAAAAAAATCCAAGAAATTATGGCTGATCACTTGAAAATTTAATGAATACCATTATCTACACATCTAAAAAGCTTAACAGAATTTAAGTAGGATAAATGCAAAGAGGTCTATTCAATGACATAATAAAATGCTGTTAGACAAAGTAAAATATTAAAAGACAAAGACAAGGGGTAAATTGTATCAGCAAGAAGAGAAAAAACTCCTCACAAATAAAGGAAACCCCCATTAGAGTAACAGCTGACTTCTCATCAGAGCAATGAAGGCAAGAAAGAAATAAGATAACATATTTAAAGTGCTCAGAGAAAATAACTGTCAACCAAAAATCATATATCTAGCAAAACTAACATGCAAAATATAGACACACCAAGATAAACAAAATCTGATTAATTTTGTGGCTGACAGAACTGCCTTATGAGAAATACTAAAGAAACTTTCACAAATTAAAAGTAAGTCATCCCATATTTAAATAATAAAAAAAATCTTAAATCAATAAACTAATTTACTGTAAGACACTGAAAGCTCTGGCTAGGGCAATTACTCAAGAAAAAGAAACATACAGTATCTTTATAAGATTGGATAAAATAAGTAAAACCTATCTCTATTTGCAGCTGATGAAATCTTCTATACATGAAATCCTAAAAATATCTGTTAGAACTATTAAACTATGTCAGTAATGTACAAAAATCAATTGTATTTCTATAAACTTGCAATGAAAAATCCAAAAATGAAATTAAGTAAATATTTCACTAGGAATAGCATCAAAAGAACAAAGTATATAGGTGAGAATTTAACAATAGAAGCATAAGACTTATCCACTAAATATTGTGAACCATTGTCAGAAAACAAAATGAATGGGAAGTACTCCATATTCATAAATTTGAGGACTTATTATTGTTATGGTTGCAATTTTTCCCAAATCTATCTACAGATTTAACACAATACTTTCCAGAATTTGAACTGGCTTTTTTTTTTTTTTTTAGAAATTGACAACTTGATCCTAAAATTTATATGGAAATTTAAAGGATCCCAAATACCAAAAGCAATCCTAAAGAAGAGCAAATTTGGAGGACTCACACATCTAAATTTCAAAACATACTACAAAGCAAAAGTAATCAACACTGAGTGATACTGACATAAGAATAGACATAAAGATCAATGTAACATAATTAAATATCCAAAAATAAAGTTATATGCCTATCTCAATTGATTCTTAGCAAGGATGCCAATATCATTCCATGGAGAAAGAATAATATTTTCAACAAATAGTACTGGGACAGCTGGATATCCATGTATAAGCAATGAAATTTGAAGCCTACCTCATACCATACACAAAAATGAATACAAACTGTATGAAATACCTAGATATAAAAGCTAAAACTATGAACTTTTAGAAGAAATTATGGGGGTATATATTTGTTACCTTTGATTTGACAATAAATTGTTAGATATAACACCAAAAGCATTGGCAAAATAAAAAGTAGATATATTTTACTTTATCAAAATTAAAAAAAATTGCTCTTCAAAGAACATAATCAGAAAGTGAAAAGATAATCCATAAAATTACTGAAAATATTTGCAAATATTATATCTTATACAGGACTTATGTTTAGTGCACATAAAGAACACTTACAACTAAATAACAAAAAGTGAAATAACTCAATTAAAAAATGGGCAGAGAATTTGCAGAGGCATTTATCTAAAGAAAATAGGGCCAGGCACGGTGGCTCACGCCTGTAATCCCAGCACTTTGGGAGGCTGAGGCCAGCGGATCACGAGGTCAGGAGATCGAGACCATCCTGGCTAATATAGTGAAACCCCGTCTCTACTAAAAATACAAAAAATTAGCCAGGCGTTGTGGCGGGTGCCTGTAGTCCCCGCTACTCGGGAGGCTGAGGTAGGAGAATGGCGTGAACCTGGGAGGCGGAGCTTGCAGTGAGCTGAGATGGCGCCACTGCACTCCAGCCTGGGCGACAGAGTGAGACTCTGCCTCAAAAAAAAAAAAAAAAAAAAAAAGAAAATAAACAAATGGTCAATAAACACATGAAAATATGCTCAATATTAGTTATTAGGGAAATACAAGTGAAAACCGTAATGATATTCTATTTCACACCCATTAGGATGACTATAATAAAAAAGTCAGATAATACCAAGTGTTGACAAAGGTGTGGAAAGATTAGAATCTTTACATACTGCTGTTGGGAATGTGAAATGATGCAGCAACTTTGTAAAACATTCTTATAGTCTCTCAAAATGTTAAATATAGAGCTATCATTTGGTCCAGCCATTCCACTTCTGGGTATATACCCAAAGGAAATGGAAACATATGCTCTTACAAAAATCTGTACACTAATATTCACAGCGACATTATTCACAATATCCAAAATGTAGAAACAACCTAAGTATGAATCAACTGAAAAATGAATAAACAAAATTTGGCTTGTCTGTAAACTGGAATATTATTCAGCCAAAAAAATAAAATATTGATATATGCTAAAACTTGGATGAATCTTGAAAACAGCCTGAGAAAAAAAAAGCCAGTTACAAAAGACCACATATTATATGATTTCATATATATGAAATTTCCAGAAAAGGGATATCTAAAAGACAGAAAATCAATTATGGTTGCCTAGGTCTTGGGGGCAATAGGGGTTTGGGAATGATAGTTAAGGGGCATGGTCTTTTGTTTATGGGTGACAACAATATTTTAAAATTGATTGTGGTGATGGCTGAACAATTCCATGAATACAGTAAGTTCTAAAAACAAATACTAAATTAATACTAGAAAAGTTGAGTTGTACATTTAAATGGGTGAATTGTATGGCCTGTGAATTATAACAATAAAGCTGCAGCCAAAAAAGGGTCATGTTTTCATCATTTTTAGGGAAGTATAAACATGAAATAGAATGCAGTTACCACTGTTGTCTACTTGTCATTTTTTGAAGCATAAACCACTGTCAAGGGGCAAAAAATGCAGTGGCTATTAGTAGTTTTTACAATTAAATAAGTAATATACTTTCCTATATTTTGCTGCTACCTATGTTTGTACTTTTCAAAAGTGATATTTTCACTAAAAATTCAAATAACTGAGCTTGATGTTCAAGGATGTATAAAATATACACAATTTTCTAGACATGCTAACCTTTAATTTTGTTCCCTTTTCCTGCATTTGGGAATGTGTGTTCTTCCCCCAGCAGGGCAGTCTAAACGCCTTTAGGCAGCTTTAGTTTTGCATTTGCTGGCTTTCATGTGCATGTATCTTAACCTTAACATCTCTTAAATAGAGTGTATTTTGCAGAGAATCTGTTTATCTAGCATTAGTACATGACAAAACCAGAAGTGTAATAAGAATGCATAAATTGCAAATGCATAGTGCATAACTGAATATTTGAACATGTCTCAAAGCAGTGGAGCAATTTGATCCTTATAATCCAGTTTACTTTTTTTTTTCCCTAAGAGAAAAGGGCATGCTTAGCTAGGATTTATTTCATCTGCAATTTTCACATGACAAACTTTACTTTTAAGTTTAAAATGATGTTGTTTCAGTCCCTGGTGTCTGAGTGTGATGAGAGTTGGAAAAGCAGACAGAACTGCAAACGTCTAATCTTGGCATGGTATTTGCTTTCCATTTTCTTTAGTGTACGCTGGTGGGATATTACTGAATGTTAAAACCTTGGCAGAGTCACTAGTGTGTAGAGTCCATTTCTTTTGTGAAGAGGGAAGTGAATTTGAAGTCCAGTGATGTTTATCTATTTTTAAAATTATCAGAGATTAGGTTTCATTTCTTTTCATCCTTAAAATTTCTCTTCAGCTGTATATAGCCTGAAGAACACTGAATTTTCAGCCCACTAAAAAGTTATATGCAGGAATATACTATTTCTTCTAGATGAAGGATAGGAATTTCAAATTTTGTCCTTCGTGAATATATTGCATTCTTGTCAAGAGTTAAGAGTGTCCCAAAAGTATGCATCACTTAGTGTCATCACACTTGCTCCTCTTTCCCTATATTCATAATTCCCGATTCTCTAAAAATACTGTCTCCTAGCTTATTTCAGGACATTTATTAAATATTGGTTATTTAAATATTTTCCAAACATAATTTATGTGGAGTACAAATTTAAAATACATTACCAAATGTTTACTATAAAATAATTGAACCTTATTTAATATAGGTATAACATCTTCAAAATTGAGTTAAATACAAAAAAACCCTTATATGCTAAATTTTTATTTGATATTTCTGGTATCAAGTATAAGAAATACTTATTTTCAATAGACTTGTATTTCCCTTTCAGATTCCATTTTTGGAATTGTTTCAGTTAGAGGATAAAATATTATTGGAAATGAAGAAATTTCCAGGCAAATGGTGGGGTGGGGATGGTAAATTTGTCTATCGTTACCCGTGTCTATTGTTGGCCACGCTAGCACAAACAAATCTTATCAAAACTATCCCTGCTCTGTTCTCTTTTGAAAGCTTCACAATAGCTGTCCCTCAGTGTTACAGTTTTTTCCACCATCAGTTGAGAAAAGGTTCCCATAGCTCTCTGATAGACAGTCTAACACACACATCCACACAATGCACAAATACAGCTATAAAACTTTTTAGATCTAAATGTCACTTTTAAAGCAACCTTAGAGACTATTATGATTTGAATAAATGTCCCCCTCAAAACTCATGTTGAAATGTAATTGCCATTGTAACAGTATTAAGAAGTGGACTTTTTGTTTGTTTGTTTGTTTGTTTTTGATGGAGTCTTGCTCTGTCGCCAAGGCTGGAGTGCAGTGGTGCGATCTTGATCTTGGCTCACTGCAACCTCTAACTCCCGGGTTCAGAGATTCTCCTGCCTTAGCCTTGCGAGTAGCTGGGATTACAGGTGCCCGCCACCACGCACAGCTAATCTTCCTTATTTTTAGTAGAGACGGGGTTTCACCATGTTGGCCAAGCTGGTCTTGAACTCCTGATGTCATGATTGGCCCGCCTTGGCCTCCCAAATTGCTCGGATTACAAGCGTAAGCCACCGCGCCTGGCCAAGAAGTGGAAGTTTTCAGAGGTGGTTATGCTATGGAGGCTCCACTAGTGGGTAATACTCGTGCTGTGATAAAAGGGGAATTTGGCCCCCTCTTGCCCTCTGTCACCCTCTTACCATCTGCCATATTATCATATAATGCAGCAAAAAGGCTCTCTCCAGATGCTTGCAGCTAGATACTGGATTTTCCAACCTCCAGAATTGTGAGCCAATAATTTTCTGTTCATTATAAATTACGCAATCTCAGGTATTTTGTGATAGCAATACAAAACAAACTAATATAGGGAATGTTCGTGGTTGTGACTAATCATGCTTCTAGAAGAATCTCAAAGCCTTTAGACAGGTGATGATATTTATCCAGTGATTAATACAGATTATAGAAGAGAGATTAATTTACTTCATATATTAATATGGGATCTCTTCCCTGGTTCCGCTTTGCTAACATCTATGTTGAGTTAAAACTCTCTAAGAGAAAACTTCTCTCACTCAACCATTGCATTACCAATGGTGACCCTTTTATGCTGATTAGCTTCTAAAACATACATTTTCAATGCAGTCGTCAGTGGTTTTCTCTTCTGTCTCTCCCACAAAGCTACAAGTTCCTTGAGAGAAATAATTATGGCATATTCCTGTAGTCTAGTACCTAGTATAATATTTGGGCCTGAGAAAATGCTTATATAATACATAGATGATTATCTTAATGTAGAAACTCATAGAATTCTTATCTTTAAGAAATTACCTATCACCAGAAGAAATTTGTTATAGTCTTTCTGATTTTTTGATAATTGCCTTAAAAATGTTACAGATTAAGTAGTAAAAAAGAAAAAAAATGGAAAAATGGAAACGTTTAGATGCACTTAATATTATACATTATCTATATTTCTAAAAGTATTTTTAATATTGTTCTTAGACTCAGGTAATTAAGTCCCCTTATATGAGCCCTGAGTTTTAGAATGCTTGCAACAGGCACTTCCCTTTTCAGACTTGAATCCAGCCCTAGCATAGACCTAATGGAATGCCATTACCCAAGACACGTGACTTCTCCTGCCTGATCAATCTGTTTTAAACCTCTGTTTAAGCTGGACCGCAGTTCTTACTGCTCTTGAGAACTGTCCAAAATACATCTGGAAATGTGGCTCCTATTGCTACAACCAAATGGGTTATGTAAAGTGAGAGAGAGAGAGAGAGATCTTCAGAAGGAATCTAACAAGTTCTCAGCCCTATCTTTTCTCTCAGAGTCTCCCCCAGCCTCAGTGGATTTACTATTCATATTCAGTTCTCACAGAACTAAAGTCTGTTTAAATGGGATAACTGGAAGAAAGCCAGCTCAAGACTATGTACATATGTGTTATATGGCTTGCTTTTTTTTATTATTCTTGGGAAATATTGAGAATGGTGGAGATCCACTGGGTTGAGTTTTGCATCATGTGGTTTCTATACTTTTCTAAATAAAACTGATTCAATAATTCTACAAAATAAAATATGATAAACTGAGAAAATTGCATGTTTACTTTTTACTCCTGTAGTGTATGCATAGTATCCATGGTTTTGAAACATACCAAAATAAATGTTGGTATCAAAATGAAGAAAATCATATTGTATGTCATATGATTCCAATGATCTTTGAAAATGAGATGAAACATATATAATTGCACTTATGACTTAAGCTTGTATTTTCCTTTACTTACGTGACAGTGTATCAGTACATGAGCATAAGATGAAATGGTATTATGATGGTCCTTTGTATTGTTATACGGCTAAGATTTTAACATTTCTATTAAAAGGAAGATAGTAAAGAGGACATTAAATTGGTCTTTATACAAAGTATATAGGTATTATTTCATATAAGAAAGTGTTTTATTTTACTTTCTTTTAGCTTTTCTGTTAAAGATTCAAGCCTAAGTATTTTCGTGAATATCTTATTGCACATGGCTTCTCATTGTAAAACAGCTACTTACTACTTATATGACCTTGGGCAAATTATATAAATTTTGTATTCTGGTTTACTTAACCATAAAATAAAGGTAGTGATAATACCTTTTTCACAGAGTTGTTAGTAGACTATAAATTATCTGTTAAGCTCTTAGAAGAGTGATAACGATGATGATGATAGTGATAGCAATGATGCTAGGGCAAGGCACATTATAGGTAATGACTAGACCACTTACTGAAGAGGATGATCTGAGTAGTATGATATGAGTCACTAAGGTGGGATAGGCCCCATTATGCATAACCTACCCTGCAAGGTAAAGGAATATATATACTTCATGTTAAAGTTTTAGATAACCCTTAAAAATGGTTGGATAAAAGAATATTAATAAATTCAATTAGATAAGTATCTATGGAATATAACCTGAGATCATGTGAGTTATGATGCATGATTCAGATAATTGTTATATGAGAGGACAAAGTCAAATAAAAAGAATCTTTTATATTTAAAACCACTTTTAATTCTTTACATGGAAATTCACATATACGAAGTTTTAGTGAAAAAATTTTTAAGTGAACAAAATTTGGTTACTAAAATAAAACTGAAAGACTACATTGGCTTTTATAAATAATATGTACTGATTTATAATTTTTTCATAATCTTGGTATGTAATAGTTTTAAAATAACAATATTAATTATAAATGTTGATCATCCAGACTATTTTGTTTTCTATCTTAAATGGCATCAAGGTCTTAAACAATGTCACATACATTGAAAAGACTCAAAATTTCATTTTTGGATATTGAAAATAGTTGCAATATATTGCTTATTGAGAAAAATATTAGTTATGCTATAATTATGTATCATAGCATCAATATTTATGCTACAACTACCATCCAGGTCAAAGGACAAAATCTCGCCACCATCTATGAACTCTCCCCATTCCCTTCCAAAGCATCGCCTTTTGCCTCTTATCCAAAATAACAATTATTTTAATATCTAAGTATAATTTTTAGCCTATTTTTGAAAATTGGATATTGGAAATTATACAATATTCTTTTGTTTTGGCTACCTTTTTTCCACTAAGTGTTTGTTTGTGACATTTGCTCATATTGCTTTGGTAGCTATAGTTTGTTAGCTGTCATTTCTGAATAGTATTCTATGGCCTGAACATCCTTAATCATTTTTTTGAAGTGTTCCGTTAATGTAAAAGTGAATACAATCTTACAAAATGTACTCTTAATTTGTAGCAAGGTAGATGAGTGTGGCCTGACAATGATGCAAGTGAAAGAAGAAAAATTATCTAAAGGGAGAGAAGCTGATTTATAGAGGGAGAGGATAAAACAATCAAACATCATAAGTATAGTAAGTTATCCCAAATTTGTAAACACAATAAATAAAATAGATAATTTTCTTTGAAGTTAAGAAAAACTTCAAGCTGCTGATTTAAAAATATAAGAAATTAGAGGAAAATTTAGTACAGAACACTCAATAGTATGTCCCATCTTGGCTAACTTATTGACCCTCAAAAATGAAAAAAGGAGTTGAGAACCCTGTGAAGAAAAGGAAAATAACTTAGCAAAGTGAAAACATCAGGTTAGCATCAAATGTCTCCATAGAAACAATGTTAAAAAACACTGGAGCAGTAGTTATGGAATTCTGAAGACAAGGTGACCGAAGAATATTAAATTCAAGCCATAGTATGTGCTTAAAGAGATAGATATTTAAAAGATGAAAGGAGTCAATAAGTACATATATTAGCTTTTCTTGGAAAAAAAAAAAACAAAGAAGGAGAGAAGAAAAGGAGGAAAGGAAAAAGGGAGGCAAGGAAGGAAGAGGGAACAAAGAAGGGAGAGAGGAAAAAAGGAAGGAAGGAAGGAAAGAAAAAAGAAGAATAAAGAAAAAGAGCAAGAGGGATGGAGGAAGAAAGGAAAGGATGAAAGAAGGAAGGGAGAAAAAATGAAGGAAAAAAGGAAGGAATGAAGAAGAAACTTTACTAAGGAATCTACTCATTTAAGATAGGATATGTATCAAAATAAAAGGCTTAAAAATAAAGAAGGAGAGGATGAAATGAGTGTAAGCAGTTATTCCATGTAAATTATTCATGTAATTCCATGTAAATCATTGCTAAGAAAAAATAAAATAATTTAAAGTTTGAGATTGAAAAAAGTGATTCTAGAATTAACAAAAATCAGAGCTGGGGAGTAGGAGGAAATGTGTGAGCCCTTCATCACAACAGAGAGGCAGATGAAATCGCCTACAATCAAGACATTTTAACTTCATACATTTTTTCATAGTATCATTTTTAATTAATAGTTATGGTAATCTTTTAGAACATTATTTTTCTGCTCTAAAATATTCTATGTGAATTTTAACTATTCCTTTACTTTCTATTTTACTTGTTTTTCTTGTTCTAATATAAATAAAATTTAATAATCTACATTCATATTACCACATAATACCACATAATCAAGTTTTTATAGTAGTATTTTGATCTATCTGACCCTCCTAATCTTTCTACATGAAAATAAAAGTAGGAATGATACTCACTTAAGCTAAATAATGATATCTATTTCCTGGTAGTAGAAGTAAAGCAATTATTTTGTATATTTTTTCTTTTACTTTCCATACATTGAATTTTCTAAGACAAACATGTATTATTATTGAAATACGAATAACAACTTCATTTTCATGATAATAATAGTGTTAATTAATAGGCAATGAGCTTGCTTTAAGGACTACTGGATAAAGAAAAATGTATAAGAGAAAGTTAAAGAACGTGGGTATTTAATTATCAATGAAAGTTATCCCAAAAGTAAATCTACATTTGGAGTGTTGTTAAACAATCAGCTCAATTGCAACAACAACAATAACAATAACATTTCAACAAGGTCCCTATGTTATACGCCCCCCAACCTTTTTTTAAATAGACCACCAGATAATAGCTGTGTTTTCCCCTCAAATGTATTTAACTATGACTAAAAACTCTTTATGGGAGGTTTAGTGTACATCATTTTAAGTAGAATCAGGGATAACTTACACAGAGTAAATTACCAGCATGGTTTATGTTTAAACTATGAGGAAGTGATATTGAATTCTTGATTTAAGAGTTCTGAAGAAAAAGTGACAAATAGAATAATAACATGGATTTTCTGCTTTAAAATTTATATATTTTAAATATTTTATTTATTGATCAGGTTCAGTACTAAATCCTTCATAAAATCTAAAACCACATGTTAGTTATTTTTTACCAACATATTTTGTAAGGTTCTAACCCACAATAAGGGCTAAGATTGAAAAGGCAAGTTATTACCTGGAGTTATATAAACCTTCTTTCTTTGAGATTTGCTTACAAAAACCCCACAAATGTAAAATAGTATTGATGTGTTTTAATATGGAGATGCTCGTCCAGTAATAAAAGTGTGTTGATCTGTGATTTTTGCATTCTGATTTTTATTTTTGTGTTAACATCTGCTCATGGAGATGACAAGTTCGTGTGGGATTAGGGAGCTGCATTATATTCCCAATTGAATTAATGGGTGTTATATTATCTCCTATTTTTTAAAAGTGGGCTTTAAAAATTCAGTGATAATATCTATGCCACAGATTTGCCCAAAAGGGAATACTACTGTGGTTTCCTATGGGATATAGCAAATGCAAATAACATTTTAAACAGTCCTATATGAACAGATGGCCCAGCAGAGGGTTTTACTCTAGAGAGTCCTGCTTGATTCTATGTTGCACAGGGTGGGCTGAGACAATAACCATGGAAGCTGCAAATCTCCTTATACACGTGGAGGAGATAAAGAATGTACAGCCACATCAAGATTTGGAGACTTTGGAAGACAGCAGCTGTATCTGGCACCTACCAAATGGCATTTAGAAAGATTAAAAGGATGGACTATGAAGAAGATGAAAGTTAATTACTGAGGGTCACCAGAGTAGTCAATAAATTTTTCATAAGCATTCAACACAACAAGTTAGGTGAAAGGAACAAACTTTAGAGCATTAAATATGGCACTTTTAAGAAATTGGTTGCATGATGAATGTATTTGGAAATTATTGTATTCAGCTGATTCTTTTACTTAAAAACATTTATAAAGTAAACCTTAGCAAGTATTTCCTGAATCTCAAGTCATTCCATGGTATTGTTTGAAATTTCTGGTTACTTGTCTTTCTTACACATATGTGCATAACAATGATGCAGAATTAAAAATGTGGCAAATTATCACCATGTAGATTTTCAGTGCTATCTTAGAGCATTGTCCAAAACGCATGCCTAAAGTCATCTTCAGAAGAAGCCAAAAGGGTTTCTTTATTGTTTGACTGTTTCTTTGCTCCTCATTATGGTCCAGAGTCTGGAATATCAGGTGCTATCCTGAGGAATATTGATGATTTATAGATAATTCTTATCTGATAGAAATGCTAATGATCTCTATTTGGTAGAAAGTATAACTCCATATAAATATAGCTTTAATATCAATTGTGTATCTATATTTTACAATTCTACAATCTAATTTTAACATTCTTTTCTTTATTGACCATACATACTTTGGCCTCAGACATTCTCTTTTGAGCTTTGCCATCCTGCTAGTTGTCTCTTCAGTGACTTAAACAAATTTTGACATGTGCTTCCTAAACATCTTGGTATGTACTTCACCAAAGCTATGCATTTGTAGCTTTGAAATGCCTATCCTGATGCCTCTGCCTGTGAAACTGAGAACAGAAACTCTGTTTTAGCTCTGTATCCCTAACAACTCTATTGTAGCCAGCCTGGCACTTTCTAGGCTCTCAATAAATGCTTGTTCAAAGAATGTGTTAATAATGGTAAATGTATACACATAAACAAGAGAGCAGTAATTAGATATCTGTTTATAAATACACTCACATATGTATGTGCGTACATATGTATATAATTTTGAAAAATTTGCTGATGTAGGTTTCTACTACCTAAGGTAAAATGGAAAGCAAGACACTTGGGCAGAAAACTATTCAGCACATGTGAGCAACGAATTAAAAGACAAATCCAAAGCGATTGTATTTGGTCACCTCAGGAAAATGTTTCTCCTAAAGATTTAAAGTCAAAAGGATAAGTTCTCCTGGTAACTACACACAAGGTCTCTTCTTTTGACCCTTATCTGACAAAACGTAAAAGCCTCTAAAACATATCTTTCAGAATTTTAACACAAAGCTATTGAAAATCTTACAATATACCTTTTGACTTGCTAAGAGAAGGGACTATGTATCATAATTTTACACTCTCTGTTAATTCAGTTTAATTCATTTACCCAGGGAATCATGGGCATAATGCGGCTTAATCCTAACTGATATTGTCTTCAGAGTCCTGGGGAGGGAACAAGTGGGAGGTAAAGAAATCTCTTTAGGGTAAAGAATGGAAAAGACCTATATGCTGACTGAAGGTGAGTATAAAGGAGACAGTAATTTAGGAAAAAATGACCTACTAGTTTATTATGCTAAGTACATTTTAAGAATAGAAAACATTTAATATTCAAAGCATCTCCAACTGTAATGAAAGAAATTTTGCCACAGAGAGTTGAGTAATTTGTTAAATATCAACAACTAATGTTGATTTTATCTTGATGCCTTTATTATAAACTGGGCACAGTTATTTTCCTTAAAATTTTGTGTCTCCTACTTTTGGCTATAATGTTCCTGTTCCCCAGTATCTCCAAAAATTGTTTGACATCAACTCACTAATAGAAAATTGTGTATCAACAGTTTATTGTTATCTATGAGAAAATATGTCCTTCTTTATAGTATGGATTTAGGTTCTTGTAATTTCCAAAAAATAGTTTAGTCCAAGAAAACTTATTCTGTTGAAGTAGAGACAGTCTTGTCTCCATAGTTTAAGAAGGTAGTTGGTAGAAAATGCAAAAGAAGTTTCTATTATCAGGGAAGAAGGAGAATTAAACGCTAAACATTCATAGCTAAAATTTTTTTGATGATCACACAAAATTGAAAATTTTCGAGTAATTGTAGATTATACAGAAAGAATAGAAGTTGTAGAAAACAGCATATTCACTACTTATCCACAGTTCTTAAACAGGCTTCTAAAGCTAATGACATGAATCAGAAAAGATATATTATTTCTAGTTTAAAATTTTCTAAGAGAAATAAAATTTTTCATTTAGAATTATTGGAAGCTCCAGTTTCGGTTTATGTTCAGTTTGGGTGATGCATTAACTTTTGTTTTGTTTGTTTGTTTTAAGGTTTGAAGGATTTCTTTCCTACTGGATAGCTTCCATTCATTTCCCTGCTCGGTCACTTCAACTTGGTTCTTTCTCTTGTGTGTTGCACATGGAATATGTCTGCTTGGATTTCTTCCTCGCTTATACCTCCAGTTCAGCTCGACCCTTTTTCCAGACCCACTAAATTCTCTGGAAATGATGTAGTTTCTATCTATACTTTCAGAATCTCCATTCAAATTCTATTCTGCATATTCATGCATATATTCAGCAAACTACATTGTCTCTTTAAACCAATCTGTTAAACAATCTTTAAAACTATCTTGTGGTTAAGTAAAATTTGGAGATATTAAAGAACTTATTCAAGATTGCACAGATTGCACAACTAGTCAAGTCAGTTTTCAAAATAGCTCTAATTCCACTATCTTAACACTTAAAACCTATAGTATACTTCCTTCTCTACTGCAATGACTCTCTCCTTCCAGTCCTTTTACAGCTTAGAAAAAGTACAAGAAACAGAAACCCTTTTAATATTATTGTTAGTTTGTGCTTTTTATTTTTCTTAAAGTCGATCAAATTGAACTACTCTCATCTTTGATTCTCTTTAGTCTCTTTCCCATATATTACCTCTTCTCAAGCCATAATCCTCACCAGTACATAGCAAAATCCAAACTTTAAAATGTTTGTATCATCTCATCTTCTGCTTTTGGGAAGGTGGTATAGACATATTTTTGACTATTCCTTCCAATTAATACTATGAAAAACATTATATATAACAGACACATGAGAAGACTCTGAAAGTTGGAGAGAAGAAGGAAGACCAGCTAGGCACTCCAGTATCAAGGAACGGTGTAACACAGTTTCTCGGTTTTCTTTTTGCCTCAAATATTCCTGACTTGGGAGTGAAAAAGCCCCAAACTTGAAAATGACCTATTTACTTCAAAATATTACTTAAAGTGTCACGGTAGGTAATATGTTCCCACAGTTTTATAAATGGCATGTGTGTAATTTGGTATTCTTGTGTTTTTTATCAGCAAATAAATACAGTAAATGTTTAATCAATAAATGTCAAATGAGTGATAAAAATTAGTAATTAAACCAGTTTACCATATATACATTAAGGATATAAGAATAGCTTTTATTTTCATGTACTCATAATGGATATTCAGTAAGAAAGAAGCTGTTGAACAAAAGGTCATTATGGTAACTTTTTAATGAGTGATTTTGATAACATAATATATTTTCTTGATGCATTTTTTTTTCTCCATTGAAGTGGCCATTCACTTGAGAACTACAGTAATTAGAGTTCTTTTTAACTAAGTCTTGTTTTCTAAAAATGGATCACTTTCTTTCATTTTTTTATTAATAATTTCTGACATACAACCTTTACTCAAAAGGCGCTTATGAGAATAAAAGGAACTTCCTATAAATGAGCTCAGTGCTGTTTATTCTCTGACACTTATGTACTGCTCAAAAGTGCTTGTCAGAATTCAAGAGACATTTGACAAATGAGCCTTGTATGATTTTAGACTCTGAGGACATCTTACTTTTTGATGAATTCTCCACAGTGCTTAGAACAATGTGGATAAATTAATACTTCCTGACTGGTTGGACTTAGTAATTCCTCATTACAGAAATTTTCTGTACTATCAGTGAATATAAGTTTTTGAAAAAGAAATATTTATGAAATATATGATGTTTAAATGTTGAGGTGAATTACTCATTTTGAAGCGAGCATTAAATCAGTTCCACAGCTTTAATATTTTACATTTCTAATGCACTGTTTATGACATCGTAGTTCAAATCCAAAAGCTAGTAAGCTAGTGGTTTGTTATATACATTTAAACCAATTTCTCCAACTAAATTTTTTCATTTGTGAAAAAAATGCAGCCATATTCAATACAAAGGGATGTTATTTACAAATCTCCATCTGATTGCTAAAATGCTGATTTACAATGAGAAAAAACAATAAAGAATTAACTGAAAAAACACATTGTACTATTAAGTGCAAAGAGATCTAGATACACAGAATGTAAGTTAAGATGAAGAACCAAATTATTCAATTTTTGGAAATATATATTCCAGTTAGTGTTGTCTGGCAGTCCAGAAAAAAATGCATCATTACTTACTAAACTTTTAAATGCTGTAGAAAGTTATTTGCTGAAATACTGAAGAAAAAGTTTGCCATGCGCAAGAAAAGCCTAAATATGTCACTGTAACTATTGGTAGAAAATAATTTAATCAACTTTCACTTTTTAACATGTGAATTATTTACAATGGATTTTCCCCTGTCATTTTTTACCCATTGATGTGAAAGCAAAGAAAACAAACAAAAATGAATGTTAACCTAGACAAAGTATAGCCAGAAAAAATTTATTTCAATTCATTACTGGATTCCCAAATTAAATTATTTTTGTATCACTAAATTGGCATGTATAAAGTTAATTCTCTTTAATTTTAAAAATACATTTATTAAAATGAGTGAGTTAAATTCATTAGAAAGAAAGAAAATCGCCTGTAAAATTCTTTGATGTTGACATAATAAGTAAGGTCAATTTTTCCATAATATGTAATAGTAAGAAATTCCCTGACTGTGTGCATCAATATTGACACTGTCTTTTGGGTTAGTGTAAATATCTGAAAAGTAACTGTATAAATGTTTACAAGAATGTTTTAGTTTAAAATACTGAAAACTAAAAATATGTTATTTTATTTTTTCTTAATTTACAGTGACATCTCTTGGTTTACCCAGAGGCTTGAGGAAAATATTTATTGTAAGATATTGAAATGATAAAAATTTATACAAGGTAAGAAGAGAGTATAGAGAAAAATAAGATTAGTGGGAAAAGACCTTTAGCACTTATGACACTATGAGTATGGTTTCCACATTCCTATTTCTGAAAGACAATATATTCAGCTAAAATAATTGCTATCACTTGTGACTTCACACTATTTTAATTTTACAACCAGAAAATATCAAATGCATTGTGTTTGATAAATGCTATATATACACACACTCATACACACATATATTATTTAAAGAACTAATTATAAAAGTTTGAATTGATGAAGGGATGAGGTCAGATATTTTTCTAAAATGAGGCTTTGATTTACAAGGGTTTTACTCTTTGAAAAATGTGCACTTTAGATCTATAGTGTCCACATGGCAGCCCTTAGCAATATCTGAGTATTTAACTTTTACTTAATTACAACAAATAAATAATTCATTTCCTCAATCTCACTAGCCATATTTCAAATGCTTGGTAGACTTATGTGACTAGTGAACAGTGCAGTTCCGGAGTTCAGATACAGGATATTTTATCATTGCAATAAATTCTACTGGAAAGCCTAGAACTCTTAAACTAGGAATCACTTTTTAAAAGTTGTTTCTATAAACAAAATGAGGTAAAACACTTATTATATAAAATAATATGCTATTGCAAATAATTTAAATACTTCATTACACATTATTTAAATACTCCTTTATGAAGAAGGTATTTAAATCATATGTATTTAACAATTATTTATCAGACCATTGTACCTGTCTAGAGACACAATTCATATTTAGTTATTGAGTTTTAATAAAAAGGCTTCTCTTATCATCTTGTCCTCTCTAGCTATTCCACTCCATTCCAGGGAATGTGGATGGATCTTATACAACAAAGAGACATTTTTCTATGTAAAAACTCATCTTTGATTACTGCTGTTTTCTTATACCATATAAACTTACTGTTTGATTAATACTTCTAGTCTGAAGCAAAATCTTGGACAAGGATGTATGTGCCAACTCCAAAGTCCCAAAGAAGCAGGAAGTAGATGAAGAACATAGGGAAATAAGGATCACCTTTACACTTCTAGACATGTGTAACCAGAGAAACGTACATTAAGGGATTTATTGCAACGAATTGGCTTATGTGATTGTAGGACCTGGCTGGGCAAGTCTGAAATCCATAAGGAGACTAGAAAGCGGAGGAGACTGGAACTTCTGGGCACAAACTGATGTTCACAAGCATAACTTCTTATTCCGCAAGCCTTTAGCTTTGTTCTGCAGGCCTTTCAACTGACTGACTCAGGGCCATCTGGATTATCTACAATAATCTCCCTTACTTATTATTAATTGATTATGGACTTTAATTGCATTTACAAAATACCTTCACAGAAACATCTAAATTCCTTTCTTATTGGATGACTGGGAACTCTAATCTAACCAAGGTGACATGTAAGACTGACTATCACAGTGGAGAATATAATTAATTGCTGCTAGATTTTAAAAGATAATTTATGGGGAAAAAAGGTGTTTTATAAGTTAACAAATATTCTAGGCCCATCATGACCTTTAACCAATGGGTTGACACAATAGAATATGTTTCGTAAAATGACTTGAAGTGAAACATTATAGAATTCTTCATATTCTTCAGGAAAACATTTCTATCTCTTTAACAAATGCTATACAATTTCAAATAATTCATTTTCTATACATATGAATTGGTTGTAAATATAAGAAATGCAAATTTATTGTTTATATAGGTAGGGCACATTGCTTTATATCTCATTTCAAAATTCCCATCTTTCCTTAAATTAAAGAAAACATAATGTATATTTTTAAATGCTTTGGTAGAAATTTAAAAACAGTTTAGGATGTCTTGTTTATCCCCAGAAAGTTTTTATCTATTTTTTATATAGCTTGGCTAAAACATACACACAATAGACCTTCAGTTGCACATCAAGACATGAGAAATCTGGGAACACAATCCAGAACTCTTATTTCATCCATTTTGTTTTGTTTCTGCAAAATGAAATTGTTTCACAGAGATGGATATTCTGATTATTCCTTTATACCCTGAACTCCCATTTTTAACCAATGTTGTCATTTCATTGCAGTCCTGATTCTAATCCTTTTTCTTTAAAAGAAGCTCAAAGAGAATGAAAAGAGAATAAAATTCAATGTTCATTATCTATAACTATTACCATTTAAAATTAAATATTGCATTTGTTCTAAGATACCTAATGTTCTTTATAAAATGTGTCAAAGATACAGGCATTTGTTGTCAATCACTTCTCTGAATATAGAGAAAAAATATACTGTTGTAAAAAGAGAAACAAAAAGATCAATATATATAAGAGCAATATGAATTATTTTGAATAAATAAGGAAAAGCCAAGGTCATAAGATTTAGTCTAGGGAGGTAAAGCTGATTTGTCATTCCAGGATGAAAACAAACAAAACAGCTACTGTTTTTTGTTTGTTTGTTTGGTTGGTTGGTTTTGTTGTTTTGGGAGGTGGGGTGGTTGTGGTTTTTTTTTTTTTTTTAACAGCTTCTCACTTTCAAGATAAGAGTTTGACTTTAAAAACAAGAGTGTTTTGCATTTATACCAATATACTGGGAATCTTACAATTTTGCCCAATTTATTTTTAAGTTTTTCATAAATTTGGAGGGATTTTTTTTCTCAAAAACAGTGTTTGAGCAACATATTTGTTCAATGCTTGCTTAATCTCACTGCTAAATGGAATACACCTGACCAATACACATTCTACAACATCAAAAAGACCTCAGCCTAGAAACACAGACTGAAAATTCATGTATAATTCAATAGCACGACCAAAAAAATAGAATGCTTCTATTAAAGCCAATAAAAAGATTGTTATAATTTTAAGGGTAAGAATGGGTGAGTTGGCAATGAAACAGACTTTTATTGGAATGTTGTTCAAGTTGAGTCTTAACATTTAAAGAAAAGTATAAAGCATGTACCAAAATAAACGTGAGAAGGAGACACAGTTGGGGAGTAGAGACTTTCTGTTACAGGGAAAAGTATGTACAAAAGCCCATGTTCAAGGGAAAACAGTCTGTTTAGCAAAAGGAGAGATTTCATTGAGTAGAACTTACAAATTAGAGGAGCGGAGACTGGCATACCTTAGTAACAAACAAGGTTGTGAATTATTTTGCATGATACAGCAGATAATGTACACTTTTACATTAAATATGATTTGTTAAATTTCCAGTGCTTGTGGGACATCTATTCATATTTTGGGCTCTCAGATCATGTACCGCCTCACCTCTAATAATCTTTTAATCTGCTTAACTACAATAACACATCCTCGGAGCCTTACTCTAGACCATGCAAACCCAACTGAATCATCTCTGAAATTCAACATCAAGCTTTTTGGTCTCTGTGAAACCATCTAGTTTACAGATCATTTGCTCTATTATACCCAATTAATAAAAATATATTTTGATTTTATTTAGCTGTCCAATCCATTGATCCTGATACCTTTTCTCTTTTAAGTCAACTTTCTCCTTAGGCAGCTTAGATTCATTTGGACAGTATTATAATCACACCCAAATAAATAAGGATGGTAAATAGACCTTCTCCTATCTTCATATTAGCTTGTTATATATTTTACGTTATAATAACAACACTCAAATCACTCTCCTTGTTAGCTCATATTCTTGGCTAAAATTATAAGAAAGAGACTAAAGCTTAAAATGTTATTCCTTGTGGTTTTTACATTTTTGTCACAGGTACTTTGGGGCTTCTGATCCATATCTTTACTCTGAGATTCAAGCTAACATGGAGGATGGAAAATTATGCTCTGGCTTTTAGAGCTTTACACAGAAGTAACATATGTCAAATTTGCTTATAAATCTGGGGAAAGTAAAAACAAGTCACATAATGATACTTATTTCAAATGGTGGAGAAGTACAACTTTACTAGATACCTGGAGAAGAGAACATTTGTGGTATTTATATATTAATAGCTCTAACTATGAACAACCCTGACCAAATCTAGCCTTCCTCGCTTAAACCCAGATAGCTGCCTATTTGTTTTCACCTTAACAGGTGAAAATTTTTAGAAAAACAAACATAAAAGCCTCCTAAAAATGTTCACTTTTCTCACTTAACATCCATGATGACAAATAATAAATGAACACTGAAAATTGCCCAGCAATCCTGCTATACTTTCCTAAAATGTATAGTACCCTGCTGTGCAAAGTAAATAGTTCACACTCTTATTACTCTTCAAAGCACACCTTTTCCTATGTGACTTATGATGACATTGTTCTATACTGAGAAATCATAAGCACTCATTCAGGAACTATTTAATATTCCTATTTCATTACTTACCATTTATATCCTTCCCTCCTATTACAATGAATGACTCAGGTATGTATCCATCAATACCCAAATCTGCCATCTGTGTCATGGATCCTATGCCTCAAGCGGTATGAAAAGATTCTCTTCTCCATTTTTTTCTCCACCTCCTTTCTAACTGTGTTTCTTACTTTCCGAGACCATCCCCAAAAGATCATAAACAGTATAGTTGATCCCATATTTAAATAATAATATTTTGAAAAGCAGAATTAGGAAAATGACTTCTGCAAGAAAGCATAATAGGACTTTCTAGTGCTTGTCCCAAAGAATATCAATTGGAACCGTCTGCACATGAAAATATTTTTACAAGAGCCATAAATAAAGGTGAGAGATTGCAGCACCTGGTGGAGCACAGAAAATACACACACACAAACACACCCCCACACACACACATACTAACACACACACTGAAAGAGGTCAGAAGGATCACATCACATTACTCATGTCACTCTTCTCCTAAGCCTACACAGCACAACACAGAGACACATACCTTCTGTTTGGGAGAAGTAGAATGAAGGAAGCAACTACCAATTTCATCAGAGACCCTAGTACCCGACCTGCGACAGTAAACCCTGGCATCAAGCCAGTCCCCACAAACCCAGCACCTGCAGACCCAGGCTTTGAGCCAGCCTGCATGACCTCAGGCACCAGATTCACCCCAGAGCCAGGTGGCAGAACAGCAACCATGGACTCAGGTTCCAGGCTGGATGGCGTGGACCCAGGTTCCAAGCCTCCCAGTCCCAGGCTGCCACCAGTGTTCTCAAGCACCAGGCTGATACCCATAGACTCAGGCTCCTGGTCCACACTAGTGCCAATTGCTAAGCCAGCACCCATGAACCCAGGCTCTGGGAAGGCATTCATGGATGCAGATTCCAGGCCTGCCCCAGTGCCAGGGCAGCCCTTGTAGCCCCAGGATTCAGGCGGGCCCTTGAAAAACCAGGCTCCAAGATTGCTCCTATAACCTATGTCTCCAGGCTGGCTCCTACAGCTGCAGGAGGTAGGGCCACACCTGCCATTCCAGGTACCAGGCCAGCCTACCTGAGGACATCAGCAGCAAGCCCACCAACAGACTCTGCCAGCCAAACCTCCCAGAATGTCTGGATGGATTGACTAAGAAAGGGTTTTTCCTGCTGAAGTCAGAGCATACCAGTACAAAAAAATATATATCAAATTACAAAGGAAGACATCAGGAGAGGGAGGAAGAAACTAAGGAAGAGTGAGAAAACTTTTTTTTGAGTTGCCTTAGTAAGTCCTTATCTACCAATAGTTAATTTAAATGTAAATTGATTAATTTCTCCAGTCAAAAGACATAATGCGGCAGAATTAGTATAAAAATTGCCCAACTATATCCTGCCCATAAGAGACTCATTTCACTTTTATGGACACAGTAAAAGTAAAGGGATAGAAAATTATATTTCATGCAAATGATAACCAAAAGAGAGCAGGGAATGAGGGAGCTATACTGCTATCAGTCAAAAAATACTTTGAGTCAAATACTGTAAAATGAGACTAAGACGATCACTATATAATCATAAAGGGATCAATTTATCAAAAGGATACAACAATTGTAGATGTATGTACACCTAACATCAGAGTACCTAAATATATAAGGCCATTTTGAATATATCCAAAGGGATACATAGATAGCTACACAATAATAGTAAGGGACTTCAAAACCACACTTTCATCAGTAAATAGATCATGCAGACATAAAATCAATAAGGAAACAGTGGACTTCAGCCACACTGTATACTGAATAGACTTAACAGACATAGGCAAAACATTTCATCCAACAGCATCAGAATTCACATTCTTCTCAAGTGCACATGAAGCATTCTCCATGATAGATCATATATTAGGCTACAAAACAAGTATTAACACATTTAGAAAGGTACATTATATCAAATATATTTACTGACCACAATTGTAGGAAACTAGAGATTACTAACAGGAGGAAATTTGGAAAATTTACAAATATGTGGAAATCAAGCAACATGCCCCTAAACAACCAATGGATTAAAAAAGAAATCAAAAGATAAATGTAAAAATATATTGATATAAACATAAATAAAAACACAAATATCAAAACTTAAGAGATACCACAAAAACAATTCTAAAAGTTTATAGTGATATATGTCTACATTAATAAAAAATAAAGATCTCAAATAAACAGCCTTACTTTACGCCTTAAAGACCTAGAAAAAGAAGAAAAAATTAAAGCCAAAGTTAGAAAGAATAAAATAATAATGATAAGGAGGAAATAAGTAGAATCTAGGAAAACTATATTAAAAATGAATGATATGGTCAAATATTTGTCATCTTTCAACCCAAATTTATATGATAAAATCCTAATAGTCTAAGTGAAGATGTTAGGAGATGGGATCTTTCGAGAGGTGGTTAGCTCCTGAAGGCAGAGTCCTCATGAATGGATTAGCTCCCTTATAACATAGGCTCAAAGGAGTTCCCTCACTCTTTCCACCATGCGAGGACACAGACAATGCCATCTATGAACTAGAAAGTGTGTCTTCACCATTTACTGAAGCTACCATTCATCTTCAATTCCTCAGCCTCTAGTATTGTGAGAAATACATTTTTGTTGTTTATAAAACACCCAGTTTGTGATATTTTACCATAGAAGTTTATATAAACTAAAATTTTGAAAACTGGTACTGAGTAGGGAGAGATGCTACTACAACAAACACCTACAATGTGGAAGTGACTTAGCAACTGGGTAATGGAAAGAAGCTGGAAGAGTTGTGAGGTGCATGTAGAAAAAGCCTACATTGTCATTAATAGATACTAAAGGGTGATTCTGGTGTGGGCTCTTAAGAATTAAAAAGGTGTCAAGAAAACCTCAATCTTCTTAGAGACTATGTAAGTAGTTGTGAACAGAATGTTTGTAGAAATATAGTGAGGTCTCAAATGGAAATGAAGAACATACCATTGAGAACTGGAGAAAATGTGATCCTTCTTATAAAAGGGCAAAGAATGGGCTGAATTATGTTAATGTCCTAGTGCTCTGTGGAGGGTAGAACATAATAATAATAAAATATCAGCATATTCAGCTGAAGAAATGTCCAAACAAAAGTATGAAGGTGTGATCTAGCTTCTCCTGACTGCTTACAGTAAAATATAAGAAGAGAGAAACAATTTAAAAACAGAATTTATACTCAAAATGGAAGCAGAACTGAAAGATTTAAAAATTCTCAACTTGTCTATACTGAAAAAAAGTGAAAATACATGTGGATGAGAACATTAAGTATGTGTCCAAGAAACTGTTTAATAA
This sequence comes from Homo sapiens, assembly GCF_000001405.40. NCBI lineage: Eukaryota > Metazoa > Chordata > Mammalia > Primates > Hominidae > Homo > Homo sapiens. The sequence continues at coordinate 66,184,736 of NC_000004.12, read as the reverse complement.
AGAAATTGGCATGGCCAGATGGTATTCATCAAGGTAATGGAAAGATGACGCCAAGGCTTATTGGTGATTACTTAGGCTGCTGCTACAATCACAGCCTCAGAATGTCAGAGTCTGAGGAATGAACAATTTCAAATGAGGTATCACAAGTGCCTGTCAGACATAGGCACTTGCTGCCCAGCACCAACACAAAGCACTGCTGCACAAATTCTGGCAGGAAACTTTTTAGCTATCTGAGGTGTGGCTCTAATGAGTCCAGGTATGGTGTGGGCCATGTTGCCTTCCTCTTCACATGGCACATGTGATAAACCTTGGCGGCAATGCAGAATACTCAAGCTTTGGAGGTGTGCCTTCCTCCACTTAGATTTTGAAAGATGGTGCTGCCCTAAGCCTCATAGCAATGACTTGTGCTGAATGTTACTATGATAGAGAGCCACTGCAAAGAGTCTTCCACAGAACAATGCCTAGAAAAATTAAGGGGACAGGGCCGCATTCAAGTCGCTAGACCCGTAGAGCCACATGCATATGGCTCCAGCTTTGGAGAGTTACAGGTGTGCTACTCCAACCAGTGAGAGCCGCAGTGGGGACTGTCCCCATCAAAGCCACAGTGGCAGGGTTGCCCAGAGCGTTGGGGAACCAACCACTGTCTCAAAGTTGCCCAGAAGGTGGAATATTGAGTCAAACATGATTATTCTCAAGGCTTAAGACTAAATATTTTTTCCCCTGTTGGGTTAAAGACTTATTTGGGACTTATTACTTGTTTATTTTTTCCTAGTTCTTTCTTTTGGAATTGAAAGGCCCATTCTGGGCCTGTCCTAACATTGTATTTTGGAAGAACATAACTTGTTTGACTTCACAGATTCACAACTGGAGAGCAATTTGCCTCAGGATGAATTGTACCTCGAGTCTCACTCATGTCTGATTTAGATGATATTTAAGGAGACTTTAAACATAATGTCGGAACAAGTTAAAACTTTTGGAGCTATTGGGATACAGTTAATATATTTTGTATGGGAGAAGGAGATGAGTTTTGTGAGGCAACGGCAGAATGCTGCGGTCTAAATATTTGTATCTCCATCAAAATTCATAGGTTAAAATCATATCACCAATGTGATGGTGCCAGGAGGCAGGGCCTGTGCCAAGTGATCAGGTCATAAGGGAAGAGCCTTCATGAATGAGATTAGTGTACTTGAAAAGAAACCCCAGATAATTGCCTTGCCACTGCCACCCTATGAGAACACAGCAAGAAGACATCATCTATGAACCAGAAAGTGGGCCCCCACCAGACACTGCGTCTGTTGACATCTTGTTCTTGGACTTCCCAGCCTCTAGAATAGTGAGAAATACATTTATCTTATTTATTTATTTATTTATTTTATTTATTTATTTATTTTGAGATGGAGTCTTGCTCTGTCGCCCAGGCTGGAGTGCAGTGGCGTGATCTCGACTCACTGCAAGCTCTGCCTCCCGGGTTCACGCTATTCTCCTGCCTCAGCCTCCCCAGTAGCTGGGACTACAGGTGCCTGCCACCATGCTTGCCTAATTTTTTGTATTTTTTAGTAGAGACAGGGTTTCACCGTGTTAGCCAGGATGGTCTCGATCTCCTGACCTCATGATCCGCCCACCTCGGCCTCCCAAATTTCTGGGATTACAGGTGTGAGCCAACGCGCCCAGCCTATCTTATTTATAAATTACCCAGTCTATGGTATTTTGCAATAGCAGTCCAAATGGACAAACATACCACATTTACATACTGAAGGATACAAATTATATAGTCATCCCAATAGATACAGAGAAATCCTTAGACAAAGTTCAACATTCTTTCATGATGAATACTCTTCACGAACTAACTATAGGAGGAATTTACTTCAGCATAAAAAAGCCATATATGACAGGTCCACATCTAACATCATACTCAATGGTGAAATCCTGAAACATTTTCCTCTAAGATGAGGAACAAGACAAGAATGCCCACTCTCACCACTGTAATTCAATATAACCCCACTGCCATCACCTTGGGATTAATATTTCAACATGTGAATATATGAATTTTGGGCAGACATAGACAATCAAACCATATCAAATGACTAAAGAAAATGTGAGACGTATACACACACATGAAATACCGTTAAGCCACAAGATATTAAAAAATCCTATCATTTGAAACAACATGGATGAACCTGAAGGACATTATGCTAAATGAAATAGAACATACACAGTAAAACAAATACTGCATGGTCTCACCTATATGTAGAATCAAAAAATGTTGAACTCAAAGAAGCAGTTAGTAAAATAGTTCCCAGAGAGTGGGTGGGAGTGAAATAGAGAGATGTTGCTCAAAGTGTATAAAGTTCAATTATGCAGGAGGAATACATTTTGCAGATCTAAAGTACAGGATGGTGACTATAGTTAATAATCCTGCATTGTATATTTGAAATTTGCCAAGAAAGTAGATGTTCAATGATCTTACCACACATGCATGCATACACACACACACACACACACACACACACACGATAGTAACTATGTGAGGTAATGGATATGTTAATTAGCTTGATTGACATAATCATTTCACAACTTGTAGGAGTATCAAAAATCATGATGTACACCTTAAATATATACTATTTTTTATTTGCAATTATGCCTCAATGAAGCTGGGGATGTGTGGAGAAGAAACAAAACAAAAATCATAAATATTTCTTGACGCCACAACTTTCTCCAACAAAAACTTAATGTTTACTTTCTTTCACAGCAAAGCTCCTAAGAGTTGTCTCTAGTGTCTAACCCTGTTGCTCACTTTCCATTCTCTCCCCAACACACTGAAGTTGGATGTCTTTCCCTTCCACGGCACGAATTTTTTTCTCTGCGAACTTTCCATTGGCCTCCACGCTTTCAAATCCTGATCTCACTTGACCTTCTCAGCCACATTAGAAACAGCTGACATTATCACCTATTTTAAACTATTTCTTCCTTTGCATTCCAGATTTCCTCCTACCTTGGTGACCTTTCTATCTTAGTTTCGGTGCTATCATCCATCCATGGCTCATCCACTAAATGTTGAAGTGCTACAGTAATTACTCCCGAGACTCTTTTTCTCTTTCCTTGTTACTCCTTTTGTCTGTTTATACCATAGAGTTACATGCCTTTAAACACATTCATTAAGCAGCAGATTTTTAAGTCTATCTTCAGTTTGGAATTTCACATTTGTTTATCCATCTTAACACATCCATTTAAATGTCTATAGTAAAATGTCTACATTGAAGATCATGTAAATGAGTATTGTGTAATGTGCAGGACAAAATGTCTACTATGTATATAAATCTTAACAAATTCATAAAATGTTTCTTGATATCTATCACTCTATAATCGGTTCCTGGCCAATATTTTCTATCCCAGTAATTGGCAATATCAGTTACATAACCATTCAAATCTAAAACTAATATACTTTTTTTCCCTCCTTTCTACATAGTACCAAATCAATTCATCAGAATGTTTTGATCACTCTACCCCACAATATATCCAGAATCTGGCCATTTTAGTCCCTTCGCACCATTGCACTTTTGTCTAATCCACCTTCATTATTAAACTGAATTAATGCAATAATCACTTTACTTACTCTCCTACCTCTATTATTGTTTTCTATAACAGGGCAAGGGAGAATATTTTTAAGACACATAATAGAGTATATCATTCCACTGTTAATATTCTACAATACTTTTCCATCTTATTTTTAATAATATTTTAATTCTGATAGTTCCTCATGTTTCTTATCACATTTTCCTTTTTCATTAATGACTAATAATTTTTTTTTTCTGAAAAGTGTCATAGAGTAAATATTTTAGAATTTACAGGTCTAGTAGTTTCGGTCACAACTACTCCACTGTGCCTTTGTAGTACAAAAGCAGCCATTAACAATGAATAAACGAATGGGCATGACTATGTTCCAGTAAAACTTTATTTACCAAAAATATGTAGTGGGAAGGATTTAGCCTCTGGGCTGTGGCTTGCTCTTCTCTAGATAAAGAGCCTATGCCCATGCTATTTTTTCTTTTATTCTTTTGTTTGTTTGCTTTTGTTTTGAGATGGAGTCTCGCCCCGTCGCCCAGGCCGGAGTGTAGTGGAGCGATTTCCGCTCACTGCAAGCTCCGCCTCCCGGGTTTACGCCATTCTCCTGCCTCAGCCTCCCAAGTAGCTGGGACTGCAGGCGCCCGCCACTACGCCAGGCTAATTTTTTTGTATATTTAGTAGAGACGGGGTTTCACTGTGTTAGCCAGGACCGTCTAGATCTCCTGACCTCATGATCTGCCCGCTCGGCCTCCGAAAGTTCTGGGATTACAGGCGTGAGCCACCGCGCCTGTCCTGCCCATGCTGTTTTTTCTGACTGGAATCTCATCCTATAACACTCATATGACTAAATCCTTCTCAAAATATTACCTTTCTAGACAGGTTTTCCTCGTTGCCTTATCAAAATAGCCCTCACGGTAATGTTACAGCTGATTTTGTGATTTATTTTTCATAACCCTTATAACTATTTTAAATTAATTTTATTTTCATTTACTTATCAGTGCACTGTCTTTTTATTAGAATGTGAGCACCATTAAAACAGAGGCTTGCATGCTTGGTTTTTGATGGCCTCTCCAATATCTAGAACTCCAGAATGTAGGCACTGGATAAACTGTGGCTCATGAAATGAAAGAGTTCTAACATTGAAGAGAGTAATCGAAGCTGGAGATAAAATCTTTAAAATACATTTGGGAATATAAAACTCTTCTTTATTAGTTTTTAGGCGTGCATTTTCATTCATGCTAATTAATTAGAGTGTTTTTAATGGCCTCATTTCACTAACTTCAAGCTAGGTCAATTTCTGGCTCAGAAAAAATAAATGCCTAAGTAAACTCTTTAATCAAAATACCGATATACTTATTTCTTAATATGGAAAATGATATATGTATCCATTTTTGTGAAACCACCTACATATACATATTTATGTCTACATATATAATTATTACAGATGAATTTATTACTAAAGTATATTTTTTATTAAGTGACAAGTGATTTAATTTTTCCTCCATGAACAAGAATGGGGACAGGAGGAGAACGAGAAAGGAGAGGAAGAACAATTGCACCGGCAGCAATGATGTCTGTATTGAAATTAGCAATGATGGGTGTGGAGTGGAAAAAGGAAATGCATTCTCTCTCCATGTCCTTATCTCCCATAGTCTGGACAGCCAAAATAAACTGATGAAATTGAATCTATGATTTAGTGTAATCAAATCTGTTTCATCATTTTCATCTTTCTCCCTTTTGTATCTTAGAAATAAATTAGTAATAAACTAGAGTATCCTCTGAATTGGGTACATCTAATATGCCTGGAAGTAGCCATGCCAGAATGCATATTAGTTGAGTGGCTCCTTCTTTGTAATAAAGCTGTCAGGACTGACATCCTCAGAATTCATGGTGTCCTCCTTCCTCCTTGAACAGGGTGAAGGGATTATGCAGATGAGTCACAACACTGTGTCTGCCTAGAAAACCTCCTCTTGTGTGCTTGGCATACTCTGAAATTCCTTTCTATACCACTGAATGCCCACAGCTCAGAACTGTGTCTAGGGGATAAACACCTTAACAAAGCTGTTCAGCAGCTCCACTAAATGGTTCTGGCAGGCATACACTTTTGAGTGGATGGGAGCAATCTTCCTCTCCCACTTAGTTCTATTTATCCTCATTCAACCCACACACTCTCTCTCTGCTCCTTCCTTAAGTCTGTTTTGTCTCTTACTCCATGTCTCTCTCCCAACCATTTGAAATTTTTGTTTTTATTATATACAAACATTAAGATACATTCTTAGAGTTCCTTTCCTTAAAGCGAGAAACTATCTTTTCTAGTGTGACTAGCTCTGAGTAAGCAGAGAAGAAAGAGACTGGGAATAAGAAGTGAGCTAGCCACCCAGCAGTCATAGTCAATTTCCTATCACCAAAAGCCTTTTGGACTGTGGTTCAAAGTTTAGGTTTTATTCTGAGAGTGATGGAAAATCTCAAAAAAATTTTAAACAGGCAAAATTCACAATTTGATTTATATTTAAAATATCAAATTTTGGTTACAGTTCATAAAGAATAATCTATACTGGGAAGAAGGTGAGACACGAAGCAGGTAGTTCAGGTAGAATGCTATTGCAGAAGTCCAACGTAATAAAATCATGGCTTGATCTACTATTTTTTTTTTTTTTGCCAGTTTGTCTTGCTTTTCTTATTTTCAAATAGTTAAATGTCTTATGAATGTGTCTGTTTTCTTTCTTTCCTTTTTCAGAGGAGAAGCTACCATGAGTGGGTATTAAATTCACTCTTCTCTATTTTCCTATTATTTTGCTGTTGACATTGTAGAGATTCAGGTATATTTTCAGAGGTCTATCTAGGTTAAAGCTCAGTGGAGTACTTATATTCACAATTCCTTCAGCATCTTTTAGAAAATGTAAAGTCTTACAAACTAAATCTTCAAGGAAAGAAGAACTTCATTGGTTTCACGGTGGTTCTCAACTATCCCCCAGAGAAAAAACAGACATTGAATTCATTCTACTCAGTCTAAATTTGTATTTAATCCTTATTTTACTTTAGAGTTAACCATTCTAGATTTCCCTCTAGCAGCAGCCTATAAAAAGTGCAGTGAAACCTTTAGAAATTTATCTGTAATCATTTTTTCCAAATGAGTCCTTTTTATTGACATTTCTGGTAACTTATTTTTTCTAACTGGCAATCAAATGTCTATGAAAACATAATTCTATATGTGTGTTCTTCAGCATATTATTTTTTACGTTTTTGGAAATAACACATCAAACACACACGCATATAAATTTGTTCCAAGACTTTCAGTTCAAAATAGCTAAATTTAACAGTTTGAAAAATTACGAGCTAATAAATATTTGAATTGTCAGTAACCAGAATATATGAACAATCTTTAGTTTCATATAAAGGAATTGCAGCTTTTTAACATTTTCTTTTTGATAAAGACTTTTAGATATGGAGTCATGCACCACAAATTGATCTAATCATATGTAATCTCTGTTTAAGACCAATAAATTAAGTCATGGCCTTATATTTTTAAGGATATTATATTGCACAAAAAAACCTTTCATTTTTTTTCTAGGTCAAAATTGTTTATTGCCAATTTTATTTTATTCAAACTATACTTATATTGGCAGATGATGAACTTATTCACATACATAAATGCAAAACATCTTTAACAGGCCAATATAAAATTTTACGTTAGTTGGTAAAAACTATCCAATAAAAGATGCTTCAGGGTGGATATGAACATTCTATTGGCTTATATAATATCCATCACTGTAATGATAAATGTGGCCTTATATATAAGAATAATATTCCCAACTCCAAATATCTCTTAAATCTTAGAATCAGTATGTTTTAGCCTTTTTTATTTTATTATCTTTCCCTTTCACATAAATTCAGCTACTACTCTCCACTATGTGTCTATCATTACCCCTTTGTGTCTTCCCAAGCACCAAATCATGTATTTTTTCATCTTTCTAGAGTTTCTACAGGTATTTTAACATATGCAGAATAACCTTTGTTTTCTTCCCACCACACTTTATAGCATTTTTCATTTAAGCCTTACATGGTGACATCACCATGCACATAGTAGGAAGAGCACTAATCTTGACATCAACCTTTAGATCCACATTTCTAGACTTTTACTTTTATTAAATCAACCAGCTATGCTAATTATACCTCTGAAATGCTCCCCAATTGCTGCGTCTCTCTTTTACTAACAATGTTGCCTCAGTTAAGACTCTTATCATGCCTGTTTAGATTGTTGCAAAGGACACTGAATCATTTTCCCTGAGAGTAGCTTTCTCCTCTTCTGGTAAATACTTTTCTACCTTCTCCCTTGTTCTCCCTTCTCTCCTCTCCCTCTCCCTTTCCCTTCTCCTTCTCCTTCTCATTTCTTTTTCTTTTTTCTTTTTCATTAAGAAAGCAAAGGAATAAAAGAATAGCTACTTCGTAGGCAGAGCAGCTGGCAAGTTGTTAAAAGCATATATTTTTATATCATAAAGAGAAAGTTGATGTTATTAGTTTTAGGAATAAAACTTTATACTGGCTCTCTTAAAACTAAGTACTTTTAAAATCTTGTCTCAAGTTATAATGACATCTCCATTCCTTGCCTATTCATCATACTGTATTTTGCAGATATAATGAAATTCTCATTACTATCGTGTGTTGAGTTCACTTTTGTTGTTGTTATTATCTTTTATTTTCTAATTTATTACCTTCATATGTTTTGTTTATTCTGCTTAGTGACTTTGTTTTTATTCCTGACAACTCATTTGTAATTTCCTACTCTTCCTTCAGAATCAAGTTAAAACTTCACCTCAGTAAAAGCTTCTTTTTAACCTTCTAGAAGGAGTTAGGTTTTTGTGTTGCCAAATAAAACTATGGTGTATTATAAACTATTTTATTAAACTTGTGTCTCCAACTTGGACAAAACTAACATAAGGTGGATTAGCTCTTCAGAAAAGTTCTGGCAATTTAAGGAATTGTTCAAAATATCAATGTTTTAGAAGTCCTATTTCAGATAGCCTTGTTAAACCCTTTATGATTCAAAACCTACTTCTAGATCAAGAAGAAAATTTATTGAGTACCAGAAATAATAATAAATAATAATTTCTACTAGAAATTATCTGTTTTGCAGATGATACCACTTAAATAAATATGATTTAATCAAATATTGATTACTTGTGCCTATGTGTTATCAATATGATAGAGAAAATCTGTGGTAATGTGGAAATCTTATTGAACAAATTATTGATGTCTCCATTGTCTTATAAAGTAAAATCTAATGATAAGGAAATGTCTAATTTAATTCTATTATTGCAGCAATATACGTATCTAAAAAGTTATTTCACTAAAGCAAGTTTCTTTTTCATCCCTGTTATTCTGCTGAAAAGAGAAAAATTCAATGAATCAGAGATTATAACTCTACAGGAAAAAAAAAATCCTAGTGTTCAATAAAAAAGCCTGCCTATTGCTTTCTTTGAATTCATTTTGCTTGATTTTTGTTCAGTATGAGAAGAACTCACATTGATTACAATGAACCTGTTTTATACAGACCATGTAAAGATCCCTGTGGATTTGATTGTGGGGTGGGTCTCTAGTCTCTTTTTTATTACTATTGTCTTTTAGAATATTCTTGCAAGAAGAACAATGCAATGTGATGGCATTTTAAAGTTTAAAAAAAGGTATGAACAATATTCCAAAAACATTGCTTTCTTTTTCTCTCATCACGGTATTTTCAGGAAGTATAATATGCAATAGATACGTTCCATCAAATATGGCTAATTTACTGACATTTATTTGGTATTTTATATGCTCAAAATTTATACACAGATTTTGTCCTGACATTTTCCAGTATTTAAGTAGATCAGGGTTTTTAATAGCCAATGACATTTTAGATCCTCTTTACAGAATAACCAAATAATAAAGGCAACAAACACATTCATCCAGGCAATGGAGCACAGTGGGGATTTATTTTAGTTTTTCTAACAATATGGGTTTTTCTGATTGCTTTCCAGATATGCCTTTTTTGGTTACAAAAGTCCAAAATGTATGCTAATAAGGCTTATAAATCTAAATTATTATGGATATTGCCTTCAGTGGTTCTCATCTGAGAAACACAGGGAATTAAACATTAAAAAGAAATTAATGAGGTATAGAAAAAAAGGAATAGATGTAATAATAAACCATAATCCAGGCTCTTGGAAAAAAGTAACATGATTAATGAACCAATAGCTAACTTAATCCATTTAGTAAGGTAGAAATCACAGATATTCAAAATAAGAAATCATAAGGATAAAATAACTGTTAGAAAAGAAGAAAAATATTTGATTGTTTTCTTTGCTCTGCAGAAGTTTATTAGTTTGATGTAATCCCACTTTTTTTTTGTTTTTGTTGCCATACTTTTGGAATCATATCCAAGAAGTCATTGCCAAGACCAAAGTTAAGAAAGTTTTCTCCAAGGAATTTTACAGTTTCATATCTTACATTTCAGTTTTTAATCTACTTTGAGTTAATTTTGTGTATGATGTATGGTAAGGGTCCAATTTTATTTATTTTGAGACAGGGTCTGGCTCTGTCAACCAGGCTGGAGTTCTGCAGCAGGATCACAATTCACTTCAGCCTCTACCATGATTCTCCCATCTCAGCTTTCCGAGTAGTTGGGACCACAGGCATGCACCACCACATCCAGCTAAATATTTTCTATGCTTTTTTGTTGTTGTTGTTTTGTTTTGTTTTGTTTTTGGGTAGAGATAGGATTTTGCCAAGTTTCCCAGGCTGCTCTGGAGTTCCCGAGATCAAGTGATCTGCCCACCTTGAAAAGTGCTAGCATTACAGGCATAAACCACTGTGCCCAGACCAATTTTATTCTTTTACATGTGTATATATAGTTTAACCAATACCACTTATTAAAATTACTGTTTTCTTCATTGTATATTCTTGCCATCTTTGTCAAGATTAGTTTACCATGTGTGCTTAGGATTATTTCTGGACTCTCTCTATTATGTCTAATTGGTCTATATGTCTGTTTCCATGTCAGGACCATACTGTTTTGATTATTACAGCTTTGCAATATAATTTGAAACCAGGAAGCGTAATGACTCCAATTCATTCTTCTGTCTCCTGATTGTTTTATCTATTGAAGTATTCTTTGTGGTTCCATAAGCATTTTAGTAATTTTTCTAAAAGTTCTAAAGTTTTTTTTAGAATTTTTCTATTTCTGTGAAAAATATCACTGGAATTTTGATAAAGATTGCATTGACTCTCTATGTGGCTTTGGGTAGTATCAACTGCACAATAGAAAAGCAAATCAATAAAAAGGCAACCTACATAATAGCATAAAATAGTTGCAAGCCAAATATCTGAAAAGGAGTTAATATCCAAAATATATGAGTAGTTCATACAACTCAATAGCAAAAAAAAAACAGATAACCCAATTAAAACATAAAGGAACCAGATAGAAATATTTCCAAATAAAACATACAAATGGCCAAAGTTGTATGAAAAGGTGCTTAACAGAGCTCAAGTAATTTGTACCAGAAATACCAATGGAGGAAATGCTCCAGATGCTGGTGAAGATGCATGAACAGGTCCAACCAACTGTACACTTGAAAAAATAAACATTTATTAAATCAAAAAAATAAAAAAGGTGCTTAACATCACTAGTCATCAGAAAAATGCAAATCAAAACCTCAAAATGGAATACAACCTCACATCTCTTAGTAGGGCTATTATCAACATAGACATAGATATTATCAAAATATATAAATAGATAATTACTATTGGCTAGAGTGTGATGAAAAGGAACATTTGCACGTTATTGGTGGGAATGTAAATCGATATAATGATTATGGGAAACAGTACAGAGGCTCTTCAAAAGATCAAAAAGAAAAGTACCATATGACCTAATAATATATCTTCTGTATGTATACTCAATGAAAATGAAATTAGCATGTCAAAATGATATCTGCACTCCCATGATTATTACAGCATTATTCACAATAGCCAATGTAAGGAAATAACTTGTTCGTCAATGGATAAATGAATTGTTTGTGTGTATGTATACATACATATATACACACATATGTATACATATATATACATACACATATATATGTATTTGTGTATAAGTATTTATGTACATGTATAAATGGAGTATTATTCAGCCATAAAAAGGAAGGAAATCTTGCCACTTTGTAACAACACAGATTAATCCAAAAGACATTATGTGAAGTCAAATAAGCTAGATACAGAAAGGCAAACACTGAATAATTCTTACTTATATGTGGAATCTAAAAATGTTAAACTTACAGAGAGTAGAATGCTGCCTGCCAGGGGCTGGGAGTGGGAGAAATGAGAAGACACTCTTCAAAGGGTACAAACTTTTATTAAAAGATGAATAATTTCCGGGGATATAATGTACAGCATGGTGACCATTGTGAATAATACTGTATCATTACCTAAAATTTGTTAAGATAGTTGTTTAAAACTTTTCTCACCACAAAGAATTTAAAAAGATAACTATGTGAGTTGAAGGATATATTAATTAGCTTGATTGTGGTAATCATTTCACAATGTATATGTGTATCAAATCATCAAGTTTTATACTTTAAATGAATAAAAAATAAACCATTCTTTACAGAAATACAATAAGAAACAAATAAACAGATGTCCTAAGGGTAGCTGTTACATAGAATTCTATGTAAACATATATGGAAACCTAGATAAAAAGAAAATTTAAATTTAATTTGTTAAATAAAATTTTCCAACATTAACCACAATAGAAATAGTAAACTGAAACACATTAATTTACTCAAATGATGAGAAATTTGTCAAGAAATTGCCCCCCAAACCACCAGTCCCAGTTAGTTTCACAGGACAATTGAGCTAATCTTTAAAACCGGATAGTCTCAATAATATTTAAATTATTCCAAAGAATATAACATTAAGAAAATTTCTATTTTTTGTAATAAAACAAATATTTTCTATGGTCTTCAGCAGGTAAGTGACTCACAGACAAAATAGAAGCCATGGAATAAAATCTCTTTTATCTTCCTTTCAGGTCCATCCTCCTTTTCTACTTCTTATGATAAGAATAAGAAGCCTTTGCCTGGGTGCTGGTGCTCAGTCTTACCTACTGTCTCAGAATTCTATTTAATGATTTTCCTGAAGTTCTTCAGAATATGTGATATCACTTGTATAAAGTCAGGTACAACAGCAATATAGAGGTATAGTATATAATTTAATTTGATCATTTCAATTTTTGAATTTCCTAAAATTCACAAAATCTTTAACAAGATTATGTAGTGGAAATAATGGTTGGTCATACAGTTTGTCTGTGTCTGCACCCAAATCTCAACTTGAATTGTATTTCCCAGAATTCCCACACAATGTGGGAGGGACCCAGTGGAGATAACTGAATATGGGTGCCAGTCTTTCTCGTGCTATTTTATTATTTTTTTTTAAACAGAGTCTTGCTCTGTCACCCAGGCTGGAGTGCAATGGCACAATCTCCGCTCACTGCAACCTCCACCTCCCAGGTTCAAGTGATTCTCCTGCCTCAGCCTCCCAAGTAGCTGGGATTACAGGCACCTGCCACCATGCCCAACTAATTTTTGTAATTTTAGCAGAGACGGGGTTGCAACATGTTGGTCAGGCTGGTCTCGAACTCCTGACATCAGGTGATCTGCCTGTCTTGGCCTCCCAAAGTGCTGGGATTACAGGTGTGAGCCACCATGCCCAGCCCCCAGTGCTATTCTTGTGATAGTGAATAAGTCTCACAAGATCTGATGGGTTTATCAGGGGTTTCCACTTTTGTTTCTTCCTTATTCTCTCTTGCCACAACCATGTAAGAAATGCCTTTTGCCCTCCACCATGATTCTGAGGCCTCCCCAGCCATTTGGAACTGTAAGTCCAATTAAACCTCTTTTTGTTCCTAGTTTCGGGTATGTCTTTATCAGCAGCGTGAAAATGAATTAATACAGTTTGCTTGGCTGTTGTTGCTTCCTCAGTTAAATAACTTAATTTAAAATTTGAAATTTTAATACCAGTAGTAGTATGGAGAAAGGAGATCTTTTATAGAAGAATGTAGAAGATTGCTTAGTAATATCTTTTTTTTTTTTTGAGACAGAGTTTCACTCTTTTCACCTGGGCTTGATTGCAATGGCATGATCTCAGCTCACTCCAACCTCTGCTTTCCAGGTTCAAGCGATTCTCCTGCCTCAGTTTCCCGAGTAGCTGGGATTACAGGCACCTGCCACCACACCCAGCTAATTTTTGTATTTTTAGTAGGCGTCTGCCACCATACCTTGCTAATTTTTTTGTATTTTTAGTAGAGATGTGGTCTCACCATGTTGGCCAAGCTGGTCTTGAACTCCTGACCACGGCCTCCCAAAGTGCTGGGATTACAAGCTCGACCCTGTTGGGAGCAAGCCCCCCCAAATCCTGCCATAAACTGGCCCCAAGACTGGCCATAAACAAAATCTCTGCAGCACTGTGATAGGTTCATAATGGCCCTAACACCCAAGCTGGAAGGTTGTGGGTTTACGGGAATGAGGGCAAGGAACACTTGGCCTGCCCAAGGCGGAAAACCGCTTAAAGGCATTCTTAAGCCACAATTAGCCTGACCGATCTGTGTCTTAAGGGCATGTTCCTGCTGCAATTAATTCGGCCCATCCCTTCGTTTCCCTTAAGGGATACTTTTAGTTAATTTAATATCTATAGAAACCATGCTAATGACTGGTTTGCTGTTAATAAATATGTGGGTAAATCTCTGTTCAGGGCTCTCAGCTCTGAAGGCTGTGAGACCCCTGATTTCCCACTTCACACCTCTGTATTTCTGTGTGTGTGTCTTTAATTCCTCTAGCGCAGCTGGGTTAGGGTCTCCCTGACCAAGCTGGTCTCAGCAGAGCCATTGCACCCGACAAGTTGGTTAATAATATCTATTCAATTCACAAATATGTATGAACCTTATTTAAACAATTCCAGTGTAAAAATGTGTCTATACATATATGTATAAAACTGTGCCAGTTAGTTTTTTCCTGGGAAAAAAATCATTTTGTATATGTTGATTTATACAGAGTTATAAGATCATTTTGACATGATAAAAGAAAGGTGATGTAGGATATGAATAGTATGAAATCATACATACAAATTAAATATATTTATATACTGGTCTATGCATACAAATAGTAGAGAAATGTACATACCAAACTGGTAATGGGTATCACATAACGCCAGTGGAGGTGGAGGTGTTTGGAGGAGACATAAAGTTTAATTTTTAAATTATTCTGTACTTTTTGTGTTTTCTTTACAGCATATATTCATCATATTATTTCAAAATAAATTTTGAAATAAAGATGAATTAAGTCACAGGATTTAGTATGACTTTGACTTCTTGAGATGTTGTGATTTAAGTACGTCTTGATTTAATTTCCATAAAAATTTGTTTCAAAGGGAAAAATGAAAAAAAGAAAAAGAAAACAAGAGAAAAAGAGAGAAACAGGAGCTGGAGAGCAGGGAGAAATAGGAAAAGAAAAAGGAGAAGAAAGGAAGAAGGGAGGTAGAAAAGAAGGGGGAATCTCTACCTCTGACTTTGACAAACGCTATGAAAATCTTTACTGTTGACCAGGCGATGGCGCAATATAACCTATCCTGGATGATACTACTACTACTAACAACAATAACAACTCGACTTAGTCTTTCATAGTTATAACCGTATTTTTCACAACACATTGTGCTGTATTTTATTTAAATAATTGTATACAATACAAAATTGCTAATTTTGGAAGATATAAATTATAATATGTATTTGTCTTGCCAATTCATATCTCTGAAGCCAATTTTATCATTTATTTAAAATGGCATTTAAGAAGGAATTTATCTCTAGGTTAAAAAGTAAGTTTTCCATCAATAAGATTATATTTTTACAGAAATAATAGTATAAAAGTGGTGCTTTTACACTTTTACAGTGAAAAAATTGTACATTCTTTAGTTTTGTCGAAAGACACTAAAAAATGTAGTATGTCTTAAAAAGTAGTCCTTCTCTTAAAAAAAAAAAAAAACTAACAAAAATTACCTTTGTTTTTTGCTTAAATAACACTTAGTTCCTGAGATAAAAGGACTGGTGTCTTTAAACTTACTGTGATTTCCAACAGCTCTAATTTCAATTCAGAATAGCAAACATAATATGTCCTAAAAAGAAGTGTGCATTGTTTATACTTTTTTGTTTTGTATTTAACTGTTTTTTAAGAGTGAAACTAGATAAAATTTTAAGTGTCTCCTGCTCCCACTGTTTGAAATTTAATTCCAAACCAAAGCTTCTCTCTCATATGGACTGCAAGCAGGTATCTACGCGCTTCTTAAGAATTCCAGTATTATAAGATTAAGTTAATTGAGCGAAAGACCATATCTATCTGTTGAGCTTGAAAATGATATATTTGTTTTTTTTTAAGACAGAAAAACAGAACATGTAATTAGCAATAGGTTTTTTTTTTTAACAAATACATATTTATGTTCATTCAGCACATCTGTGAAATAATCTATTTGTATGTATTCAAAGAATTTACTTACTTTTCGAGTTTAGCACAATAATTCCTTCTTTTTGTGTCTATTCTTACATTTTCTTAAAATTCAAGTTTAATAGACAACTAAAATGTTTGCTACTTTTGTGAGCTTTATTGTTGTGTTACCCATACAACAAAAGATTTATGACAGTCAGGAAGGGTGTATGCCTGGAAAAAGTGAAGAACAAGAAGAATGAAGGTACAAAGATGCACATAAAATTTCAGAAAGTTCCTCATGACTGAAAAGGCACAATTTAACCTATTACCTATCCAATGACTTTGAAAACTAAATGAAATAATGTAAAAAAGAAAATTCTAAAATGCTGTAACTAATGGAATGTTTAAGGTAGACTCATGTACCCAGCTAAATGGAAATACATACATATACACATACATACATGTATACCTGACTTCAGGATCACAGCGAGTTCGTGCTCTAAAGTTGCCTCAGAAAATTGTTATATCTAAGCTACAAAGCGTTTGTTCATCAACACATTGGATTATGTAAGGCTTCTGACCTCTCCCTAGTATTGATTTAAGCAACCTTCAAATTCACTGTAGCTTGCTATAATTTACTTTTTGCTGTGTAGCAACAGAAAAACTGACAATATTTGCTAAAGTTTGTATATTTTTTTCAATGGAAACTTAAAAATAAACTGCTTAGTCGCTCAGTATCCACTTTTATTAGTGTATCTATGTTCCATTAATCTTATTGGGTTAGTTCTCCAAATTAGTAATCTTTTATGATTCTGTTAATTCCCTACAAAATGTTCAGTGATGAGAGGAATCAAGCTCCAATCTCATCTGTAAATGAGAGCACCGTTGCATTCAGAGGTAGATGTTTGCTATTTACCATGTGTTACCTTTCACGTCCTTATGCATTCTATAAGAAATCTGTCTACCTTGCTGGCACACACATATATAATGGAGGTTTACTCTTTTATACCAAATCCCATTACTGGAAATGGAAAACTAACACTGCTTTCCTTATTGATTTTACTGTTTTCAGTTTATTTAATGTGTGTGTTTCCCATAACCCATTCTAATTATAACCAAAATGAGTATGGAAGGCAAAGCAGCTTAAATGGGAAAAACCATAACTGGAAACCTGAAGGGTTGTCCTTCATGAAAGAAACTGAGGTAGTAAATCTCATAGCTAAAGGGAGAAAGCCACAAATATTTGACTTCCTTATCCATGACACTGGGAGCAATAGGATGCTCATTTGAGAAGCTTTTGCTGCATAATAAAACTCTATTAGCAAACAAGAGTAGACAGCTATTTCTCAATCTCACTTTGACTGTTAGTTTGTGTGGCTCTGCTTGAGGCTTTTTGTTGAGTCTGGTACTAAAGTCTGGTTCTACTACCCAGATCTCATTCCAGGGCAAAGCTGGAGACATAATATTCACCCAGGTCTTGCTTTTTTTTATGGTGATCATTAAAAATTTCAGAGGGATGTCCAAAAACACTCATTGCCTCTTAAGATATAGGCTGGGAATTGGTTCTCTCTCACTTCCACCTACATAGTTTTGAACAAAGCCAGCCACATAGTCAAGGCCAACATTGTTGGGGCATGAAGATGGAATTGTGGGGAAGCAGGATGAATATACGCTGAAAAGTAAGTTAATCTGTTATAGCAGTCATCAGGATAGAGACCAAAGCAACCCAGTAAGCTGCTTTGCAAATTTCCTATACTGAAGTAGAACTAATATAGTAGCAACTCTTTATTCACAGGAGACATGTTGAAAAATCCCCAGTAGACGCCTGAAATCATGGATAGTACTAAATCCTATTTATACTATATTTTTCTATACATACATACCTGTGATGAAATTTAATTTATATACTAGGCACAGTAAGAGATTAGCAACAATAACTAATAAAAAAATAGAATATTCTAATAATAAATCATAATAAAAGCTATGTGAATGTGGTCTCTCTCTCTCTCTCAATATATCTCATTGTATGGTACTCATCCTTCCTCTTTTGATTATGTGAGATAATAAAATGCCTACATGACAAGGTGAAGTGAGGTGAATGGGCTACTCTTGACCTTCTGATGATATATCAGAAGGAGGATCATTGGATTCAGATGATCCTGAATCACAGAGCTGTGACAATGTCAATGATTGGATGTCATGATCAGATGATGTCGACGCCTAACAGACAGGTATAGAGCTCGGATACACTGGACAAAAAGATGATTCAAGGGATGACACAAGTCTTCATCATGCTACTCAGAAAGGAGCCAAATTTAAAATTTGCGAGTTATTTCTGGAATTTTCCATTTAATATTTTTGGACATTGGTTGACTGTGAGTAACTAAAATATCAGAAAGCAAAACCATGGTTTAGTGGGGACTACTGCAATTTAATTTAACTTAATTTAGTGGGTTGGTAGCCTTCAATATCCACGGAGAATGAGATTTCTTTTATTTTTATCCTATAATACTTAAATAATAGTTTAGTAAGTAACCCAGCTTGATCCCCAAGCTATTTCTACCAGGTAAATCCAAATCTGTATGGCTAATGTGCAGGGCAGCAGATCAGAGAGTTTATACCCATGGAGTGTTGGAAAGCAGCCGAGGAAAGCAGTAATCCTCAGTGATATTGGATTGACCAGAACAAGATTATCCCACAAACTGAATCAGCAATCAGAAGGAGGCAACAACTGCGTTCCAAGTTATCTAAGACTCAGATTTGTGTTCAATTTAAGTCACCACAGAATTATAACTGGATTTTTCAGACAGGAGAGAAGATAGCAGGTGAAAAGAGAAAAAAAAGTTAATTTGGCTAATGCTTCAGGAGGAGAATGGGAGATAAGTTATTCTTTATTTGCTATATGCATTCTCCCTTACTTTGCCTTAGAATCTTGTAGAGCTATAGTACTGGAGGTTAGCAGTTGCTGAGGTAAAGGAGGAACGCTGCTCAATTCTCCTTTAAAACAACCTGCTTCATACTCATCAGCTATCAATCACCCCTTTGGATCTACTAAGGTTGTCACAGTAAGCCACATTTCCTTTTGGCTGCTCTCAACCAATGGTCATTACCAATCACCTTGAGGGTGGAGTGGTTTCAGAGTTGGTTCACTCAGGCCAAACTCAGCCCTCCTATAATGGGCAACCTTTGCTCAGGAACTCTCCATTGGCCTGATCAGCGATTTCTCAGAACTGTACTGCAGTTAAAGACTGTTCCTACCTTTATTCTTTATCTGTTTCCTTTCACAGGAGTCAGTACACACTGTGAGCTAAAGGTTCCCACTGCCTAATTTAGTACCCTTGTATTTTAGCTTTAATGGCATTTCTCCCATAAGTCTTTTGTATATCTAATCTTATATTGGTAGCAGACTTTATGAGAATCTAACCTGACACAGTCATTAGAACTTACAGAAGCAGAAAATAGAGTGGAGGTTGGCAGAAGATAGGGAAGTTGTAGTTCAATGGGTATAATGTTACATTTATACAAGGTGAGTAAGTTTTAGAGAGATACTCTACAACATAGTGCCTATACTAAAGATATTGAGAGAGGAGAAAAGGTAAAAAAAAAACAGGCAGACAGTTAAGGCAGGTCCTCAGTAGAATTCTTTTAAACAGAGAAACAGCATGAAAAATCAAGCTGTAGCTGCACAGATAAGTGAGCAAGACCCAACAAAGAAATGCCTTTGTACTTTGTGTAATCAGCGGGCTCCCAGGAAAATGTTTCCTCCCCTTCTATGGATGTATACATTGTGGGCTCCATGGGAACTTGTCTTGCACAGGGAGGAGGCTTGCTTAAGACGTGCTCACAGCTGCACAGATAAGGGCACTTAACACAGGCAGCTACACAGATAAGGGGAATTTCCTATAAAAGCTTTTGTGTTCAACTGTAAAGTGGCAACCCTCTTGGGCCCCCTCTCCATTGCAGAGAGCTTTCCTCTTTTGCTTATTAAACTTTCACTCAAACCTCACTCTTGGTGTCCATGCTCCTTATTTTTCTTGGTCCTGAGACAAGAATTATGGATAACACCTCAGACAATGAGCCTGCTTCATTGACCTTAAACTGCTTCAATATGTGCATGAAAATTTAACAGAGTAGATCTTAATTAGTCTTAAAGCACCATGATTGCTTAGGAAATATTACTACAAGTTCTTACTACAAGAAAAGAGACTCAAGAACACTTTTGGTTTTATGTGGATAGATTCATTACATTTGTTATGGCAATGGTATCACATATGTACAAGCTCATCAAATTGTATACATTAAGTATATGCAGGTTGTTTGCTTAAAAATCATATCTCAGTAAAGATGTGAATCATATCTCTCTAAAAGTGTTATGAAAAGTGGGACTTGTGTTGCTAATAAGTAGTGGCTACCATGCTCAGCACTAATATTAAACATAGTGTGCTTTGGAAGGCACATGGTGTTTTATAGACAGAGGGGATACTTTTCATCCCTTTATAAAAAGAAACTCCTTCATGCTCTACTTTGCATGTTAGCCACACAGATTTAATTCTCCTGATGAACATAGCTTGGACATAAAGTTGGCTCAAACAAAAAGAAATGGTAAAACCTAGTGAAGGAGCAGTCATGCTTGACAGATCATGCACTGCTCAGTGAAGGTGGCCTATGGGCAAAAGGGACAATGATGCCTGGGAAGTGCTATCCTCAGAATAGGTGGTAGCAGAGCCCAGGAGGAGCAGAGCTTGATGAGACCCAAGTGGAAGTGGCTTTTCTATGGGCTCCAAAGACACACCTATCAAGGAAACTTTAGACAGTTTAGCAGACATTGGAAGCCTTGAACCAGAAGTGTGTTAAGACAATTGGGTTGGGAAGAGAGAGGGAAAAGGAGGAAGAATTGCAGATATAAGGTATATATAATTCATGTTCACACACTAGGAAACTTTCTAAAATGATCCCTGGGAAAAAAATGCAAGAACTATTATATTATTGAAACAATGGGCAGGTTTTAAAAAATAGGCTGTGAAAAGAACCACGAATATGAGTTTTGAAGTGACTCTATTCAGACCCATGAGTAGTTAACCTTGAGGAACACGCGTTATAATATTGGTGTTAACATTCCTAAATACGTATCAGCTTCATTTTGAGCAGTGACATATTAAGAGAAGGAAGATGATTCAGGGTATAAATCACATTCCCATAGCAAAACATTCTCACATTGAGATGGCACTTGGATTGCAATCTCTAACTCTACCAAGATTCCAAATGTGTCCTGTGAGTTAATGGTCCAGTAAATTTTCTTCTTTAGACATAGAGAACCACACAAATTCTGTTAATTTTGTTAGTGCTTTTGTCACTGATATGATACTAATGTTGTTGAGTGATTGTCAGTGATATAATCACTCCTGTCCTTAGGGAAAACAAAAACAAGAGTACAGGCTAAATAAGAGGAGGAGGAGAATGTTTATAAGGTTCCATGCATTATGAATGACATGAGTCAAGTGACACAAGCGAGTTGCCGGATTTGGGGTCAAGAATCAGTGCTGGGGTTAGCAGGTGAGAGCACACTCAATGTCTGGGAGGAGATGAAATACATTTACAGATCAAGAGCAATCTGAATACTGTTATTATAAATTATTGTTTGTTCTTCATTGTATCATGTATTCTGCAATTCTTAAAAATAATGACTATTGAATTCCTTAAAGAATAGTCAATAAATGCTATTATTAACAATAAAAGCAAATAAATAAAAACATGTCAGGCTATCATAACATAGAAAGTTAATCCCAGAAGTTCATAAAATTGAATGAAAATGAAGGGAATTTGGAGGTTAAAAAATTGATTGTGGAGTAAGAAGACTTTGAAAAAAATAAATACATCCAAGTGCATTGTTGCTCAGCTCCCTATTCATACATTGTGTTTCTTACCTCACATTAAAGTGTTTAAAATCTCTAAGTTTCTTCTAATAAATTTAGGATAAGGAGATTAGATATTAGAGTACTGCAATTGTTCATTGATGCTAGGCATCTGAACTAAGGAGATAGTGACGAGAATTGAGTGGGAGGGAATGGTGAGGAAGGCATTGCAAGTATTAAATAAATGGCCTGTTGGAATCCAGAGTACTAGCCCTTCCTTTCTAAATCTAGATGGTAGTTTTCAAAACAAAATGTGTGCTATAACATGAAATGATTTTATGTATAAAAGCCATTTAATAAAAACCCTAGAATATGAAAAATTTATTTAAATGTATAAAACATGCTTGTATTTGTAACGATGATATATAAACTCACCAAATTTGTTAGATATTTGGAAGTTTTAGATGTAGCAAATTTAGTTTATAGCTTTCTCCTTGTGTAAGGGGAAAATAATGAAAGCAGCAAATACAAATGCCAATTTTTGACAGTTGTAACTTATGCTGTGTTTTTTTCTTTTTTTCAGACCACTAGATTTTCTGAATACACAATTACTGTACTGAGATTTCCACTTGACATTCCTCAAAAGTTTCAACAACTTGACCTTTCAAAGATGCTATTCTGTTGAAATTATTCTTATATCCACTGTGAACCAGTGGGTTTTAAGCAAGATAGCCAGAAATCCACCAATTATCACACTGAATGCTTAAAAGAAAAGTGTGTTAGGACTTTGAGTTTCTCATTGGTACTCAACTATTCAAGCATCTTTGATTCAAATCTTTGATTTATATACTCAAATTTCATTTATGCTATTACTAACAAGTTTGTCTGCATAAATTGTAGGAATCCTTTTTCCAAGTTTCATCCAGGGAGAGAGTTCAAATATACTTTTAAAAGTCAATACACAAGTCTAGACTACAGTAAACTCTCCCTAGTATGTCCTGCTTAATTTCTCAACTTTATGTACATTTGGGAAGTAAAATGATCAGAAATCTCAAATTGACCATGACTGTAATAAAGAGGAACATTTCTTTCAGAATGCATTAGAAAGCTATTTGTTAAAAATCAACTTGTGAATAGTACCATATTCTTTTTTTTTCTGTTTCTCATCACCTTTTGGTATTAATTTGTGTGTATGTATTTTTTATTTGTTTCTTTCATCCTAGAAAAGAGAGCAATCCTGCAAGCCAATCCCGACTCTGAAAATCATCACTATACTGTGAATATATTCTGAGCTCTTCCCGACATCCCTCCATCATTATTCTATAACAGACACTTTGCTTTCCCATAAATAAGAAAGGCAAACACAATATAATGGCTTTTGACATAAAAGAGCATTGGATTTTGACATAAAAGAGCATTTCAATGTATCCAAGTTTCCTATCCAAAGCAATAACTCACAAGAAGTTTTGCTATAATTGAATTAGTCTCTTTGTTTTATGATTAAGATTTATGTGTCTGTTATTTAACAGTAACAACTCTTTCTCTTTTGCTCCCTTTGAATCTTAGTTATCCTTAGAAACATACTAAAACACTGGAGACACGTCTTTTATTTCTCTACTTAAATTGTTCCACCAATCCTAAGTTGGAAGTACCTGTGTAGTATGTAATACTACACTCAGTATAGGTAAACTGCTTTCTCATCAGGTTATCAGCATCAAGTTTTAACATCTGGCTTGCTTTAGGTTAAGTTTTCAAGGTTAGTGGAATTTTTTATTTACTTAAATTAGTAGCAACAATTTAGCATTTTTGAGACAATAAAATATACTATCTTAGTAAATCAGACATTTACTCATGTTTACCAAATAATGAACACCATGCTAAGCAGGAAAGATAAGGAAGAATGCTATGGCTCAGCCCTACATAAAATTGCCCAAGAATCTTATAGTGAAGATAAACAACTAAAAAGTTTCCACATAGTGTAATAATTATTTTCAAGAAGGCAGTTTAAGAATGCAAAGATGACTCGAAAGTTGGCCATCATCCCTGTTGCCATCCTGAAAGATCCTTCAGACATGGGAGATTAGCCTGGGACCTATTTGTCATGTAGCTTTCAGAGACATTGATTGCCCTCAGATTCTGCCTAACCCTCAAACTAATTAACAAATGCAGATTTTCTACTACTAATTATTTGAATTTATACAATTCAGGCAGGAAAAACACTTTTGCACCAAGAACTAGTAGGACCAAATTCTAAGCAGAAAAAGAAAGTATACAAAATCACAGACATATGAGAAAACAATCGATGAGATTTGGGTTATTACAACACGTGGTAGAAAGTGACTACTTCCTGCCGGGGGCGGTGGCTCACGCCTGTAATCCGAGAACTTTGGGAGGCCCAGGCGGGCAGATCACGAGGTCAGGAGATCAAGACCATCCTGGCTAACATGGTGAAACCCCGTCTCTACTGAAAAAAAAAAAAAAATTAGCTATGCATGGTGGCGGGAGCCTGTAGTCCCAGCTACTCCGAAAGCTGAGGCAGGAGAATGGCGTGAACTCGGGAGGCGGAGCTTGCAGTGAGCCCAGATGGCGCCACTGCACTCCAGGTGGGCAGCAGAGCGAGAGTTCCTCTCAAAAAAAGAGAAAGTGAGTACTTCCAAGAGTGAGGTTGGGGTTTTTGTGTAGCCAGCCAAAGTGATTGGATTTTATGTGATAAAGCAAATATTTTTAAACATCTCCACAAAAGTGCACCTTAAGGCTCATCTAAGATAATATGAAACATTTTGCCTCTGGGGAAATTGCTTAAGCTCAGAACATTTTGATGCAAAAATAGCATTTCTTTTTAAACTCATATTTTATCCCTACAATTTTTGCATGTTTGCCATTTATTCTTTAATATTAACTTTAATACCAATTCCTTCAAAATAAGCAAAACAGATATTGAGAAGATATGCTATGATGATCCTGTGGTTTTGCATATGTATATATACTATCTTTTAATTTTACCTTACATCGAGAAGAACATAAAACCTCTAAGTTTGGGGAAGATATTTAAGAAATTTAAGAAAATAAGTCACATGATTGAATTTGCAATTTAACAAATAGCACTTATGATAGGCCAAATTTACCCTATTGAAATGTTTTAGTAATAAATTTATATATAACTCAACCAATTTTGTTCTTTTTTATGTAATATGCAATTGGAATTTTGATAGGAAGTGTGTTGAATCTGTATATCACTTCAGATAGTATGGACAAGAATATTAATTTTTCCAATCCATGAACAAGAGATATCTTTCCATTTATTTGTGTCCATTTATTTGTGTCCTCTTCAGTTTCTTTGACCAGTGCTTTATAGTTTACAGTGTACAGATTTTTCACTTCCTCAGTTAAATGTATTCTTCAGTATTTTGCTCTTTTTGATATGCTCATAAGTGAGACTGTTTTCTTGATTTCTTTTTTTTTTCATTGTTCTTTTATTATTGCTATTACTTTTTTTTTTTTTTTTTGAGACAGAGTCTCACTCTGTCGCCCAGGCTGAAATGCAGTGGCAGGATCTCGGCTCACTGCAACCTCAGCCTCCTGGGCTCGAGCAATTCTTCTGCCTCAGCCTCCCAAGTATCTTGGATTACAGGCATGAGCCACCACACCCTGCTGATTTTTGTATTTTTAGTAGAGACAGGGTTTCACCATGTTGGCCAGGCTGGTTTCCAACTCCTGATCTCCAGTGATTCATCTGCCTTAGCCTCCAAAAGTGCTGGAATTACAGGCCTAAGCCACCACGCAATGGATTTTTGTATGTTGATTTTGTATCCAATTAATTTACTAAATTTGTGTATTAGTTCTAACAGTTTTATGATAGAGTAGGATTTTCTACACATGGGGTTATGTCATCTGCAAACACAAATAATTTTACTTATTCTTTTCTGATTTAGATGCATTTATTTCTTTTAAAAATCTGATTGCTCTTTCTAAAACTTCCAGTACTATGTGAATTACAAGTGGTGAGAGTGGACATCCTTGCCTTGTACCAAATCTTAGAGGAAAAGTTTTTGGTTTTCCTCCCACTGATTATGAGTTTAGCTGTGAGCTTTTAATAAATGGCTTTTTTAAGTTGAGGAAATTTCCTCATACACCTATTTGGCTGAGAGTTTTTAGTTCTGAAAGGATGTTGAACTTAATCAAATGCTTTTTCTATGTATACTGAGAAAATTATGTGATTTTTATTTTTCATTCTGTTAATATGAATTTACTTACTTCCACATATTAAATAAACCTTGCATTTCAGAAGTAAATCCACTTATTCATAAACCTCAAAGGACCACAGATAGCCAAATAATCTTGAGAAAGAAAAATAAAGTTGAGGAACTCACTCTTCTTGATTTCAATTTATATTGCAAAAGATACAGTAATCAAAATGTATGGTATGGCATGAAAACAGTCACATCGAACAATGAAACAGAATAGAGAGCCCAAAAATAAAACCTAAGTGTATAAAGACAACTAATTTTCAACAAGTCTGCCAAGAATATACAATGGGGAAAGGATAGTTTCTTTAATAAATGGTATTGAAAAAACTGGATAGCCAGATGCAAAGGAGTGAAACTGCACCCTTATCTCACACCAGAGTTGAGTTGAAAATCAACTCAACATGAATTAAACACCTAACTGTAAGACCTGCAACTGTGAAGCTCTTAGAAGAAAACATATGGGAAAAGCCCCTTGATACTGGCTTTGACAATCATTTTTTTGGATATCACACCAAAAGCTCAGGCAACAAAAGCAAAAATAAGTGGTATTATATGAAACTATAGTGTTTCTGCAGATCAGTAGGAAGGAATCAACAAAATGAAAAGACAGCTTACTAATTCAGAAAAAAAATTTGCAAATGAGATATCTAATAAGGACTTAATATCCAAAAGAAACTAAGACAACTGAGGAGAAAACCTAAGAAATGTAAGAAACTCAGACAACTCAGCAAACACATAGAAAGTAAATAGCCTAATTTAAACATGTGCAAAGGAGCTGAATAGACATTTTTTTCTAAAGGAAACATACCAATGCCCAAAGGTATACAGACATATTTTCAATATCACTTGTCATTAGGGAAATGCAAATAAAAACTACAGTAAGTTATCATCTCATACATGTAAGAATAGCTATTATCAACAAACTATACCAAGAGTTGGCAAGGATATGGAGAAAAAGAAACCTCTGCACACAATTGGAGGAAAAAGAAATTGGTACAGCCATTATGGCAAACAGTCTGGAAGTTCCTCCAAAACTTAAAAATAGTAAAGCATATATCTCAGCAATCTTTTTGATTTCATACCGAAGGAAAATGAAGACAGCACCTCATAGAGTTGTCTGTACTCCCATGTTTATTGCATTATACGTAACAGTCAAGGTATAAAACACCGTAAGTATTTACCAGCACATGAATGAATAAATAAACTGTGGTGTATATGTCTTCTTGATGCAATACTATTTAGCCTTAAAAAAGAGAACGGTAACTGCCATTTACAACAGTATGGACGAAACCGGAGGGCATGAGGCTAAGTGAAATAAGCCAAACACAGAAGGAAAAATGCTGCAAGATTTCACTTACATATGGAATCTACAAAAAAGTCAAATATATAGAAACACAGAACAGAATGGTGGTTACCAGGAGTAGGGAGCAGGGAGAAAATGTGAAACAATATGTTAGAGAATATGAATTCACAGTTACATACAATGAATAAGTCTAAAGAGCTAATGTACAGCATAAGGACTACAGTTAGTAAAACTGAGTAATATTGAGAAGAAACGGTTACCTTGACCCTTTCACGGGCTCGAACTAGATTGCACCTGCTCTAAGTCCAGCCAGTCACTTCAGCGCCAGCAGGGATGAACTTCACTTTCTTGAACCCGTTGGGTTCAACCCCTTACAGGCAGGAGCACGTAGGTGAGCAAGTGCTGGGCCGCGGGTGAGTACTTTCGGGCTCCCGCCCCATGGCAGTGTCTAGGTGTGTTAAAATTAATGCCCTTTTAGCTTTGCTGTCCGCAGATGGCTTAAGTGTTAAACAGCTCAGGGAAGAGTCAGTGTGACAGGCTTTTTGGGTTCCCACAACCATTGTATCCCGAATTCTTGTCCGGCATCCAGGAAGAATCAGCTCACATGAATGGTTTGAAAGGTGAGGAATGCAGAGGATTTTCTTAAGGAGTGGAGGTAGATCTCAGTGGAAGGGGAGCTGAGAAGGGGATGGAGCGGGAAGAAGGTGATCTTTCCCTGAAATTTAGCCAGAGATGGCTGGGCTCCTCTCTGAAGTCGTGCCATCTAAAGTTAAGCTGAGTCTATCCATAGTCTCTGATACTCAGTTGCTTCTTCTCTCAACATTCAACCACTTGTCTCTTTGCCAGCTGAGGTCTGGGGTTTATATGGGCACAGGATAGGGAAGTCGGGCGGGCCAAAAAGGTAACATTTGGGTGGGAAAATAGTAACGACTTGTCTCATTTAGGGCCGTGCTTTCCAAGCTTGAGGACAGGGCCTCTGTTGGGGAACCACGTTCTTTTACCCAGTATTTCCCTGCCTCCTGTCCATATCAGTATTACATATCAAAAATGTACCGAGAGTGGTAGATTTCTGATGCTCTTACCACAAAACCAAAAAAGGTAACTAAGGAAAGTGACAGATAGGTTAACTTGTTTGGCTATAGTAACAATCTAAGTAAAAACTTCACTGTGCATATGTCTATCAAAATATCATTTCCACATTTTATATAAAACTTTGAACAAGACTCAACACAAGACATTGGGCACATACAACTCCATAAACTAAAATATTTAGGTAGCGTACGCTAAGGTGTTAAGAGTGCAGAAAGTTCACTTAGGGTAATACCTGCAAATAATTAAGGGGAAGGAAGCAGGATTCCTTAGGGAAAGGAGTCAGATTGCAATGCTCATCTGGCACCTGTGAAAAGGAAACAGGAAGGAGAATCGGGCAGAGAGACGCTCAGACTGTGACACAGATTTAATAAGGTTTCTACCTCAAAACACAGATCTAGAGCAAAAAATTTATGGTACAAGAGTCCCGTCATCAGAAAAAATGGTCAAGTTTCAGTGCTCCTTCCAGGCACAGTCATTGTCTGTGCTTCCTTGTGAAGAGCGTGGCCTAGATGGAAAGTTGCAGCCATTATAAAGTTGCTGCAGCTGGAAGAAAGTTTTTGAAAGGCTAACGGGTGAATTTTTAGTGTTGCAACAGGCCAATACTTATGCCATATGGGCCCCATACTTCATATATATTTGGAGAGGAACTTTTATGGGTTTCAATTGAGCCTCATTTTCTAAAGGCGGGCATGGAAAAAAAAGAAAAAAAGCAGGTTAAGGAAATGAAATTTAGCTCCTGGTCAGGTCCTTTGATTACTAGTAGTTATCTTTTTGTTTCAATATCCCTTCCATATTTTTCTCCACACTCACCTAACATTTCTAGTGGTCTTGGTGGCTTACTTTGTGAAGTGACAGAAGTCTTTATTCTGGGAGGAATGAGATTCCCTCATGTCTATGGAGTGAGTACATAATAAGCCTTCATAGCATGGTGCCAGCTGAGGCCCTCTGGACAGGAAATGACCAGAATAGGTGTCTGTTATTTTGAGAATAAATTGTAGACCCTTCTAAAATGGAAGAGACTTAGCAAAACAGACTTAAAACCAACGAGCTGGTTTCTTCCTATTAGAAATAATGCTATATCAAGGGCTCATTATTATTTTCTGTTGCTGTCATATTGGGCAGTAAGTGGTGACAATAACTAGATAAGTCTTAAGAAGAACAGTTTACACTGTTGGGCCCATGCACATCTTCTATCACTGTCACATGGAGACTCCATTTGTGGCTTATCACACCTTATGAATAAGAATTACTGTGTCCTCCTTTCTTGACTGAAATTAAACACATACACACTACACACTTGTCAAGTCAAAGGCCACATATCATGTACTCAGACTGTATTAATATGCTCTAGTAAATATATCAAATCTAGCATGGCAGTTAAAATTGGCCTTACCACTTGGCTGAGCTTGCAGTAATCCAGAATCCATTTGGTTCCCGCAGTGTCTATAAAGCAAGAAAGGTTCCCTTGTCCCTCTCGCAGTGTGTGTAATGGGGGTGTAGCTAATTTCTTCAGTGCCCTGCGGCTCAAACCTCTAAGGGAACATACAGACAGGCAGGCTCTGGCGCTCCGACCCCAAGGCAGTGTCTATGGGTGAATGTTTACAGCTCCTGAAGCCCCTGTGGGCATGTGTTACAGGGTACTTTCTTAGCTTGCTGTCTATAGGTGGCTTGTGTAAACCAGCTCAATTATACCCCCATCTTTATCACAAGGACAGAAGGATTTTTGTATCCCAGGGTTTCTTGCCTTGGTGTACCAGGATAATGGATCACATGTGGGCTTGGAGAATGAGTGTAAAGTTTTATTGAGTAGAAGTAGGTCTCAGCTGATGGGGGAGCCAGAAAGGAGACGGTTTTCCCCTGGAGTTAGGCCACCTGGCTTCCCCAGCTCTCCTCCAACTGCCCAGTCAAACTCCACCTCATCCCTTCATGGTCGATGGCCTGCCAGCATGCAGGCATCTGTTAGTATGCTCTTCCTCCAGTGTGCTCTTCTCGATGTCCTCTCGATGTCCAGCTGCCTCTGTCTCTGCCTTGCTAGGGTCTCAGGTTTTTATAGGCCCAGGATGGGGGTGTGGGGGGCCAGGGTGATCTTGGGAAATGCAACCCCCATTTGGGCAGGACATGCCTGTCCTCACCTAGGTCCATGGGGCAGAGCCCTAGCCAGGGACCACGCCCTCCTTTACCCAGCACTTCCCTTCCTCGCTTCCCTAACATTTAAAGGGACTATACTCTTCCCTTCCCAGCACTCCCATATCATCTCGACTGGTAAATTAAATGAAGTTATATTATCAACCTACATTCTTCAGAGATACCTAAGGGTGACACTAAAGTACACCACTCACCTCCTTCTGACCCCCACTAACAAAAAGGTTATATTCCTTTTTATTTTTTAATTTTCTACCTTGGTCAAAGAGTTATGGTTTCAGAAGCTCCCATTTGGCCTTCTCCACTATGAAAGCATTTACCCCAGTGGTCAAGAATCTAATATGAAGGTTGTTCCGACTTCCAAGTATGGCAATTACAATTATATATTAGAAACTGACCATCAAGTGAGTCCATGGCCCTTGTAGACCTGCTGTAGGCTGGACTTCAGTCCAGCCTTCACGTTTTACATAGCTCCTGCATACCACCATTCTAACAGGGGACCATGATGATGCTTTGAGTCTCTGGGTATCAATGTTATCTAAAACTCTCTTTCCAGTAGTTATCAAAATGTCTGCTATTCTGCATTCCCCAGCATACAGTGCACATAAGCAAAGACTTTATGCTCCATTAAGGACAAACTGGAACATCATTAGGTATATACTAGCTCTGTAGTTGTAAAATCCTTTCTCCCGGATACCAGTCACAATTTTATTCTATAGTTAAAGGTTGAAAATGTATCTCAATCCCAGAAATTGGGAAGGGAATCCATACATTTTTCCCAATATTTTAATTGTAATAATATATACATGAAATAAGTATACTATCTTAACCATTTTTAACTATACAGCTCAGTGCAATTAAATACATTCATAATGCCATACCACCACTACCACCATCTACTTCCATAACTCTTGTCACCTTGTAAAACTGAAACTCTATACTCATGAAACAATAACCTATCCTACCATTACCACAGTCTCTGACAACCACCATCCTATTTTCTGCCTCTATAATTTTGACTTCTCTAAGTACCTCATGTAAGAAGAATCATATAGTATTTGATACGTATATAATATATATATATATTCAGAAATGGAATTGTTGGATTATATGATAATTCCGTCTTTAATTTTTTGCTCAGTTCCACAGCAATTGTACCATTTTGCATTCCTTCAAAAGTGGACAAGATTCTAATTACTCCACATCTTAGCCAACACTTACTATTGTATTTTTCATTCATTTTGTTTTTGATAGTAGCCATTCTAATAGGTGTGAGGTAGTATCTCATTGGAGTTTTGATATGCGTTTGCCTAAGTATTAGTGATATTGAACATCTTTTTATGTGCTTTTTTTTTGTATATCTTCTTTGGAGAAATGTCTATTAAAATCCTTTGCCCATTTTTTAATTGGCTCATATATTTATTTCTTGTTAGAAGTTCTCTATATATTTTGGTTATTCATATTTTATCAGATATGTGACTTGAAAATATATTTTCCCAAAATGTGAGTTTCCTTTTTACTCTTTTACTGGTCTCTTTTGATGCAAATATTTTTAAAAATTTTCATGAAGTCCAATTTGTCATTTTCCTGTTTGTTTTCTTATGCCTTTGGTGTCTTTTATTCAAGATTTTAAAAAATGTGGTACACGTGTTATGGAGAAACCAGGTGTTCAGTCTAGTTCCTGCTGCCTGCTCACCACAAAGAAAACCAATCACCGAGACAATTATTGCCAAAAAGGATGGCTTTAATTGGCCAGTTGCTGCAGCCAAGGGGACAGAAGATTGGTCTAAAAATCCACCCCCTTGACCAACTAAAACTAGGGGTTTACATAGCAGGAAAAAACGTAACAATGTGTAAGAAAACAGAAACTATGGAGGGGCATGGAAGCAATTATGATTAACACAGGGTCTAACATTTCATTGTCTGGATGAAGTGATCCAGTGAGTTCTTTAATAATTTTTGAGAGGCCTAAAGGTTCATTCCTGGAGTAGGAGCTCAGATAAAACAAATGTAAGTTTCAAGCTTTAAGACCAGAAGTGTTTTTAACAAGAACAAGAACAACAACAACAACAACAACAGCAACAACAAAACTATGAGACTGTTGAGTCGGTTTCAGTCCCCTTTTTTATTTATCAATTCCTCAATCATGGGGAATCCAGGTGTTGATCTTTCTGGCTGCTTCATGCTGAGGAGGGGTTTCATGAGCAGCTCCCATCCATGGGTGACCTCATGGCCACTCAGGAATCAAAGATTAGTGTAATACTATAGTTTTCTTCGGAAACACAATATTTATTTCTCCAGTCCCCCACTTCCACCAAAGACAAATCACAACAGGACCAATCTAACTGCAAAATAAGTGTCAGTCCCATATACTCGGCCTGATTACCCACACAATGTGCAGCAAGAATCATTGTCCATATACGCTCTCCTAAATTGGCTTTGCTGGAACCTCTCACAATGCCATTTTAGTCAAAGGCCTGAGAAAATAACAAGTTCCTCCAGTTATGGCCCATTATAAAATAAAACATGTTGTTATTAAATGTATGCAAGCAACCACATTGCCATTAATTAAAAATATTCACAAGTAGTTTACAAATTCTGGATAAATTAAACAGAGAGAGAAATATGCTTCAAAAGTGTGTTTACAGAAGTATGATGTACTCACTATACTAAAAAATATATTAAAAGGCTATAAATAGCTCAAAAGAAAAACATTATTCAAAACTTATTCTGAAAAACAAAACAAAAAGAATCAGCAATATTTCAAAAAAAGCCATAAATATTATTTTAGTCCTCCATTAGTTCAGTTCATGCAATCAACTCTTGCTCTGCTTGATATTGGTTTAGCTATGTTTATGAACACATCAGCCTTCCACTTAGTTCACTGGAAGTTTTCTCTCTATTCCAGTGGCACAATCTCCAAAGTTATCAGAAACCTGCATTCAAGAATCCTTTTCATGAAATCCTCCAAAGAAGCAAGCCCTGGACCATAGCTGATTACAAGTCACTTTTTGAGAAGGATCAAAGCAAAACAAGGATTGTAGATGACAAAAGGCTTAAGTCAGCCATAGATAAAGACACAGTTGACCAGGACGGTTGGTTATTTCTATGGCATACAAAAATTTAACATAATAATCGTAATTATGACAGACAACATATATTAAGACATATCAGAATTTTAGGCATCTCATATAATACTGGAATGCATATTAACAACACGTCTATATAAATAAGCCGAAAGGAAGCTAAATACCACCTCAGATTTCACAATGCTTTCTGCATAATTCTAACATAACAAAAGCCTAGTAAGCCTAATATGTCTTTCTTGGACTTGAGGGAACCTAATATCCAAAGAGTTAGTTTGAGGTCAAAAAGCCTGAATTTAGACTCTGAAATTTTGCTGTTGGAAAGTCTGTCAACTATCAAATGTTTAAGACATTTGATATATCACAAAATAGGATCATGGTTATTATAAAATAGTCATTTGTTTAGCCAAAATGATAGCACAAAAATGTTTACCTTTTGATAGAGAAGACACTCAGTTTCCCAAGCAATAAGACCTGATACTTAGAACAGCTTGAGGCCAACTAAATCTGTCTCCTCTCACTCCCTTTCTTTTCCCCTGCAGTTGACTCAAAAGGTAAACAAAAATATCTTATTATTCCTTACATAAAAATTTTATTCAAAAGAGAAAACCAAATTTTACCTTGTATGCTGTATTATTAATGTTAAAGCTAATTTTAATAAAACCTTATAAACAAATACAATTTTAATCAGTTTTACCATAAGGTAAGATTTTGATAAACCTTTTAAAACCTTTTACAGCTTTCTATTAAAGAGCAGATCAATGCTCCAAGAAAACCCTGTTATTCCAACACACGGGCGGAGACGCTGGCCTTGCATCGGTGTGCTTTTGATTTTAATGTTTAATTTATAGAAAACTCTAAACTAATCAACCCTCAAAATCAGCCCTCACAATCTTATGTTCCCATCTCTTCTGCGATAGTTCCTGGGCCTAGGGGACTTTAATAGTCTTAATTTCTGGTCCTTTGCCTCATTAAAAAGCAGATCGTTGTGATTGTTGCTTCTTCCAAGGCTGACGACTAATGTCAGTGTTCAGAATTTAGCAGGGATCGCTGCCTTTTTCAGACCCAAGAGTCAAAACCCTATAAATAATAGCACAAGGATTTGTTAGTAGGATGTTTATACTACAGAAAGTGCTATCATTCTCTCTAATATGTTATACTGTGATTTGGCATTTAGGAGTAACTGCAGGACTCCTTTAATTCAAATCACTGAATTAAAGTAGTTAGGTTACTCACTGCCTATGTCTAATTGCTGTATTCTAGTGACAGAACTGTGACCAAAAGCATCACAAATGTAATAGGGCCTTTGCCAAACATATCAAAGTTAGACAACTAACCTTTCTCTACATTATTTAAGAAAATGGTAAATGCAAATATCAGTTTTGGAAATATGGTATGAGGTTAAACAATCTCCTTTCACTTAAATACTATACAGCAAAACAAGGACAAAGTAAGAACAAACACAGTAATTTCTCTTCAGCTATAAACAGAGCATCATTACACATTTCCAGGTTTGGTTTCTAGATACGTACTGACAACTGATTAGGTAACTTTCACTACCAAAATCTTCAAATCAGTGAAGCACCTGCACATATTTTGTTTTCAGGTACACATATGAAGGCCCATTATTAGTAAGTACCTTGGCATTAAAAATCAGTAGAAAGTATTACATTTTAAAGAAAAATTATTACTACCTAATCCAAGTCAATGTCATTTAATGTTAATCATTGTAAACACAATTAAAGTAGTTTGAGAGCAATCCCAATCAATGTAATCTCCTTAAGGACAAGGCCAATCTTTCCTGAACTTTAAAACATTGTCACTATATCACAGTTTGTCTTTATTATCTCATGAAAAAAATCTGACACCAACTCAAATTATTGATTAAACTGAATTATCTTGAAAATAAACACGATTTAAATATTTTTATTCTCACTTTTTCAAATAATAAATAATGTACTATTTTGGTTCCCAACTTATAAAAATATGTCATTTGTGTAATTTTTTTTCTTATACTCTCAAGATCATCAGAGGTAAGCAAAACCAACTGAATTTTAAATGGCTGGTGTCCTCTATCAATTTTTGGAAACTTGACAAAGTTAGAAATTTTAGATAAATAGATCAAATAATGAATTGTTGGACCTGCATAGAAAACAAAATTGCTATTCATAGAATCAAATAAAAGCCTTCCATTAAAATCTAAAAAAAAAATCAATAGTTTTATACATATGGACAAATAAGTAAAACCCAGAGGACAACAAACAAAAAATAAATAAAAATTAAAAGCAAAAACAATTTTTTAAATTTAATTTAATTTTTTTCTTTGCAGATAGAGTCTCGTTCTGTTGCCCAGGCTGGAGTGCAGTGGTGCGATCACAGCTTATTGCAACCTCCGCCTCCCGGGTTCAAACCATTCTCCTGCCTCAGCCGCCTGAGTAGCTGGGAATACAGGTGCCCGCCACCATGCCTGGCTAATTTTTTTTATTTTTAGTAGAGATAGGGTTTCACCATATTGGCCAGGCTGGTCTCGAACTCCTGACCTTGTGATCTGTCCACCTCAGCCTCCCAAAGTGCTGGTGTGAGCTGCTGTACCTGGCAACAATTTTTTTTTTCTTAGTTTACTTGACAGGCTACAGTGTTATCCAGAGCCTAACAAAAATACACGATGGACATTTTGCTCCTGGCACAGTAAGTTAATGTCATTAAATCCAGCAATACCACTATAAATTGTGTACAATTAAAAAATTCACTTCAGGTGCATGACTGTAAGTACTTTAATGCTAGTACTACCTATGCAGAATTGCAAATATAGTGTGAGGCAATGCAAGCACGTATGTAAAATTTGGCTCTATGCTAAATCTGGCTTCATGCTTAGCTATATTTAAAAATTGCCTAACTGCCCATGTATTTCTTTACGCTATTTCTTATTTTACTTTTACCAAGAGTAAGAGCTTTAACAATCCACGATGTTAATTTCTCTAGTTTTCTATGAGGTTTTGAAGAATATTTTATGATCTAAACTTCTTTAACTTTCTATTTTCTTTGTATATGCGTGAAGATAGACACACAGAAACAAGAAAAAACTACATGTGACTTACATAGACCATGTATGACGTGTTGAACCTTGTGTTTCATTCTAAGTTTTCTTTTTTTAAATACTCAGTCATTTTACTTTAAGACAAAAACTCATTATACAAGATCCATTCTCATATAAAAATTATCTTTTCTTTATAACCTTCCTTACCAAATATATAACTTCATACCCATAACTTTCTTCACACATCTCTCCCCTACTTACTGGTTGCTTTCTACCTTGTTTCATAAATAATCTTTTTAAGTTTATAATTTGAATTAACATGTAGATAACTTCTTAATTAGAAAAAATTATTCTTTTACTCCCTAGGAACACATCTACTTTGGCACGTTATATACAGAATTATATATTAACTCCACTTCTTATCCTTAGTAACTACCTTAATATTGTGTGAACTCTAGGAAGCAAGAAATCCTGAAATAGCAGATATTAGCATTTTATAGATGAGAAAAACTCCACAATTTTTAGAAACATATTTTCTCATATCATAACCCTTCCTTAATTGGAAATGACACAGGCATCCAATGAGCATCAAAAACAATTTTAAGATTTTAATTTATACAAAAAATTCACCTATAACACTTATCCATTTAAATTGTATTCATTTTAGCAATTAATAAAGATTATTTATGCATCATTTCCTTGTTATTCATTTTATAACCTGAAAATATCAGATGTTCACCCAAATAAGAACCTTAAAGTTAACTACATGGGCATTTTCACCAATAACTCAGAAGATTCAGTTGTTTTCGTAAACCAGCAACATTAAATTAGTCTTACTTTTCAAAAAATTCACACAAAGACTATTTTGTTTTGGCTGGCTTCATAGTTTTATAACCTTCTGTGCCCAACCCTGATACTTTATCTAGCAGAGACAAATATAAAACCCAGACAAAATATAAAACTCAGAGTTGCTGACAACTCTGAAGGCATTTCCATGTTTATTTTACCAATAATTTTAAAGCCAACTTGTTTATTAAAGTTTTACTTAAGTCATGTGAATTTGAAAGTTGCTTGGACTTTTTAACTTAATTTATGAATGCACTTTTAATTATGAGCCAATTTGGTAGACACAACATATAAGAATAAATGTACATGCACATAAACACATCTAAGCATGTATACACACACACAAATGAAGATCCAATAGTTTTTACCTCAGAATCCAGTCATGAGATAGCAATACAGACTCAGCAATCTACAAACTTATTCACATGGCCAAACTTAGCCCTGATAGGTGATCCGATGAAGGCTATGGAACAAAATTTTGGGTAAAGCACTTTCCATAGCAGTTTGATTTTTAAAATCCAAATCTTTCCAGACTTCGGCCCAAAACTGCCTAAAACAGCAACTTAAAAGCCTGAATACACAGAATTCCATCTTGCTTTTCCATTCAACAGCGAACTTCAGACTCCAAAGAATATTGGGACCAAACAGTATTGTAAAAGAATATCAGTTACCAAATTCTGATTTCCCATGGCTACATCAAACACACAATCATCAAGGCACAATCCAAGTGCTGCAGAAACAAACAAGCTCCAAGAGTGTGCAAACTGAAACAGTCCGGGTAATTCCTCTCCCCATGGGTTGGGCTTGATCAACCCACAGACAAAATTTTCTTTGGAATTTCTCAAATTTAGAGGAGCCAATTCTGCTGTCTGTTACCCACAAAAGAAACTCACACACACACACACACACAATACACAGTTACACACACACAATACACAGTTACAAACAAGCCCCAAGGGTGTTCACAGTGAAACTGTCAGGGTGCTCTCCTCTCTCAATCAGTTGGGTTTGTTCAACCTGCAAATGGAAATTCCTTTAAAAATTTCCCAAATTGAGAGGAACAGATCCTGCCCTCTGGGCCAACAAAGGACATTCACCTATCTGAATGCAGATGTCAAGTTTCAAAGCCTGTTCCTCTGTGGCAATCAGGAATGCAATTGGAGCCAGTAGTGGCAGGGCCAGACAGAGAGGAAAACTCACCTCCAGCCAAAATTGGGAAAGCAACTGCTTTGGAGGGCTTCTGAGACTCCTGAGTCATGGCAGCTGAGCCACAAGCACCATGCTGCTTATAAAGACATTTGAGACTGGGCAATTTACAAAGGAAAGGGGTTTAATGGAGGACTCACATTTCCACGTTGCTGGGGAAGCCTTACAATCATGGTGGAAGGCAAGGAGGAGAAAATCACATCTTACACAGGTGATGGCAGGCAAAGAGAGAGCTTGTGCAGGCAAACTCCCATTTTTAAAGCCATCAGATGTCCTGAGACTTATTCACTATCATGAGAACAGCACAGAAAAGACCCGTCCCCATGATTCAATTATCTCCCACTGGGTCCCCACAACACGTGGGAATTATGGGAGCTACCAGAACAGATTTGGAGGGGGCTGGGTGCACACAGAGCCAAACCATATCGTACACCATGGAATACTATGCAACCGTAAACGAGAACAATATCATGTCTTTTGCAGTAACAGGGATGCAACTGGAGGCCATTATCCTAAGTGAATTAACACAGAAACAGAATACCAAATACTGCATGTTCTCACTTATAAGGGGAGCTAAACATTGAGTACACGTAGACATAAAGATGGGAACAATGGACACTGGAGACTACCACAGGATGGAGGGAAGGAGGTGGACATGGGCTAAAAAACTACCTGTCGGGTACTATGCTCAATACCCAAATTGCAGGATCATTTGTACCCTAAACCTCAGTATAAAGCAATATATCCAGGTAAGAAACCTACACACGTACCCTCTGAATCCAAAGTAAAAGTTAAAAACAAAATTGAATGTTATGAAGACTTTGCCCTGTTTTCTTCTAAGAGTTGTATAAATTTAAGTTTTACATGTTTAATCAATTTTGAGTTAATTTTTGCATATAGCTCAGATAAGAGTCTAACTTCATTTATTTGCAGGTGGATATCAAGTTTTCTAGCACCATTTTTTGAAAAGACTCTCCTTTCCCCTATTGAATGGTGTGGGTATCCTTGTGAAAAATTATTTAGCCATATATGTAAAAATTTGTTTCTGGGCTTTTTATTCCATTTCATTTGTCTCTGTCTGTTTTTATGAGAGCACTAAACTGCTTTGATTACTGCAGCTTTGTAATATGCTCTGAAATCGGGAAGTATGAGTCCCCTCATTTTGTTCTATTTCAAATTTGTTCTGACTATTCTGGGACCCTTGAGATTCTATATGAATTTTAAAATTTGTTTTTCTATATCTACAAAAAAAACTCATTGGTATTTTTATAGGGATTTCACTGAATTTGTAGATCACTTTGGGTAATGCTGACATCTTAACAATATTGTTTTTTAACCTATGAACATGGATATGTTTACTTATGTATTCTTTAATTTATTCCAGCAATGGTTT
The DNA here is from genome assembly GCF_000001405.40 of Homo sapiens. Classification (NCBI taxonomy): domain Eukaryota; kingdom Metazoa; phylum Chordata; class Mammalia; order Primates; family Hominidae; genus Homo; species Homo sapiens. The sequence continues at coordinate 66,144,471 of NC_000004.12, read as the reverse complement.
GAAGGTATCTGGGGCTGTAAATTTTTATTGAGGTAACCACTTTCAGACCCTATCATCTGTATTGGTTTCTTTTGATTTTTTTATGTTAGGCAGTGCCCTGATTGGCTATCCATTTATTTTGCCCTTAGGGTTGCCGTATTCCAGTATCATTCGCATAATACTATGAGGGTTCACCTCCCTTGACTGTCACTCTGAACTTGCTGGTTTTATGATAACTATGACTGCCTGATTTCTGGGATTTTAGCATGATCATTTTATCTCTAGGTCTTTGAGGCCCTTCATACCGAAAACCAACCTGTGTTATATTCTTTCCTTCCATTAGTTCTAGCTATAAAAAAAAAGAGTCACCTACCACTGAACTTCTTAGTGAAACTGATGCCTCTGTGACCAGGCATCAGTTAGTGACCTCAGTGACCTTGTTGAATAATGTGGCTCTTTTGTTCTCCACTGCACCATGCCCAGTTCCCTGGGCATTTTAATCCCTTCTGCCATGACCACCTACCACAGTAATTCAAATATTTTAACATCACTCAACTGCGCTTTCATTTTTTCAAGTTTATAGAAATCATCAAAACAGATAGTCAGCACCTTTTCCTGGGTTTCTTACAAAGATATTATAGTATTATATAATGTTTATCAATAATATCTCCAAATCAATTAACTCTACTTTACAGTCTTGTATAGTCTTGTATGTCAGGCATCTTGATCAAGCATTTTCATAACCCAGTCATACTGAAAGTTTCATATTTCTTGATAAAATATGCTGACTAACTTTTGCAGCCCCTTTTGAGCATTGACAGTTTCCTGCATATGCCTGGATAGATTAAGCTAAAATTAGCATCAACCAAGAAGTTGGAAAAACTCTTCAGGGGGCAGATCATATTATGTTGTGGGAGAGAGGCCTCTTCATTGCCTTTTTACTCAAGAATAGTTATAATTCTTGTTAGGGAATGGTGGATCAACTCTGTAAATTCTTTGGGATATAAAAGAGTGTGAGGAGCTGAAATCTTGAGTGGTATGCATTATGCATCCAGATATTCCCATGCCATGTGTTAGAGTGCCTGGCTTTTTGACCCAGGGTCATATATTTTGCACTACACATTTTTATCATCTGTAGAGTCAATGGTTTCTGAAGCTCAGAGACTCTAAATATTAAATTCTGAGTTTAATCTTTACATTTTTCTGCTCTACCACAGCTGCAAAAAAGGTTGTCTTTGTAAGCAACCAAGGAGGATTCTGACTTTCATGCATGGTTTTCAATTTTTGGTGAACAGTCCTGCTTTTCATTTGTTGTAGGGTGTCAAAGCAACTTAAGAGCGTCAGCCTACATTGTATGCATGGTACGCATTGTCCTCTCTCCCTGTACTTTTCAAATTCCTGACTTATTTTACTGAACAAGACAACTCCCACCATGGAACATACTTCTAAGTATTTGTAGGTTTAAAAATTAATTATATTTTGGAAAGTTTATGATTTCAACATTGAGTTGTAAATTTTCCGTTTAAAAAATTCAACCAGATTTATTTAAAAATAACAGCCACATCAAATATTATCTCTAATACTAACCAAATACAAAATTATTTTATAAAAAATACATATTATGCATGAACATAGATGCCAAAATAATAAACTGTGTAAACCTGTAATGAATTTCTGTCCATTATAAGAATTTTAATTATAAATTTAAAATAAAAAAACAAATTACTCAAGAATAAAACATAATTTATAAGTAATTGGAGAAATAGAAGTTAAGTAGAAAAATATTATGGTTCTTAAAAATACAAATGCATAGGATTATATATTCAAATACTACTAAAATTCCTTTTGCCACTTAGTAACAAAAATTAGTTATTTCACTGTGAATTATCTTCTCTTGATATATTCTTGAATTCTTGGTGTATTAATTGAAAAGTATGTTCATCTAAGTAGGATAAATATATTAAATTTTATATTATAATACTTTCATAGTGTTACATATACCTTAATATAGTTTTCTCCACTATTATAAGAGGAAATTGTACTATTTCTACCGACTTTTACAGAGTCTATAATTTTCTGTGCTCTTTTGTTAATTGTCAAAAAAAATAGATAAGAAAGAGGAGGAAGGAAAGGGAGAGGAGATGGGGAAAAAATAAAGCAAAGAGGAAAAAAAAAGTAAGATAAGGGGGAAAATTGTCAGGCAAGAATATCTTATTCCTAACATAAGACTTTCTGGACAAACAGGATATGAACAGAGCATTAATGAAATTGATAATCTAAACTAAAGAAGATGATTGAAGAAAATAGAAGTTTTAGGTGTTTATCAATAAAATTGTTTAATAGTCCTTCATTAAAAGGAATTTTTCTTTTCTAAATTAGCCACTGATATGCTTTGGATTTGCGTCCCTGCCCAAATCTCAAGTTGATTTACAGGAGGTGCCTGATGGGAGGTGACTGAATCATGGGGATAGATTTCCCCCTTGCTGTTCTAGTGATAACCGGTCAGTTCTCATGAGAACTGATGGGTTAAAACTGTGTGGCACTTCCCCCTTCTCTCTCTCTCTCTCTCCTGCTCTGACTTGTGAAGAAGGTGCTTGCTTCCCCTTCACCTTCCACCATTATTGCAATTTTTCTGGGGCCTCCCAAGTCATGCTTCCTGTTAAGCTTGTGGAACTCTGAGTCAATTAAACCTCTTTTCTTCATAAATTACCCAGTCTAAGATAGTTATTGATAGCAGGGTAAAACAGACTAATACAGCCACCAAAATTTGAGGTTATTTGAGGAAAAAGAAACTTGAGGAAATACTTGAAATTCGTTGATCATTATCTATTCAACTCTCTTCCAGTTATTTAGGGTCCTAAATAAATTCTCCAACAAATGAAAATATGTGCACACACACTCACATACATACATACAAATTCTCACAATTTGGTGTCAAAAACATAAAGCCCATTTTTTGGAAAGATTATATTTTTCTACCAAATTAAATTGCTACATATAATTGTCAAATCTAATAATTTTATATATGATATAAAATTAGTAAATTCACTGATTTTAATATTAAATGTGGTTTTAAATTTTAACAGTATTTTATTTTGAATAAGTTATTTGTAAACAAATATTGGAATATTTATTTTGGCCTACATTATATTTTATATATTGTATGTAATATATATATTTTATATTTGAGATACATTAAATATTTAGCTTTGTTGATTTTTATCTTATACATTCTAAATACATTTTTTCTCTGAACATTTAAACTTAATATTAGTTATTATCTTGTGTTACAACCTCTAGTAATTTGTAAATTCTAACCACTTTTAAAGTTAATACTGAAAAACATTTTGTTATGCTTTTTATTCCCCCAAGGAGAGGCAAAAGTATCAATCAACGTTGCTATCCACTGCATTATTGATGCATAAGGACATGCTCAGAATTGATACAAAAGCAAGGGGCTAAATACTGACCAGGTAATAGAACAGATATTAATAATAATCCTCTATACAGTATCTAAATGTCAGAAATGTATTTGTAAGCATTTAATATATATAAGTTTTTAAATTCTGATAATTTGGGCAGAGGTTATTTTGAACAGTCTATCTTCTCCAAGTGTATATGATGTTACTCAGTAAGTTTCTGTGTGTCCAATGTTTCTTCTTTCCAAATAAGCATACATTGCTCTTTTTCTCATAGTAACTTATTATAGATATTTAATTTTTCACACTATTATAGTTTTCCAAATTTATTCCTTCAAATACAATGACATGCGAGGCTTTAGACAAATAGCACTAAATGTCCTCCTGTCCTCAATGATATCATGGTATAGATAAGTGAGAAACACACAAACCAACTATTGCAATTCATGGATATGAGTGCTATAAAAATATTTTAGAAGGGAAAACAGGAAGAACAAAGTGAAAGAGCGAATTATGAGAAACTTGATTTGGAGACTGATTGAAGGGACTTTTCACAGGGCCTAAGTTATATAAGAAAAACAGTAAATCAAACAAGATATTTATTTTGGTGGATAAAAAGAGGGCTTGCCAATCTATTAGAAAGTAATATAAAAAGTTTACTAAGATAAGGTAAGTGGGAGCTGGAATATATAGGGTTGTGCCATTAAGAAAAAATGTTCAAATTTATAGACTCAGAGCAATTCTAAGAAACCGCAAAGTTTAGATCAAAATCATAAGTGCTGGTAGCTGAGTGTTGGCAGTCATGGGATGAGAATAAGAAGGTACATTCCATTCATTAGTCTGTCTGTTAAGTATACCTGTGTTTTGAGTATAAATGTGTTTTCTAAAATCAAAGACCAATTCAAGTTCATTCTGAATTATGATCCAACATTTTATATGAATACTCTACATCTATTCTATGCTGAGATTAGGACCATTTGAAGATTAGTGAGCATTCCATTTCAACAACTTTCACAAATGTAAAATCTGAGTTTATTTTTTGCATCTACTCAGTATTGCAGCATTGTTGTTTCACAGTTCAAAGCCCATACACATATTATATAACCATATATTTATTAAGAATTTATTACATATTAAATACTGTTCTAGGTGCTGTTTATACAACAAACTACAATGTGATAAAGGTTCAGAGGGCAAATTGTTTCCCTAAGTATTAATATTCTTACTCTCAATAATGCCTTCATTTCTAAGTCATGTGGAACACACGGTAGGCAACAATTCCAATGATATTTATTAATTTCTTCCCATCATATAGACATCAGGTATTCAGTAACACTAGGCTTTTAGCTCTCCACTATACCCAAAAGTTTAATACTTGGAAATATTTTTAAAAGGATAAATTTTTTTTCCTAAAGTTTCTAATTTCAGTTATGATTTTTCTTCATAAAAATTTCAGAATATTTTACTTTTTTTTTTTTTTTGAGTCAGAGTTTCGCTCTTGTTGCCCAGGCCGGGGTGCAATACCGCGATCTTGGCTCACCACAACCTACGCCTCCTGGCTTCAAGCCATTCTCCTGCCTCAGCCTCCTGAGTAGCTGGGATTATGGGCATGCACCACCACGCCTGGCTAATTTTGTATTTTTTAGTAGAGATGGGGTTTCTCCATATTGGTCAGACTGGTCTCGAACTCCCGACCTTAGGTGATCTGCCTGCCTCGGCCTCCCAAAGTTCTGGGATTACAGGCATGAGCCACCGAGCCTGGCCTTATTTTACTTTTTATCACATTATTATCAAGAGTTTTGAACATTGTCTGCTTGGAGAAAGCCACTGAGTTTATATCTAATACCTACCTGTTTCCTATGCTTCAGTATTATATCTCAAAATAAATATATTTTTCTGTGACCACAAATGCAATATATCCAAAATGGTTTTCTTTTTTCTTCAAGTCAGATCCTCTACCAATTTGTCTGTCTTTTAATAATGGTATCCTGTGTTTCCAATTATCCTTAAAGCAAATATTTCAGTACCTATAATTATTCAGTCACAGAGACCCATCATTTTTCTTCAAATGATGTGATATTCCTTTTCCAAATTTCTGTCTATTTCACCTTATCATTCTAACCCATACCCTTAACCCTCACATAGCATTATTAAAATAGCCTTCTATGTAACCTTCTATACTAAATTTACCATTCAGTCTATAAGATAAATCCCAGATCCTATAGAATTGAAAATGGCCATGGAATCTTGGAACCCCAACTTTTGTCATCTGAGTATTATCTCCTTTTAATATTTACCTAGAATATTATTATCACATCAGTTCTTACAAAGACAATTCTCCCCATCTTTCAAAAGGAGCCCTTGGGGCAGTATAATTGAGAGAAGATTGGAACACTTAAGTTAAAAGCTTCTATTGATTTGGTGTTAGGGAAATAGAAATAAATACCAAAAGGGAAACAAAATTAGATATTTTGGCTCCTACATATTTAGAATAGTTGTCTTTAACTTGGCATGCCTTAGGGTAATAATTACCTGTTTAGAGTTCAGGCTGCCACTGCTTTTCAGAGCCCTTCTTTCGTCTATACAAAATAAGAGTAACTTAACTATATCTGGACTTGAAATTGAGGCCTGAGATATCCAGATCCAGAAGAGGCTAAGATTCCCTCTTGCCAACTGAGATCTCTCTTCCTGGAACACACATTTGACATTTCTGTTGGCTGTCCAGAATCAGAAACACTTTTATGTTTGGGAAATTTCTGAAATTATGAGTTGAAGTTGACTTGCAGCTAACATTAACATATGAACTAGACTTTGCCAAACAAATGCAGCTACCTGTGCATGGAATCGAAGGATAGTGGTGTAAAATATAATAGACATTAGTGATAGTTAAAAAATAAACTTTCTAGAAGCATTAGTGATGTCAGATCCTGCAGAAGCTTCTGATGTTCCAAATGCTGGCAACCTAAAGCATAGGATATAATATTTGATGGCTGATGCGGTATTTTTTTTTTTTTTTTTATCTAGAATAGTGTTTCTTAAAGTGTGTTTCTTGTACCAGTGGCAATAGTAACATCTAGGACTTGGTACAGATGCAAATTCTCAGGTCCTACCCCAGACCTACTCAATCAAAAGAAATTCTGAGAGTGGGACCCACCAGTCAGTGCTTCAGCAAGCCCTTGAGGTACATGGACACTAAACTTTGAGGATCATTGATTTAGGATGTTATTTCAGGCTGCCTTTAATACTCACTTAGCCCTTACATGTGTTTTTGGTGTTGGCACCTTTGTCTCTGTATAATGTCAGCAACTTTGATCTTGGCATAAACTAGTAGTCACATTCAATAGAAGCCAATAAAAGCACCTGAACTTTGCCCTAAAGAACTTTTATCTGGTTTGATTTCCGTCTGTCTGTGATGAGCCTACAAATCATGGCCCCTGGGTTCTCACACATTTTCTCTGAACCTCAGCTTCTTATCTAATCCTGCTTGAATTTGGTGATTTGACATTACACTTCGTATCTTGTCTGTAATCTGAAAATGGTGCTAATGATGGTAGGTAGTGCCCTGGTTACTGCACTGGTAGCAGCATGCCCAGGAATAGTGCCCCTAAAACAGGAAGTTTGAGTCATTTAATATGTCCATATATTATCTCCTTTTAGGACTAGAAAATCTATATGGTCAGCGATTATGCATTATACTTTTGTATTCTGCTCATTAAATAGAACTGTGAAGCTCAATCATACCTATATTTTATTCATTGTGTAGATAACTTTGATTTTACATCCACTTTGATTTGACAAACCATTTTATTTACATTTTAATTCATTTTCAATCAAAATAAATCACAGCACCAAGTGGCTATAGAAAAATGAACTGTGCAATTGGACATCACATTGAATTCTTATATTGACTAATTTTTTATCTTTCACTAAATCTTATCAGTAACCTTCTATCTATGAATCTAAATGCTATTATAAACTCTTAAATGATACCTCTGTTACTCAGAGCCTATTGCAAAATTTGATGAAATTGTCTCATGGGATTGTGGTAAATTAAATATGATCATAGATTCTGGTCTACTCCTCTTGTTAAAAGTGGAGCCGATCCCCCAAACCCTTACATCTCAGCAGCCCTCATGACCTGCTTTGACCAATAAATGATAGTGGAAGTGACCTTGTGTGAGTTCTGGAGCCCAAGCCACACGAGGTTTTGCAACTATTCTACATTCACCCTCTTGAAACACTTCTGCCATCTTATAAAAAAATCTGGTCTAGCTATCTAGAAAATAGAGACTGTGGAGGCGAGCCAAGGTGCCTCAGTTGACAACCAGCCAGAAGCTTCCAGAATGAGTGAGGCCATCATTGGTCTCCTAGGGCAGCTGACCCACTAGCTAGTGGTAATCACATGAGTAAGCCCAGGTGCAACCAGCAGAAGAACCACCCATCTAAACAACAGAATTTGGAGTAATTATAAATTGTAATTTTAATTCGTTATATTAGTAGTTTTGGTGTTGCAGTAATAGTTAACTAAATATTTTTAAAATAGTAATTAATGTTCTGGATTGTTTTTGTTATAGTTTTATATGTTGTCTTCTTTGGCTTATACTGCCAGTAATGCTTGATCAGACATTTTAAGAGGAGCCTTTGGAATTTCTTTTGTTAGAATTTATTTTAAAATCATTAAAGACTTCACTTTTAGAGCATATTTATTAATGATCTAAGAAAATCTGGTCTCGATGCCAACTGTGTACTTCCAAAAAAATATTCTATCATTCTAACTATTTCCCTGCTTTCTCCTCAGACAAGGTCATAGTTAATGGGCTTCTCACTGTGCATCTGAAATATGATGACAATTAAAGAGAAATCCCTCTTCAAGCACATGCAGCATTATAAAAATGACTTCCAAATAACAAACTGAGAATACACACGTAACACTCATATCTGATAAGTTCTAAGTGCTTAAGTTATTTGTTACTTCCTTGAAGAGTATAGTTTAATGAATCTGTTAAAAATCAGTTAAAGTATAAGTAGAGAAGACATTATTCATTGATAACTCCTCTTATTAATCAATCAATACTTTTTTTTTTTTTTTTTTTTTGAGATGGAGTGTCACTCTTATTGCCCAGTCTGGAGTGCAATGGCATGATCTCGGCTCACCGCAACCTCCACCTCTCGGGTTTAAGCAATTATACTGCCCAAGCCTTCGGAGTAGCTGGGATTACAGGCACCCGCTGCCACACCCAGATAATTTTTTTGTATTTTTAGTAGAGAAGGGGTTTCGGCATGTTGGCCAGTCGGGTCTCGAACTTCTGACAGGTGATCCACCCGCCTCTGCCTCCCAAAGTGCTGGGATTACAGGCATAAACCACCATGCCTGGCCAATACTTTCTATTAATTTATTTATAATCCAAATTTAATGTGATATCTAATATTTACATGCAATAGCTCAGATAATAGGTATGAAGCTAAAAAATATCATACATCAAATATGCTAGTTAGAAAAAACATCTTGTCTCTAACTTTTATATTAAACTATTTAAAATATTTTTCAAATTTTGCTTGTTTACAGAATTTTCTTGAAATTACTAAACATAATTTTTGAATTCTTACCATATGCTAGATGAGTTTTCTCAGCACAAGGGACTCAGAAGAACAAAGCAGAAAAATCTTTATTATTGGAGCTTGAATTCTAGAATGGGAGAAGAAAGATAATTCATATAAATGAGTAAATTATAGTAAAAGTATATAATTATATGATTGTGTACATGTTGCGTGGTAAGATATGCCATGTATTTCATGGTAATAAAGAAAAAAAACTAAACAGAAAATAGATGTAAAGACTACAGATAATTTGGAAGGGAATGGAGCAGTGTCATTTTACATAAATTCGTCATGAAATGCCTCACTGAAAATATGGCATTTAAACCAAAGTCTTAACAAATTCATTAACGGAGACAAGGAATACATCTGTTTGAATACTGGGATGGGTCCAATTTACAAGGAAGTGCAATCGCAAAGACAGAAAACATGAGCATGTCTGTACTTTTTAAGGAATGTCTGAGAAATTGGTGTAGATGAAAAGTATTAAATGATGCCAAAAGCAGTAGATGCATTTGGAGAGATAAGGTAAGGCCAGATCATCTATAGCCTTACAGATTATTATAAGATTCTGGCTTTGACTAGGAGTGAAATGAAAAGTGATTTAGAACATTTTCAAACAGAGTACTTGCTGTGGTATAAATGTTGATGTCCTCCCCCGAAAAATTAAATGTTGGAACCTAATACCCAATGTGGTAGTATTAAGAGGTAGGGCCTTTGGGGTGTGATTAAGTCATGAGGGCACCATCCTCATGAATTGGATAAGTGCACTCATCAGTGAATCTTAATCAAGCTCCCTAGCCTTTTTCCACTATGTGAGAACACACAGAAAGCAGCATCTATGAAGAATAGGCCCTCACTAGATATCAAATCTGCTGGTGCCTTTATCTTGGACTCTCAGTCTCCAGAACTGTGAGCTATAGAATCTGTTGTTTATATGTTACCCAGTCTGTGATATATTGTTACAGCAGCCCCAATAGACTTAGACAGTAGTCTTTTGATTGGACTTGCATTTAAAAATGATTACCTTGATAACTACATAAAATTACTTTTTGTTAGTGAGACAGGTTGTTGCCATCTTCTGAGAAATAGGTGAAGGACACTTGGACCATGGTGATAGTGCAGAGGGTAGAGGTAATATATAATAGAAAGGTTAAGATACTACATATAAGAATTGAGTCAACATTACTACTGTGAAGTTGATGACGGATGTGAGAGGCAGAAAAGATAAACATGACTCCAGTGTTTTATTTTAAATCCATGGATATTTTTCCATAATGTTAACATCTATACAATAATTTCTTTTTTTTAATTTTACTTTAAGTTCTAGGGTACATGTGCACAACATGCAGATTTGTTACATATGTATACATGTGCCATGTTGGTGTGCTGCACCCATTAACTCGTCAGTCATTTACATTAGGTATATCTCCTAATGCTATCCCTCCCCTCTTCCCCCACCTCACAACAGGCCCCAGTGTGTGATATTCCCCACCCTGTGTCCAAGTGTTCTCATTGTTCAATTCCCACCTATGAGTGAGAACATGCGGTGTTTGGTTTTCTGTCCTTGGAATAGTTTGCTCAGAATGATGGTTTCCAGCTTCATCCATGTCCCTACAAAGGACATGAACTCATCCTTTTTTATGGCTGCATAATATTGCATGGTGTATATGTGCCACATCTTCTTAATCCAGTCTATCATTGATGACATTTGGGTTGGTTCCAAGTCTTTGCTATTGTGAATAGTGCCGCAATAAACATACGTGTGCATGTGTCTTTATAGCAGCATGATTTATAATCCTTTGGGTATATATCCAGTAATAGGATGGCTGGATCAAATGGTATTTCTAGTTCTAGATCCTTGAGGAATTGCCACACTGTCTTCCACAATGATGGAACTAATTTACACTCCCACTAACAGTGTAAAAGCGTTCCTGTTTCTCCACATCCTCTCCAGAACCTGTTGTTTCCTGACTTTTTAATGATTGCCATTGTAACTCGTGTGAGATGGTATCTCATTGTGGTTTTGATTTGCATTTCTCTGATGGCCAGTGATGATGAGCATTTTTTCATGTGTCTGTTGGCTGCATAAATGACTTCTTTTGAGAAGTGTCTGTTCATATACTTTGCCTATTTTTTGATGGAGTTGTTTGTTTTTTTCTTGTAAATTTGTTTAAGTTCTTTGTAGATTCTGAATATTAGCCCTTTGTCAGATGGGTAGATTGTAAAAATTTTCTCCCATTCTGTAGGTTGCCTGTTCACTCTGATGGTAGTTTCTTTTGCTGTGAAGAAGCTCTTTAGTTTAATTAGATCCCATTTGTCAATTTTGCCTTTTGTTGCCATTGCTTTTGGTGTTTTAGTCATGAAGTCCTTGCCCATGCTTATGTCCTGAATGGTATTGCCTAGGTTTTCTTCTAGGGTTTCTATGGTTTTAGGTCTAATGTTTAAGTCTTTAATCCATCTTGAATTGATTTTTAGGTCTAACATTTAAGTCTTTAATCCCTGTTGAATTAATTTTTGTATAAGGTGTAAGGAAGGGATCCAGTTTCAGCTTAAAGAACACTATGTTGAATAGTTTTACTGTAATTACCATAACCATTTCTATATGCTGACTGTCACATTGTAATAAACATAGGTTTTCTGAGAATATAATGTGAGAAACTATGTTAGGCTTAAAAATGGATGAAATGTATTCCCTGTTCTTGAGTAGCCTACAAATTTAGTGTGAAAAACAAATATCTATAAAAATTATTTTAATTCAGAGTAGAAACTGATAAGATATAGATAAAAACATGAAGATACATGAAAAAAATAATGTGCACTAATCTGATATGGAGCATGGAGGTCATAGGAGTAAACTTCAAAGTACAGAAAGATTTTTTTCAGAGAAAAATATAACAACTTAAAGAGAAAAAAAGACTTGAATAAATGGGGAGACACACCATGTTCATAGACTGGAAGATGCAATATTTTAAAAGGGAAAAATTTCCTAAGACTGACAATAGATTAAATAAAATTCTACTTAAAATACAGAAATGATTATTATTTATTATTATACTATTGAGCCAATTAAGAGAAAATAACGAGACACCCATAAATAAAATGACCAGGTAAAAAAATCTACTCTGAAAATAACAAGACAATATTGAAACAATAATTGTTAAGATGATATTGTATTGGTTCAAGTGTATTAAATAACCTATATAAGTGGAGCAAAGAATTAGCAGAAATATTGATATGTTGTATGGAACAACGTATGCCCAACATGGAATGAATGATCAATACAGAATAAACAATCTTTTAAATAAATGATGGTTGAGCAATGGGATATCAATGTGACATAGAATGAAATCATAAACTCTCTTCCTGCTACATTAAAATATCAATTCCAAATAAAGAAAAGCTAAAACTATGGACAGAATATTATTATGTAGAATATAATAGAGTGAAATATTTACAAGAACCTACTTCAATGCATGTTATGAAACAATAAAAAAAGCTATGAGAATAGATTAAAAGACTAATGAGTTAAAATACAAAAAAGTTAATATTGTATTTATTAACATAATAAATAATATATATAATAAAATATATAAACTGTATTTATCAAAAGATACCGTGAAGAAAATACAAATACCAGTCGCAACATGGGAGAAAATACTCAACATTTAAAAAGCTAACAAAAACCCTGTTGCCCAAAATATGAAAAGGATATTTTCATGCAGTTAAAAAAAATAACCCAAACTGATGGAGGGAGGGGGGAATTTCCAAAATGTATAAATGAATTTTTTTAAAAAGAAAAGTGAAATAATTATATGAAAAGATGTTTAATCAAATTAGTAATCAGGGAAAAGCAAATTAAAATCTCAAAAAATACCACTACTGAAAAAAATAACCATTGGTAACAAGGACCTGGAGCATGTTTTTTTGAACATTTTTGACATTATCTGTTAAATTATAAAATTTGTATACCCTCTGACCCAGAAATCCTAACACTATGCATAGACCCTACATAAAATGACAAATGCATGCACTAAAAGTCACAGGACATTCATAACACCATAGTTTGGCACAGGCAGGCAATACAAACAATCCAAATGGTCATTTACAGTAGAATGGATTTAATAAATATATGATATATTCATACAATGAAATATCATATGGCAATAAAAATGAGTGAGCTAAAGCTATACACAAAAATTCGGATGAATCTTATAAATAATATATTGGACAAAAGAAACCATATGGAACAGAAGTATGTATGGTAGGAGTCCATTCTTACACATTTTAAAACCAAGCAAAACTAAAAACAGTATTGCTTCAGAATCTATACATAAATCTAAAATAAAGAAATTAAAATAATGATTAATGATTATCACAACTCAACATAGTGGTTAATTCTTGGGGAAGGATTAAGTTCCTGACAGAAGAGAATTCAGGTGGCCTCGGAAGTACTGAAAATAATCTATTAGATTTTCCGTAGAACACAAAATGATTTACTTTGTTAATTTTGTAACACTCTGAATATATGTTCTACTTAATTTCTTTAGGTAAGTTATATTTTTAAATTTGTAGAAAAGTTTATATTTTGTCGTGAAATCATTCCAAAGATATTAGGCTTTTGTTTAAGTAGCAGGAACAAAAAAAGAACGTGTATATGAATGCCATAATACTGAGAACACAGAGTCTCTCAAATCATTCTTTTCATGTAATTTTCATAGCTAATAATATAACAAAATGAAGCTATGAGATAAACTGTAAAATCCAAAAAATATATTAATATTGAAAAAATAATATAAGATAAGCAGCATACTCTACTTTCAGAAATGACAACATGAGAAGTTCAGGGAATCTACTGTAGAAAAAAAGAGTATACTATAACTAGCCATACTATCATAAACAACAATTTTAGAACACTGAAAAATATTCAAAGATGGACAACAGCTTGAGAAGTATAGTTGATATTTGTTATTCGTGGTACTTATATTCTATAACTTTGCTGAGAACACTGAATTAATGAACCCAGAATCATTGCTCTTGGGGGAAATTCATGGTTAGATTCCCCCTAGCTTATAGTTACAGTATTTTCATCAACTGATCAATAAATAATCTTCTTTTATGGGTGTTTCTCTTTAAAGATGCCCTATTAAATCTATGTCATTGATTCATTAATATTGAACTTATGGCTGGCGGCACTACTACTCATGCCTGAATGGGTATGTCTGACATGCGTGTTTTCTCTGTAAGGCACAGCACAGCCTTCTTGTACTGAGGAACCCAGACAGCATTTCAGTACTACACTTCAGGGTCAATTTAAACAGCAAAATCGTCAACAAAAAGTACAAACGTGAAAAATGTGGCTGTAAATAGACTGTAAAAACGACCCTCGTTCATTGTATGAGAACTAAACAAGGGAGAACATTGTCTTTTTCTATCTCATCTGGGAACATGTGCCACTCAAATTTTTCACCATTTTGTGCATGTCTGCGAATAAGCACCAAAGCCCATGAGTACAGCTATTGCAATTACAAATGCACATTAGCCAGTAGGCAAATTTGCAAATATAGTATCTGTAAATAATGAGGATTAACTTTATCGACTTACAAAAAATTACACTGCATTGTATACGATGAGTGAGTTTGTGATCTTCTTACCTGGTGGAACTTTTATTCTGGTCATGACAGGTGGCAAAACCCAAAGTTTTACCTTCAGAAGTGATGAAATAGTTAAGATAAGGTGACAAAGCACCTAGAAATTTAATGCAGAGATTTGGAAATTGAGAGAATAATAGAAACACTGTTATACTAACCTACCCCACACCCCTGGCTTACCGCTGAGGTAAGAAAGTACAAAGGAGATCCCAGAAAGTCTGGTCAGGTCAAAATTTACAGCCAGATGAAGGTTTAAATTTTGCTGTGCCTCTGAATGCAACCCTCAACTCACGCATGGCTCAGGCAACAGAGGATGGACATCTTACTGGGATTATTTTATCTGGGATTACAGGCGCCCACCCCCACACCAGGCTAATTTTTGTATTTTTCGTAGAGATGGAGTTTCACCATGTTGGCCAGGCTGTTCTTGAACTCCTGACCTCAAGTGATCTGCCTGCCTTGGCCTCCCAATCTTTCTTTGCTTTTTCTTTTCTTTTCTTTTTTTTCTTTCTTTCTTTTTTTTTTTTGTTTTTTTGAGACAGGGTCACACTCTGTCACCCATGCTTGAGTGCAGTGGCACAACCACAGCTCACCGCAGCCTCAACCTCCTGGGCTCAAGCAATCCTCCTACCCGAGCCTCCTGGGTACCTGGGACTACAGGAACATACAACCACACCCTGCTAATTTTTGTATTCTTTGCAGAGATGGTTTTCATCATGTTGTCCAGGATGGTCTCTAACTCCTGGGCTCAAGTGATGCACCTGACTTCGCAAGTGCTGGGAATAAACACTTGCCTTGGCAGGTGCATCACTTGAGCTCAGGAGTTAGTTGACATGTTTGGGATTACAGGCATGAGCCACTGCACCTGGGCATGTACTACATTTTCTTTAGTCTATTGTCAGTGGGCATTTAGGTTTATTCTACGTCTTTACTATTTTGAATAGTGCCCTGCCACTGTTTTTAAGTCCATGTTCCTTGGAGTGTGTCCTTCTCAAGTGTTGATTAAGGAACAGCTGGGGCTTTGACTAGATTTTTGTATGTACACAGGTGGTGAGCTTCTACCACGTGTAACTCACTAATTTTTGGTATTCTCTTCCTAAATTTCCAACCATTATGGTAGCCCCAGACTGTTTTCTGACACTCCAGCCAATGAAACTATGCTTTTCTGCTAGAGTTTGGCCATGCTGTGCAAATTAAAGAGAGCCTTTAGGGGGAAAAGTATGTAAAGCTGACACAGTGTGGTTCTCTTCCATAAAGGGTAAATCTTATCTATTCTCTGCCTTAAATTTTTTAAAAATACATAGTTCAAGTTATAGTTGATATATGCAGGAGGATCTGTCTGATGCAGTCAGTTCCATCATTATTGAACATACTAACCAATTTTAAAATATGTACACACACACTGACACATACGTTCATGTACATATTCTGATAGCATAAGATTACATATTTTAATTAGCAACCCATTATTTTTTCATGTTATTTATGGAACTCTACTCAAACCATATAAAAACTATACACAGTCCATAGTTTTATTTATCATAATTAATTGAGCACACACTCAAATTAAGGAGCTATGAATTTTTCTCTCTTATAGATGATGATGCATTGAAATCATTGTGATAGTTTGTGTATTAATTTATCTCTTTTACATAAGGTTTTGGGAGTGGAATATAAAACAAAGGGTATATACATTTTTAAAATTTGGATATCTATTGCCTCATTATGGCAGTATCATTTTCTATTATCACCAATAATATATAAGAATATCTATTCAGTGTCTTGATCATTATGACAATATTATTAATTTCTGACAATTAAGTAGTCACAATTGCTGTTTTGTATTATCTTATTGGCTTTTCCTGACTTTGTAAAAGGCATAGGTATTACAGCATTTTAGAAAATATGTCTTGGTTAGGTTGACATGAAGGGAGAGGGCTGTTATTTTTATTTATACAGGAATAGCAACATTTTTACACTACTGAGGACAATTATTGCACTATTCACCCAAATTTTTAGAGTGGCTCTTCTGTACCTGGCACCAGTTTAAGCAGAGGAATAACACTTTGAAATATCATTTACTGCAGATTTCCTCTTGTTGATAATCTATGCTAAGGTAAGGCATCTACATTACATTACTAATTTCTGAAAATAAGGTATATGGACTTTATTTTATAGTTTAGGTAAACTGTGCATCAGAAAGGTTTTGTGGCTGAGTTTAAAGAGTAAGAAAGAACCAGAGCTAATTTGTTTAACTCCAAAGTGAGTGCTTTATGGTATTAAGTTCAGGTGAAGGATAAAAAAAATTAATTCCATTATTACAGTGAGATCAGGACTATGATTGGAGAAGTAAAGGAAACTCTGAAATATTTGAATAGGTGTATCTGGCACTGGCTTGGTTCTTCAAGTTAGTATTCCTGATAGAAGCAGTATCTAAGCTGAGACCACAGGGATAACAGCCGTCAGACAGGCAAGGAAGGTAAGTACGTTTCAACCAACAGAATGACGTGTGCAAAGATTCAGAGACAAAGATGTACAGTATTTTGGGCAAAGAAATGTGCACATCAGTCTGACTAGTGTCTTGTAAAAATAAACATCAGCGCTAAATTATGTGTACACAATTTAAGTTCCTCATGGATTTTTAGATTTAATTTTTATTATCTATTAGGCATTTTATCAGACCTATATTAAAGATAAGATAATTGAGGCAAAAAGAAATAAGATATCTTTCCAAGTTTAAAAATGAATGATAATCCCGACTCAGGATTTGAACGCAGGCTTTTTTTAGAGTTTGGATGCTTACCCAAAATGCTATGCTATCCTGTGGCAATCTGTGTTAAAGGGTTTAGATTTAATTTAAAGACACATGTAAGACATTGAAAAGGTTTATGCAAAGAATAATATGATCAAATGTTCATTTATGAAGGATAGTGCTGACTACAATGTGGAGAAATAATTGGATGGATTTGGAAGAAAAAGTATCCAGGGTGAAAAAGAGCATGCAGTAAAACTTTTCTGTACAATTGCCCTTTGAACACAATACTTACAAATATATAAGAGTAGTCTTCTTTCCATTACATAAGTAATGCAACTGGACATATCACTGATTTTGTTTGTTAAATTGATGATTTTATTTTAAGAGATTGTAATCATTCAACAATATTTTATTTTTGTGACATAGATAAAATATTTTAAAGTGATCAATTTATAAGCATTTCTAAGCAACTTCCCTCTATAAGCAAGATGTGATATTGTTGTTGTATTTCAAAAGGCACTGTATTTGTAATCAGTGAAACATGGAATCGAATTTGAGATCTGTCATTTATTAATTGTATGACTTGAACAGGTTATGTAATATCTATGCATGTGAGAAAAATCGAGGTCCTACAGGAATTAAATGAGATATATCAACAGTCTTTATATAGTGCTAAAAACAGTATTTTCTCAGATGATGATAGTAATTATATCTAACTAGATGCAAGGTTTTGACAATGTTTGAGTCATTTTAAGATTTTTTGTATGTGTATATATCATTTACATTTTATTCTTCTTCTTAAGTAGTATTGAATGCACCCGGGATATAATGAATTTTAAAATATATACACACGTGAATCTATTCTTAATTTGGTTGACAATTTTTCAGTTCTATGTATATGTATGCACATACACAAAGATTCTATTTTTCTGATATTTTTACAGAAATTGAATTGCAATATACATATTTGTCTATGAATTCTTATATTTCTTTTCTTTTTTTTTACTTCATAATATGGCTTAGAGAGTGTTTTTTAATGCATCTTTTTTTTACATGGCTGCCTAGTTTTCTAAAGGATATAGTCTTCTATGATGTAATTTGTTCTTTATTGGTAGAGCTTTAGATCTTTCCAACTGGTCATAATTATGAACAATATTTCTATGAACATATTTGTATGTAATTTTAAAAGGATATGTAAATATATATATGTATATAGTTGTGTTTCTATGAAACAGGTTTCTTATGCCAAATTTATACATTAGTGGAAATACTCATCTTAAGTCTGTCACAGATGCTCAAATATGCTCCTACAATGCCTGTGTCAATTTAATTGGCACAAGGAGTATATAAAAGTGCTCTTAATCTCATACCATATTTGATAACGAATATAATAAAATTGAAAAAAAGCCAGTATTTTAGGGTTGAAATAGTCTTATTTCATTTTCCATTTCTTTGCTTATTTTCTGATCAAGCACTACACAAGACGTTTGTGCCTTGTGGCAAAGTTACATAGATACTTGATTTTTATGGATAACTATTTACACTTGTGTTATTTCAATTAAGTGCTCTTTTTGTTTAATGTTAGAGGATTATTTGTATTGTCATGAAATTCTCTATAATAAGAATTTCATTCAGCCTTTCATTTCTTGTTAACTTTGTTTATATAACATTTTTACTCTATAGAAACTTAAAAATTTACAGTTAAATCTAGAAATACTTTACTTCAGAATTGTGAAACTCATGCTACATCTTTCATTACAAGGTTATTTTTAAAACTGTATTTATTCTCATCTCATATCTTAATAGTTTAGTTATATACATACATATGTATAACATAAATATGTATTTTTTAATATATATATATATAAAATGTCCTTTTGCCATTGTGAATGTATTTTCACATAGGTATAATATGTGATGTGCAGATTTCATTATATTATTTTATAAATGGGTAGCCAATTACAGGTTAATAAATTATAAAAGATCATATTTGACATAAAAATATTGCGTTAAAATTTATTTAAAATCATTTTATTTCCTTTGCAATTTTAACTTGCTACAATTAAATTTTCTACATTTCCTATTGCTCAACACAGGTCAAATTATCATAAATGCCATTTGTTATGTAATACCTTCTTCAAATAACTGATTGATTTGCAAAGTAGAATTTGCTCTTACTTATACAAAATAATATGTTTTAGACACAGTTACCTTTTCAGTCTTGAAAAGGTAAAAATCTCTCTGCCCACCTAATCATAACCCAAATTTTTCCATGTTCAATCTTGCCAATGTGTTCACTCTACCTGAATTGATGCAGGACAATAGATCAAGATTTGCTCTTCAGTATCTGTATTGCCCATGAGCCATATTCTACATGATTTATATAAACGTTGACCTAATGTCAGCTTCATATTTCTGATAAAGTTTTGGTTGTTTGTGCTTTGAGTGCTATGTCTCTCTCTGTTTCTCTGGTTCTCTCTCTCTCTCTCTCTCTCTCTCTCTCTCTGTCACACACACACACACAAACACACACACGCAAACACACACACATACACAAGATTTAAGCCTTTCTATTGATCTTTTATTTTAGTTATATTTATGGATAGAGGAACTGTGTGAAGCTTGCTGAGTAACTGATGATGTTAAGGTGATATATCACTCTGATATAAACAGATTAAAATAAAGAACCACTGCTTAATACTAATGAAACAGCACAGCACACTCAATTAGTCACTAAACAGCTTTTCACTCTTCTCTTACACCCAGGTCTAAAGGATTACTGGAGCTGTGGTTCAGTTACTCAAATTTTGCACAGCCTTCCAACAACATGTTATGGTTACCAAAGACAAGAGGCAATAATAGATTAATTCAGCAAGGGCTGAATATGCCATTAATGGCCATGCAATAGGCTTATCTGGGCTCACAAAGTAGCCCCCTTTCATGTCTGTTCAATGAGAGATAATAGTTGAAGGCATTAATCACACATATTTTCAACAAAACTTTTCTCAGTTAAAGACACCCTGCAAATGATGTGGTCCAATGCACATCCGCCTATTAGGGTTGCTATGACTATGGTGAGTCTGATCTGAAAGACAGGATACAATCAAGCCTGAGACAATGAGTGGATTTTCATATTTAATGGCCTTGGTTTTCAGCTTGGCACAGCAAACTGAATAGCAGTGACCCAAAGATGACCTTCTATTTTTCTTCTTTGATTTGTCCCCAGGGATGGACAAGGCATTGGGATCATGGGAGTAATCAGAAAACAAGCATGCCACCTTATGTAGATGAAAACACCGGGAAAAGTCTACCTTAGAAAACTTTTGTTTCATTACTGATATGGAAGAATCCCCTTTTTATTAAATTGTTCTTGAGTTAAAGGTATTTCTAGGAATGCAATGGAGATAAAAAGCATGCCAACCAAAAATCACAGGACCAGGGGCTTGCTCTACCATTAAAGGTCTTTAGTCACATGCCTTTATTTCTCAGGTTTTTGGTTTATCCATTGATCAAAGCATTTGAACAAGGTGTTCTAAATCCAGGTTTAAAAATACATTTATTTATTTTGCAATCTTAATATAGAATAAAAATAAGAATTAATTATCATGGATCTCTTCTCTGAGGCAAACATTAGATAATGCACAGAAAATGATGCATGCTGGATATGTCTGTGTTGTCATGTCTCATCCTTCACATGTCTGTACCATGAGTCATATTCAACTTTAAGAACATTGATATATTCTTCTTTTGTAAAAGTTTCCTAGGAACTTTTCCTCAAGAAAATATCAGATATCAATTATTCATCTTCATGAATTCTATACATTGCTCCAATTAATACTGGCAAATATTGATCACAGACAGTACTGTCATTTACTAAAATCCTGAATTACATGCTATTGAATATTGTGTGATGTACCAAGGAATCTGGTAACAAACACAGTCTTGTTTTTTAAAAATATATGTGTTATATATATAATTATATGGTTTGAAATTATTTAAATATGAATATATGTGTATATCAATATATAACATCCATATATATATTATATATATAAAATTCAAATGGCCACATTAAAACTATTAATTTATAAAACAGTTCACTAATTGAACAGGGGTTGCCCCAAGTTAACACGGGGAGTTAATTAGGAGATAGTGTAAATAAAGCAATCAGACAAAATACATTTATAAACTAAGAAATTTATCTTTCCATCCAGATACGTTAGTTATATTTCACTTGTTTAATTTAAGCCAACTCATTCGTTTAGCGTTTCTTCATCACTCAGCTTGAATTGTTTTTTCTTTTCTGTGTTTCCACTTCCCTTGGACATCAGTTATGGCATTTGTATTATTTGGCCTGCTATTATTGTTGTTTTCATGTATAGCTTTACCAGTAGTTGAAAACAAACCAAATACCTAATAAGGCATTATGAACCTTATTTATGAAGCCTTTATTTATTTAGATAATAGGGTGGAAAATGAATGAATACAACTTCACACACAAGAATGGTGTTTCGGATCTGATAGTGGATGAATTGATGGAGTCTTTGACTAAGTGTGTGTTGTTTAAAAAAAAATACAAGCTGGAAAGATAAGAAGATGAGTAATTACTGGTACAATAAATTGCCAAGAGCTATAACTACTTACATTTTTGTTTTCAAGAGAATTGGACAGCATTATATGCCTCTGAGATATGGTAACTTGGGAACAAACTAGATTCCTAGAGAAGAAAAAATAGAACCATTATGTTAAGCAGGCAAAGTTGTTAAAAATAGTTGTGTATAGGAGTCCAAGAGTGTTAAAATATGCTACAGGTATTTAATTGGTAAGCTGTAGAATTTACCTTTAAATTTTAAATGAAAAACCTTTCTGTCTAAAAGTATAAATTTCTATGTTAGAGTTCACACTGGCTTGTTTGTTTATAGAGTACCCTTTACTACATATGGAAAGTAGTAAAGATAGATTGAAAAATATAGACAGATAGATAAAAAGATAGATAAAATGATCTTACTGAAAACTCGTTTCTCACTGATGTACTATAGGAATCTGTTAATTAAAGGCTTTCAATAATTTTAAGTTTATTTATAGATTTTTGAATATTTAAAGAAACATTCTCTTTGATCACTTTCCTGATCTAGTTTGCCTACAAATACTTTTTTTTGCATTTCAGAACTCATTTGCATTTTCTTCCATGCGACTATCAAAATGCTAAGAACACAGCAAACTAATGCAGGAACAGAAAACCAAATACCTCATGTTCTCACTTATAAGTGGAAACTAAATTATGAGAACACACGGACACATACAGGGGAACAATACACACTGAGGCCTATCAGAGGGTGGAGGGTGGGAGGAGAAAGAGGACCAGGAAAAACAACTAATAAATATTAGCCTTCGTACCTGGATGATGAATAATCTGTACAACAAACTCATGACATAAGTTTACCTATATAACAAACCTGCACATATACCCCTGAAATTAAAATAAAAGTTAAAAAATAAAAATTAAATTTAAAACACAGAGAAAATATTTATTTCAGCATGACAAAATATATATATAGTGCGTGCATGTATATAATATGTGAATATATATACATGCAAACATGTATGCATACATACACATATAGACATATAAATAGATTTGAACAAGCTAATATGTAAATGTGATTGTTTAAAATGCAACAGTTATATTATTTAAAAATATTTGTATGGAAATATCTTCAAACATACAGAAAAGTTTCAAGGATAATAATAGTATATAGTAAATATACATACTATTATATTAGGGATTTTTAGAGAACCAGAATGAATGTGCATGTATATATATGCAAACAGAGATGAGCTACAAGTGAGAGACAGAGTAAGAGTGAGAGAAAGAGAGAGAGAGAGAAAGTGGTACTTATTCTAAGGAACTGGCTCACACAATTGTAGAGGTTAGCAACTCTGAAATCCACAAGGAAGGCCAGCAGGCTGGAAACTGAGGCAGAGTTCTTATGTTTCAATCTTGACTCAGATTTTTTTTAACTTCAAGAAGTCTTGATCTTTGCCCTTAAGGCTTTTAATTAATTTATTAAAGCTCACCCACTTTATGGAGGATAATCTGCTTTAGTTTAATTTCTACTGATTGAAATGTTAATCACAGTAACAAAAGACTTTCAGAGCAACATCTGTGCTGCTAGTCTTTCACCACACAGTCACCATACACTAAGCAGGCTGACATATAATATTAACCATCAAAACACTTTACACAATGTTTATGAATATTTGTATCTGTTTTTTCAATATCTATCTGCAATACTTTTCTGGACCATTTGAGATTAAGCTGCATATATCATAGCATTTTATTCCTCAAATATTTCAAAGTGTATACCTAAGAATAAGAATGATCACTAGCATAATCATATACATTTATTAACTTCAGCAATTTTAATATTAATATTATATTTCTGTGTAATTTATTGTCCATATTCCAATTTATACAATACCTTGCTTATAGTGTTTTTTTCTACATCAGTTTACTTGGTCCAATCCAAGATCAAGTATTAAACTTAGTTATTGTAACTTTTAGTCTCCTTCAATTTGAAATATTTCCACAGTTTTATCATGTCTTTTTTATCATGGCCACTTTTTTTTAAAAAAAGTACAATTTCCACACCACCTTATTTTTTTTTTTCATAGAACCTTCTGCATTTTTATTTTGTCTTGTATTTTCTCTTGCTTGCCGACAGGTTGTGAATTCCTGGCAAGGATATTACAGATATGATCTCTTAAGTCCTCCTCAGGTTATCACATCTGGAGAGACACTATGTTCATCTGCCTTTTACTAATAATATTAATTTTAATCACTCAGTCAAGGTGTTGTCTGTATAGCTGCAATTTTTTTCTCTGGCAAATAAGAAATATGTAGAGAGATCTCCCTAAGCCTACTTCTCATCAAATTCCTTTCTTTATTTATAAGCCTTTGCTTTTTACCTGAACCAGTTTTTACAGCAATGTTGATTCTCCATGTCCAGAACTCCTTCTGTAAATTGGCCTTCACAAATCTACTGTAAGCAAGAGTTCTCCCTTCTCCTCATTTTTTGTTTGTTTAATATCCAATATGGACTCATGGGTTTCTAGTTTTTCATTGGTCTGTGCTCTCTTAATGTCTTTCATTATTTTGGTATTCAAATCGTCTTATTTTTGGCTATTTAGAGCTCCTTCAGGCTACATCCCATGCACTGCGACAGTCTCCATCAGCCTTTAGAGTACTTCCTCACTTTCTGCTATAACAAGATATCCCAGGATGATCTTTTGTCTATTCTGTCCCAGCCTAGAATCAGCCATTTCAAGAAATAGCTCTGGTTCTTTTTAGGGGAAAGTGACAAATTCTATTATGAGAAACTAAGATTGGAGTTCCAGTTATGCCCATTGGTACTGGATTGTCTTTCTTCCTAAGTTCACTTTGTGGACAGAAATAGAAAGTTTGTTTGTTTATACATATGCATATATATGCGCAAAAATACATATACATAGTATCAAACTGATATTAAACTCAATTCCAACACGTCTTCTCAGAGACTTATTCTTATGTTTCCCCTTCTATATTGTGTATCATATATTCTGTAGTGAGGACTGTGGCTCCCCAAATCTCATTACATTTACTCATTTTCTCAATCTACAATACAAATAAATTTATTTTTAAGTGGATTCAACCATATCACTACCAAATATAAGTTCACTGAAAAGAATTCAGGAAACGTTTTCATTACTCCCCCACCAAATTTATCCTACTCAGAAATGAGGGCATACAGTAAAATTCTGTGTTCTTGGATTGCCTTGCTTCTTTTGTTTTTGTTTTTTCAAAGTGGCCATGTTAGTCATTTGAAATTCATTTATTTCTTTCAGTTTGATAACTGTTTTCAGTTTTACTTTATCTTCCCATTATTGTTGATATATTGGAATATGTATACATTAACAACTTCCAAAAGCCAAAAACTACAGGAAAATATATAATTACGAAAAATATAGTTATACAAATATATAGAGTCTCTGACATATCCTTCCCATCCCATTATCTACTTGCATGCAACTTTCCATTTTCCTGTTTTTTCTTACCTACATAAAAAGTAGCATTCTTTATATGCATTTTTGTCCTTATATCTTTTCATTGAATAATATCACCTGAAGTTATTCCATATTGGTCCATAGACTTTCTTCATTCTCTTACACCTTAATAGTACTACATTTGGTGTATGTATCATAAAATAAAAAAATCTTATATTGGAAATTTAGGTAGTTTCTATTATTTTTTACTTTAAAACACTTTCATCTACAAGCAAAGAATAGTCATCTGCATATATATTACTTTGTGTTTGAAATATATCTTCAGGGTAAGTTTTTAAAAGTTGCATTTCTGGGTCAAATCATATTGCCTAAGTAATTTTGTGTTATATTGCCAAATTTAACTCAATAGGAACTGGCCTATTTTTACACGTGAATGAGAGTCTTTCAAGAACTGTCACCCAAACTTTTATAAATACAAGTTTCTGATTTAGCTGATGTAATCAACTATCCCAATTTTACTTTTATTATGGGGAAAATAAAAATCTATACACCTGAGTAAGCTCTTCTAAAAGTAGAGCATAATTTTCTAAATCCCTGGGAGGCAACGAGTAGATAGTTGGCTCCTTCTTACCTTTCCCTGGAACAAAGAATTGCAGTGAAATTATCAGGCTCTCTATTAAAAAAAAATAGCTCTTATTGTTTTGAGATACGTCCCATCAATACCTAATTTATTGAGAGTTTTTAGCATGAAGGGCTGTTGAATTTTGTCAAGGCCTTTTCTGCATCGATTGAGATAATCATGTGGTTTTTGTCTTTGATTCTGTTTATATGCTGGATTACATTTATTGATTTGCATATGTTGAACCAGCCTTGCATCCCAGGGATGAAGCCCACTTGATCATGGTGGATAAGCTTTTTGATGTGCTGCTGGATTCGGTTTGCCAGTATTTTATTGAAAAAATGATCATCATCACTGGCCATCAGAGAAATGCAAATCAAAACCACAATGAGATATCATCTCACACCAGTTAGAATGGCGATCATTAAAAACTCAGGGAACAGCAGGTGCTGGAGAGCATGTGGAGAAATAGGAACACTTTTACACTGTAGGTGGGACTGTAAACTAGTTCAACTATTATGGAAGACAGTGTGGCGATTCCTCAGGGATCTAGAACTAGAAATACCATTTGACCCAGCCAATCCTGTTACTGGGTATATACCCAAAGGATTATAAATCATGCTGCTATAAAGACACATGCACACGTATGTTTATTGTGGCACTATTCACAATAGCAAAGACTTGGAATCAACCCAAATGTCCAACAAGGATAGACTGGATTAAGAAGATGTGGCACATATACACCGTGGAATACTATGCAGCCATAAACAATGATGAGTTCATGTCCTTTGTAGGGACATGGATGAAGCTGGAAACCATCATTCTCAGCAAACTATCGCAAGGATAAAAAAACCAAACACCGCATGTTCTCACTCATAGGTGGGAACTGAACAATGAGAACACTTGGACACAGGAAGGGGAACATCACATACTGGGGCCTGTTATGGGGTGGGGGGAGGGGGGAAGGATAGCATTAGGAGATATACCTAATGTAAATGATGAGTTCATGGGTGCAGCACACCAACATGGCACATGTATACATATGTAACAAACCTACACCTTGTGCACATGTAACCTAGAACTTAAAGTATAATAAAAATATATATATATAAAATAAAAAAAAAATAAAAAAAGAAAGGACTGGCATGAGTAAACAAAAAGTAGACTAAGTCTTACCAGAGAAATATTCTAGCCCCTATTGAACATAGAATTTTATTGATTTAAGGTAATTAGCTACCATCACATTTTCCTACACTCTGGAAAAAGATGTCATTAACTAGAGCATCTGTATTTTAATACATAATGTTGTATTCAATAAAACCATTATTACATGTGACATAAAAGAATAAGGCCAAAATATTTGTATAAACAAATAAAGAACAAAATGGTATAATTAATTAAAAGATGGAGAATTTTATGAGATTGTTAAGGTCTGTAAAAAGGTGACATTCTAAAATTTAAAAATATAGTATTTGACATTAAGAATTATTATATGGATTTAATGAAACATTAGCAACAGCAGAATACACGATTAGTAAACTGGAAAATAAACAAATAGAATGTATTTAAAGAGTATATCCACACTTAAATACATGGAAAAAAATGACAAACATATAAACAACTTAAAGATAGATGGGACATTGTGAAAAGGTCTAACATAATTTCAGTAGAGGTGCTAGGAGGGCAACGGAATACAGGGATAAAATAGAGTTAAAAAAAAAAAAAAAGAAAGGCGAAAAGATTCAAAACGTTGATTCAAGACCTCAGGTTACATATCCAAAAAGTTTTGCAACCCTCAAGCAAAGCAACACCTAGAAATACAATAGTAAGACTACTAAGAATCAAGGATGTATTGGACATTGGTTTTGGAAAATAATTTATGACTAAGTCCTCAAAATCATTTGCAACAAAAACAAAAATTGACAGGTGGGACCTAATTAAATTAAAGAGCTTCTGCCCAGGAAAAAAAAGTCAACAGAGTAAACACACAATCTACATAATGGGCTAATATCCAGAATCTTGAACGTGAACAGACACTTCTCAAAAGAAAACATATGGCAGGCATGGTGGCTTCTACCTATAATCCCAGCAATTTGGGAAGCTGAGGCAGGAGGATCCTTTGACCTCAGGAGTTTGAGATCAGCATGGCAACATAAGGAAACCCCATTTCTGTAAATAAAATTTTAAAATTAGCCAGGTATGGTGGTGCACTCCTCTAGTGTCAGCTACTTAGGAGGCTAAGGTGGGAGGATTGCTTTAGCCCAGGAGATGGAGGCTGTGGTGAGCCATGATCACACTAAAGCACTCCAGCCTGGATGAAAGAGAGAGACCCTGTCTCAAAACAAAAAACAAACAAACAAAAAAGACTGCTCAACACCACTAATCACTAATCATTAGATAAATGCAAATCAAAACAATGATATATCATCTCACACTAATCAGAATGGCTATTATTATTTCTTACTTTAAGTTCTGGGATACATGTGCAGAATGTGCAGGTTTGTTACATAGGTATACATGTACCATGGTTGTTTGCTGAACCTATCAACCTGTCATCTAGGTTTTAAGCCCCATGTCCATTAGGTACTTGTCTTAATGCTCTCCCTCCTCTTTCCTCCCACCCCCCAAACAGGCCCCAGTGTGTGATGTTTGCCTCCCTGTATCCATGTGTTCCCATTGTTCAACTCCCACTTATAAGTGAGAATATGTGGTGTATGGTTTTCTGTTCCTGTGTTAGTTTGCTGAGGATGATGGCTTCCAGCATTTCCATGTCCCTGCAGAGTACATGAATTCATTCTTTTTTACATCTGCTTAGTATTCCATGTTGTGTATGTGCCACATTTTCTTTATCCAGTCTATCATTGATGGGCATTTGGGTTGGCTCCAAGTCTTTGCTATTGTAAATAGTGTTGCAATACACATACCATGTGCATGTGTCTTTATAGTAGAATGATTTGTAATCCTTTGTGTATATACCCATTAATAGGATTGCTGGGTCAAATGGTATTTCTGGTTCTAGATCCTTGAGGAATTGCCACACTGTCATCCACAATGTTTGAACTAATTTACATTCCCACCAACAGTGTAAGAGCATTCCTATTTCTCCACAGCCTTGCCAGCATTTGTTGTTTCCTGACTTTTTTTTTAAGAGCTTCCTTCTACTTTATTGTATACTACCCTTAATACATGGTTTCCAGCTCACAGTCCAAGATAGAAACATTAAAACTGCTGTTCTCTTCCAAAAAATATAGATTCCCTAGAAAAGGGACAGTTGTGAGCCATTGGCAGTCAATACTTTCTTTTCTTTTTTTTAAAAAAATGTTATTATTATTATACTTTAAGTTTTAGGGTACATGTGCACAACGTGCAGGTTTGTTACATATGTATACATGTGCCATGTTGGTGTGCTGCACCCATTAACTCGTCATTTAGCATTAGGTATATCTCCTAATGCGATCTCTCACCCCTCCCCCAACCCCACAACTGGCCCCAGTGTGTGACGTTCCCCTTCCTGTGTCCATGCGTTCTCATTGCTCAGTTCCCACCTATGAGTGAGAACATGTGGTGTTTGGTTTTTTGACCTTGCAATAGTTTGCTGAGAATGATGGTTTCCATCTTCATCCATGTCCCTACAAAGGACATGAACTCATCCTTTTTTATGGCTGCATAGTATTCCATGGTGTATATGTGCCACATTTTCTTAATCCAGTCTATCATTGTTGGACATTTGGGTTGGTTCCAAGTCTTTGCTATTGTGAATAGTGCCGCAATAAACATACGTGTGCATGTGTCTTTATAGCAGTATGATTTATAATCCTTTGGGTATATACCCAGTAATGGGATGGCTGGGTCAAATGGTATTTCTAGTTCTAGATCCCTGAGGAATTGCCACACTGACTTCCACAATGGTTGAACTAGTTTACAGTCCCACCTACAGTGTAAAAGTGTTCCTATTTCTCCACATCCTCTCCAGCACCTGTTGTTTCCTGACTTTTTAATGATCGCCATTCTAACTGGTGTGAGATGATATCTCATTGTGGTTTTGATTTGCATTTCTCTGATGGCCAGTGATGATGAGCATTTTTTCATGTGTTTTTTGGCTGCATAAATGTCTTCTTTTGAGAAGTGTCTGTTCATATCCTTTGCCAACTTTTTGATGGGGTTGTTTGATTTTTTCTTGTAAATTTGTTTGAGTTCATTGTAGATTCTGGATTATTAGCCCTTTGTCAGATGAGTAGGTTGCAAAAATTTTCTCCCATTCTGTAGGTTGCCTGTTCACTCTGATGGTAGTTTCTTTTGCTGTGCAGAAGCTCTTTAGTTTAATTAGATCCCATTTGTCAATTTTGACTTTTGTTGCCATTGCTTTTGGTGTTTTAGACATGAAGTCCTTGCCCATGCCTATGTCCTGAATGGTATTGCCTAGGTTTTCTTCTAGGGTTTTTATGGTTTTAGGTCTAACATTTAAGTCTTTAATCCATCTTGAATTAATTTTTGTATAAGGTGTAAGGAAATGATCCAGTTTCAGCTTTCTACATATGGCTAGCCAGTTTTCCCAGGACCATTTATTAAATAGGGAATCCTTTCCCCATTGCTTGCTTTTGTTAGGTTTTTCAAAGATCAGATAGTTGTAGATATGTGGCATTATTTCTGAGGGCTCTTTCCTGTTCCATTGGTCTATATCTCTGTTTTGGTACCAGTACCATGCTGTTTTGGTTACTATAGCCTTGTAGTATAGTTTGCAGTCAGGTAGCGTGATGCCTCCAGCTTTGTTCTTTTGGCTTAGGATTGACTTGGCAATGCAGGCTCTTTTTTGGTTCCATATGAACTTTAAAGTAGTTTTTTCCAATTCTGTGAAGAAAGCCATTGGTAGCTTGATGGGGATGGCATTGAATCCATAAATTACCTTGGGCAGTATGGCCATTTTCATGATATTGATTCTTCCTGCCCATGAGCATGGAATGTTCTTCCATTTGTTTGTATCCTCTTTTACTTCATTGAGCAGTGGTTTGTAGTTCTCCTTGAAGAGGTCCTTCACATCCCTTGTAAATTGGATTCCTAGGTATTTTATTCTCTTTGAAGCAATTGTGAATGGGTTCACTCATGATTTGGCTCTCTGTCTGTTATTGGTGTATAAGAATGCTTGTTATTTTTGCACATTGATTTTGAATCCTGAGACTTTGCTGAAGTTGCTTATCAGCTTAAGGAGATTTGGGGCTGAGACGATGGGGTTTTCTAGATATACAATCATGTCATCTGCAAACAGGGACAATTTGACTTCCTCTTTTCCTAATTGAATACCCTTTATTTCCTTCTCCTGCCTGATTGCCCTGGCCAGAACTTCCAACACTATGTTGAATAGGAGTGGTGAGAGATGGCATCCCTGTCTTGTGCCAGTTTTCAAAGGGAATGCCTCCAGTTTTTGTTCATTCAGTATGATATTGGCTGTGGGTCTGTCATAGATAGCTCTTATTATTTTGAGATACATCCCATCAATACCTAATTTATTGAGAGTTTTTAGCATGAAGAGTTGCTGAATTTTGTCAAAGGCCTTTTCTGCATCGATTGAGATAATCATGTGGTTTTTGTCATTGGTTGTGTTTATATGCTGGATTACGTTTATTGATTTGCATATGTTGAACCAGCGTTGCCTCCCAGGGATGAAGCCCACTTGATCATGGCGGATAAGCTTTTTGATGTGTTGCTGGATTCAGTTTGCCAGTATTTTATTGAAGATTTTTGCATCAATGTTCATCAAGGATATTGATCTAAAATTCTCTTTTTTTGTTATGTCTCTGCCAGGCTTTGGTATCAGGATGATGCTGGCCTCATAAAATGAGTTAAGGAGGATTCCCTCTTTTTCTATTGATTGGAATAGTTTCAGAAGGAATGGTAACAGCTCCTCGTTGTGCCTCTGGTGGAATTCAGCTGTGAATCCATCTGATCCTGGACTTTTTTTGGTTGGTAAGCTATTAATTATTGCCTCAATTTCAGAGCCTGTTATTGGTCTATTCAGAGATTCAGTTTCTTCCTGGTTTAGTCTTGGGAGAGTGTATGTGTGGAGGAATTTATGCATTTCTTCTAGATTTTCTAGTTTATTTGCGTAGAGGTGTTTGTAGTATTCTCTGATGGTAGTTTGTATATCTGTGGGATCGGTGGTGATATCCCCTTTGTCATTTCTTATTGTGACTATTTGATTCTTCTCTCTTTTCTTATTTATTATTCTTGCTAGTGGTCTATCAATTTTGTTGATCTTTTCAAAAAACCAGCTCCTGGATTCATTGATTTTTTGAAGGGTTTTTGTGTCTCTATTTCCTTCAGTTCTGCTCTGATCTTAGTTATTTCTTGCCTTCTGCTAGCTTTTGAATGTGTTTGCTCTTGCTTCTCTAGTTCTTTTAATTGTGATGTTAGGGTGTCAATTTTAGATCTTTCCTGCTTTCTCTTGTGGGCATTTAGTGCTATAAATTTCCCTCTACACACTGCTTTGAATGTGTCCCAGAGATTCTGGTATGTTGTGTCTTTGTTCTCGTTGGTTTCAAAGAGCATCTTTATTTCTGCCTTCATTTTGTTATGTACCCAGTAGTCGTTCAGGAGCAGGTTGTTCAGTTTCCATGTAGTTGAGCAGTTTTGAGTGAGATTCTTAATCCTGAGTTCTAGTTTGATCGCACTGTGGTCCGAGAGACAGTTTGTTATAATTTCTATTCTTTTACATTTGCTGAGGAATGCTTTACTTCCAAGTATGTGGTCAATTTTGGAATAGATGTGGTGTGGTGCTGAAAAGAACGTATATTCTGTTGATTTGGGGTGGAGAGTTCTGTAGATGTCTCTTAGGTCCGCTTGGTGCAGAGCTGAGTTCAATTCCTGGATATCCTTGTTAACTTTCTGACTCGTTGATCTGTCTAATGTTGACAGTGGGGTGTTAAAGTCTCCCATTATTATTGTGTGGGAGTCTAAGTCTCTTTGTAGGTCACTAAGGACTTGCTTTATGAATCTGGGCGCTCCTGTATTGGGTGCATATATATTTAGGATAGTTAGCTCTTCTTGTTGAATTGATCTCTTTACCATTATGTAATGGCCTTCTTTGTCTCTTTTGATCTTTGTTGGTTTAAAGTCTGTTTTATCAGAGACTAGGATTGCAACCCCTGCCTTTTTTTGTTTTCCATTTGCTTGGTAGATCTTCCTCCATCCCTTTATTTTGAGCCTATTTGTGTCTCTGCACGTGAAATGGGTTTCCTGAATACAGCACACTGATGGGTCTTGACTCTTAATCCAATTCTCCAGTCTGTGTCTTTTAATTGGAGCATTTAGCCCATTTACATTTAAGGTTAGTATTGTTATGTGTGAATTTGATCTGTCATTATGATGTTAGCTGGTTATTTTGCT
This sequence comes from Homo sapiens, assembly GCF_000001405.40. NCBI lineage: Eukaryota > Metazoa > Chordata > Mammalia > Primates > Hominidae > Homo > Homo sapiens. The sequence goes on along the minus strand of NC_000004.12, from coordinate 66,111,030 downwards.
CGTTAGTTGAGGCAGTTTCTTCCTAGCCTTGATGGTCTTTACAATTTGGCATGTTTTTGCAGTGGCTGTTACCGGTTGTTCCTTTCCATGTTTAGTACTTCCTTCAGGAGCTCTTTTAGGGCAGGTCAAATAATTGCCATTCTAACTGGAGTGAGGTGTTATCTAATTATGGTTTTGATTTTTGCATTTCTCTAATGACCAGTGATGATGAGATTTTATTTGTGTTTGTTGGCTGCATAAATGTCTTCTTTTGAGTGGTGTCTATTCATATCCTTTGTCCACTTTTTTTTTTTTTTTCTTGTAAATTTGTTTAAGTTCCTTATAGATTCTGGCTATTAGACCTTTGTCAGATGGGTAGCTTGCAAAAATTTTCTCCCATTCTGTTGGTTGCCTGTTCACTCTGATGATAGTCTCTTTTGCTGTGCAGAAGCTCTTTAGTTTAATTAGATCCCATTTGTCTATTTTGGCTTTTGCTGCCATTGTTTTTAGTGTTTTAGTCATGAAGTCTTTGCCCATGCCTATGTCCTTAATGGTATTGCCTACATTTTCTTCTAGGGTTTTTATTGTTTTAGGTCTTACATTTAAGTGTTTAATCCATCTTGAGTTAATTTTTGTACAAAGTGCAAGGAAGGGGTCCAGTTTCTGATTTCTGCATATGGCCAGAGAATGGCTATTATTAAACAGTCAGAAAACAACAGATATTGGCAAGGTTACAGAGAAGAAGGAATACTTTATATGCTGCTGGTAGGAATGTAAATTAGTTTAGCTGCTGTGAAAAGGAGTTTGAAGATTTCTCAAAGAACTTAAAACAGAACTACAATTCAACGCAGCAATCCCAATATTGTGTATATACCCAAAGGAAAATAAATTGTTCTACCAAACAGACACATGTAATCATATCTTCATCACAGCACTAATCAAAATACCAAAGGGATATCAACGAATATAGCCATCAACTGTGGACTGAAAATAATGTGGTACATATTCACAATGGAATAGTATGCAGCCAGAAAAATGAATAAAATCATGTTCTCTGCAGCAACATGGATGCAGCTGGAGGCTATTATCCTAAGTGAACTAATGGAGAAGCCATTAAATATACATGGACACCACAAAGATGGATACAAGACACTGGGGACTGCTTGAAGGAGGAGGATATGAGGATGGTGTGGGTTGGAAAGCTACCTATCAGATACTATGCTCACTACCTTGGTGATGGGATCCTTCACACATCAAGGCTCAGTGACACACAATTTACCCGTGTAACAAATCTGTAAAAGTATCACCTGGGTGGGGTGTGGTGGCTCACGCCTGTAGTCCCAATACTTTGGGAGGCTGAGGTGGGTGGATTGCCTGAGGTCAGGAGTTCGAGACCAGCCTGGCCAACATGGTGCTACCCCGTTTCTACTAAAAATACAAAAATTAGCTGGGCATGGTGGAGGGCACCTATAATCCCAGCTACTCGGGAGGCTGAGGCAGGCAAATCAATTGAACCCTTGAGGCGTAAGTTGCAGTGAGCCAAGATCGAGCCATTGCACTTGAACCTGGGTGACAAGAATGAAACTCCAACTAAAAAAAAAAAAAAAAAATCATCTGATCCCTCCTAAAATGAAATTAGAAAAAAGAGACAGAAAATCTTAAAAGTAGCCAGAAAACGTTGTACATTAATTTCAGAGGAGTAATTTTAAGTCACCAGAAATTTGTTCTATACAAATTATGGCCCTAATGACAATGGAATGGTATTCTTTAAATAATAAAAGGAAATAAATACCTATCTAGAATTCTATGCCCAAGGAAATATTCTTAAAATTGAAGCTACAATAATAAAGTGTTTCAGACAAAAATCTAACAGCATTTGCTACAAGATAACCTGAAATTAAATGAATCAAAAGGAAGTTAAGACTGAAGAAAAATGACCCCAAATGGAAACAAACAGAACTGCAGGAAGAATGAGAAAGAAAATAAAAAGAGAATATATAAATGAATAGTGAGAAAGTAAGTAAAGGTAAAAAATAATAGTACTTTTGTGGCTTTAAAACTATTTGGAACAATGACTCAAAATAAGAGAAGGAGAAAATGGAGTATATTGTTCTCTTTTTATCAAAATTAATAAAAATAATAATGTATATTAAGTGACAATGAGTAAAAATTAAATGTTTTAATATCTAAAATAACTTTAAAAATAATAATGTATACATAGCAAATTAGTAAAATAAAATAACAATTCTATAAATTATTTGAAAAATCTGAATATAGGCCAGACAAGAAATGAATAGAAGTATAAAGTAAGTGAGCCTAACATAGGAACAGTAGAATTTAGTTACAATATTAATTTTAAAGAAAACAGTCAATGATAAGATTAAACATGCCCTAGAAATGCCAGTTTTCTCTTTTTTTACACGTTGAAAACATCTGGGCAGGTGATGTCTTTTTAAATCTGCATAAATTATCAGAAGACAAAACAAAAATAGTTTCCCAAATTACCAGCTAGATCATTTACGTTTATATTTATGCTTACATTTATTTTTCTTCTCAAAATAAATAACGTATTTAAATAACTCTGAAATCATAAACTCATTTCAATTAAACTCTTTTCTAAAACAATTATGGAGAATTTATGTACTGCCCAAATTCTTTGTTATTAAGAAGGCAATATAATAACATTCTGATTTCTGAAGTTGTAGAATCCATCTTTGAAGCATTTGAAAACTAAAATGTTTCTCCAGAAAGTGTATCCGAATGTTGCCTAAAATACTGAGATTATTTTAGATTAGGGCTTCTCAGTCAGTATGCTGCTACCATTTCAGGCTCAATAATTCTTTATTTTGGGGGCCTCTCCTGTGCATTATGAGATGTTTAGCAGGATCCCTGGCCTCCACTCACTAAATGTTAATAGCATCCTCCTAGTCATAACAAGCAAACTATGTCTCTAGACATTGTCAAAATTTCCCTTGAGGGAAAAATTACCTCTTGTTGAAAACAATTGCCCCAGATGATCTATAATCATTTACTACAGTGCTGAAGATAACTATCATCTTTAGTTCCAGGGTTGACTGACTTAATTCATGTTATGCTAATTCTCCAAAAACATTAGACATCTTCATTAAAATAGCATATAAATTATAAGGCATCCCTGAACTATTTTTACAAAAATAACTTATTTTGAGAAGGTGTTGCTTTGATGTTGAAAGAATAAGAGCATAAATTTTTTAAACTATATGTAGAAAATATTCTGCATTTGAAAAATAAATAGAACGAAAACATATTTCTACAGAAATTCTTGGAACTTTTCTACTTTTGTGTAAAGATCAATTATGACAGACTAATATGAAATTTGACCTTTATTTGGAAGAAATCTGTCACAGGTTGTCATTGATTACATGAAAAATTATAAACGTTCTGTACTAAACAGGAACACTATCAGCATTTACAGTGACTGCACATCTGCCTAGTGAGATTCCAGTCATACTTAATATCACCCTGATGCCTGATTTGGAAACAAACTTACACTTTCTCTAAAAGCAAGAACAAAGAATTTGGACTATAAAAACAGGTTCCTGGAATCTTACCATATTTGTATTTTTTTCACCGGTAATTTTACTTCAAACATAATCTTGTTCATTAGCATGCATATTTCTTATGTACATATTTTTTCATATATTAATTTTTGAATGGATATTGACTAATTATTAGAAGGCGGGTGTTGTGAGAGGTGGATGTAAACTGAATAAAATTAAAATGTCTGACATTTAATGGAAGGCATAGGCAAGTACATAAATTGTCACATCTGATAAAGCATCTAAAATCATGAACAAATTATTTTTCAGGACTAATTCTATCTTTAATATAAGTGTTCTATTGACTTGTTTCTCAAAAAAATGAGTTATAATAAGGATTGAAAATTTAAAGAGCTTTGAACAGTTGGTGGAGTATATCAGTTTCTTCAAACTAGGTATGTGTATACCTGAGAGTAAATGAAAATACTTTTTAAAAGGATAAGAAATTTTCAGGAAAGAAAAAGTTTAAAAGATATTCAGGTCTTAAGTAAAGTCATTGTTTAATTAAAAGGTACACATTGATAATTTCTGTTATGCCTTATCTAGAATACCTATGAGTGAGAGAAGCAGGATGAGGCAGAGGAAGAATTTGAACTACAATGCACCTGCAACACAGACCTTAGCTGATGGCACTTCAGAGATATCCCAAATTGGGACAAGAAGATTGGGTCTTTGAACCTCTGTGAGGACCAATTTTGGGAAGGGGGCTGGCCCTAAGAGAAGTTTTAACTATGACAGAAGCCTTTCAATGAGGGAGTTCCTTGAGAGTCTCACCTGTGAGCTGCCTTCCAGGATTGAATGTGAATCTAGGGCAAAGCTACAGCATCCACTGCATACCACCCCCTGACTAGTTAGAATCCATGTGCTTTGCATGGTATGTTTACTCTATTTGGGAACATACTCTCCAAGACTCTGGCTGGTATTGTTTCTGGACAACTTATAAGCGGAAGGTTAATGGGGAAAAAATAAGTTCATATAGCCACAGCTAATTTCACAGCTGCAACTATTTTTTAAATTATTGTTTGCCTCCTTCTGATACATATTTTAAATTTGTTTCATTGTTGCCTAGAATCCTGGCTGATTTGGGTAGCTTACCTATCAAGGTGACCCAGATTTGCATACCTGAGAGGTTTGAGCCCTTTGATTTTTCATGTCCTTCTGAGATCTTTGATGTTGTGCTTGCTCACATACCATCAAAATTAGGCAGAGCAAGTCAACTAGATGCTCCAGGGGATTAATTTGGCAAACACTGTCTTCTCTGCCTCTATTGTATCAGACCAACCCTACCTATTCCTGATTACCAACAACAATTATTCTTGGCAGCATACCTCATTTTATTGGCTTTGACGTATGCACAACGAACCCCAAAGGGCCACGTGGCAGCCGTAGGTTAAGTTTAGTCAGCCTTCCGCAAATATTCAACCTCTGAGAATCACAAGATCTGGGACTGCAGTTTTAGGGTCAGGACGCTCAAATTATTTAGGTAAGTCACTGAAGTGAGGCTACTAAGGGCTATTGTAATTGGAACAACTTGATTCCAGACATATGTAGTCTACCTAATTAGGGATACAGCACCATATAAAAGTCATATCTCTCTCATAACTCCATCTGCTTGCCTCTTTACCAGAGCTCCTTGTCCCACAGTGTTTAATCTTTCTTCTCCCAAGTCCTGATCAATCAGCAAAGCCATTCACTATTTCCCAGGAAATAGTCTCATAATAATCACCTCCTCCACCTTTCAAAGTCTGAGAAAATACATCTGCCAGTTCAATCCTTTCCACAGTAGCCCTTCTCATTTTGCATCAGCATTGTTGAAAATTTAATAATTGTAGTCCAACAGCAAGCCAATGGGATGTGGTACTCTACCTTTCACCTGTGATGGGATCCTCATTTCCTGCTTGCCTGTAGGTGATTTAGCTGTAAGGTATCATTTTAGGGTCTGCTTTCTAGAAACCAGACTGCTACCAACTTCCAAAAATCACACATGGTATATTTAGGAATGCTCTCAAGAACAGTACCAGTAAGACATTAGGATAGAAGACTGACAAAAGGGAGAAGTTGAACTGTGATGTAGTTCGAGACTTCAGGTAGTCCCATGAGGGGTCCATCAGAGATGCTTCTAATTTAGAAATTAACCCGGCTGGGCTTGGTGGCTCACGCCTGTAATCCCAGCGCTTTGGGAGGCCGGGGCAGGCAGATCACCTGAAGTCAGGAGTTTGAGACCAGCCTGACCAACATGGAGAAACCTCATCTCTACTAAAAATACAAAAAATTAGCTGGGCGTGGTCATGCATGTCTGTAACCCCAGCTACTCGGGAGGCTGCAGCAGGAGAATCACTTGAACCTGGGAGGCAGGGGTTGTGGTGAGCCAAGATCACACCATTGCACACCAGCCTGGGCAACAAGAGCAAAACTCTGTCTAAAAAAACAAAAAAAAAGAAAGAAAGAAAGAAAAAGAAATTAATGAATTATGCAGGTTATTCCATTGCTCAAGTTTGAAAAGCCAATGACTTAAGATAGCAAACATTACCATATGTATTAGCTACCTAAGGATGCCATAACAAATTGCCACAGACTTCACAGCTTAAAACAACAGAAACATATTCTCTTAGAATCTGTTTCATCATTTTATCCAAGCTTCTGAGGGCTCCTGGCAATTCTTGACATTCCTTGGCTTACACACTTGATAACTTCAATCTCTGCCTCTATCTTCATATGTCTTTCTTCTCTCTGTGTCTGTCTTTTCCTTTTCTGTCACTTATAAAAACACCGACCATGGGATTCCAGGCACATTCTAACTCAGGATATCTCATCTCAAGACCCTAACCTTAATGACATCTGTAAAGACTCTTCTTACTTCAAATAATGTCATTTGTCAAGGTTCTGCCTGAACACACATTTTGAATCCAGCCACTATTTAATCTGCTACACTCTAGAAGAGTGGTTCTCTGATTTCAGAGTGCATGAGAATCCCCTGGTGTGTTCACTAAAAATGTAAAATTCCATACACAGGCATTCTGTGACTGAATTCTAAATTCTTAATGCAGGTGGCCCTTCAAAAACATTTTATAAAACACTGTTCTTGAAAACATGGACAACTTTACTAGCATAAGACAATTACTTCTGTATTTGATGATAGGGTTACTGGAATGGTTTATGTTTTGATATGTCACTGGTTAAGGATAACACTTAAAGAGTGTCTTATGTTCTTCTACTACAACACACATAAAGACTGCAGCTACTACTGCAGGATATGCTGCTGTAACAATCAAGGCATTGAAAACTATAATACTTCTTGTAGTGAACAGCACTGTTTTTATTTTATTTGAAAGCCAGTTTTAGATGGTAGTGTCATTTGCTAATGCCAGTGGATGTTTGGTGGCAAATATGGCTCATTGGCTGATTTTTAAAACTGCTGGGTTTCTAAGTTGTCATCCACAGGTAAAAAAGACTGACTCTTTGGATTGAGTAAGTGATACTTAGGCACTGAATTTGATGTTTCAAAAAAACATATATGACTTTATGTTATATCTCTCTGTATTAGTTTATTCTCATGCTGCTGATAAAGACATACCTGAGAATGGGTCATTTATAAAGAAAAAGAGGTTTAATGGACTCACAGTTCCACGTGGCTGGGAAGGCCTCACAATCATGGCGGAAGGTGAAACACACATCTTACATGGCAGCAGACAAGAGAGAATGAGAGGCCAAGCAAAAGGGGTTTCCCCTTATAAAACCATCAGCTCTCTTACCACGAGAGCTGTGGGAGAGAAACCACCTCCATAATTCAATTATCTTCCACTGGTTCTCTCCCACAACACAAAGGGATTATGGGAGCTATAATTCAAGATGAGATTTGGGTGGGGACACAGCCAAACCATACCATTTTGCCCCAGCCTCTCCTGAATCTCATGCCCTCTTATTTCAAAACCAATCATGCCTTCCCAACCGTCCACCAAAGTTTTAACTCATTTCAGCATTAACTCAACAGTCCACAACCCAAAGACTCATTTGAGACAAGCGAAGTCCTTTCTGCCGATGAGCCTGTAAAATCAAAAGTAAGTTAGTTACTTCCTAGATACATTGGGGGTACTGGCATTGAATAAACACACTTATTCAAAATGGGAGAAATTCACCAAGATGAAAAGGTTAAAGGCCCCCTGCAAGTCCAAAACGCAGTGGCGCAGTCAAATCTTAAAACTCCTAAATGATCTCCATTGACTCCATGTCTCACATCCAGGGTGCACTGATACAAGAGGTGGGCTCCTACAGCTTTGGGAAGCTCCTCCCCTGTGCCTTGGCAATGTATAGCCCTTCTCCTGGCTGATTTCATGGGCTGGCATTGAGTGTCTGTGGTTTATCTAGGTGCACGGTGCCAGATGTTGGTGGATCTACCGTTTTCTGGGGCTTAGAGGATGGTGGCCTTCTTCTCAGAGCTCCACTGGGCAGTGCCCCAGTAGGGACTCTGTGTCGGGGCTCCAACCCCACATTTCCCTTCCGCACTGCTCTAGAAGAGGTTCTCAATAAGGGCCACGCTCCTGCAGCAAACTTCTGCCCAGGTATCCAGGCATTTCCATACATCCTCTGAAATCTACATGGAGGTTCCCAAACCTCAATTTTTGACTTCTGTTCACTCTCAAGCTCAACACTACATGGAATCTGCCAAGGCTTGGGGCTTGCACCCTCTGAAGCCATGGTCCAAGCTGTACCTTGGCCCCTTTTAGCCATGGCTGGAGCATCTGGGATGCAGGGCACCAAGTCCCTAAGCTGCACATAGCAGGGGGGCCCTGGGCCCAGACCAAGAAACCATTTTTTCTTCTTAGGCCTCTGAGCATGTGATGAGAGGGGCTGCCTTGAAGACTCCTGACATGCTCTAGAGACATTTTCCCCATTGTCTTGGTGGTTAATATTTGGCTCCTCATTACTTATGCAAATCTCCATGGCCAGTTTGAATTTCTCCTCAGTAAATGGGTTTTTTCTTTCTATCGCATCTTTAGGCTGCAAATTTTCCAAACATTTATACTTTGTTTCCTCTTGAATGCTTTGCTGCTTAGAAATTTCTTCCACTGGATACCCCAAATCATCTATCTCAAGTTCAAAGTTCCACATATCTCTAGGGCAGGGGCAAAATATCGCCAGTCTCTTTGCTAAAATATAGCAAGTGTCACTTTTACTCCAGTTCCCAACAAATTCTTCGCCTCCACCTGACACCACTGCAGCCTGGATTTCATTGTCCATATCATTATCAGCATTTTGATCAAAGCCGTTCAACAAATTTCAAGGAAGTTGCAAATTTTCTTACATCTTTCTATCTTCTGAGCTCTCCAAGACTCTAGGAAGTCCAAACTTTCCCACATCATTTTTTCCTTTCTCAGGGCCCTCCAAACTGTTCAAACCTCTGCATGTTACCCAGTTCCAAAGTTGCTTCTACATTTTCAGACATCTTTACAGCTTGTGCCCCATAGCCTGGTACCAATTTACTGTATTAGTCTGTTCTTATGCTGCTGATAAAGGCATAGCTGAGACTGGGTAATTTATAAAGAAAAAGAGAAAGGACTCACAATTCCACATAGATGGGGAGGCCTCACAGTCATGGCAGAAGGCGAAACTCATACCTTACATGGCAGCAGACAAGAGAGAATGCAGGCCAAGCAAAAGGGGTTTTCCCTTACAAAACCATCAGATCTCGTGAGACTTATTCACTACCCCAAGAACAGTGTGGGGGAAACCACCCTCATGATTCAATTATCTCTCACCGGATCCCTCCCACAACACGTGGGAATTATGGGAGCTACAGTTCAAGATGAAATTTGGGTGGGGACACAGCCAAATCATATCATTCTCATTTATATAACAGGACATAACACATCAATTTATATAATTAGAAGAGAAATTTTATTTCAAATTTACAGTCAGAATCAAATGATAGTCTTGATAGTCTTGTGTCAGACTCTGTTTTTGGCTTCATGCCCATTCTCCCCTAATTTTTAGTTTAACAGAACCCTGACAAAATGTTTCTAGCCCCAAGCAGGGGATTATGATAAAATTAGGTCCATTATGACAATAATGTTTCTATTTTTCCCACCATGATAGCAGCTAGAAATGGCCATGTGACCTAGTTCTGGTCTAAACTTTGTTAAATTTAAGCAGTAATCTGCTGGAAAGAAAGATGCTCTAGAAACTTTCTCCTTTGATTATTACAGTTGAGCCATACCTAGAACAAGATCTCTTTCTGCTTTTTTTCTGCCTTGAATATAAATGTGACTTCTAGAACACAATACTCTGTAACCATGAGGTGACAGCTGACAAAGACAGGCTATGAACATTACAGAGATACTGACTCTGATACCGATAGACCACTGAATCCCTGCCAGTAATGGTCTGTTTCAGACCCCTTAGGTTTCTATTAGTTAAAACCCAAAATCACACTAGCTCAAATTATATTGTATCTGAAAGTTATAAAGCAAATGGACTTAATAATTAAAGAACATTTAAATGCAGACCTATTAGTTGAATATTTCATCTCTTCCTAGAATTCCTAGCAGCCTTTAATCAATATAGGGATTTTAAAGAGAAAAAAAGAAATAAAAGAAATTTATCAGCAAATGAAACAGACTCAATTTTAATTGTTTTTCCAGTTTTTGACTATTAATTTAGGTTTCATTATGTTTTTACTCTAACCTAAATGTTGCCTATCCACTTTTAGCATTGAGTTTTATTGGGTCATATTTAGGTCTAACTGTCTATTTATTTGAGTTATTTTTTATGCAAAATGCTTAAAAATATGCATAGCCTAATGTAATGTATCTAACTAGTCATCAACATATAGAAAAAAACAAATTTTTGAACTTGTGCTACTATTCATTATATGAAGTCATATATATATATTTATTTCTTCATTTTTACCGTTATTCTCATTTTTACACTTAATAATTCATTGGTATTCATTTCTTTGTGATGCTGGTCAGATACAAATCAGAACAAAGTCACTTGAATATATGAGTTGATTTTTTTAATATCTGCAAATACAGAGTCTACAAAAGCTAGTGTTTCTATTTTAAAGAACCAGATGCTTGAGAAAGAAAAAAAAATGTGTTTTAAATTTTAGAAATATTGGTTTGGAGTAGCAAGACCACAAACTCTGGAAAATGTAGAATATGATTAAGAAACAGATTGAGAATGTGTTCCTGATTGCATAAAATTTTTTTTTTTTAAATTATTTATTTATTTATTTATTTCAGATGGAGTCTCGCTCTGTCGCCGAGGCTGGAGTGCAGTGGTGCAATCTCGGCTCACTGCAAGCTCTGCCTCCCGGGTTCTCGCCATTCTCCTGCCTCAGCCTCCCGAGTAGCTGAAACCACCGGCGCCCGCCGCCGCGCCCAGCTAATTTTTTTTCTATTTTTAGTAGAGACGGAGTTTCACCGTGTTAGCCAGGATGGTCTCCATCTCTTGACCTCTTGATCCGCCCGCCTCGGCCTCCCAAAGTGCTGGGATTACAGGCGTGAGCCACCGCACCCGGCCAAGATTATTTTTAAAAGTCTTTTAAACTTCAAACAGACAGGAAATATGTACCATTTCTGAACTTTGAACTAAGATTTAAGCAAAGGAATAAAAAAAAAAAGAAAATTTATTCACTAATAGGGACTTTCCAGTCTCTGTAGTTCCTCAGGTCTTATTCCCGAAGTGATTTGGAAACAACAGAATTTGGAGTAATCTGTGGTGAATCCAAAGTCCAGGGTGAATTTAACTCATTTGCCAGGTGGTAGGAAAGGTATACAGTAAACCATTTAGCAGAAATTCATGTTCTTTGTGATATTCCAGAAATAAGAAAGGAGTGAAATGTCTACCTATATAGGGTTGAGGTGGTTTTAGAGAGGCCCATTGTCCAAGAAATGAGAAGGAGCTTTTTAAAATTTTAGGAAGAGTAATTGAGATGCCACATACCAAAAAATAAAAAAAAAAAATCTAATAAAAATAAAATAAAGAATTACAGGCCTAGTGATTAGGGATACTAGAGGTCATGATAGAAACTCGTTAGTCAACTATGGGGTCAAGTAGAGTCACGGTTTGACAACAAAACATCAAATAAAATAAACTATACTCCACAACAGCACAAGCCAACAGACCAATGTAATGCTGTATAATTTAGAAAAATTGCTGCAGATGTCAGGTTTATAAGTAAGCTTTGTAAACCTAGGTTTCACTCTGAAAATAAGGAAGGCAAAAGAAAAGTTTATGAAACTTGGATTTCTATATTGACCAAAGGACACTGTGATTTAAATTAGAAGTAACTAAAGACTTTAACTTGGCAAAAATAAATTTTATAATTCCACAGGGAATTTACAGCTTTGAAAGTCAAGTTGGGAGCAGTTATAAAAATAAAGTGAGTTAAAACTTTAATGTTCTAGTGTTATGATTAGGTAATTTAAATCAAAGCCAAGATACTTAGTTTTCAATATAAATTAAATATGAATAGTTATCCGTGTGTTTTGTTTAGTTTTGCTTTGTTTTTGAAAGAAGTGGACACCTTAATAAATAATAACCAGTTTACTCAGATAATCTGGTTTCAAACTCTGGTTTTGATATTTACTAGGCATAATTGTCTTTGACAAGTGGAGGAATTATGGGCTGATACAAGAGGAAGGCCATCTGAAGACCAGGAGACATGATGTCACCAGGTACTAAAACTGTTGACACCATGATTTTGGACATCCCAGATTCCAAAACTGTGAGACATTTTCAGATTATCCTCTGAAGATTTATATGTTGAAACCCTAACACCCAAGATTATGGTATTTGAAGGCAGCTCATTGGGAGATAATTAAATCGTGAAGATGTTGCCCTCAAGAATGAAATTGGTGCCTGGTCTGGTTTGGATCTGTGTTCCCACCCAAATCTCATGTTGAATTGTAATCACCAGTGCTGGAGGTGGGGCCTAGCGTGAGGTCACTGGATCATGGGGGCAGTTTCTAATGATTTAGCACCATGCTTCTAGAACTGTTCTCCTGATAGAATTCTCACTAGCTTTGGTTGTTTAAAAGTTTGTGGCTCCTCCCCACTCTCACTCTCCTACTCTGGCCATGCGAAGTGCCAGCTCCTCTTTTCCCTTCCACCATGATTGTAAGTTTCCTGAGGCCTTCTCAGAAGCTAAGCAGATTCTAGCATCACGCTTCCTGTACAGCCTGCAAAACCGTGAGCCAATTAAACTTTATTTCTTTATAAATTACTTAGTCTCCTGTATTTCTTAATAGTAGTGCAAGAATGATCTAATACAGTGCCTTTTTAAAAAAGAGACTTCTGTTTGAAGAAAAAGAGCTTGCTGTCTTCCTGCTCTCCAACATGTGAAGATACAAGAGGAAGGCCATCTGCAAACCAGGAGACATGATGTCACCAGGCACTAAAACTGTTGACACCATGATTTTGGACTCCCCAGACTCCAAAACTGTGAGACAGAAATGGCTGACTTTTAAAACACTTAATTTATGGTATTCTGCTCTAGCAGCCCAAACTGACTGAGGCAGGGAGATACCTTCCCTGACTTCAATTATTTTACAAGCAAAAGAAGTAGTACAGCATTTTGCCTAGCATTTAACAAAAAAATTTAGATACTTGAATAGTGTATTTTGGAAAGTAACTTTGCAGATGTTAAAATATTTAATTTTCAAATATTATATAACTTAAACATTATACAATATAAAATATATTTTTAAATGATGACTAAATTCTTACTATTTCCCTTTCACTCTGCATCTTGGCCATTTCTGTCTATTTTGAATCCCATAAAATGCTTTTCTCTCTCTTTATATATGCTCTTTCCTCTGACAGAAATTTTTTGACTATTGTTCCATCCTCCCATTCGTAACTATTGGCCAAGCTTACATATTCTGTATGATTAAAAATAGACATAATGTCCTCAAGGATACCTTTCCATTTCCATAAAGTCTATGCCAAGATCTCCCCTGACGTGCTAACATAAAAGCCTATAGTTCCTTCGTCATTAAATTTAGTTCAGTGTTTGCGAATGACTTACTTGCCTGTCACTGGCATTCAATGATAAACACTGGGAGGGCAGAACCATTGTGTACTTTAGATTACTTCAGCTAGCACCTACAATGGTATGTAGTATGCACACAATGCATATTCATGAAATAAACGTTTACTAACAGACTAGCACATGAAAGTAAGCACTGCCCCAAAATTTGTTTAATCTCAATTTTCTATTGACTTTTTCAGGGCTATACTATAAAACAGGAACTTGATTATGCTGAGTACTCATAATGGTTGTCATGAGACATCAATGAAACAAATTACCTAAACTACCTCTCCAAGTTGAATTTGCTCAGTATCAAAGCTCATTTCTGTGTTCATACAAATGTTGTTGAGTACTTGGCAAAAGAGAGTCATTTACAGTTATTTGTAGGTTTCAAATTACCGTGAATTTCGACCCAAATGTAAGGTGAATATAGTTAAAAAAAGAATCTTTTCATAAACATCAATATAATAAATGGTATAGCTGCAGACCACAGGAAAATTCTCTAATATGTATTGGAGACAATGTAAAAGATAATTTCAATGGAAACTCTTTTTCCATCATTTAGATAAAGTCATACTTTTAAAATAAGCTAGGTGAAAATCTATGTGTTTAATTAAGCTTTGTAGTGTAAGCTCTTCATTCAATTGCTTTAATAGATTTTGACATGCATACACAATGACTGAATTTTACCTTAGGTGTCAGCAGGCTATTACCTGAACCTAATTCCTGGATGCAGTGGATTTCAGAGTGGTTAATAGGAGAGAGTTAAAGCACTTACAATTCTACATCTGACAAATATATACATCAAGTGTGATTTAAAAAAAAGAGGCTATACTATTTTTTATTTTTCTGGTGAGATTACATGAAAAAGCAAAGAACAACAGAGTGTTTCATCAAAATGGAAGACTGAAATACAACATGTCAGAACATAGCATAAAATGTCGTAGAAATTAAAATCATCCTTATGAAAGTTTTTGCACTTTCACCCTTTTCTGCTAATACAGAGCTTAATTTGACAAAATTATCAGAGTGTTCTACAGTACAAACTTCTCAAAATTATAAGTGCTTAATCATTTAACTTGTAACATTTTGTAAAAACTGTACAGTTAAATTGCTTTTTAAAATATGCTTAAAAGATGCAGTTTAGAAAGAGTTGATTATGAGAACAAAATATGCACATTACAAAATGCTGAAAAAATGTATTTTAAAAATTAAATCCATCTAAACAACCACACTCAGTGACCGCAACTAACTGACTTTTGGCAAATTTCTGTCTATATGCACAATATTTTACATGACCGAGAGTATTTTGCACATATAATTTGGTATCCTAATTTTTAACTTAATATAAAGTGTAAACAGTTCTAATAATAACATTTTAAATGTATTTTAAAATGACTTTATGAGCCTGTTTATGAATAAGCCACAAATTGCATCATTTAATCAATTTTCCATGATTATACATTAACATGGTTTTCAATTTTCTTTCAGAAGTTTGCTTAGCTAATCTAAATAATGTTCCTATGAATATCTCTGTGTCCATTCACTATGTAAAAGAACATTAATTTTTTAATAACTAAAAAGTTTGGAGATACATAAAGCATATATAATGTAAATACATGATTTTAGGCTGGGCATCTTATATTTTCATCTTATAGCAATGTTTCCTTAATTGAAAGAAAAGACCCGTGGAAAAATGCAAGCCATATTTAGGAACAGTATCTATTGCAATGCAATTTTAACTTTATAAAGAAAAATTCAACAAAGATGTCATTCTTATTTTGGCAAGAAAAGTAACACAATCTTTCGTGAATGTGTGTGTGTGTGTGCACTTAAGCACAAATGAAGGTAATGGTGAAACGTGACAATTTTACATAAATTCTGATGCTCCAAGGCCAAGATACAAGCAAAAAGAAGCAGCACTATTAGGTAAAGAATACTATCTTTGAAGACTATTGACCAAAAAAATGTATTTTTCATGTTACATTACTCAAAAAATATCACATTACCATCATAGAGTGTTCTGAGGTTAACTATCACTATGGAAATGTAAAAAGCACATTTTTTCAGAGCCAAAGGTCTGTAAATTTGTATCATGGATGAATTATAAATTAGCTACATTTATTTGTCATTTGACTAAGCAGGAAAAATGATTTTCCTCTCCTTCCCATAAAGATATTGGTCTGTTTACTTAAAGTCTCAGATGCTGATTTGTGCAGAGATATTAGTTGTCACATCACCATGACATAAAGGGCAAAATTTCAAATTTATACCTTCTCTCTGATTCTCTTCTCATTCTTTTTTAGTAATTCGTAGGGAAGTGGTGCCAGTACTCTATTGAGATTCAGGAGTCACCACTTTCTTTAGTCTTTTCGTCTATGCTACTGGGCAGAAATTGGTAAAAAAAAAAAAAAAAGAAAGAAAAAGAAAAAAACACCAATAATTATATCACGTATGAAGGAAATAGGTTAAACCTAAGCCCTGTGACTCACCTCCGGGTTTTATTACATCATCTAGGATAGCAGAAACTTATCCAACAGTTTTTCATTTGATTTGCTCACTTGCTCGCACTCCCTCTTTCTCTCTTTTCCTGTATCTTTCCCTTTTAATTTGCTATAGGAAAAACTTAAACATGAGTGAGCAAAGAGGAGGATGCAACTGAATATTTTTGGAAATGTGGATATCATATAAGGGTAAGTGTGTAATACTGTATATTTTTATTTATTTATTTATTTATTTATTTATTTATTTTTTACCAGAAACACGTGCACTTTATTGAATGCCGTTGTAGAAAAGTGTGTGAGGATAAAGGGCTGACACAGGACTCGGCTCCGGGGGCAGGGTGAGGAATGGAAGGTGGAGTACATGGGATACAGGTCATGGGCAGAGCTCCTGGCCTCAATGATGCCTCCTGATCTATTGATAGGCTTGGAAGATCAACACTGGGATGATGATGAGCAGAATGGTCATGAAGATGCCCAAAATCAGGGCCCAGATGTTCAGGCACTTGGCGGTGGAGGCATAGGCCTGGGCGCCAGTCAGGTCGCCAACCATCTTCCTGTGCCTAGACTTCACGGAGTAAGCGAATGCTATGAAGCCCAGGCAGCAGGGGTTCATGAAGAGAGTGTTGAACAGGGACCAGACAACATGGTCGGGCACGGAGGTCTCGTTGCGGATGTGGATCACGGTGGACGTCGGGGGAGCAGGGTTGTAGGCCACCCCCAGCACAGCCACCTCATGCTCCTCCTTGAGCATCTCATAGTTGGGGGGCTGGCCGCTGTTGATAGGAGAGAAGGTTGGACAGTGTGGTTCATGGTGTCCAGTGAAGACCAGCGGTGGTCGGGTTACTGGGATGGCTCTCAGTGGGCCCTAATATTGTATATTTAATGATAATAGTGATTAATTTGTTTTTATCACTAGTGGATTATAATTCTGAATTATTGAAACCTTTGTTTTTCTGAATAGACAGGAAAAGATGATCTTAGTAACCTAATAAAGTGGTTGTCATTTTTCACTATGTCTTCAGGCTAATCATATTAATTTTCAGGGGAACAGGTACCTTTTCTAGGATAAAGAAATAGTTTGTGCCTCCAGCAGGAGAGTAACACCAGATTTGTATTTAGTTTTCTCAAGAAGGTAGTCCCTCAGTGATGTTAAAAAAAGACATGAAACACATGCAATGTTAGAGGCCTTTTCCTCATTAAACTCATGTGCACACCTTTTTTTCTTCTTTTCCAGTTCATGAACCTTTTAATCTTATCTATGTAACAAGTAAGAAAAACATTTTGTGTTATATAATTTGGACAGAGCCTAATTTCTCTAATGATAGTTCATGTTCAAATGGTAAAAGAAACGTAGGGAGCAACTACACACACGCACACACACATACATGCGCGCACACACACACGCACACACTACAGTGTTTCCCTGGTATCCTCGGGGGTTGGTTCCAGGACTCCTGCAAATACGAAAAATTTTACAGATGAACAAGTCTCTTATATTAAAAAATGTAGTATTTGCATCAAACCTACACATATCCTCCTGTATACTTCAAATGATCTGTAGGTTACCTATAATACCTTATACAATGTAAATGTTATGTAAATATTTGTTATACTGTATTTTTATTTGTATGTTAAATATTGTATTGTTATTTGTCATTTAATTATTTTTAAATATTTTATTGCATAGTTGGTTGAATACATGCATGCAGAACCCGCAGATAGAGAGGGTTGACTATACTTACTTTTGCTAAACACCTTATATATATATATCTACAGTACTTTACTGAATGAATGCTTTTGCAAATATCTTTGTCTCAATCCATCTCTCCTTTCTCTCCATATATATACACACATATATATACACACACATGTACACACACATATATATGTACATATTTATGTGTGTGTTTGTGTATGTGTGCGTGTGTATAGATATGTTACTGGAAAGGGGTCCAGATCCAGACCAGAAGAGAGATTCTTTGCTATTGGGCAAGAAAGAATTAGAGGCAAATCCATAAAGTGAAAGCAAGTTTATTAAGAAAGTAAAACAATAAAGAATGGCTACTACGTAGGCAGAGAAGCCCTAAGTATTGCTGGTTGGCTATTTTTATGGTTACTTCTTGATTATATGCTAAACAAGAGGTTGAGTATTCATAAGTTTCCTGAAAAGGGATGTGCAGTTCCAGGAACTGAGGGTCCCTCCTTGCTTTAGACCATATAGGGTAACTTCCTGATATTGCCATGGCATCTATATACTGTTATGGAGATGATGGGAGTGTCTTTCAGCATGCTAATGAATTATAATTAATTAGCATATAATGAGCAGTGAGGATTACCAGAAGTTGCCATCTTGGTTTTGGTGAGTTTTAGCTAGCTTCTTTACCACAATCTGTTTTATCAGCAAGGTCTTTGTGAACTGTATCTGGTGCCAAACTTTTATATCATTACAATGGTTAATATTGAGCGTCAACTTGATTGAATTGAAGGTATTGATCCTGGGTGTGACTCTGAGGGTGTTGCCAAAGGAGATTAACTTTTGAGTCAGTGGACTGGGGAAGGCACACCCACCCTTAATCTAGATAAGCACAATCCAAATTTATATATATATATATATATATATATATATATATATATATACACATATACACATTATATATATATATAATGTATATATATATATACATTAGTTCTGTTTCCCTATGGAACCATGACTAATCCAGATTTTGGTGCCAGAAGTGATTCTAGGGGAACAGAATATTAAGGATGGAGTACTTTCACTGGTTTGGGGGTTTCTGGAGTTGGCTGCTTAATATCATTTGATCCAAAAATGCTAAGGACTGTACTTCTAATAGTAGGGAGAACACTGATAGTTTTTGGTGTGGACTATTTAGAGAGTTATCCAAAATAAATGTATTTGACATTCCTGATTCATCACTCATGAGAGGCAAGGAGTTTAGTGACTCTATATATAATACCTTTGACCATATATGGAGAACCAAAGAACATAATGAAGCAGGTTGGTTGCTTCTAAGTTCAGTGGAAAAGTGAGGAAAAAAATGATGAACTCAGTTATTCTATCTCCCGGCTTCAGAAGACACTGAGCCTCAAATTGCTAAGATTGCCCAGGGTGAGAGTCTTATCTCCTGTAGAGAAAGAGCTGAAATTGTGGAAAACCAGACATAAGCTCTTATCATGAGACTGGCTGACCTGCAACAAAAGGTGCATGCACAGCCTCTCCAGGTGTCTACTGTTACAGTGAAGACATTGGTTGGAAAAGAATGGGACCCTGCAACTTGGAATGAGTATGTGTGGGAGAACCCTGATGAAGCTGGGGACACTGAGTTTGTAAATTTCGATGAATCTTTTTTTGCTGGAAGAAACAGCTTCCCCATCCACAGTAGTGTCAACATCCCCTCGCCAACCCATGCTGCCATCAGCCTTTCTACCTTTGTCTGAGGAGATTAACCCTGCACCACCTGAGGCAACAGTGATGGCCTCCACTGAGGCAGTTGCCAGGCAAGATAATGCTGATTCTCCTTAGCAGCCACCTCCAAAACCCGTGTTTGCTTCTAGACTTATAACTAGACTAAAGTTTTGGAGTGCCTCTAGAAATGAGGTTGAGAGTGTGAGCCATGAGGAGGTGCACTCGAAAAGAACTGCTTGAGTTTTTTAATTTTTGAGAGCAGAAATCTGGAGAATAGGCATGGGAATGGATATTAAGGATGTGGGATAATGGTGGAAGGAACATAGAGTTGGATCAGGCTGAATATATCGATTTGGGCACACTAAGTAATCATTCTGCATTTAATGTTGCAGCTTAGGGAGGAAGTTAAAAAGATTCTAATAGTTTATTTGCTTGGTTAGCTGAAATATGGATTACAAGATAGCACACTGTGAGTGAGCTAGAAATGCCTGATTTACCTTGGTTTAATGTAGAGGAAGGGATCCAAAGGCTTAGGGAGATTGGGATGGTAGAGTGGATTAGTCACTTTAGACCTACTCATCCCAGCTGGGAGGGTCCAGAAAATATACAATTGACCAATGCCTTGTGAAAGAGATTTGTGAGGACAGCACCTGCATCTTTGAAGAGCCCTGTAATTGTTCTTTTCTGTATGTCAGATCTAACAGTGGAAACTACAGTCACTCAACTGCAAAATTTAAATACAATGGGAATAATTGGATCCCGAGGTGGCAGGGTCCAGGCGGAGGCACTCAACCATCAAAGGCAATGTGGGCATAGCTACTGTAATGGACAGCAGAGGCAAAGCTGCAATCAGAATGGTCTGACTCACGTAGAACTCTGGCACTGGGTAATTAATCATGTTATTTCTAGAAGTGAGATTGGTAGGAAGCCTACTGCATTACTGCTTAATTTATACAAGCAGAAAAATTCTAGGTCGAATGGACAGAAGATTAATTTGAATTATAAAAACAGAGAATCACATCCCCTCAGTCAATTTCCAGACATGAGCCAGTTTACAGACCCAGAACCCCTTGAATGAAAGGGATGCCAGGTCCCATTGAGGAAGGAGCCTACTACATTAGAGACCATTTATGAAGTGAATCTTTCTCCCATCCTTCCCCAAGGAGACCTCTGGCCTTTTACCAGGGTAACTGTGCACTGGGGAAAGGGAAATGATCAGACATTTCAGGGACTACTGGGCACTGCCTTTGAGCTGACATTGATTCCAGGGGACCCAAAATATCACTGTGGTTCTCCAGTTAAAGTAGAAGCTTATGGAGGTCAGGTAATTAATGGAGTTTTATCTCTGGTCTGACTTACAGTGGATCCAGCTGGTCCCCAGTCTCATCCCATGGCCATTTCCCCGGTGCTAGAATGCATAATTGGCAAGAACATACTTAGCAGTCAGCAGAACCCCCACAATGGCTCCCTGACCGCTAGGGTGAGGGCTATTATGCTGGGAAAGGCCAAATAGAAGCCATTAGAGCTGCCTCTACATAGAATAATAGTAAATCAAAAACAATATTGCAATATTGCATCTCTGGAGGGATTGAGGAGATTAGTGACACCATCAATGACATGAAAGATGCAGGGGTGGTGATTTCCAACACAACCCTGTTCAACTCTCCCATTTGGCCTGTGCAGAAGACAGGTGGATCTTGGAGAATGACAGTGGATTATCACAAGCTTAACCAAGTGGTGACTCCAATTGCAGCTGCTGTACCAAATGTGGTTTCATTGCTTGAGCAAATTAACACATCTCCTGGTACCTGGTATATAGCCATTGACTTGGAAAAGTGCCTTTTTCTCCATTCCTGTCCATAAGGCCCTCCAGAAGCAATTTGCCTTCAGCTGGCAAGGCCAGCAATATATCTTTACTGTCCTATCTCAGGCATATATCAACTCCCCTTCTTTGTGTCATAATCTTATTTGAAGAGACCTTGATCACTTGTAGCTTCTGGAAGATATCACACTAGTCCATGACATTGATGGCATTATGCTGATTGGATTCAGTGAGCAAAAAGTAGCAAACACACCGGACTTATTGGTGAGACATTTGTGTGTTAGAAGATGGGAAATAAAACTGAATAAAATTCAGGGATCTTCTAACTCAGTAAAATTTCTAGGAGTCCACTGGTGTGGGGCCTGTTGAGATATTCCTTCTAAGGTGAAAGATAAGTTAGTGCATTTGGCCCCTCCTACAACCAAAAAGAGGCACAGTACCTAGTGGGCCTATTTGGATTTTGGAGGCAACGCATTTCTTATTTAGGTGTGTTACTTCAGCCCATGTATTGAGTGACCTGAAAGGCTGCCAGTTTTGAGTGTGGTCCAGAAGAGGAGAAGGCTATGCAACAGGTCCAGGCTGCTGTGTAAGCTGCTCTGCCACCTGGGCTAGGTGACCCAGCAGGTCCAACGGTGCTTGAGGTGTCAATTGCAGATAGGTATGTTGTTTAGAGCCTTTGGCAAGCCCCCATAGTTGAATCACAACGAAGGCCCCTAGGATTTTGGAGCTAGGCCCTGCCATCTTCTGAAGATAACTACTTTCATTTTGAGAGACAGCTCTTGGTCTGTTACTGGGCTTTGGTGGAAACTGAATGTTTGACTACGGGTCATCAAGTCACCATATGACCTGAACTGCCTATCATGAACAGGGTGCTTTCTGACACATCTAGGCATAACATCGATCATGCATAGCAGCATTCTATCTTCAAATGGAAGTGGTATATATGTGATTGGGCTCCAGCATGTCCTGAAGGCACAAGTATGTTACATGAGGAAGTGGCTCAAATGCCCATGGTCTCCACCCTTGCCACCCTGCCTTCTCTCCCCCTGCCAGCACCAATGGCCTCATGGGAAGTTCCCTATGATCAGTTGATAGAGGAAGAGAAGACTAGGGCCTGATTCACAGATGGTTCTGCCCAATATGCACGTACCACCCAAAAGTGGACAGCTGCACCACTACAGCCTCTTTCCAGGACATCCCTAAAGAGCAGCAGTGAAGGGAAATCTTCCCAGTGGACAGAACTCCATGTAGTGCACCTAGTTATGCACTTTGCATGGAAGGAGAAATGGCCAGATGTGCAATTATATACTTATTCATGGGCCGTAGCCAATGGTTTGGCTGGATGGTCAGGGACTTGGAAGGAGCATGATTGGAAAATTGATGACAAAGAAATTTGGGGAAGAGGTATGTGGATGGACTTCACTGAGTGGTCAAAAACTGTGAAGATATTTGTATCTCATGTGAGTGCTCACCAACGATTGACCTCAGCAGAGGAGGATTTTAATAATCAAGTGGATAGGATAACTCATTTTGTGGACACGACTCAGCCTCTTTCCCCACTCACCCCTGTCATCACTCAATGGGCTCATGAGCAAAGTGGCCATAGTCCAATTTGCCAGCAGCAGAGACCAACACTGAGCCCTCAATATGGCACCATTCCTTGGGATGATCAGCCAGCTACCTTGTGGCAGGTTGATTATATTGAATCTCCTCCATCATGGAAAGGGCAGAGGTCTATCCTCACTGGAACAGTATTTACTCCAGATATGGGTTTGCCTATCTTGCACGCAATACTTCTGCCAAGACTACCATCTGTGGACTCATGAATTCCTTATCCACTGTCATGGTATTCCACACAGCATTGCCTCTGACCAAGGCATTCACTTTATGGCTAAAGCAGTGGGCTCACCACATTCCCCATCACCCTGAAGCAGCTGGATTGATAGAACTGTGGAATGGCCTTTTGAAGTCACAATTACAATGCCAACTAGGTGACAGTACTTTGCATGGTTGGGGAAAAGTTCTCCGAAGGCTGTGTATGCTCTGAATCAGCATCCAATATATTGTACTGTTACAGTGTCGGCCAGGGTGATTGACCTGGACTATCAAGAATAAATTAGTCTACTACTCCACAATTGAGGTAAGGAAGAGTATACATGGAATACACGAGATTCATTAGGGCATCTCTTAGCATTACCCTGCCCAGTGACTAAGGTCAATGGGAAATTACAACAGCACAATCCAGGCAGGACTACAAATGTCCCAGACCCTTCAGGAATGAAGGTTTGGGTCACTCCACCAGGAACAAACCACGAACTACTGACGTGCTTGTTGAAGGCAAAGGGAATACAGAAGGGTAGTAGAAGAAGGTAGTCATCAGTACCAGCTACGACCACATGACCAGCTGCAGAAACCAGGACTGTAATTGTCATGAGTGTTTCCTTCTTTTGTTAAAAACATGTTTCCTTTATCATGTGACATAAGATTTATTTTTTATTTTTTTCAGATGGAGTTTCGCTCTTGTTGCCCAAGCTGGAGTGCAATGGTGCGATCTTGGCTCACCACAACCTCTGCCTCCCTGGTTCAAACAATTCTCCTGCCTTAGCCTCCTGAGTAGCTGGGATTACAGGCATGCACTACCAGACCCGGCTAATTTTGTATTTTTAGTAGAGATGGCGTTTCTCCATGTTGGTCAGACTGGTCTCGAACTCCCAACCTTAGGTGATCTGCCCGCCTTGGCCTGCCAAAGTGCTGGGATTACAGGCCTTAGCCACCGCGCCCTGCCAACATAAGATTTACTGACTTCATATCAGCATTTAAGTGTTGTTAATTTTATGTAATAGCATCTCAGGAGATGTTTAGGGGTTCAAGTTCACAAGAGGTGAACTTGTGGTGGTTAATGCTGAGTGTCAACTTGATTGAATTGAAGGATACAGAATATTGATCTTGCATATGTCTCTGAAGGTGTTGCCAAAGGAGATTAGCATTTGGGTCAGTGGGCTGGGGAAGGCACTTCCACCCTTAATCTGGATGCCTGTAATCCCAGCACTTTGGGAGGCTGAGGTCAAGAGATCAAGACCATCCTGGCTAACACAGTGAAACCCCATCTCTACTAAAAATACAAAAAAAAAAAAAATTAGCTGGGCATGGTGGCGGGCACCTGTAGTCCCAGCTACTTGGGAAGCTGTGGCAGGAGGATGGCATGAACCTGGGAGACAGAGTTTGCAGTGAGCCGAGATCTCACCACTGCACTCCAGCCTGGGCAACAGAGCGAGACTCCATCTCAAAAAAAAAAAAATTAAATTTATTTTTAAGTGATAGACACTAAATCAAACACATAATTTTTGTTCCATTTAAATTAGCTGGATTTTAGTAATCAAATATATATAAACAATTTATATAGATATATATTTGAATTTATATTTGAATGTATTAAACCATGTATACTACCGCATATATATGATATACCATATGTACATATATACCATATTTATATATACATGCTTTAATAAATTCAAACAATACAAAGAACAACCAATTTCCTAGTTCACCTAAGAAGAGCAAACACTCTGGTCATTTTTAGGATAATTTAAGAAAAATAACATATTATACATTGCTTTCCACATTTATTACTTAAAATTTTGAATATTATATTACTTGCTGAGAATGTTGATCTTTCACCAGAAGAAAATGTTTCTTATAAAAAGTTCAATGAAATTTATACTTTCTCATAGTTATTTTTATTTTACCTTGAAAAGCCATTGCATCTCAGAGTCAACATTTAGTATGCTGTAAATATCTTCATCAGGAAGTTGGTAGTTCTGGTAGAGTGCTAAGAATAATGAATGAGAACTTCAGAGACATGAGTTTGGACATTTATAAGAATATGACAACAAAAACCTGGCTAAGCTAAGAAATAAAAATTCTAATGATTTAATTACTGCAAAGACCATACCATAAACTGTAAGACTGTAAAGCTATATTAATACTCTTAAGCTAAAGGCAACTAACCTTTTCATTCAAATCAGTGGGACATTTTTTCACTCAAATGAAGAACACCTCAGTGAAAATATGTTTGTATGTGTGTATACCTAAATATTTTAGTGTATATATATAGTTATCATATAATATGTATAATACATTAGATCGATAGAAAAACAGAAAGATATTGGTGATTGTTGCATACAATTATGAGTGCAATTACTGACACTCAATTCCGCAGTTAAAATGAATAATATGGCACATTCTGTGTTGCATATACATTACAGTAAAAATTAGATAAATCTAACAAATAATTAGAAATTCTAGCATAATTTTGGTGAGAAGGTTATAACGTTGTATAAAATGAATTGCAGAAGTTAAATAAGTACAATAAGTGTATTGTATTTATGCTATTACCTATTTTTATGATGTAAATTTGTGTACCTTTATTGCGATTATAAAGAAGTTCTCCTGCTTACAACAAAGCCTCTACTGATGAATCATAAAAGTAGCAGATGGACTCTAAGGTGACTGAGGAAAAGAAAGATCACCTGGTAGCCATCAAGCAGACCATCAAGTGGCAAAACTCTTTATCTGAGTAATTCATAAGTAATTAGATGTCCCTATTATCTAAAGCTGGTGTATTAGTCTGTTTTCATACTGCTATAAATAGCTGCCAGAGACTGCATAATTTATAAAGGAAAGAGGTTTAACTGACTCACAGTTCAGCATGCCTGGGGAGGCCTCAGGAAACTTACAATCATGGCAGAAGATGAAGGGGAAGCAAGGCACCTTCTTCACAAGGTGGAAGGAGAGGAGAGGTGCAAGTGAAGGGGGATGAGCCCCTTATAAAACCACCAGATCTCATGAAAACTCACTCACTATCATGAGAACAGCATGGGGAAACCACCCCAATGATCCAATTAGCTCTACCTGGTCTTTCCCTTGACACATGGGGATTATGGGGATTATAATTCAGGATGATCAGGAATTCCAGACCAGCCTGGCCAACATGGCAAAACCCCCTCTCTACTAAAAATACAAAAAGTAGCTAGGTGTGGTGGCCTGCACCTGTAGTCCCAGCTTCTTGGGAGGCTGAAGCATGAGAATTGCTTGAGCCTCGGAGGCAGAGGTTACAGTGAGCTGAGATCATGCTACTGTACTCCAGACTAGGTAACAGAGCAGGCATCAGTCACAAAAGGAAAAAAAAAAAAAGCGAATCAAGATGAGATTTGTGTGGTGTATTAGTCCATTTTCATGCTACTGATAAAGACATACCCAATACTGGGTAGTTTATCAAGAAAAAGAGGTTTAACGGACGCATAGTTCCATGTGGCTGGCAAGGTCTTACAATCGTGGTAGAAGATGAAAGGCACATCTTACATGGCAGCAGACAAGATAGAATCAGAATCAGTGAAAGGGGAAACCCCTTATAAAATCATCAGACCTCATGAGACTTATTCGCTACCATGAGAACAGTATGTGGGAAACTGCCCCCATGATTGAATTATCTCCCACCAGATCCTCCCACAACACGTTGGAATTATGGGAGCTACAATTCAAGATAAGATGTGGGTGGGGACACAGCCAAACCATATCAGGTGGGGACACAAAGCTTAAACGTATCAGCGAGCATCTAGTACCAGACTTCTTTCTCCAAAATTTATAAGTAACTAGAATTTCTATAAATTTCTGGAATGCATGCATGTCAAAGCTCATTGTGTCACCCTTGCTGACCTCAAGGCATCAAAATGTTTACAAACGTAATCATTTATTATGACCTACATGCTAGCATGGTCCAAATTACCCTTAAACTCCCATTTTAAAGTCCATAAATACCACTAAGGAAAATCCACCACAGAGTGCTCAGTCCTCCTTGCCGAAGTGCCCCTCTGAACTCTGACGCAGCATTCTTTCTATCTAATAAAGCTTTTCTTTTTTTCAAACCTGTATTGCTGTCAGTGAAATATTTTACCACCCACAAGCCAACCACTCTCTACTGCTGGGACTCTGACACCTCACCCTACAGTGACCACCTATGATTCTGTTTTCTATTTTTCACACCCTTCTGTAATTCCATTTAGTTGAGCGTAAGCAGGACCTATGACTGCAACTAATGAATAGAATATGTCAAAGATGAGATGTCACTCTTGTTATTATATTACACAAGACTCCGTCCTGCTATCCCACTTTCTTTTGAGACTCTCCATGCTGACTAAATGAAGTGGCAATGTTGGAGAAGCCTACATAACAGGCAACAGCAGGCAACCTCTGGGTGAGTCTAGACAGTGTGGAAAAGAAGTGGTGTAAGAGCTGAGGTTCCCTACAAAAGTTGAGGAAGGCCTCCAGCTTATAGCTAGAAAAAGCTGGGTTGAACAGTCCTACAATGCAAGAATATTAATTCTGCTAGCAACTCAGATGAGCTTGGTAGTAATTCTTCCCCAGCTGGGCCTTCAGATATGAATACAGCCTAGCCAACCCCTTGATTACAGCATTGTAAGATCCTGGGCAGAGGACTCAGCTGACTGTGTTCAGACTCCTGATTTACAGAAATTGTGAGATAATAAATGTGTGTTGTTTAAGCTGCTAAATTTCTGGTAATTTGCTACACAGTAGTAGAAGACAAACACATTAATGTAAAGGATTAATGGTATTTATTAGATGTATTCTATTTGTCATCATTAGAATTAAAGTACTAACATGACAAACCTGCTATACTTAATAAACTCTAACAGAAAATGTAGCTTAACACATAACACACAAACACCCACATGAAACATTATTTAGTAGTATTTTTAGATTTATCATAAACCTCATTTTCTACCTAAAAAATCTGAAACATATATCATTAAAAACACTGAGTTTATGAATCAAGTATGTAAAGCATGCCAGTATACACAGGATCCTAAAATCGTCAAGAGTTTGTAGCTAGTATCAAATGTTTGTTAAGCTCTGCAAATAAGTAGTAATGTAATTATGGAGTACTATGTGCTTGCCACTGACAGATACAACTTTACTTTTTCATCTGACTATTCGTTTATTCTGTATTCAGTGGAGCTAGTTCTTCCATTGGCCATAGATTAAACACATGAATAAGACCATACATTTTTGTTCTACACCATACAATTTCTATAGTTAGTTTACGTAGCAAAATAAAAGACTCAACAGTACATTTAAAATACCCAATCTTTCTGTAATAAGGTCAAAGCTTTTGTTGGTATTCATATTCCTTCCTCCTTCTCCAGCTTGGGTTTGCAGCACACAAGAAGCCTATACCCAGTTAAGGTGAGAGTGTTTCTATATTTTTAGTTATCAGCCTTAAAACTTCACTTCTCTTCTATCTTGTCATCACAGATACAAAATTGCAAGCTATAACAATTAGGAAAGTTATAACTTGAGACGTCCTCACAAACTCTTATTCCTTTAGATTACAGCCAAATTTTTCTCATTAGCTTTTGTGTGTGTGTGTTTCCTAGAGTTTAGAAGTCTCTCACCGACCTTTTTTTTTTTTTTTGGACAAAAAAAATCCATGCTCCGTTAGATGGTAAAAGTATTGCCTACCCTCCTGCTTGATACATGTTTGTAGGTAGTACCCTTTACACAGAGTATCTGTTTCAGTTTCATTGCCCTTCCAACCTTGGTACTTCATGTTTGAATCTTAGGAAAACCTCATACTTTCTTTGGCCTAAGAAACTTGAGAATTTTTTGCTATCAAATACAGCCATCTCTTCTTAACTCTGTAGGTTTTCCAGACAAAATTCAGACATGAGCTTATTCAATTTGCCCCTCCCGCTTCAATTGCAAAGGACTCCTATTAAGTCCTACAAGAAGTTGCATTCTCAGCTCCACATTCCTGGCATGGGGTGAATGATAAATAAGATAATTGCTCCATAAAGGGTTATCAGTGGAAACTACCCTTGTCAGGTAATAAATACGAATAAGTTTTCTCTCAAGCAATTACTGTAAAATCCCTTCTGAAATATGTAAGTTTTCCATAACCTTAATTTGGATGATAAAGTTTATTATTTGTATATATAATTTTTGGATAAATACTATTTACAGGTCTTTCAAGGGGACTTTAACTCATTTTATAATTTTATATCTGTGATGAATTTGCTAAAATAGATAGAACATGAGTCCACTTAAATAATTTAGCATTAGATTCTTAAATTTATTCTAAAAATTTAGATCCATAGTTTAGCATCTGATCCTTAAATTTATTCTAAAAAAATCAAATTTAAATGTACATTTTATCATCTATTATGTCAAAGCACAGAGAAAATGCAACACAGAAAGAGATTGACATAGTTGGTGGCCTCCAAGAAATTATTCCTAGATTAGTGAACCACATGTCCACTGTGATCATCCTGTTCTCCTTCTACACACAATTTTTCCTTATTCTAAATAATGCCATTTTCCATATACAATGAAGTACGTAAAAATATTTTCTCTTTATTCTTTTTTGGATGGACATATTTCTTAGTTAAATTCTAAAACCCTGAAGAGAAGAATTATATATTTAATTATTTATATTCATCTAACATATTAACAATATCACAGTGTGTTGCTCAGAAAGGTCATATATTATTTGACATGAAATAGATATTTTCAGCAATTTAACTAATATGTATACTGGTCCAAATGCTCCCTTCTTCATACATTTGGATTCTAATTTTATAACATTGAAATATGTGGAATATCATTTTCTCAGCAGCAATTCAATACTGTAATTTTGCTTTAAGAGTGTTTTTTGTTGTTTATTCTTATCTTCTTTATACTTTCTTCAGTATAAAATTAGATAAACAATAACCAGGAATTAAAGGCAAATACATAGATTATAAATGTCTTTCTACTCTAAAATACATTTGTTAATTAATTCAGGTGAAATTTGATTAACCCCTACTGGAAATCAAGCTGTATTAATAAGTTTAATTTGTCATTTAATTTTTAAAAGGAAGGTTTTATTTGGAGGTGGCCATTTCCTACAAGGAACGGCCTGTGAGGATGTTAGGACTTCTCAAGAAAATGATAGAAGACTAGTGAAAGTAAGTGGGTTGCTAGAGAGAAAGTACTATATCATCCTGAAGTCACATCATTAGGATAAATGCTTAATTTAAAAAAAAGTTAAAGAACATTTGGTCTGTCTCTCTCTCTCTCGCACACCCACACTCAGTGATATTTAAAGCAACAACTTTAAAACCAAGGAAGAAAAGGAGCAAATAAGAGGAAATGCTAAAAAAAAAGAAGTGCAGTTATACTGTTTATTAAGGTGATATTTCTCAGAAACAGAGCCTGTAACATATCTCATTGCATACACGCAATCCTGAAATTGTTGGCCATGATAAAAAATAAACAAAACAAAAAAATCACATGTACTTAGCTCTTCATTTTCCCTGAGCTATTCTTCTGCTCTCATCTCATATCTACTATTACAATCTTCTTAAGTTGGGAGCAACTAGGCAATGTTTGATGATAAATTAATGACACCATTAGCAATCTAAGATAATCTCTCTGAAAATTTACTATACTATTTATTCCTTTAGTGAGGCTCATAAAATTGAGTATATTGTTTCTCTTTTAGTTTAATATTGTTTTGTCATGTGGATAATAAGAATTATAGAAGACCTACAAAGTTTTTTTTAAACACTTAATGTTTAAATCTATATATCTTGAATAAGATTTATTATATTTCTTGTACATGCAATGATGCTTAATTACCCACTTAATACATTTTTCTTAAAAATTTTTCTAAAAGATTTAATATTCCATGTACCAATACTCCATGTGCAATAAGGCAAATATTTGCTGTACTTGTTTAAGCCAGGGGAGTATCTACATTTTTCTCAGCTTTTTCTATCGAGATACAATTGACAAAAAATTGCAAATATTTGTAAAATGTTGCAGATATTTTCAAGTTATAAAACATGATGTACTCATATACATATACATTGTAAAACAATTATAATAATGAAGCTAATTAAGATATCCATCGCCTCACTTAGGTACCTTTTTTGTGTACGTGGTGAGAATAATTAAGTTCTTCTCCCTTAGCAAATTTCAAGTATACGTAATAGTATTAACTATAGTTGCCATGCTACACGTTAGGTATCTAGAACTTATTCATCTTATAAATGCAAGTTTGTGTCATTTGACCAACATTTTCTCTTATCCTCTACCCCCCAAACCTAGTAAGCATTCTTCTCCTCTCTGTATCTATGACTTTTACTCTTTTAGATATTACATATAAATGAGATTATGCAACATTTGTCTTTTTTGTGCCTGGCTTATTTCACTTAGCACAATATGCTTCAAAATCATCCATGTTGTGTAAATGGCAGTATGTTCCTCTTTTCTAATGTGGACTAATATTCATATATAGAGATATAAAGACAAATATTCATATAGAGATATAAATAAGATCATTGTTCCATAATAACATTCATCAGAAGAATCTATCCTTATCAGGTAATAAATATAAGAAAGCTTTCTCTCAAGCAATTACCATAAAATCACTTCTGAAATATTTAAGTTTTCCATAAGCTCAATATGGATGATAAAGTTCACTAGTTGTCTATATAATTTCTAGGTAAATATTATCATATTTGGGTATGTGCACAAATAAACTTTATCATCTAAATTGGGTAAATACTGTGGGATATACATATGCATATACATATATCCCACAGGGTTGTTGTGGTTTTTTTTTTTTAATACAAGCATCTGTTAACAGATACATAGGTTGTTTGCATATCTTGGCTATTGTGAATAAAACTGCAATAAACAAGTAAGTAAAGCCCCCCTTCAAGATAGTGATTTTATTCCCTTTGCATATGTAGCCTAAAGTAGGATTGTTAAATAATATGGTAGTTCTATTTTTAATTTTTGATTACACTCTATATAGTTTTACTAATGCTTGTACCAATTTACATTCCCACCAACAATGTTTGTGAGGGTTCCTTTTTCACTAAACCTTCATCAACACTTAACTTCTAAATATTTTATGCCATTCTAACAAATGTGAGATGATAATTCATTGTGATTTTGATTTGCTTTACTCTAGTGATTAATGATGTTGAGCACCTTTTTATGTATGTGTTGGCCATTTGTATGTCTTCCTTTCAGAAATGTCTATTTAAAACATTTTTTTCTACTTTTTAGCTGTTTGTTTTTTTACAGTTGAGTTGCATGCATTTTTTTCTATATTTTAGATATTAACACATTATAAGATATAGTTTGCAAATATTTTTCCCATTCCATGAATTGTCTTGGCATTTTGTTGATTGCTTCCTTTGCAGAAATGTTTTCATTTGATATAGTCCCACATGTTTATTTTTGCTTTCGTTGCTTGTGCTTTAGGTGTCAGATCTAACAAATATATATTGGCAAGATCAGTGTCCTGGAACTTTTCCTCTGTGTTTTCATGTAGGAGTTTTATGGTTTCAGGTCTTAACGTTTAAGTCTTTATTCCATTTTGAGTTGATATTTAAGTGTTGTGTGAGATAAAAATTTAATTTCTTTTTTTTTATTTGGCATGTGAATATCCAGTTTTCTCAAGGCCATTTATTGAAAAGGATATCATTTCTCCATTGTGTTTTCTTGGCACCTTAGTTTAAGATTAGGTGACCATATGTGCTTAGGTTTATTTCTGGCTTTCTATTCTGATCAATTGTTCCACATATCTGTGTTTATCTGATGCAAAACATCATGATGTTTTGAAATCAGAGAGTGTCATGCCTCCATCTTTGTTTTTTGGGTTTTTTTGCTTTTTTTTTTGGTTCAAGATTGCTTTACCTATTCAGAGTCTTTTGTGGTTTCATAAAATTCTAGAACTATTATTTCTATTTCTGTAAAAAGTGTCATTGGAATATTGATAGACATTTTATTGAATCCATAAATCACTTTGGGAAGAAAGGACATTTTGACAATATTCATTATTCTGATCCATGACATGGGATATATTTTCATTTATTTGTGTCATCTTCAATTTCTTTCATCAATGTTATAGTTTTTAGTGTACAACTTTTTCCCTCTTGGTTAAATTTGTTCCTAAGTATTTTATTCTTCTTGATAATATTAGAAATGAGATTGCTCTCTTAATATTTTTTGGATACACTATTGTTATTCTGCATGTTAATTTTGTATCCTGAAGTTTTACTCAATTTATTTGTTGGTTCTTCCTTTTTTGGTAGAGTCTTCAGGGTTATCTATATATAAAATTTTGCCATTTGCAATAAAAAACAATTTTACTTTTTCCTTTCTGACTTGGACATATTTTATTTCTTTTTCTTGTCTTATTGTTATGGATAGAACCTTCAGCACAATACTGAACAGAAGAGGTTAAACTGAGCATCCTTGTCTTGTTCCTGATCTTATAGAAAAAACTTTCAGCTTCTTACTGTTAAGAGTTATGTTTGCTATATGATTGTGATATGCTTTTTATTGTGTTGAAGTACTTTCTTTCTACACATTATTTTCTGAGAGTTTTTATCATGAAAGCATGCTTAATTTTGTCAAGTGATTACTGTTAATCTATTGAGATCATCATTACGTTATTGTTTTTCATTATGTTAATATGGTATAACACATTTATTGATTTGTATATGTTGAATCATCCTTACATCTCAGGGGTAAACCTCACTCAATCATGGCATATGGTCCTTTGAATGTGTTGTTGAATTCAGTATACTAGCATTTTGTTGAGGAGTTTTGCATCTGTTCTCCTCAGAGACACTGACCTGTAATTTTTTTCTCTTACAGCATCCTTGTCTGGTTTTGGTATCAGGTTAATATTGGACTCATATAATCAATTTGAAAGTACTCCCTCCTCAGCTTTTTGCAGGTGTTTGAGAAGGATTGATATCATAGTCTTCTTTAAATATTGGGTAGAATTTACCAGTGAAGCCATCAGGTCTTCAGCTTTTATTTGTTTGGAGGTATTTTCCTAGAGATTAAATCTTCTGACTCATTATTGACCTGTTAAAATTACTTATTTCTTTGTGATTTAGTCCTGGTAGGTTGTATATTTATACTAATTCATCAATTTCTTCTAGATTATCCAATTTTCTGTCATGTAATTACTCATAGTAGTCTCATGATTTTTGTATTTCTGTGATAAGAGTTATAATGTCTCCTCTTCCATTTATGAGTTTAGTTGCTTATTCAAAAAACCAACTCAGTTTTATTGATCTTTTCTACTGTTTATCTAGTTTCTATTTCATTTATTTCTGCTATGACGTTTGTTAAATTCCTCCTTCTGCTACCTTTGGTATTGGATTGTTCTTCCTCTAGTTCCTTAAGGTATAAAGTAAGTTTTTCTGATATTTTCTTTTTACCTAGACTTTATTGCTAAAATCTTTCTTGGAACTGTTTTGGCAGCATTTGATAAGTTTTGGAATGTTGTGTTTCATTTTCATGTCTTAAGATATTTTGGACTACCTTTTGGATTTCTTCTTTGCCCACTTGATTGTTCAATAATATTTGTTTTGTCTCCACATATTTTTTTAATTTTACAGTTTTCCTCTTGTTATTGATTTCTAGTTTCATGGCATTATCACCAGACAAGATATTTCATATAATTTCAATCTTCTTAAATTTCTAAGACTTGCTTTCTGGCCTAGCTTATTATTTATTCTGGAGAGGGTGCATGTATATTTGAGAAGAATGTGTATGCTGCTGCTTTGAGATGAAATATTCTGTATACGCTTTTTAAAGTTTGTTTGATCTGAGGTACTATCCAAGTCCAATATTTTCTTTTTGATTTTGTGTCGGAAAGCTCTATCCATTGTTAAAATTGGAGTATTAAAATCCCCTAGTATTATTATATTGCTATGTCTCCTTTCAGGTCTATTAATAGTTGCTTTATATATTTAGATGCTCCAATGTTGAGTGCCTATATGTTTATAATTTTTATATCTTCTTGAAAAATTGCCACACATTATATTAAAAATTCAAACTGGTACCCCTAAGGCAGGAAGCCTAAGCCTGTACTTCTTCTCCTAAGCTAGTTTTGGAACTTTATAGCACAATTTGTTCTTGTTAATGGGACTCTGCAGGCAGTGAGTGGCTAAACGTGAAATTCACTTACAACAATATGGAAAGATGTTAATGGAGATATACATATAACAGAGACAGGTCCTCAGTCATTTAATAAAGTAGATAGGGTGTGAGCACATGCAGGAATGCCACAGCCATGCTCCTGTCAGTACCCCACCTAAGCCAATGTGTGTGCACCCCATTGTGGCTGCAGGGACATGCAAGTGGGCACAGATCCCTCTGCCACCACCCTGATGAAGCACTTTGGTTGGCCCTACCCATCAGAGTGTTGGAGCTATTAGTAGAATGAGAACACCTTAGCCCCTCTAGTGCATCAAGTTTCTAAAGTCAAGGGGCCAGATAGCAAAATTCTGGGCCTTGTCCCAGGCCTGTTAGAGTTAAAGTCCAGGATTACTGAGCTGATATTTTCCCCCTAAAATTATCCAGAAACAAAGCCAGCCAAATGAATACACCCTATATCACGATCAATCCCCCAAGGACATCAAGAAAGATAAAAGCAAAAATCCTAATTAAATGACAGCAACCTAAAAGACTGAAGGAACATCAGCCCAAACAGATGAGAAAGAGCCCATGAAATAATTCTTCCAACTCACAAAGCCAGAATGAATTCTTACCTCCAAATAAGTGCACTAGTTCCCCAGCAATGTTTTTAACAGGCTGAAAATGATGAAATGACAGAAATATAGCTCAGCATATGGATTAGAATAAAAATCATTGAGAATCACGAAAAACTTGAAATCTAATCAAAAAATTTAAGGAATACAATTAAACAGTAAGGGAGATAAAAGACAAAATGACCATTTTAAGAAAGAACCAATGTGATCTGATAAGAGCTGAAAAACTCCAAGAATTTCCTAATACAATTTCAAGTATTAACAGCAGAATTGACCAAGCTGAGGAAAGAATCTCAGAACTTGAACATAAGTTACCCAAAATAACTTAATCAGACAAACATAAAGAAAAAAGACAAATAAAATGCCCAAGAAATATGGGATTAAGTAAAAAGACCAAATTTACGACTCATTAGTGTTCCTGAAAGAGATGGGGAGAGTGTAAGCAACTTGGAAAACATATTTGAAGGTATCGTCCATGAAAATTTTTACAACCTCAGTAGAGAGGTCAACATTCAAATTCAGGAAATGTAGAAAACTTCTGTGAGATGCTATGCAAGATGACCATCTACTAGACACATAGTCACCAGATTCTCAAAGGTCGAAATGAAATAAAAAATGTTAAAGTCAGCTAGAAAGAAGGGGCAGGTCATCTATAAACGAAATGCCATCAGGCTAACATTGGAACTTTCAGCAGAAACCTTATAAGCCGGAAGAGATTAGGGGTTTATATTTAGCATTCATGAAGAAAAGAAGTTCCAATCAAGAATTTCATATACAGTCAAACTAAGCTTTATATGCAAAGGAGAAATAAGAACACTTTCAGACAAACAAATGCTAGGGGATTTTGCTACCACCAGACCTGACTTATAAAAGGTATTAAGGGAGTGCTAAATGTGGAAAGGAAATACCATTACCAGCCACCACAAATATACACTTAAGTACATAGACCACTGACAATATAAAGCAACCACACAATTAAATCTGCATAATAACCAGCTAACCGACATAATGACAGGATCAAGTCTGCCCATATCAATATTAATCTTGAATGTAAACAGGCTGAATGCTCCACTTAAAAGGCACAGAGTGGCAAGTTAAATAAAGAAGGAAGATCCAAGTGTATGCTGTCTTCAAAAAACTGATTTGACATGCAAAGATACCCATCAACTCAAAGTAAATGGATGGAGAAAATTCTACCAATCAAAGAGAAAAGAGAAGAAAGCAGGCATCACTCTTCTAATTTCAGACAAAGCAGACTTTAAACCAACAAGATAAAGAAGACAAAGAAGGGCATTACATAGTGGTAGAGAGTTCAATTCAACAAGAAGAACTAATTATCCTAAATATATATGCACCCAGCACAGGAGGACCCAGATTCATAAAGTAATTCTTAGAGACCTATGAAAAAAGTTAAATAACCACACAATAATAGTAGGAGACTTCAACACACCCCACCGACAGTAGTAGACAGATCATCAAAGCAGGAAACTTACAAAGATATTGGGAACCAGAACTTGACACTTGGTCAAACAGACCTAACACATCTACAGAACTCTCCACCAAAAATCACAGAATATATATTATTCTTATATGCGCATAATCTAAAATGGATCACATAATTGTGAACCAAAAAAATCAGCAAAATCAAAAACCCTAAAATCATACCAACAACTCTCTCAGACCACAGCAAAATAAAGTAGAAATCAGTACTAAGGAAGGTGCTCTACATTATACAATTACATGGAAATTAAACAACCTGCTTCTGAATGATTTTGGATAAATAATGAAATTAAGGCAGAAATCAAGAAATTATTTTAAACCAATGAGAAAAAGTACAACATACCAGAATCTTGGGACATAGCCGAAGCAT
Organism: Homo sapiens; assembly: GCF_000001405.40. Classification (NCBI taxonomy): domain Eukaryota; kingdom Metazoa; phylum Chordata; class Mammalia; order Primates; family Hominidae; genus Homo; species Homo sapiens. Next base: position 66,073,172 of record NC_000004.12, on the reverse strand, counting down.
ATTTAAGAGGGAAATTTATAGTGTTAGATGCTCACATCAAAATTTAGAAAGAGTTCATATTAACAAACTAACATTACACCTAGAAGAACAAGAAAAATAAGATCAAACCAATACCAAAGCTAGCAGAAGACCAGAAATAACCAAAATTAGAACTGAAATGAAGAAAATAGAAATAGAAAAATTATGCAAAAGATTAATGAATCCAAGTGTTGGTTACTTGAAAGAATAAATAAAATTGGTATACCACTAGTTATACAAATAAAGAAAATGAGTAGATAAAAATAAACATAATCAGAAATAAAATAGGGAATGTTATCACTGAACCTACGAAAATTCCCTCAGAGACTATTATGCTCACATATATGAAAACAATAAAAAAAAACCTAGAATAAATAGATAAATTCCTGAAATCATACAACCTCCCAAGATTGAATGAGGAAGAGATTAAATAGCTGAATAGATCACTAACGAGTTGTGAAATTGAATCAGAAATTAAAAGTAAAAGCCTACCAACCAGAAAAAACCCAGGACCCACTGTATTCACACCAAAATTCTACCAGGTGTATAAGAAAGAGCTGGTACCATTCCTACTAAAACTATTCCAAAAAAAAAAATGAGGAGGAGTGACTCCTACCTAACCCATTCTATAAGGTAAGCATTATCCTGATACCAAAACCTGGCAGAGACAGAACAAGAACAACAAAAAACTTCAGGCCAATATTATTGATGAACATTGGTGTAAAAATATTCAGCAAAATACTAGCAAACTGAATACAGTAGCACGTCAAAAAGCTAATTCACCACAATCGAGTAGCATTTATCCCTGGGATGTAAGATTGATTCTACATATGCAGATCAATAAACATAATTCATCACATAAACAGAACAAAAAATAAAAATCATATGATCACCTCAATAGATACAGAAAAGACTTATGATGAAATTCAATATCTTTCACACTAAAAACCCTCAACAAACAAGACATTGAAGGAACATACCTCAACATAATGAAAGGAATCTATGACAAAACCACTGCCAACATCTTACTGAATGGAAAACGCTGGAAGCATTCCCCTTAAGAACCAGAACAAAACAATGATGTCAACTCACCACTCCTCTTCAACATAGTACAGGAAGTCTTAGATAAATCAGGCAATAGAAACAAAACAAACAAACAAACAAAAAACGGCATCTACATAGGAGGAGAGGAAGTCAAACTATCTCTGTTTGCAATAATATGAATGTATACCTAGAACACCCCATACTGTCTTCCCAAAAGCTACTAGATCTGAAACACAACTTCAGCAGAGTTTCGGGATATAAAATCAGTGTAAAAAATTAGTAGCATTTTTATTACACCAACAACATTCAAGCTGAGAGCCAAATCAATAACACAATCTCATTCACAATAGTACAAGGAAAATAAAATAGTTGGGAATACAGCTAACCAAGGAGGTGAAAGATCTCTACAATTAGAATTATAAAAGATTGATCAAAGAAATCAGAGATGACACAAACAAATGGAGAAACAGTCCATGATCATGGCTAAAAAGAATCAATATTATTAAAATAGCCATACTGCTCAAAGCAATTTGTATGTTCAGTTCTATTCCTATCGTTCAACTAATGATGTTCTTCACAGAATTAGGAAAAGTTATCTTAAAATTTACCTGGAACCACCAGGCATGGTGGCTCGGGCCTGTAATCCCAGCACTGAGGTGGGCAGAGCACGAGGTCGGGAGTTTGAGACCAGCCTGCCTAACACGGTGAAACTCTGTCTCTACTAAAAATACAAAAATTAGCCGGGTGTGGTGGCGCATGCCTTAGTCCCAGCTACTCAGGAAGCTGAGGCAGAAGAATCACTTGAATCCATGAGGAGGAGGTTGCAGTTAACCGAGATCGCACTACTGCACTCCAGCCTGGGCAACAGAGAAAGACTTCATCTCAAAATAAATAAATAAATAAATAAATAAATAAATCTGGAACATAAAAGATCTCAAATAGCCAAGGCAATCCTAAGCAAAATGAACAAAGCCACCAGCATCACACTACCCAGCTTCAGACTATACTGTAAGGTTATAGTAGCAAAAACAGCATTGTGCTGGTATGAAAACAGACACATAGACCACTGGAACAGAACAGAGAGCCCAGAAATAAAGCTACACACTGACAACTGACTGATTTTCAAAAAAGTTGACAGATACAAGCAGTGTGGAAAGGACTTCCTATTCAATAAATGGTACTAGGATCACTGGATAGCCATATGCAGAAGACTGTAATGAGACCCCTTCCTTACACCATATACAAAAGCTAATTCAAGATGGATTAAAGACTTAAATGTAAAACCTCCAAGTATAAAAACCCTGGAATATAACTTAAGAAATAATATTCTGAACATAGGCTCTGACAAAAATTTTATTACAAGCATGCCAAAAGTGCAATTGCAACAAAAAGAAACATTGAAAAATAGGACCTAATTAAACTAAAGAGTTTTGACACAAATAAACTATTAACAGAGTAAACAGACAATCTACAAAATGGGAAAAAATATATTTGCAAACTTTGCATCCAACAACAATCTAATATCCAACATCTATAAGAAACTTAAATTTACAAACAAAACAACTCCATTAAAACATGAGCAAAATACATGAACAGACACTTTTCAAAAGAAGACATACCTGTAGCCAACAAGCACAGGAGAATATGTTCTATATCACTAATCATCAGAGAAATATAAACCAAAACCACAATAAGATGCCATTTTACACCAGTCAGAATGGCTATAATTTAGAAGTCAAAAAAACAACAGATGCTGGCAAGGCTATGGAGCAAAGATAATGCTTATACCCTACCTTATGAACTTAATTATTTCAGCCACTGTGGAAAGCAGTTTGACATTTCTCAAAGAACTACCATTTGACCCACCAATCTCATTGTTGGGTATATACCCAAAGGAATATAAATTGTTCTACCATAAAGACACATGCATGCGTATGTTTATTGTAGCACTATTTACAGTAACAAAAACATGGAATCAACCTCAATGTTCATGAACATTGGACTGGATAAAAAAAATTGTGGTATATGTATGTAGCATGGAATACTATTCAGCCATAAAAAGAACAAGATCATGTCCTTTGTAGCAACATAGATAAAGCTGGAAGCCATTATCCTAAGAGAACTAACACAGGAACACAAAGCCAAACACTGCATATTCTCATTTATAAGTGGGAGTGAAATATTGAGTACACATAGACACAAAGAAAAAAGCAAGAGACACTGGAGCCTACTTGAGGGTTGAAGGTCAGAAGAGGGTGAGAATCAAAAAACTACCTATCAGGTACTATGCTTATTACCTGGGTGACAAAATAATCCGTACACCAAATTCCTGACATACAAGCTATCTATACAACAAACCTGCACATGTACTATTAAACCTAAAATAAAAGTTTAAAAAATAACCTTCTTTGTCTCTTTATACAGTTTTTTGCTTAAAGTCTAGATTGTCTGATAGAAGTATAACTACCCCCACTCTATTTTGTTTCCCATTTGCATCAAATATCTTTTTGCATCCTTTCACTTAGAGTCTATTTGTTTGGTTAAGTGGTGAAGTGAATCTCTTGTAGGCAGAATATAGTTGAGCATTTTTATTTAATTCATTCTGCTCTTGTATGTCTTTTCACTAGAGAATTTAATCCATGTACATTCAGGTAATTACTGATAGGTAAGAACTTACTATTGTCATTTTGTGAATTGTTTCCTGGCTATTTTGTAGATCCTTTGTTGCTTTCTTCCTCTCTTGTTTTCTTCTTTTGGTTTGATTTGATTATTTTTTGTAGTGGTATGCTATGATTCCTTTCTCATTTATTTTTGTGTACCTAATGTTAGTTTTTTCTTTGTGGTTATCATGAGTCTTATGCAAAACATGTTGTAATCATTATTCTCTTTTTAAAGCAGATAGCAACTTAACTTTGATTGCATACAAATACTCCAGCTTTTACTCCTCGCCCTATTTAATGTTTTGATGTTACAGTTTACATCTTCTTATATTGTATATCCGTTAACCAATTATTGTAGTTATAGTTATTTTTAATACTTTTAGTTTTTAACCTTCATGCTAGTTATATGTGATTTACATGCCGCCATTACAGTATTATTCTGAAATGTATACTAAGTATCCATTTGCCAGGGAATTTTATACTTTCATGTGTTTTATGTTACCAATTAACACCCTAATACTCTTCCAATAGCGCATGCTAGAACGTCCCTGCTGGACTCCAAGACTCACACAAAGGTGTTCTTGTACATGGAAAGTTGCTAAAGTCAGTGCTTCTATGAGGAATGATGGTAGAAAGCTTCTATCTGCCATTTCAGTCAGAAGTATTTGCTTTAACTGCAAAGTTTTCTTTGCTATATCAGGACCTATGAGATTTACTGGACCATTAAAACCATTCACCTCTCATTTACAGTAACATATTTAGAGCATGAGTGTCAAGTGCCAATAAGCTAGCACTTAAATAATGTCTATAAGAGGAAACAAAATGCATACACATATATATAAACACAACTATGCTTGCATGCACAAAATTTCTCATCTGTATTCCAGAAAGTCTCCTTAAAGGAGAGAAAATTGAGCCAGTTCACTCAAATTATTAATTTCTTGGAATTTTCACCAGTTTTGAAATTTGCAAAACTTTCAGTAATTGCCATTACTTTTCACTATATCACTTTAATATGAAAATTGTTTCTCTGACTTAAAACTTTTAACTCACCACTGAAACAATATTCTCTAGCTAGAGATTAATTAACAACATATCAGAGGCGGCAGACATCTGCAGGCAAAAGAAACTGCAGATATTCCCAGAGGCCTCCATTACATTGATTTGTAAACAAACAAACAAACAAACAAAAAAACAAGAGAAGAGCTGAAATCTAGATCTAGCATCTTATCCGTTAGGTAAAAATCATCTGAATACCTGGCATATATCACTGACATGTTGCTATTGGTAGTCCTGCAGTTAATTTAACTATTGTCAAAGGAACTTACTAGAGTTAATTTTTGTTATATACAGTACATATAAATTAGCTTTAAATTAATTTATTATTCTGTTATTCTACTATATGTACATAATTTTGTTATTTTATAGCTAATATATTTAAAATTTTGACTAATTAATACTAACAAAGGACTTATTGAAAAAGAATATTTGTAGTATTTTTTAATTAATTAATTTAATTCATTTCTATTTTGGCCTTGATTTGGTTTAAATTTTCCCTCTATTTTGAGACACTTAAAATCTAATGAGTATACTATAAAGCTGTAGAGGAGACATTCAAATTTTTGTTTCTATTTTTCCTAATAAGTGCTGAAATGAAAAGTAAACATGTTAAGAATACAGTATGAATATAAACATATACAGTGAACAGCATGAACAAGATCTACTGGCACAAAGAAACCCATGATAGAGCCATTAGAATTATTGTACAAATCTGCCTGTTATTTCCCAGCTAAACTTTACATTAGAATCTTGCTACAAAGTAGCAACTTTCCAAAGTTACAGACCCATTTTAATAATAATGTGCTTGCTTAATGTATCTAATTTTGGTATTGGGAAGGGATTCTTCAATAAATTGCTTTCAGAGTCTTAAAAAAACGCTCTGCATTTCAGTGCCAAACTAATATTAGGCTGTTCAATAGTCATACATTTATTAAAGTTGACTCTCAATAATGTTTTCAAAACTAACTCATTATAGATAAATGTATACTTTCTATTACTAATGATGTTCAAAAGAATGTGTCATAATTTCTGAAATGAAAAAAAAAATACATCGTAGTAACTTTAAAACACTTTTTGAGAGGGACAAAGTTGTTTAGGTAAATATAAAGTCTCCCAAGCAGAATATTTTGAAAATCAAGAATATCTTACATAGTTTTACTTTGAAATGAATGCCAAATAATTAATTTTATGCAGTACATTTATTGCACTTAGCATTCAACTCCTTAAAATAACTTGATTACTAGTCTGTTTTTATAACGTATTAATGTACTCAACACCTTAATACACTGCTGTACAGAAACAGATATAAATGTGTGTGTATGCAATTACTCTTCAACCAATGTTGCAGATTTCAACTTTAATGTTTCTATGTTTTAGTTTCACCTAGTAAGCACAATTTCTCCTTTAATAATTGGAGACTGTGAAGTAAAAATATGAGTTTTTAAAAAGGACAAAGTGTTCTCCCAAGGAGACTTGGAGAGTCTGAGAAAATACGAAAGTGTCATTTAGTCTATTTTTATTATGTCTCCAGAGAGCTTAGATACTCTGCAGTTTTCTCCCTAAAAAAGTTTATGTCCAAAGTAATAACCCTCATCAACTTTTCATCTATATTACTGTTTCTACATTTGTAAAGTTAAAAATAAGTCTAAAGAAAATAATCTAAACCTTTTGCTACTATTATCATGTTGTAAATAATTGGCATGAGAAACTTTTAGAGGAAGATTTGTGCCAGTTTAGTAAGAGGAAGAAAATGGCAAGGTGTGATATAACTGAGGTTAAGCCTAAGACAAATGTAATAGTTCAAGACCTTTCCCCGGGCACAAATTTTGCAGCCCAAGCACCAGTACTGAGAGATATCAACTCTATTCTTGCTCTGTCCTCAACTTGCTGTAAGAATCTGAATAAAATATTTATTTGCCTAAAATTCTTCATTTGTAAAAGTGAGAACTTATTAAACTCACTGGAATTTATACTAATGTTAATTTAAATTCCTTAGAAGTTACTACTGGAATATATGAGATATACTATAATTTTGAATAGAATAAGCAAATATTTTGTAGTTAGGTTACAAATTTAAAGCATTGTCAAGATGTTATAGAATTCTAAAGTCAAAAAATCAATTTAGGCAAAAATATAGTAGGTAATAATATTTCTTTAATACCTCCACTCTACCCATTATTTTTATATTTACTATTTCCTAACCATTTTTTTCCCTGTTAATTTCATATTACCCTATTATTTGAAACAAATCATAAGAAACAAATATAAATAAATGAATAAATAAAACCAATGACATGATAATGTAATTCATATCAAATTATCGATGATCTTTTTCTTTCATTTATAACAGGTAAATTTGTAATTTAAATAAAACCAAAGGGAAAAGGTTCAACCAGAACAATGAATGCACACTTGTTCAATTTTGGAATCAAAGTTAGAGAAATATTGTTTTGCATGATAGCACAGAGGAATAGGTATTCTCATCATGCTGATATGTCTCTACTCTGCTAGTCTCACAGAGGTGGCTTCCCTTTCTTTCAAAAATCTGCCAGTGCAACCAGCAGCTCTAAATTGGAAAAAAATCGCTGTTCTTAACTCCTTGACACATTTGTATAACAACTTCATTCTATATTTTGATTTGGGTTCTTTGATCACCTCTTTATTTGACAATAATTTTGTAATTATAAAATTTAAAGTTTGCATTTTGTAATGTACAATTTTTAATTGTAAATGAAACATTTTGTAATATGAGAAGAGATCATCTTTAGCATTATTTCATCATTTTTATTACTGTAAAATGGTGTACTGAGCATTTATTATTGTATATATAAGGGGTATATAGGGTTTAAGCTGCCTTTATAAATATTAGTAGAGGTAATAACTATTGGAGTAATTAGAAGGACTAGGGAAGTTATAGTAAGGGAAGAAAATACATTTATCACTTTTATTTGGAGTTGCACCAATGTTTTTGGTTCCTAAGACCAACAGAAAACTCTTATCCTTTAAAAGTTGAGAAAGTTATATTGTTAAATTTGGGGTCATGAGTTATGGGGACTGCGTAATCAAATATCTTTCTAGCAGAAGAGAACTTCCATTTTTACTAAGCAATTGTAAGAAGCAAGTTTTTATTTATAATTTTGAATATCTAAATTTGGGAGAATTTTTTAAAGACTAGCTTCAGGCACATTCTGCTGCTTCTCCATTACCTACACATTCCAGGGCTGTGTGTTTTAGGACATACTAATGTAGAAATTAGCTGTAGATATGGATATGGATGTAAATGTAGATGTAGATATAAATATAAAATAATTGAACAAAGCACAGATTTTCTATGTAGAATATGATGCTAAGATGTATATTAATATCCCTATAGCAAACGCTGAGATAATAATTTAAAAGTTTGTCTAAAATGATCAAAGTACATCAGCGACTGTCATACCTGGCCATTCATAAGCCCCCAATAAGTACATTGTTACGCACTACCAGGCATTAGGCCTGGAGGTTATTTTTCACCATTTTGGTTGAGACCCATGTATAACAATGTTTCAATAAAACTGTACTGAATTTACAAAAACAGATAGTGGCTGTATTTGGCCTTGAGGCTGTATTTTTTCAACTACTATTCTAGGTGATTAAGGGAGAAATTAGTATAGCATTAAGCTCCATAAAAATGAAAATATTAGTTTGATATTTTTATTTGTTATACCTCTCATTTAATCACTTAAGCAATGGTATTTGTTTTGCAGGCAAGTAGAATTTAATGGCAGGTTAAAATATACATTAATGAAAGGTGAACATTCAATGAGTTGTAATAAATGCTTTGCAGGTTGTAAACATGTAAGCACGAAGTATAAAAAGCGTATGGAGACCCTATGGAGCTGTAACACTGAAAAAATAAATGGAACAAGATGATGCAAGAAGCAAAACATTTATACATAGAAGATTTGTGATTATGATTTTAAATAATATATTTGCATTTTATGTTCTATCAGCCTGGTTATTGTTGGGAAATAAAAATCATAAACAAACCTATAAGTGACAAAATGACTGGAATATTGAGAGTTGTCATAAGACCTGGATCAGTTTTTTTTTTAATTATAAAAGTCTATGGGTTATTACATCATCAAAAATAACAAAAGGTAGCAGCCTTAAATTGTAGAATCTAAAAGAAAACCATAGGTAATAAAGTCTATTCTGTATTATTAATTTAATTGCAAAAAATAATGTAGTACAATGCTAATACACACCCATAATATTAATATGAAAACATGTTTTAAATTACCAAAAATATAACATATTGTCTTTTATTATAATGGTTTATGTACATATATTTTATTATATAAAACTTTTTGGAAATTGTAAATTATATGATGTTTGTTAACTAGGTTTATTTCATTAATGAGAATGACCTATTCTCCTGACAGTCTCAATAAACATTTACTCATATATTCATTTAGAAATATCTAAAATTTAGCTGCAGAAAGCTTACTCCAGAGACATTCAGCATTCTAACAGAAGTTGGAAAATTGAAAGTTCATGAAATGGTCATTTAGGTATTTCTGGATTCTGAGATCACCTTTTCAGCTCATATTTCAATTCAGGCCCTTTTTTCTTTAGAATAGGCTTCTCAAAACCCAGTGGTGACTTTATACATCATATTCATGTGTACTTCACACCACATTTTATTATCATTTCTATAGCCTGTATATCCTTTATGCAAGTCATAAGTACTATGTGACAATTGACATTGTTACTGAATTAATTTCACAGGATATAAATGTATTTCTTCATACTGCCTGTGTCAGGTATCCCAATAATATCCACCTTACTAATTTTAAGGGCTTTCTAAAAATGTATTTGATTAGCAATTTTTAGGGATGATTCCCAATTTCATTCTAGACATTTGTTTAGTGTGCATACTTTTCATATGAGATTTAAAAAATATATTTTAAGTCTACCTTTTTTCTCTTTGTTAACATTACTATGATATCCCTTTAATTTCAAAAATATTCTTCCATTCAAAAAGCTAGCTTTGGGTATATAATGAATTGAGTTTCTCTGACAATGAATTTCAAGTAGATTTTGTGTGTGTGATTATTAAGAGGTAAAAGATACTTCATGTCTTCCTAAAATGAATAATCCATTTATTTAATGGGTGGTTTGTTTGCTTAAGGCACTCTTTCAATTTGTACCACTTGGTAATATACCCACCAGGAGGCAGGTTGGCCTTCTCACCCTAAATGTATTTAATGCTTTCTTCAGCCCCTAGCATCCATTTTCCCTAACCAGTTGGGGCATATCTTGTAAACAGAATAAATAATTAGCTGCTTAACAGCTTCTTACTTGGAACATGAATTTTTAATCACTTAAGTGCAACATGGCAGAATGAGTGAACATATGCCTATATTTCCCTAAGAAAATAATGATCAGAATTACTATTCTCAGCAGAGCTCTTAAAACAAGACAGAGGGGTTTAATGGAGCTTGGTGGCCTTAGGACACTATTCAGTAACCAAGAATGAAGCTAGGTTTCTTAGAAAAATTCTGATTTCTATGTTAAAAAAACAATACCTGTGAGCCAGAAATCTCCCCGACAAATTTCCTTTTAAGTATCCTGCATGCCGTATTAGCAGTCAGAGAGAGCCATGCTTTAGTTGCAGTGTAATACATTTTAATCATGTCCTATCTCTTATTTTTTATATCCTCTCAAAACACAGTAAGAAAATAGAGAATTCTTTATATGTTATTTTAATACTTGACACCTTTCCCTAGAATTATTTTTCCTTTTTCTAGAAATAGAGTTGTTCATATCTTTCATTACTATAAAGTTTCCACCTCCCCTTTTCCTTCTAGTAATTACAGCAATTTTGCTATAAGGATGATATTGTAAGTCACTGAGAAGCCAATTAGCTTTTTCTGTACATGATTTATAAAAACAGGCTTTTGCATGTCCTGAGACATCTATCCAAAATTAGGTCACATGCCCCAGTTTTAAAATGTTACAGTTCTCCTTTGTCTAATCAGAAAAAAACATTTTGTTAAATGATTTTACATGGGCTCTAACCTTTATTAAATTTTATATGCTAGACAACGGTTTAAAATACTGGGTCTTCTGATTCATTCATTTTTTCTTAAAGTGTCATATCCTGAATTACTCAACAGAAACAAAATTTTAAGCTGACTATGGACGTAAAAGGAACAAGAGGGGAAGATTTTCTTTCTTCTTCCTTTCCTTTCATTTCTTACTATTTTCCTTTTTCTCTCTCTCTCTCTCTTTTGAACTGAAGAAAATAAAAATCTGCTTTCCAATTTAAACCATTAGCAAATCCTGTGGTTGGATGCCATTATGTTACTAATGGATCCACAGTGCAATGTGACACCATTTGTGATCTCCATTGGGAGATATAGGCACATAATACACATGTTTATTTTAAGTCTAAAAGGGTACACTAATGGTTTCAGCACTTTAGTGTTAAGTAATGAAAAATTGTCCCCTTTGGTAAAAAACGTGTTGTAATGTAATCCACGTTTTTGTTGAGATGATAGGGTATTTTCTCTCTTTATTGGAACTATGCTGAGTTTCAAATTATACTCATGACTTAAGATGAGGCATGGACATTCTTGAAGTTTGTTCTAATTAACTCTCAGCCACCTTCTGTCATATATACCTTATACCTCATTCTCACGATCCTCAAGTAGCCACATGGTTCAACGTCCAGTATATTGCTCTAAGACTGTAAACACATTAGGGTGTTATGCTCATGATTTATTAGATCATTGCAGGTCTTTTTTCCTCTTTCGTTTCTTCCTTCCTTTCTTCCTTTCCTTCTTTCTTTCTCTTCTTATTAAATTTCACTTGAATATTTGACAGCTAAACTCTAACAAGATAGATTATTTTTAAAAAGAGAAGACTCTCATTCTTAAACATGATAAACACTTGTCATATTCAAATTTTCAGATGAGGAAACAAAGGCCCCATGAATTTGCCCAAGCAATACATCTCTAAATAGTTAACTTGTTAAAATTTTCTTCTTATTTACTTTTATCTATATTTTATCATCTAAGCAATTGTAGGAAATGACACAATTTACGAATCCAGCCTGACCAACGTGGCAAATCCCTGTCTCTACTAAAAATACAAAAATTAGCCAGGCATGGTGGTGCGTGCCATAGTACCAGCTACTCAGGAGGCTGAGAAAGGAGAATAGCTTGAACCCGGTTGCAGTGAGCTGAAATCTGGCCACTGCACCCCAGCACTCCAGCCTGGTTGACATGAAACTCCATCTCAAAAAAAAAAAAAAAAAAAAAAAAAATCAGCTAGTGGAGATTTTAGGTTTGAGAATGTGGAGGAAACAATTAAATTGGATAAGGGTGTGATGCTTCCAGTTTAGATTCTAAGAAACTGTAGATGTTCAGTGCGTGTAATCAGGGAATACGCACATACTGTGAATCTCTCACATTCTTACCTGCTTCCTGCTTCCCAGGCACTTTTTATCCAGTCAGGTAAGAAGGCAATAAAAAAAGGAAGTAAGAACTTCAGAACAGGCACATTTCTTAGGGAGACAAAGCTGTCAAGTTTTGGTTTTCAAGTATGAGCCTATTTTCTCTCTTTCAAATTCAATCTCTGGTCAGGAGGGAACATTAAATCTAAACAAAATCTGGCATTTGAGAACACATGTAAAATCTGTATGACCCATTATATCATTGGATGGCAAGTGTTGAATATTGCGTGTTACCCAGCATACGGTGATAACATGGATGTTTAGCAGCTATCAAGTCAGATAACCGTGTAACAGCAGAATTCTGAAATATTGCAGAAGGAAGGGGCAGTGGATTGTAGGAGTAGTTTATCAATGAGATTTCATATTAGTTAAGCGCTGCTGTAGACTGACATAGCTTCTTGCATACTTGTAATTGTTCACAGGCTACAGAGCTCATTGAGCAGATTCCATTCTATGTCTAAAAAGCCTTTTATGCACAAACATGGGTATGCTTTATTGTTATTTAAAGCGGTATTACAAGAGATAGTAATTTTACTAGAGATATTCCAGTTTTAAGATTATACTGTCTTCTTTCATAATATCCTTTCTTAAACTTATTTTTGTTTGTCTATTGTACCAATATTTCTGTCATGTATATGGAGCTTTCGGACATTAATATTTGCTCCAGTATTTGCAAATATTGTCTATACGATATTCTTTTGTATTTTTTACCAAAACTATTAAAATGGTATTAAACCTTAATAAAATAAAATTTTAAAAATTTGTCCACTTCAGGATAGCCAGACATTCCCTAAAACTCATTTACTTTAAAACACTTAAGGAATTAGCACAGGTGAACTTCCAAAGAGATTAAAATTTCGCTAAAAGTTATATTTATCTAAAAGCGATACTTAAAAAAAATCAATTTGTCAAATAAAATGAAAGGCACCAAAGTGGTCTGATATTATTTCAATGATGCCAAACTAATAATTACAGCATTCCCAGCTTTTATTGTTCCGAATGTCTAAGAAGTCAGAAACATTTCACCTGCTTCACTCAGTTTCTTCTCATCCCTGTAATATAAATAGGCAGAGAGCAGGCATTACATGCTCATTGTGCAGTAAGTAAACTCAGACACAGAAGGGCTCTACGGCTTGCCAAAGGTTAGAGAGCTGGCTTTCAACACCACAGAGAACAGATTTACACCTCCTTTTGCAATTATTCTGTTCTTTACATTTAACTTTACTATTTATGTCAATGATACAAGATGGAATCTGTACAATAAAAAAGTTTATGCATTTTATGCATTAAAAGCCAGATTGATACTTTCATACTGTGTTCATGTCAATTGAATTGTCATGCAGCCCACATCTAATTTCAACTTTTTGCTTAAAATTCACCCAATTGCTCAAAAGTTCTTGTCGTTTCTTAAATGTAATGATTGAATAATTTCACTTTAAGTGGCAGAAATGGCTAATTTGGACACACACTGATAAGAAAAGGCAATGGAAGACAGTAATAGGGCAGTCAATGCCAAGTGAAATAAAACAATTGTGCCAGCAGTTGGAATGCCATATGGAAAAATGAAGCCTGGTTTCATAACCAGGATGAAGAAAAATCTGTCAAGGGTTATTTTTGTTGCATATTCATAACCTGATAAATTGTGTTAATTGCTAAAAGAATGAGGAGTCAACCAAGAATGGATTGATTGTGATGGAGCTGGAACATGTTAAGAATAGCAATACAGTTGCAGAAATCTATCCAAGTGGTATTTCAAGGCTTTTTGTTTTTTTGTTTTCCCACTTAGAACTGGCAGAGAAAAAAATTTGTTTTTGTCACTATTTACATTTTTGTTTGTATTTTCTACATTTACACATATAAATCTCATAAAAATCTTGAGCCATTTCTTGTGTACTTAAATAAATGGAGATATGATAAGGGTATATACATTAAATATCCAGGAATTTGGCCATTTTTATGTGCTATATTAGTCTAGAAAGTGCTATATCTGAGCACCTTGAGCCATAAATAATTATTCTTCCTATTTTTTTTTGTTGTTGTTATTGTTGGCTTTTGAAGAAAACATAGAAAAAATATTTAAGATTCAAAGTCCAAACAATGTGGATACATTACCTTTAGACTCACATTTCAACCACCGCCTTTTCAAACTCCTCAATTCAGGCCAACTATAATTTACCATATTCAATTTATACTACCTGATTTTCTTGGATCACTTATGAGATACATTCAAGAAAACTTATGCTTTAGAAGAAGTTCTAGAAGCTTTTCTTTTTAAAGTTCTATGAAGTATTCTCATCTCCTAGAACTATTTTGTATTCTGAGTAGGTTTTCCTAACTCCATGCCAACCTAGAGAAGTTGACTGAATGTATGTGTCCTTACAAAATTCATATAATAAAGCCCTAATCCCCAAAGTGCTAGTATTTGGAGGTGAAACTTTGGGAGGTATTTTGTCATGACAGAGAAGCCTTCACACAAGAGACATGACATCTCTCCATCATGTGAGGACATAATCATGAAAAGGAGACTTGACAGAAAGTGAATTGGCTGTCACCTTGATCTTGGACCTCCCATTCTCCATATTGTAAGGTATAGATTTCTGTTGTTTAAGCCACCCAGTCCATGATATTTTTTTGTTATAGCAACCACAAAAGACTCAGACAGAAACTGGTACCGAGAAGTCAAGTGCTGCTGAAACAAATACCTAAAAATGAGGAGCACCTCTGGAATTGGGTAATGGGAAGAGGGTAGAAGTTTTGAGGTATGTGCTATAAAAAGCCAATATTGCTTTGAAAGGATTGCTAAAGTTGACTCTGATGAGGACTCAGAAAGCAAAAAGGAGAGGTGTTGGGAAATATTCCCTCTTTTCAGAGGATACATACATGGAATCATGAATGGAATGTTGGTAGAAGTATGGACCTAAAGGCCAGTTGGATGATGTCTTAGAAGGAGATGAGGAACATGTTATTGGAAACTGGATGAGAAGAAGATGATTCTTATAAAGTGGCAAACAACTTTGCTGAATTGCATTTGTGTTCAAGTGATTTGTGGAAGGTAGAGCTTGTGCACAATGAAATTAGATAATCAGCTGAGGAGATTTCTAAGCAAAATATTAAAAGAGCATTGTGGTTCTTCTTGATTGCTTATGATAAAATGCAAGAAGACAGAAATCAATTGAAGAAGAAATTGTTAAACAAAAAGGAACCTAAACATAAAGATTTGAAAAATTTCCAGCCTATCCATGATACAGAGAATACAAAGGGTGTGGTCAAACAACCCTTTGATATGGAGATTATTATTATGTGTGTGAACCATGAACCTCATCATTCACCCCCCCCCAAAAAAAACACTCCCAGTTTGGAATAAAGGAGATAAATAAAATGGGATAAAATGAAAGAAGGTTGTCAGACTTCATAGACTCTACAGGATGAAACTATAGAGCTATTTGGCTACAAAACTGTGCTGTTCTTCAAGACAAGAGAAGAATAACCCCACAGGCAATTCATGGGTCTTCAGGGATGCAACTTCCACCATGGGCTCAGCTTTTATGGTACTGGAGGACAGGGCTGCCTCCACTTCGGTTTCAAAAGGAGGGACTGCTGCCAGCAGAGTCACATGAACAGGGACATCACCTTTGTTCCAAAGGCTGGAGTTGTGGGGGTGGGGCGAGTGGGACCACCATTCCACTGAGTCCTAGGGGTGGAACTGCTGCCCCAGTGGGCCTGGAAGGTATAGCATCAGTTCAAAGTGGATTATTCTTGAGCCTAAAAATATGATGGTATTTTGCTTGCTAGGTTTTGAGATTACAACACGTCACCCCTTCTTTCTTATTTTCCTTTTGTAA
This sequence comes from Homo sapiens, assembly GCF_000001405.40. Taxonomy (NCBI): domain Eukaryota; kingdom Metazoa; phylum Chordata; class Mammalia; order Primates; family Hominidae; genus Homo; species Homo sapiens. The sequence goes on along the minus strand of NC_000004.12, from coordinate 66,057,048 downwards.
TGGGAATGTCTACCCTGTATCTGTCTCATAATTGCATTTTGAAGGTACATAACTTGTTTGGTTTCACAGATTGACACCTGGAGAGGAATCTTGCCTCAAGATGAATTGTACCTCAAGTCTCACCCATATTTGATTTAGATGATATTTAAGTGAGATTGTGGACTTCAGACATGCGAGTTTGCCCTGGAACAAGTTAACACTTTGGAGCTCTTGGGATGGAATCAACTTGTTTTCCATGTGAGAAGTACATACATTTTGGGGGTCCAGGGATGGACTTCTATGGACAGGATGTTTTTAAACCCATTAAAATGTATATGTTTAAGCCCTGCTCCCCAACATGATGGCATTTGGAGGTTGGGCCTTTGGGAGGTAGTTAGGTCATGAGAGTGAAGCCCTCAATAGAATTAGTGTCCTTATGAGATAGATACAAGATAGGATCTGTGTGTGTGTGTGTGTGTGTGTGTGTGTGTGTGTGTGTGTGTGTGTGTGTTTGTGTGTTGTGTCTCCCTTTCCCTCCCTCTCTCTCGCTCTTTGCCCTATGAAAACATAAACAGGAAAAGGACCCTTACAGAAACCAAATCAGTTGGCACCTTGATCTCAGGCTTCCCAGCTTCCAGAACTGTGAAAAATGGATTTCTGTTGTTTAAGCCACCTAACCTATGATATTTTTGTTATAGCAACCTGAACTGACTAAGATAAAAAGGCTATCAGAATTTCAGGATGAGTTATATTGATCTAGCTACAAAGACATGAAATCAACTAGATGTCTTCTTCTGTCAGGAATTTAATGACTAAATATCTGGGTTTTTTTTTTTCTCTAACATAGGAAACAAAAGTCATGACTCATCATAAAGCACCTAATTAAAGCTGTAATAGTTGTAACATTATGCAGATATAAACTATAAATTTGTCTGTGACATTATGATATACAATTCATGTCAGAGACATGCCTAATGGATTCATTGTGCCAAACTGAAATAATAATATGCACCAGAAACTTGTACAATCCAAGCAATGTTATGTTAGTCATTAATCAATATACCCTAAATTTATTGAATAATTTTCACCTGTATCAACTTCCAGGATAATAAGGTTCTTCCTGCTTGGTACTATAGCAATAATATTTTGAGAATATTAAAATGTTAACTATGGATTACACTGAAGTACATTAAAATAATGTAATGTGAACTCAAAAATATTATTTTAAAACACAAAACATTGCAAAACATGATTTATATACTTCCAATTTAGTCCTATATCACACTGAACATATCCTTGGAAAGATATTGCCCCTAACCCACATGTTTTCCTTCTGGACTGTAAATGCCATGAAGGCAATGACTATATCTCTACTGTACTATATTTTTCTATTAAGTACAGTGCCTACCTCATAGGCTTCTTATGGATATAGATCTAATGCATATTTAAATATCAAACTAGTTCATAAATGAGTAAGCCAGCATTTATAAAACTACTATGTGAACAAAACACGGTAAGCACTGCATTTTAATCCAAAGCCCGACATTATTTAGAAAATCAACACACACATACTCATTTTTCTCAAACAACAGTGCTGGACTAAGTTCTGAGAAAGTCATTCTCTTTACCTGGGGACCTCTTTACATTGTGTCAGTGCTCAAAACAATACAGGTTACTAAACACGTTTTTAAAGTTAAAAGTTTTATTTAATGTTGAAAAGGAACAAGGATGGAATTATATGTGTATTTCAGCAGGTGATAAGATGAGATCATAACTACAAAGACAATAAAATGACCACAATAAACACTACTATTTATCAAGCAGCTGAGGAGTGTTGGTTAATGTAGCAAGCACCCTAAGGATGCTATCCTATGTAATTTCTATGTCTACCTTATGGATAAGGATACCGATTATAAGTGAAATGCAGAGAACTTTAACAATTCACTCAAAGTCACATGAGTAAGTAATAGAACTAAGATTTGACATCAGGTCTGTTGAATGCTCAAATTTTTGTATTTTCCACTATTCCATATCCCCTCAGTTATGTAAGGAACTTACAGAATAACACTGCAAATCTAAGCTGCAATTGAAATTTAACATGTTTGTTTCTCTGATTGCAATTTTCATTTGGTGCCATTAAAAAGTAATTTTCTGTGAGTGAATTCAGCAGGAACTGTAATGATTTATCCAAAAAAGATGAATTGCATATTTAGTAATAAATGTCTTCATATTACGTAGAATACTTAACCCTTGAGTAGTTGATATCAAGGAAAGTTACTAGTTTGAACTGAAGGGGAAAAAAAATTAAGACATATTAAGCAGTATAATGAAGTGAATACTAAATGTGACAAGCAAAAACAATGTCTCCAAAGGAGCATACAACAACCTTTTCAATATTTCAAAATTTGACTAGTTCAAAGAAGTGTGATTAATGTATATAGGAATAATAAAAGTTATGTAACTAGAAATTAATTGTATATTGATTCTTGTTATTTAATCATTTTCAGATTGTTCCATTATATTTTGTCACTATGAATGCTTATTATTTTATTTTTCCTATATGCTTTAGAATTTTAGTTTGAAACTCAGTTACTATATTTTTAAACTTTCTGTTTTTACTCACTTCTATGTATTACCTCTTTGTAGTCATGCAGAATAAATTTTCATTTGGTTTTTTGTTTTTGTTTTATTAAAAATTGGTTACTGGTACCCCATGGTGATATTGAATGTACATATCAACCTAGCAGATAACTAGCTCAAGTTCTGCCTACAAGTTCTACCTCTCATAGGCATAGGCATAAATCAGTTGAAATCTCATTTTGCATGTCAGTGGTTCCTGTATGAGTCCCTAATTTCTTACATAAGCTTGGTTTGGGTTCTACATGTTATTTTTGGTATTACATTTTTTTGGGCACTTTGGACATTTTTCTATACTTGTTTTTCTCACTTTTCTCATTATGGAGATGCGGCCAGTAAGAACACATATTGGTTCCATTACTTCCTCACTATTCCTATTGCTTTAGTTCGTTGTTTCCTACCTATTGTAATAATATTGCAATCAATTCCCCTTGAGAAGCCCTTTAGAGGCAGAATTGCGTAGTTTTAAGGCTGATAGAATGGTGTACAAAGCTAGAAACAAATGAGTATTTTGGGGTCAGTAAATGAATGGGACCAGTGTTAATATGGAAATACAAGAGGAGGAGCAAGCTAAAAAGCTTAGATAAGGAGCTCAGTTTTGAACTACAGATTTTGTAGAAGATTCAGACAACTCTAAGTCTAACTTAGATATAGCTTATAATATGTCTTCAATACTGTTTAATGAAAACAGAGCTACCGTTATACCAGAAACCTTGCTTATTTGTTCTTGCTGGTCTTAGCCTTTATTCTGGCCACTAATACTGTTTTATTTTCTGTTTTTATATATTTTGCGTGCACTTGTGTGTGTGTGTGTGTGTGTGTTTGTGTGTGTGTATGTGTATTTAACATTAAATGAGTTATTTTATAGGCTCTCTTTTCTTTATATATATTTGTTGTTAATCATGTTAATACCAGCTTGGTAATTATACAAGGTTATTATAAAAATCAATATGCTATACTTATCAAATAATCTGTAGAGCCCTGTACAAACTAAAATGCAGAGTCCTGTGCAAAACTAAGATATTATTAAAATTATTAGGTCATTTAGTCTCATATTTAATGATACTAGAACTAGGTGAAATTTTCAACTATGATGAAATGTTCATTATTAACATACTTAGGCAGTGTCATTTATAATGCGCTAAAGAATAATGGTAATTCTTACTGCCTATTACAGGTCTTCTAAGGAATTGTGTAGCATCAAAATTGTTTTATTTACTTTCGTCATAGACTTCCATGTAATTTCTCAGAGTCCCTTTGCACTTTGCATCTTAAAATCTAGATATCCTGTCTTACTTTTTTTTTCCTTTTTTTTCCACCAGCTGACAACACCTACTTCTGGGAAAAAAACAAAACAAACAAAACAAACAAAAACAAAACAAAACAAAAACCTTTGGCACAAAGATTAATCAAGTAGAAAATCAATTTATAATGAATTAAAATGACTACAATGTATTTTAAAAATTACTTTTGTATTGCTACCTGTCTTAGCATCTATATTACTTGCATGAAATAATGTTTTGTAAAATAGCAATTATAATTACTTATTAAATTTCCTTTTCTGTTATAATATTTAAGAAATTTTTCCTATGATGCAAATTTCAATGGCAGAAGTTCTCTCAAGGTTATCACTGCAAAACATTATATTTACCTTTCTCTAATTACATTCATTATATTTTGAGTTTCTCATATATGCATTCAGAATCACATCCCTCTCTTACACTCTCGTTTCTCTCTGTGATGACAATGCCACTTGCTAATGGCTGCTTCTTGGCATCCTCTCCCTCAGTGTGCATTGCTGCCAACTTCTGACTTCAAGGAATGAAGTTCTTTTTCTCCCAACCATCAGTTATTAACCTCATATTTTTCTAGGAACACATCCAAATTTTATCCCCTATCCTGTATCAAGGTCTTCTTAAATAACTGAAAATAAAAGTCATTTTTTCCTCAACAGTCTTCTGACAACTTCTATAGATCTCTGGTCTGGCTATGTTTTCGTATGAAGATTCAATATCAGTATATTTTCACAAAAATCTGTATGATCAATGTTACTGATTATATGTTTATTAAATCTTTGTTTTTGTTTTTTAAATCTAGGGAATTCTGATCAGAGAATAAAGGTGAATTTTAAGCTGAATTGATGCCTGGTATGTAAACAATTTCAAAGTTAAGGTGATTGCATCTACAGCAAATTCAGGACGTATATTCCCTTCATCAGTTTTCACACTTTGAATGAAGCTTGGACATAGAAGAAAAGTAGTGGAAGATTAGACATATGGGGACAATTAAAACACACATACTCTGCCAGGCTGAAGTGAGTCTAGGTGATGACAGTGAGTTTATCTTTCTATAATCATGTTTAGTTCTGTTCAATCTTTTACTTGAATTTATTTGCTTCTTTTCATTAATATGCTATTTAATAATCTTTAAATGAGAATATTTATATAAATACATTCTCAGGCAATAATTTTTAGTGTTTCATCAAAATTGACTTCCTTTTCTTCCAAGATGCACAATCATAGTATATTTCCAAGGCTCTATTGCAGGTGGAGCAATGTGAATTCTGGTCCATGTGTTTGAAGAAGTGGTAGGTGATACTTCCACAGTGGAATATAATAATCTTCCAGACACGTTTACCCTTCCTCTTCTCTCTTCCTTCATTTGAAAAATGATGATGGCTTCTTTTGTTTGACTATGTAAATAAGATTAGGCTGACACTGGAAAACAATGCCAAAGATGGCAAAAGGTCTGCCAAACTCTATGCCAGCAAGATTTTGTAAAACAGCCCCCAGTGACGTGCACACTTTCAGAAATGTTCTATTATGTTATGTCACTAAAATTCTGGGGTCCATTTGTTACCACAGCCAATTTACACAAACTTAATACAGTATCTGTGGAGCTTCTTTAGAAAGTGACAATTTATATTATAAATCTTAACTACTTTGGAGATTTTATTTCCTTTATCACCAGCCTTTGAGGTTTTGCAATTTTGTGTGGGACTGTGATTGGTTGATTTTTTTTATCCTGTGTAAAAGTTGTTTCAGCAGAGGATAACACAGCTAAGTAGTGGGAAGTTCAGTTCAAACCAGGAATGCAACAAATGGCCAACAGCTATTGAATATCTGAAAATTAAGCATTTCCCTTGGGAGAAAAGGGGCTAATTTATATTCAATTATCTAATTAATGGTCACAAATCACATCTGCCTGAAATGTTTACAATAAGGAGAAACCGTTGTATATTAAGACATAAAATACAGTTAATTTCTATCTCATTGGAGGTCTCAATGGTCCTCTGAGATCTGATTAAGCAATTACATGGGCCTCAGCACCACTCGTAAGTATTTAACAACATTTGGGATGGGTTATAACCTAGAAGTTAACAATTTATTATCAGTATTCAACTAATATGGTTTGGCTGTGTCCCTACCCAAAACTCATCTTGAATTGTAATTCCCACAATTCCCATATGTCATGGGAGAAACCTAGTGGGAGGTAATTGACTCATGGGAGCAGGTCTTTCTTGTGCTGCTATCATGATAGTGAATAAGTCTCAGGAGATCTGATAGTTTTAAAAATGGCAGTTTCCCTGCACAAGCTCTCTTCTCTTGTCTGCCGCCATGTGAGATGTGTCTTTCACCTTCTGCCATGACTGTGAGGCCTTCCCAGCCACGTGGAACTGTAAGTCCAATAAACCTCTTTCTTTTGTAAATTGCCCAGTCTTGAGAATGTCTTTATTAGCAACATGAAAACAGACTAATACATCAACATTAATTCATCAAATAGTCAGCATAGAGGGAATAATCAGTATTTTTAAAGACTCATTTTCATAAAACATTCACATAAATTGAGTTAAGAACCTATTGAATGATAGTGGATATAGATATACTTCTAAAAGAGCTGTAAGATTCTACTGGTGGTTTTTTATAATCAGATCAAAAGTGATGGACATCTGCTTCTTGGAGTTTTGTTTTGATCCATCATAAATGTGTGTTTTATATGTCTATGTAAGATACAAACATGTTAGATTGAGTAAATGTTTTATATTTGAGTGCAAAATTGCTTAGGGCTAAATATTGTCCTTAGGTTGCCATGTGGTTTTGCTCACTTCATTCATCATTCCTGTAAAACGTTTCCCTGCTATAATTGTTTATTGCAATCAAGAATAAAAATGTCAACTTGTGCTTTGGACACATTGTTTGAGTACCTTTATATTTTCAAATCTCCAGATTGTATCTTGTTCTCTGTGGCATATATGATAATAATCATTAATACTTGAGGGCTTACTGTATGATATGCATTGTTCAATGTGCATTACACTTCTTAACTCATGTAATACTCATTGAGGTTCTACAACAGTCTACCCATTTTGCAAGTGTAGAAACTGGCTTTTAGCAGTGCCAAATATCTTGCCCAAGGTACAGATAGAAGCGATGAAGATGTAATTTGAACCCAGTCAGTCTGGCATCAGAATGCGGTGTGCATATTGCCCACATTTCTTTTTATAAACATCTAAGTCAGCTTTGAGATATATTTTGGAGGCTTTTTCCACAATCATTCAAAATTACAAAAGAGTAGAAGTAAATATGTTAAATCAGCTATAACTACTGCACCAATATTTTTGTAGACAATCTTTGGAAGAGATTATAGATGATACATTTTATCTGAAGAAACAAGAAAGTTGCTCTTTCATCTCAGGCTTCTGATAAAAATCACATACAAATAATGGAAGAATATGTATTTTTTTAATTGTCTAGGTTATTTTTTACAAATCAATGTAAAGCCAAATTGGTCCTGATATTTTTAATTTATGTTCCTATTTCATTGCTCCTTCTTTAGAATAGAGGATGTTTTTGTTTTTATTTTGACCTATTTGCCAGAGACAGGTTCATTACTTGCTCTACCACTTAGTGCTTTTCACACATAGCAAGTTATAATAACTCCTGGCCTCCTTTTCGCCTTGGTAATAATAGTGGGTAAATCCAAATGATAATAATAATATTGTTTATCTCATAGAATTGTTAGAGGTATTAAATAACTTTTCAGTTAAGCCATACTGCATAGGACCAGAATAAAATGAGAGGCACAATAAATTATATTTAACAATAATAGGAATAAAAATTTAAAATCGTTAAGAAATGCTAACGTGTATCTTTTTATGGTTTAACTTTGAAAATTAACCACTGAAACTAACCTAAAACAGCAACCAATTTAAACTATTATCATGGCCTTTATAAATTACAGCTTGAAAACAGAATAATTATCTCATGCTATCTCATTCCTTTAAGCCAGCTAAAACCAAATAGTGATGAATACAACTCCTGCTGCTCCCTGGAGACTATATTTCCTTAAACTTCTGCCGAACTTTCAATTACAAGGGAGAACAGAAATAGTGAAAGCCCTGCAGTATCGTATTACTCTATAGCTAATTGAGAGGGGAAAAAAAAAGATATCAGGCCTGAATAATTATAGCAGGAACCAGATGATGAGCTCACCAAGAGTCCCAGATAAATATTTCCAGTACTCAGAAGACATGAGAGGCTTTGCTAACTCATTTTCTAGTCAATTATTTGAAAAGTCTTAGACAACTTCAAAGTAAAGAAACATCCTAGAACTCATTACAATCTGCAAACTATATTGTAAAGTTGTCATCCATATTGAGTGGTCTTGAATGTCCCATAGCAGTCCATTATGACATAGTTATAAAATTTATTTTTCCTCAGTCATATATATGTCAAGCTACTCCTCTGAAAAAAACAATTTACCTTCTGCTTAATTCCTACACTGTTGATACTCTTAAGACTCAGTATTATTTGACTTAGTCATATTATTTTCTTCTCAAATTCTGAAAATGTCATTCTTATAAAATTTTCCTTCAATAATTCTATCTTTTTTTTCTAGTACACTGTTAGTGGTTGAACAAATGGTATGATCATGTTTAGTTTGATATGAAGAAAATATCATGTATACAAATTACTGTGTTTGGGGTTCTTTCTTCCTTTTCTTTTCTTTTCTTTTCTTTTCTTTTCTTTTTTTTTTTTTTTGTTAGTTTTCTCATTACCGCGTTACAAAGGCAAAAAGTCAGATTTAGGGAGTTGCTAGTTAGAATCATTTCCAGATACGCTGAACAATACAGAATTGTTAACTATAGGCACTATGCTGTACAGCAGGTTTCTAGAATTTATTCATCTTGCATAACAAACATTATACTGTTGAACAACAACTTCATCTTTCCCTCTTCACCAGTCTCTGGAAACCACCATTCTACTCTCCACATCTATAATTTTGACTATTTAAGATAACTCCTATACATAGAATCATGTAGTATTTGTTCATGACTGCCTCATTTCACTTACCATAATATCCTACAGGTTCATCCACATTGTTGCATATGGCAGAATTTCCTTTTTTGTCTGAATAATACTCTGTTGTATGTTTATAACACATTTTCTTTATCCATTCATCTATCAATGGACATTTAGATTGTTTCCATATATTTTGTTTGTTCATTCATTTTTATTTGTTTATTTTTATTTCAATAGCTTTAAGGTTGCCTGTGGTTTTTGGGTATATAAATGAATTGTGTAATGGTGAAGTCAGACATTTTAGTGTATCTGTCACTCAAGTAGTGTACATTGTACCCAATATGTAGTTTTTCATCCCTCAGTCCATTTCCACCATCCCTCCTTCTGAGTCTCTAATGTCCATTATGCCATTCTGTAAGCCTTTGTGTACCCATAGTTCAGCTCCCATTTATAAGAGAGAACACGGTATTTGGTTTTTCCTTTCCTGAGTCATTTAATTTAGAATGATGGTCTCCAGTTCCATCCGAGTTGCTGCGAAAGACATTACTTTGTTCATTTTTATGTCTAAGTAGTATTCTCTGGTGTATATATACCACATTTTCTTTATCCACTGATTGGTTGATGGGCACTTAGGTTGGTTCCATATTTTTAGAACTGTGAATTGTTCTGTGAATTGTGCTGCAGTAACATATGCATACAGGTGTCTTTTTGATATAATGACCTACTTTCTTTTGTGTAGAAACCCAGTAGTGGGATTGCTGGATCAAATGGTAGATCTACTTTTAGTTCTTTGAAAAATCTCCATACTGTTTTCCATAGAGGTCATACTAACTTACATTCTCACCAGTACATATAAGCAATATCTTTTCAGCACATCCACACCAACACCTATCGTTTTTTCACTTTTTAGTAGGAGCCATTTTATTTTAATTTTCATTTTGGTTTTAATTTTCATTTCCCTGAATATTAGTAGATTTTAATTGAATTAACTCTGAACCATATTAAGATATTAACTATTAAATAGATATAGATCATTTTTATCATTTGTGTTGGCAAATTACACTTTTTTTTCATAGCACACTCAAGAAGTGGTAACTCCCTGCTCATTTAGCTCAATGTTCTATTTCAAATAAATTTCACTACTGGATGTGCTCCCTGATTCAGTATAATCCTCAGAAACGTATCTGGGGGGACAGATATTTAGATAGTGCCATCTGTTCTGCTAGTTTTGTGTTTACTCTCCTTTCTTAAATATCACTCCTACCACTTTCTCCAGACCTTAAACCGAGTTGTTTTGATAAATATCTCCTGAATTATTTGCTTGCTGAACATTAGTTTCTTAAATATAAAAGAGAGTATAATTTTTAAAGCACCAGAAATTTATTCTCTGGTTATTTAATTTTGGTACATTAGACCCCTGATTTATAAAACAGATTGATCTACAATATATGTTGCTTTTTCTTTTACTACAAAATGGTAACTTTTTTATTTAAGTTTCAAATAGTTGTTCCAACTCAATCTCTTTGGTTTTGACAGTTATACTGAGTTGATTTTTCTTATCCCAATACTGATCTGTAAAAACAAAACAGGCATAAGTAAAAATAAAAATCAAGCTTTACGTTCAATATTTTCATACATGCGTGCTCTGTATGAACATTTCCACCCTCTCAAATTGGTTTTTGCCTCAATCTCTTTTCTGATATAGACCATGCAATGAAAAGGAAATGTGTGAGCATAGTTCTTCAACTCACTAAATTTGATATCCTTTTAGTTTTATGTAAACAAGAAAAAAAGAGGAAAGAATGAATGGATTGTATTATTTGGTACTGAATATGTTCCAGATTGATGGTCTTTTCATATTTTGCCCTAACCAATGACTTTATAGGCCCTCATTTTGGCTAGAGCATCATTCACCAATGAAAATTTTGTTCTCAGTGTTTTTTAGGGAAAAATCAATTTTCTCCCTTTTTCCCACTTCTAGAGGGTGCCTGCATTCTTCGGCCCGTGACCCCCTTGCTCCACCTTCAGTCGGCAATGGTGATTTGCGTTCTTACATTGCCCCACTATTCTCTTCTTCTTCCCTTGTTACTTTCATGGAAACTAGTGATTACATTGAGTTCACTAAGATAATCCAGTATTATCTCTCCATCTCAAGGTAATTAATTTAATTACATCTGCAAAGTCTATTTTGCCATCTAAGGTTAAATATTCACAAGCTCTAGTTTAGGATGGAGGTATCATAGGAGGGGTCAATTATATGTATCTATGTGGTTTTTATTGTGAAAAAATATTCTTGCTATATTCTAGCAGGTTAGTATGCATACATGTAAAATAAATCCTTTATTGTCCAAGAAAAATGGAAACACAAATTTGAGAACTCAGTGAAAAAATAAAAGATCATAGGTCTCTTAATCATATATTCTTGCACAGATAAAAAATAATTTATACTTATTAAGGCCTTAATGTGCTTAGCATGTATCAGAAATTGATGTCATGTCTTCATAACACTTTTATCCTCACAACAAACTTATGAAATAGGAGCTATTATTAACATTATTGTTTACTGAAAGGATACTGAAGCTAAGAACATTTATGCAAATTGTCCAAAGCTGGTAAGTAACAACCCAATCTGGTCTTAGAGTCTACGTGCTAATTATTATGCTAAACTTCGGTCCTCTTAACAAGAAGACTGAGAATATTTAACCTTAACCACAAATAAAGAATATTGTAACCTAAGATATTAATGGAAGACATTTATATCTTCCATTAGTGTGTGGCAGCTTATTTTATTTTTAATATCTGTGCACCCAAATATCTTGGAAGTTAATATGTTCCATTTTTAGGTAGCCCACAATAGAAGGAGTGGGAGGACTTTGCGTTGTAGGTACAGATCCCTCATGAATGCCTTCTTGCCTTTCTGGCAGTAATGAGTGAGTTATCACTCCATTAGTTATGGGAGGTCTGCTGGTTACAAAGAGCCGGCTACCTCCTCCTCCTTTTCCTGCCTCCTCCTCTTTTGCTGTATAGCGCAACTGCTCCTCCTTTGTCTTCCTCCACAACTGAATGCTTCCTGAGGCCTCACCAGAAGCAGATGCTGGGGCCATGCTTCTTGCAGAGCCTGGAGAACGATGGGCCAAATTTAGACATCTTTTCTTAATAAGTTATCCAGTTTCAGGTATTCTTTCATGCAATACAAAACAGACTAAGACAAACCACAATTCTCTTCTATATATTATTCACTTTTAATGAACTATTTAGAAACCTGAACTTAAGATTTTTATTATCTTTGAATCTCTGCATACGTATTCTACTTTCTTAAGGTAGTGCTTCTGTTTCACCTTTTTCTTCTATGCCTCCTATTTCTTATCTATAAGAATTATATTTTGACATGTAGATTGTCATTGACTCCTGTCCTAAACTTTGGAAGTCTACTCTCATTTTCTCCTACAGTACTCTGGATTTACCTGTCATATGTGTTACCACCTATTCAACAATTCTTTTTGGCTGTGTTTCCTATTACACTATAAACTAATTGAAGACAGTGATCTTGCTTTCTTAGTTTCCACTGGATTTCTTGTGTTTGGCTAGCTAAATAAATATTTGTTAAATAAATGGATAAACAAATAAATAAATAAATAAATAATGAGGTATTAAATTAACGTATTCTATCTCATGTTGTCTCATAAAATCCAAGATTATCTTACTAGACCTAGGTGGAAGTATATGTTAGGCAAGTGAAGGAAATTTTTGAAATTATCATAAATTTACTTAAGATTGCAGATGTTGGAATTTAAATTCAGCTATAAAAATTAAGTCATTACTCATGTTAACTGAATAAATCTTTAATACATGTTAGTATGTCTAAAGAATTGTATTACCAGTATTTCTGGAAATGCTGATAGTTGTGTTGAAGAAACTTTAAGTTTAATTAAAACTTGAGCACTTGTTTTTGTCTCTGAGAAAATTTTAGCCAATCTTTATTACACACAAGAAACTGAGAAATTAAAAATGTGTGCATTTAGAGACCAAATAGGAAAAGGACCTACAAAACATTTTTTAAATAAGAGGAAAAAAGTATGTCTAAAAGAAAATATTCAGAGATGCTAAAAGTTGATATCCATATACTCTTTACTTTTTGTATTTATAGGCAAATTATGGAATTTTTATACTAATTGATTTTCTTAACCTAATGATATGTGCACTAGAGGAGCATAGACAGAGATAATGGCAAATGGAGCCAAAAGTGTTTTCCTGGTGTATTAGTTAAGATTCACCTGAGAAAAAAATGAACAGGATATATCGAGATATATATATATATATGTGTGTGTGTGTGTATATATATATATATATATATATCCATCCATACACACACACAGATATTTATATGTGTATATATATAGATCCTTCTCTTTCACTATATATATTTATATATATATATATATATATATATATATACACACACACACACGCACACACAGAGTCAAGGTTAAAATCTGCAGGATAGGCCAGCTTTGTGTGTGTGTGTATATATATGTGTACACACAAACACACACACACACACACACACACAGAGTCAAGGTTAAAATCTGCAGGGTAGGCCAGCTGACTAGAGACCAAAGAAAGTGTTACAGAGTCAGTTCAAGAGTGGTCTCCCAGCGGAATTCTTTCTTCTTCCAGAGTGGTCAGTCTTATTCTATTAGGGCCTTCAACTGATTTGATAAGGCCCATTCACATGATGGAGGGTCATTTCCTTTACTCAGAATCTACAGAATTAAATGTTAATCTTAGCTCAAAAGCACCTTTACAGAAACATCTAGAATAACAACTGATCAAATATTAGTCACCATAGCCTAGTCACATTGACACATAAAATTAAATATATTATTTTCTTATGTCCTCATCTATGATTTTGCTTTTTACAAATCACGTCAAGATCTTCCTTCATACTGCAAATCTCCTTCTACCCTCAGAATTTCTATGAATTTAGGTGATTTATAAAATAAAACTGATAGCTGCATAGCTCATCCTTTTATTTTACTTTCACTTATTCCTTCTTTAATATTCTTCCTTTCTTTATTTAGATCCAAGTTTCTAATCTACGTCATTTTCTCTATCTCTGAAAAACATCTTTTAACATTTCTTGAACGGTAAGTCTGTGGGCAACAAATTCATTCCCTGCTTTTCTTGAGATGGAGTATTTAATTTCTGTAGCCCAGGCTGGAGTGCAGTGGCACCATCTCAGCTTACTGAAACCTTTGTCTCCAGGGCTCAAGCAATCGTCCCACCTCAGCCTCCCGAGTAGCCGGGACCACAGGTGTGTGTCATCCTGCCCAGCTAATTTTTATTTTTTGTATAGATGGCATTTCTCCCTGTTGCCCAGGCTGGTTTTGAACTCCTGGTCTCAAGTGATCTGCCCGCCTTGGCCTCCTAATGTTCTGGGATTGTAGATGTGAGCCACCACACCTGGCCCTTTTTTTCTTTCTTTTTCTTTTTTTTTTTTTTTTAGACAGAGTCTTGCTCTGTTGCCCAGGCTGGAGTGCAGTAGTGTGGTATTGGATCACTGTAACACAACCTCTACCTTCCAGGTTCAAGTGATTCTCATGCCTCAGCTTCCTGAGTAGCTGGGACCACAGACACGTACCCCAGCAGCCAGCCGATTTTGTATATTTAGTAGAGATGGGGTTTCGCCACTTTGGCCAGTCTGGTCTTGAACTCCTGGCCTCAAGTGATCTGCCCATCTTGGCCTCCCAAAGAACTGGGATTAGAGGCGTGAGCCACTGCACCCGGCCATGGCCCATTTTTTGTTTGAGAAAAGTTTTCTTTCACATTTGAAGGATAATTTTACTGTATACAGAATTCAAGGTTGGTAGTTCCTCCCTCCCCCCACCACCATCTCAATATTTAAGCATTTTATTCCACTCTTTCTTCACTCTTTACTTGCTTGCATTGTTTCTGAAAAGTCCTATGTAATTCTAGGCATTTAGCATAATTAGGTGTAGGGGTTTGTTTTTATTTATTTATTTTTTAAGCATTTGTTCTACTTAGTATTTTCTGAGCTTTCTGGATCTTTGATTTGGTGCCTGACATTTATTTGAAGAAATTCGAGCTGTCATTGCTTCAACATTATCTTTTGTTCCCTTTTCTCGTCTACTTCCAGTATCACCATTTAATGTATATTATACGTCTTGTAGTTGTCCCAAAGTTTTTGGATATTCCGCTTCATTTTTTATCCCAGTCCCTTTTCTCTTTGCTTTTTACTTTTGGAAGTTTCTACTGACATAATCTCAAGGTGACTAAATCTTGCTTCAGCCAGGTCCAGTCTATTAATGTGCTCATCAAAGGCATTCTTCATTGTTATTACAGTGTTTTAAAATTCTAGCATCTCTTTTAATTCTTAGAACTTTGATTTCTCTACTTACATGATATATCTGTTCTTGAGTGTTGTCTGCTTTAGACTATACCCCTTAGCATATTAATCATAGTTATTTATTTTCCTGGTCTGATAATTCTAGTATTCCTGCTATATTTGTATCTGGTTCTGATGTTTGTTCTGTGTCTTCAAATTACACTTTATGCCTTTTAGTACCCTTTGCAATATTGTGAAAAGCTATGCAATGATGTATGAAATCAAAGGAACAGTGACAGGTAGACCTTTAGTGATGTTGTGCTAAGATGTGGGAAAGGGAAAAGTATTTGTAGATCTATAATTAGGTCTCAGTCTCTTAGGAAGTCTATGTCCCTGGACTGTGAACTTCACAAATGCTTCTCAGTTCCTCCCCCTCCTTAGGTGATACAGGAAGGCTAGATGGGCCTGGAATTTAGTATGTCTCTTTCCCTAGGTCAGTTGGGTTTTGGTAAAATCATTTCTCTTAAGGGTAGACCTTATTAAGAAGAACAGAATGTTCTGGGAATTCTGCTCTGGGCATATTTCAAATGGCTTTCTCACTGTGAGGAACCTACTAAGACTCTTGGAGTTAAAACTCCCAGAAGTGTCGGGTCTTTCATAAGACTGGCTTTCTCTGGAGTTTTTAAATCTTAGACTTGTCTACACTGAGCCTCCAGCAATTTGTCAATTACAGTTGCGGTTTTTCTACCCTAGCACTGGTTTTTCTGTGGCGGTTTCTACTCATGGGTCCCTTTTCCATTAAATTGTGATTTTTCCTATTTTTATGTTTGTCTCTTGAATTTTGGGGGCAAGCAGTTTGTGACCTCATTTTTCAAACAGATACTGAAAGAATTGTCGATTTTGAGTTTGTTCAACTTTTTACTTATTCTTAGGATGGAGTGATGACTCCTAAGCTCCTTATCTGTCACAGTGGAAACTAGAAATACTATTTCATACTTTTAGCAGGTGATGGTCAGTTAGAAACAGGACAATATATTTATCTTTCTTGACACAGTGCTTAGAATTCAGTCATGTAAAATGGTGACGGAACAGAAACATTTAATTATAGCTATTATGACACTGGCAGTAAATATGTCACAGTTGGAATTAAGATACTGACTATCATATGACTCTAAGCATCCTTTCATAATAACTGATTCTTGTTTAATACACTACGTATCATCATCAGTTATTTCAGACTTCCAGGTAAGGGAGTGATTGGCCATGTGCATTGAATTGTCTCTATAGATGAAAGAGGGAAGATTAGAAACAAGAGCCCAAACCCTCCTTCTATTAAAACAGAAAAAAAAAAAATATATATATATATATATATAAAGGAAAATGTACTAGCAAAATTCAAACTAAATAAAGGGCCTATACTATAAATTGTCTCTGACTGAGAAAAAGTTAAGAAATGGCACATGGGTTGAATACACCAATATCATTTACATGTATTTCAGAAATACATATACAGAGGAGAAAATAATAAAAAATAATAAAAAAATAAAAAATAAAACAAGTATCTTCAAGGTCATAATTAAGGAAGCAGGAGATGAACAAAAGTCCCATGTTAAGTTTTCATCACTTACGGGAAATAAATTTTACTATAAGTGATTATACCCCATCAGTGTCATTACCCTGCCTACACCTTGTCAGTAACTGGAGCCTGATGATTCATAATGGATTTTGGGTAAAAATTTACTCAAAATTGAGAGGCGATACCTATACAAATAGCACATACTGTTCACTGTGAATAATAAACTCCAGAATTATTCTAAAAATATTAGAGAGAACAATAAACCCCACCAATTTATGACTTTCCATATTCCAATATCACCCAGCAATAGTAAAGCAGATAGAAAACAAGGCTAACTTCCAATGACCGAGGCTACCCATGACCAGTATTTAAACAGAAGTTCTAAAGGTAAGATATAGGCAAGGCTAACATGAAGAGGAAAGGATATCAAAGAACAGACACACACATGTGTCTAGCCAGAAATGATGGCTAGATAGGGCTACTTATGTCAGAGATATGTCAAGTGGAATGGTGTGGCAATGATTCCAAGATACTACAGCAAATGAAAATAAAATTAGAAATCCTAAAGAAAAACACAGAAATAACCAAAGAAACCTCTCTGATAGAAAAATTACGCTTCAAAAAACGGAAGATTTCTCTAAATGAATGTTTCTCCTCACAAATATAACAAATAGAAAAATAGCTTTGTGAACTGAGAGTTTAGGATGAAGACAGAAACATTTTTGAATAAAAGGGAAAATGAAAAGAAGAGCAAAACCGTCCCATCATACAATTAGCAAATGAATTAGGGCTATGAGGAACAATATACACAGGTGGAAACCATAAGTGTAATTAAAATCATAACTCCTCATTTCATTTTTGGGTTTAATGATTTTTTTTATCTTAAGATATGAATCTATTTCCACTTCTAATTATTCTGTATTTTTATTGAATCTTAAATATTCTGTGATTCCTTTTGAAAATTCTTTTCAAGAAAATATACACCTTCTCAAGATTGATTGTCTTACCGTCCACTTTTCACTATTTCTGGCATTTCTCTCAATAAACAGGCTTTGGCTTTGGAGGTTTTGAGATGATAACACACATGCACACATACACACATGGATTTAATATGCAGAATTTGCCTAGTTTTGTCAAGAAATAAAAAATTTGCTTTGTTTTTGGCAGAGTAATCTATATCTCTCTTGGGACCTGCTAATTTGACTTGGCAACATAAATATATGCTCATCTGTTTTATAAAGGTAGTCCACACTTTGGCCTAAACTTAACTTTTGTTATTAATAGTCAGTATGCTTAAAAATTAACTTTAAAAAATAGGCTTTTGGACTACAAGTACCATATTTGCATACAGATCAATACATATGATGTGGCAAGGTTATTAAATTACATGTGGCAATCAACGAAGTATACTTTTATATAAATCCAGAAGTGTATGCCATGTATATAGTCATCATTGCTAAAAAGCTACTGATTTCAACAAAACTGTATGAATTTCATGACCTGTATTTACAGATTCCGCTATTAATATAACTTTGCTTTTCTCAGTATAAAAGCTAGGAAATGTATAAACATTGCTACAGGTAGAAAAAGAAGGGAAATATGTAGTATAACTCCTTATTCACAAAATACAATGATTAGAAAAAGAAGGAGGAAGAGAAACAGAGCAAGAAATGTTTAAGGAACAAAAGTGACCTGTCGCTGTTGTGTTTTGTTTTTCCATTGTCTAACCATGAAAATTAAGTTCCATATTTAAATGTAAGTAAACTTTATTTTACCTAAATAAATTAAGTTTCCCAAATTATAATGTTCATAAATTGCAGAATTTTAAACCACTCTTTCTAGTGTAATACTCAAAGTCCTGATACATTTTTTGAAATCAGGACATTTACATTCAAGGAACAAATCTTTAAATTTGAGACCAACAAACTTTCAGAAGGTCATCTGTAGAGTTGGTGAAAAAAAATTATTATTATTCTATTCTGTTAGTCACTAATGATAGCCACTCTGCTGAAAGAGGAAGTAAATATGAGGTTTTGTGAAGACTGGGGGATGACAAATGACAAATTTATGGTTATGGACTTGCTTTTCATTTCTCCTGCAATAAGTAATGAAAAAAGTAAGAGATAGCAAGAAGAGTTTCTATAGTTGTAATTCAATTCCTATGCACTGTGGCTTACTATCAATAGTACAAGAAAAATTGTAGGGAAATATACATAAAGGGGTTAATTATATACTAAATGTGTTGCAAAAACAACCACCAAAAAGTTCACCTTGCTGATTGACCTAGCAGATTATGAATAAGAAGTCAACTTATAATTTCCATATTAAGACTGTTCTTAAACTAGCATAAGGTCAAGCACCACTCTTATAAAATATAATTGAATTTTTTTTTTTTCTTTGAGACGGAGTCTCATTCTGTCGCCCAGGCTGGAGTGCAGTGGCCCGATCTCGGCTCACTGCAATCTCCGCCTCCTGGGTTCACGCCATTCTCCTGCCTCAGCCTCCCGAGTAGCTTGGACCACAGGCACCCGCCACCATGCCCAGCTAGTTTTTTGTATTTTTAGTACAGATGGGGTTTCACCATGTTAGCCAGGATGGTCTCGATCTCCTGACCTCGTGATCTGCCCACCTCAGCCTCCCAAAGTGCTGGGATTACAGGCGTGAGCCACTGCGCCTGGTCCTTTTTTCTAATATACTATGCTTTATTATGTATGACTTTGTTATACTCCAGAAGGAAAATGTCAAAATGCCATACCTGAAACACTCTTGAATGGAATAGAGCACATTTTGGTAAAAGAAAGGAATATATTGTAATTTGAGTATATTTTTAGTGACTTTTCATTGTTTACTTCCATTCTCTTCATTAGTTATAGAATACTTTCATCTCCTTTCAATTTACTTAGTAAATTTTTTTTCATTTTTAATTTTTTTAAGAGATGGGGACTCACTATGTTGTCCAGTCTGGCCTCAAACTCCTGGGCTCAACCAATTATCCTGTGATATCCTCCAAAGCACCCTGAAACTATAGACCATTATAACCAGGTATTCTTAGTAAATTTTCCATGCAACACATTCTAATACTTCACCTGCCTAGAGCTCATTCAGTGTTCCTTGTACATAACTGTTTTTTAGAAATTATAAAACCACTTTTCATTCTGGAGACAGATTCAAACATTTAAAATATATGTATTATTAATGGAGAATAAATAATATTAAGCCAACTCTATAATCAAGAAAAAATACATCACATTATTACATAAAACTCTCTTTTCATAAAACCACAGCTTTCGAAGTTGAAACTTTTCTCAGTAATCTTCAACATGTGTTTAAATCTGTTTTAAAACTATCTCAAGCAGTTGAACACCCTTGCAAATTCAGAAACTGATTTTCTAGACAAGCCCCAGTAGTGGACAGAATAGTAGACAGACAAGACATCAAAAGTGGGTAGGTTCATAGTGTCACCCAAACTCATAGGAATGGAGCAAATTTCAGATAATTTTCAGTAGTGGTCTATGCAAGAGACTCTTCAGTTGTTAAGTTTAAAGACTGGTACATAGTAGGTTGTTAAAATGAATATTGATTAAATGAATAAACAACTGAATCAGTCCCTGAATAGATGCTTTAATAGAATGATAATTAGGAAAAAGATGGGGAATTGGTAAGTAGACTTACTCAAAAGCAACTTTCAGCATTTAAGAATAACTCTCAGACTGTTCCCATATGCTGTTTCAAGAGTAATTGTAAAGTTATATCAACATTTGGCAATAGATAAAAACATAGTAATATATCATTTCTGTGAAGAAAAGATTTTTTAAACTCTCCAAGTATTTTTTTGCTCTCTCTCAAACCATTAATTTAATAACAGAAAGAACAGAAGAAATCATATTCTGGCCAGTCACTCAGATATGATATATCCCTGATCACCATGCTTTTCACAGCTTTTACCTGGCATTATCAATTACCTTCAAATAGACTGGAGTTTCCTTTAAGCCAAAACTGATTATTTTTGTAAATATTTACCATTTAGTGCCTGGTTCCATGCAGAATATCTTAGGTAATGTTGTATTGAATTTTTCAGTAAGGATGAAAGGCAACATTCTCAATGTCCTTAACAAATAACAGGTAAGACTCCAAAGATGATGAAACTTCATTGAAAAATATTTGAGTGTTGTGTGAGTACATGTACAGATTCTTATGTGAGTACATATACAGAGAAGACTAACTCTCACGTCTCGATGTTATCTATACACAGAACAAAAGTAGGTAAATAATATTGGATTTTCCTCTATTATAAAAAGGTCTATGTTTGATTTGTTTATTCAGTGTAAAAATAGTAAAATTATATAAGAATATGAATTGACTGCTGTATTTTGAAGAGTAAACAAAACCTGGAACAAAAGGTACTATCCTGAGTTTATTATTACCTGACAAACAGAGATTCATTTGACAGATTCTAATCAAGATGGTCATCTCCTCCTGGCACTACTGCTGAGGCTGGAGGATGACATTTTATTAAATTCGTATGCTAGTGAATTGTCAGCACTTATTTTGCTTGTATGTTCTGCTGCTTTCAGCGTTATTGATCATGAAATTTTAATATAATGCTTGGAAACGTATGCCTGCATTTCAAGAACAGCCTCAGATTGATTTAGGACTTAGCTGCCCCCAAGAGAGTAGTCCACACTGGTTTGTGTGTAATTCTTCTTTTCATTTCTTCATTCATTTTTCTACCTCTTCTTATCCTCCTGACCTAATTCTTCCTTCCCCTATTCTCCTAGAAACAAAGTATGTTTGTGAACAAAAGAAAGACTCCAAATATGATTTGGTTTAATTTGTAATATCCATACTACTCTGGATACTCATATCTGAGAAAGTTTGTATAACTGAACCATTTATGGTAACTCATTAGCATTTGCCTATATTTAAACATTAGCACAACATGCTACTTTTCCTGCAGTATACATAAATTTGTAACACTGGTTATGATAAAATTTCTTGTAATTTAGCTCACACAAACAATAAAAATGTTCTATTAACTCATATAAGTGACTTCCTAATTAAGTCATTTTATTTAATTTTGACAAAAATGGCATTTGATTAAATTCCATTTTTATGGTTTTAGAATTCAGATTCTTAGTGGCCTTTTGAATGATATCTTTTCCTTAGGCAGTTTGAAGTCATTTTTTCCCCTCCACTCTCTCCACATTGATGCTGGCAGAAGAGGACCATTGCTTGTCTTTACTTGTGTTGCTCTTATAATATGATTGCAAGTCTGTTCAGTACATCGATTTTTTTTCCCCAACAGCTTGATTACTGCAATTCCCTGTTAGCTGGCCACTTTTCAACTACTATATCAAATTGCAATATGTACAAAGCCAGGCTATAAGACTGCTGGTCTGCAACCAGATAGTGAGAGAAAGCAGAATCAGTTTAATTCCTTTCCTCTAGTCCCTTGTAGCAGGGCTTTAACACAGGCTGTAATCTCTTTGAATTTAAGAACAGTTTTCGTGTCTAATATAGTTTGGATGTTTGCTCCCTCCAAATCTCAAGTTGAAATGTGATTCTCAATGTTGGAGTTGGGACTTGTTGAGAGGTGATTGGATTATGGGGGTGGATCCCTCATGAATGATTTAGCATCATCCTCTTGGTGATGAGTGAGTTCTCCCTCAATTAGTTCGCATGAGATTGATTGTTTAAAAGAGGCTGGGGCCTCCCCCTTCTCTCTCTCTTTCTCCTCTGGCCATGTGATGTGCTGGCTCCCCTTTGTCTTCTGCCATGATTGTAAACTTCCTGAGGCCTCCCCAGGAGCAGAGGCTATGTTTCTCTCACAGCCTGCAGAACTGCGAGCCAAAAAAAAAAAAAAAAGCCACCTTTTTTTCTTTATATATTACTCAGCCTCAGGTATTCATCTAGAACAATGCAAAGGGACTAACAGAATGTCTTTATGGTAAAAAGTTTTAAAGACCATATCATAGTAGCATTGATGTAACCTGCAACACTCACAAACACACAAAATCTATCCTTTCTGTAAGTTAGCTATGAGGGTTCTAGTGATTAGATTTAATTTTAATAAGCATAAAGATGGTGAAATGACTTACCGTTGCACTGTGAATGTGCCACATAAGAGGAGCTGCTCCAAGTGAATAGCATGTGTCAGGAGCATTGGTGTGTCCAACAAATCACCTTCCATTTAACACAATCAATGAATAAATGAATGAAAGGAATGAATTGAAAGAGTAACATGTATGGGAGAAAATTGAGATCTATTCCAAAAGAAATTCCAGAATCTGGTTTTGAAATATTGGTCTCAGAATAATAGAAAAAGTCTACTTGTATACATTTATTACATGTATACATATAACTTTAAAAGATCACTTTTAAAGATAAATTGTGTTAAATATTAAAATAACAATTAAAAGAGAAACATATTTTAAATTACTTCTGTTTAATAAGCAAGGTGATTAATATCATTACCACATACAGAAATATCATTAAAAATTTGGAGGAGAACATAAGTTTACTATTGGATAACTTAGTAAAGAAAACATTCAAGAGGTCTTGTCATTCCTAAAGAAAAACGTATCTCTTTCTTGGAAAAATACACAAGGTTGGAAACTTTGAGATATATCTTTCACCTAGGAAATGAACATACTTAAAACATATGAAACATGGTAATTACTAGGTTAATATTAGAATATTAACCTATTTTATTACTTTTATCCCAGCAAGCACTGAATGTTTATATAACCTGTAGCATTTGTACCATTTACTTTTCTGAACATAGTATCTGTCTAAACAGTTCTGAATTCTGAAACAATTATGAGGCTAAAGGTTTTGAATACAGAATTGAGTATTGCTAGTGGAATTATACGTTGATATTTGTTTGTTTTTTCATACATTAATTCACTTATTCAAAAAATATGTATTTTATACCAAATATTTTTTATTTAATTTTTAATTTTAGTGGGTATGTAGTGGGTGTATATGTTTGAGGGGTACATGTGATGTTTTGTTACAGGTATACAATGTGTAATGATTACACCAAGCATTACCTTAAGCATTTATCATTTCTTTGTGTTATAATAGAATCATTCCAACTCCACTCTTTTTGTTATTTTAAAATACACAATAAAGTACTGTTGGCTATAGTAACCCTATTGTTCTATCAAATACTAGATCTTATTGATTCTATCTAAACATATTTTTGTAACCATAAACCATCCTCACTCTCCGTGCCCCCTAACTACCCTTCCCCGCTTCTGGTAATCATCATTACACTCTATCTCTATGACTTCAATTTTTTTCATTTTTAAGTACCCACGTATGAATCAGAACATGGAAAATTTGTCTTTCTGTGCCTGGCTTATTTCACTTCACAGTTCTATCCATGTTGCTGCAAATGACAAGGTTTCCTTCTTTTCTATTGCTGAATAATATTCTATTGTGTTTACATACCACATTGCTTTATCTACTCTTGGTTGAGAAATACCTAGGTTGATTCCAAATCTTTTCTAGAGTGAATCATGCTGCAAAAATAACAGGAGTGCAAATATCTCTTTGATACACTGATTTCCTTTCTTTGGGGTATATCTAGCAGTGGAATTACTGGATCATATGGTAGTTCCATTTTTATTTTTTTGAGAAACATCCATACTCTTCTGCATAGTGATTGTACTAATTTACATTTCCACCAACAGTGTATAAGGGTTCCCCTTTCTCTACATCCTCACCAGCATTCATTATTGCTGTTCTTTTGGATGCAAGCCCTTTTAACTTGGGTGAGATGATGTCTCATTGTAGTTTTGATTGGCATTTATCTGATGATTAATGATAGTAAGCACTTTCCCAAATACCTGTTGGCCATTTGCATGTCTTGTTTTTTAAAATGTCCTTTCAGATTATTTGCCTATTTAAAAAATGCATTATTAGATTTTTTTCCTATTGATTTTTTAAATGTTTTAATATATTCTGGTTATTAATCCCTTGTCAGATAGAGGGTTCGCAATGGTTTTCTCCAATTCTGCAGGTTGTTTCTTAACTTTATTGATTATTTATTTTGCTGAGCAGAAGCTTTTTAATTTGATGTGATCTCATTTGTCCATTTTTGCTTTGGTTGCTTGTGTTCTTGGAGTATTACTCAAGAAACATTTGCCCAGGCCTTGGTGCAGTGTCTCACACCAGTCATCCCAGCACTTAGTGAGCCCAAGACAGGAGAATTGCTTGAGGCAAGGAGTTTGAGACCATCCTGGGCAACACAGTGAGACCTCATCTATACAATTTTTTTTTTTAATTAGCTAGGTGTGGTGGCATGCTCCTATAGTCCTAGATACTTGGGAAGCTGAGGCAGGAGAATCACTTGTGTCCAGGAGTTTGAGGATGCAATGAGCTATGATGGCACCGCTGCAATCCAGCCTGAGCAACAGAGAGACACTCTGTCTCTATTAGAAATAATAATAATAATTTAAATGAAGAAATAAATAAGTAAAATTAATCTTTTCTTGGACCCATGACATGAAGAGTTTCCCCAGTATATTCTTTTAGTAATTTCATAGTTTCAGGTTTTAGATATAAGTCTCTAATCCATTTTGATTTGATTTTTTGTAAGATGACAGGAGACAAATGTCTAGTTTAATTCTTCTGCATATGGATATCCAGTTTTCCCAGCACTAATTATTGAAGAGACTATCCTTTCTCCCATTTATGTTCTTGGCACTGTTGTCAAAATGAGTTCCCCATAGGTGTATGGACTTATTTCTGGCTTCAATTTTCTGTTCCATTTGTCTATATGTCTGTTTTCATGCCAGTACCATGCTGTTTTGTTTATCATAACTCTATCATACAATTGGAAGTCAGATAATGTGATTCCTCCAGTTTTGCTGTTTTTGCTCAGGAACACTTTGGCTATTCTGAGTCTTTTGTAGTTCTATATAAATTTTAGATTTTTTTTTATTTCTCTGAAGAATATCTTTGGCATTTTCGTAGGGATTACATTGAATCTGTAGATTACTTTGGGTACTTACGGATATTTTAACACTATTGATTCTTCCAATTCATGAACATGGAAAGCCTTTTGACTTCTTGTGTCTTCTTCAATTTCTTTCAGTGTTATGCAGTTTTCATTATAGAAATCTTTCACATCTTTGGTTAAGTTAATTCCTAGCTATTTTATCTGTGTCTCTTGTCAATGGGATAACTTTTAAGTTTCTTTTTCAAATTGTTCACTGTTGGTATACAGAAATGTTACTGAGTTTTATGTTGATTTTGTGCCCTGTAACTTTACTGAATTTACAGAAATGCATTTAACTATGGCAAGTACTAGATAGAGGAAAACAATGTGAGGTTTACAAAGTCTTTAATCTAGCCTGTGGGACAAGGGATAATGAGGAGGTACTATGCAAGTAGGAAAAACTGCATAGAAGAATTGAAATCCAAACTGAGTCTAATGCACAAATTAGATTTGGTGAGAGAAAATATAGAGTGTGGAGAGTCCACCAGCAAGGCTTGATCTAAGATTTCTAGCAAGACATGAATCTGATTGGAAAATGGCAAGGTGTAAGCCAAAGCTAGGAATCTTTGATTTATTAATGTGATTCCAGGAAGCTAATATAGGATTTTATGTAAAAGCTGACATAATGTTGATTGTTTCAGTGATATTAGAATTTTTTCATTAAATAATTTATTAAAAGGAGATAATCCCAATAGGTGACAGGAGACTGGTTAGTAGATTATTGTAATAATGAAGATAAAAAAGATGAAGCCTTATCTAAGATACTGGATTTTGAAATTATACTTCGTTATGAACTTTTCAAATACCTATATTTTTTACAATTGTTTAAGATGATGTTAACTTTTGATTATAAGTTTAAATCTATGCAACAGCTGTTGCTGGTCTATATCTACATCTCTATATAATATATATATATATCTATGACAACAAAGAAAGGGCCCAAAGTCATCAAAGGCTGGTAATTTATTGCCTTTTAAATTATTTTAGCTAAAAAGGAGAATAATAATAAGGTATCAAATCTTTACATTTTTACTCTATACTCAATTGTTTTTCTCTTTATGAGTAGGTCAGCCACCATGCCATAACATGGTTTCCTTCAGTGTTGCTATATGTGGTTTGAGGTTACACACTGTAAGCTCCATAAGAGTTTCATCTGTTTTGTTCAAGTAAAACTTCTCATATTAGTTCCTATTACACAATACATGTTAAAATATATTGTTGAATGCATACATGAATACTAGAAGTAAAGAACCAAGACAGGAAGAACTGCTTTTTTTGTAGGACTGTGTTTCCTATTGTTGCGTATCCAGATTGTAATCCAAATCCAAATGATAAATAACTTTATGAATTAATCAGTTATTTTTTCTTATTCCTCTACTCTATTACTGGAGTGGAAAACTCAGTCATCAATATTACACTTAATCATATGTATGAATTACCCCTCCCAGGCTGTCATATGTATGTGATTTGCTTAGGTTGAAAATCAACAGGACGAATCTATCAAGTTACTGTTTTTTTCTTTTTTTTTTCCTTTTGTTTTAAGATGGAGTCTCCCTCTGTCAACCAGGCTGGAGTGCAGTGCCACACAATCTCAGTTCACTGCAACCTCCACCTCACGGGTTCAAGTGATTTTCCCGCCACAACCTCTCAAGTAGCTGGGATTACTGGCGCCTACCACCACGTCTGGCTAATTTTTGTATTTTTAGTAGAGATGGGGTCTCATCATGTTGGCCAGGCTGGTCTTGAGCTCCTAACCTCAGGGGATCCACCTGCCTCAGCCTCCAAAAGTAATGGGATTACAGGTGTGAGCCACTGCACCTGACCAAGTTATTGTTCTTTCCAAGACTCTATTTCTGGTTTCAGATCTTGTGAAACATGAAAAAAAATTAAATCTAAAGTGATAGGCCATCATTTATTTAGTGTGGCATTGAATGAGACCCTAAGAACACATTCTTCGTTTTATTCGGGACAGGGTCATTGTGCACGCAAAATAGTAATCTCTGTACACCAAGAAACAGAAAATCAAAAACATATCTACCATCCTTTTTCTACACCATTCTGCCCCTATGATAAAGTACTTATTAATAAAATAATAGTTACCATGAAATGAGTGCTGTGTGTTAGGTATGGTACATACATTATTTCACGAGTTCCCCAAAAATTGTCTGTAAAGTAAATGTTACAGATGTCATTTTATAGGCCAGGAGATGAAGCTTAGTGAATGAGATAATTCATTTTAGATCTCAACCTTGGTAAATGGCAGAGATACAATTCCAGGATTGTCTGACTTTAATGTCATCCTTTCACCACTGAAGAACAATATATGCTATTTCCAGAAACATCCCCTGAGATATACTTTAAGTGCTACATGTCTTTCATATCTCTATAATGCCAAATATGTTTTTGATATATTACACATTATGTAAAGTATTGTATGGAAAGCATACAGTAACAATTTAAATCATTTTTGTCAGTTCACATACTGCCATTCTTATAAAGACTTGAAACAAATTCTGTGAAAGGAAGAATTAGTTTTGATTTGACATATAACATCATTAAAAATTAGTAAATTTTATACAGATGGTAAGAACTTTTACAAATACAGGTTATAGAAACAGGCACATCTCAAGTATTTTTCAAAAATTTTGTGACTAATGAAGTAAGCAAATAAGCAAATTATATTGTGCAAGATTTTCATTAATCCCTTTGAATCTATTATTTCACTTAATTCTCAAATATTTTAGTCTGAGCTTGATTTTCTCTTTCTAGATAATCTTTATTCATGTATCAAATCAGAATTGCCTTACTTCCCGACAACATTCAATTCTAAGCATAGCCCTGTTTTCTTAAATCTTCCCCAAATCCCTTAACATAAACCAAATCCTATACCCTCTTACTGGCATACACCTGAGTTCACCATGATGTGCATTATTCCTCACTGCAATTAGTGTAAATCCAGGCTTTTCAACTACAGATATATCCCCAGTGGTCTTTGGTCATTGATTTATGTAAAAAGTCAATCAAATATGATTGTTTTTAACTTGATACTAAATAACCAGCTTGATAGTTCTATTTTGTTGGTTTTTGACTCCTGTCATAATTTGTTTAGCCCTGTGAATATTCACTTTTTCGTTACAATAACCCTAGTTAGTAACTATTTTTCTTCCTCCTGCTTCTCTTCTTTGAAATTTTCTTTTCAGAAATGGCAATAAAGTTTGTGTGTTAACTACGTGATTATTTCATAAAATATGTGTTTTAGTAATAAAATCCAATCCAATGTCATTTAACAAAATGTTTTATTAGCCAAAGCCCATCTAAGCTATTCTTTGATCAACTGTTTTCATCATCACTTTTGTAAATATTTTGAAAGAAAATAAGGCAGCTGAAGATAAAAGCCAGAGGCAGGGAATGTAGTGCTGATTTTGGGTTAATGGTGTCCTCAAGAGTTCCAGAAAGTGATTTTAAAATCCTGAGAACGAAAGGTTGGTGAGTCAGGTAGTGCCACACAAACCATTTTGTCCATGCTTTCTGACCCTACATGATTAGGGGTCATTCTCACATTTGTAATAAATCATATAGATTAATTTGACACAACACCCAGTATCTTTTATCTTCCTATGCACAGAGCTCCATTAATTGAAAAAAAAAAAGTCAGAAAAAGCCCAGTAAGCAAAATAAAAACACCTTTTTTCAAAGGTGATTATTCTTATTATGATCTTTCAAATTTCAGAATAAGAATGAGAAAATCATTTATCTGAAATGCTGTTTATACCAAAATGAATTTGACTCAGGGCTATTTCTAAGAAGGGGCCTTTCTGCAACATTCTGGCACCTCTTAAAGCAATAAGAAAAGCCACCTTTATTTCTTGGCCAGTGGCAATATTTGGAGGGTGAGTTAATTTTCTTTAATTTTTCTTATAATTCTGCTTTGCCTACATCTCAGACCAAAAGCCGATTATATTTTCATCAACAATGGATCTAGAAGAAAAAGTAAAGTATTTTATGTCTGCAGTTTTCTTTTATATTCATATATTTAAAGTTTAATTTTGAAATTTATTTAACTCAAAGTAATTGGATATTAAAGAACTATGCCAGCTATAAATTATTCTAACTGTAAATTATTTAAACAAATAATAAAAGAAAAGCTTTGTTTCATTTTCTTCATTATTACTCTATGATTGACTACTAAACCAACTTTTAAATATTTAAAATTAATTACAAGCTTTATCAACAAGTTCCTCTTATTTTCCATCCTACTGTCAGTCTTTTAAACAATAATTGTAGCTTTTTCAAAAGGTAATGTTTAAGAGAAGCAAGAAACACAAACTTGCAAATAGCTTTTCAGTAGTAATATTAAATGGTTAGGTTTACGAGAAATTTGAAATCAATGGCAAAAACAAACAGATGATAACATATAAAGAAGTCTAAACTCTATCTAAACACAGAGTAAAGTGTAATAATTTTACCACCTTATTTATCAAATTCTTACACCAACACTCCATTCTCAACATTGGACAGATCTAGATAAAAAATCAATAAACGACTATTGTAAACTGCACTATAGACCAGATGAAATTAACAGACATTTACAAGACATTTCATCCAGCAGCAAGAGAATATACATTCTTTTCATCACCACATGAAATCATCTCCAGACTAGACTATATGTTAGACAACAAAACATGTCTTTACAAATTTTTAAAAATCAAAATTGTATCAAGTGTCTTTTCAGACTATGAAGAAATAAAACTAGAAATTAATAACAAGAATTTTGGAAACTGTATAAATACAAAACACACGGAAATTAAACATTCTCCAGGATGACCAATGGGTCAATGGAGAAATTAAGAAAGAAATTTAAAAATTTCTTAAGACAAATGAAAATAGAAATTTAACCTATCAAAACCTATGGGATACAGTAAAATCAGCACTAAGAGGGAATTTTACTCTAATATTACTCCATGTAACAAATAGTATAGCAATAATGTACCGATAAGTGCCTACATCAAAAATTAGAAAGATTTCAAATAAAGAACCTAACAATTCTTAAGGAACAAGAAAAGCTAGAGTGAACCAAACCCAAAATTAGCAGAAGAAGACAAATAACAAAAACCAGAACAGAAATAATTGAAAGAGAGATTTAAAAATATAAAAGATCAAAAAAATTAAAAAGTTGGTGATTTAAAATGATTAAATCAACAAATGATTAGCTAGACTAAGAAATAAAGAAAGGACTCAAATAACTAAAACTGAAACAAAAAGAGACTTTACAAGTGAAACCACAAAGATACAACAGATTATTAAAAACTAATATGAATGACTATAGGCCAACAAATAGGAAAACTAGAGAAAATGGATACATGCCTGGACACATACAACCTACCAAGATTGAATCAGGAAGAAACAGAAAAGTTGAAAAAAACAATAACAAGTAACAAAATTGAACTGGTAATAAAATGTTTACCTTTCAGTAGTTTTTTAACTTTTATTTTAGATTCAGGGGTACATTTGCAGATTTGTTATACAGGTAAATTGCATGTCTCAGGAATTTGGTGTGCAGATTAATTCATTAGCCGGGTAATATGCATAGTACCTGAAAGGTAGCTTTTCAATCCTCACACTCCTCTCATCTTCCACCATCAAATAGGACCTAGTGGCTATGATTCCCTTCTCTGTGTCCTTATGTACTCAACATTTCAGCTCCTACGTAAAAGTGAGAACATGTGGTATTATTTTTTCTGTTTCTGTTTTATTTTGCTTAAGATAATGGCCTCCAGTTCCTTCCATGTTGTTTCAAAAGACATAATGTCATTCTTATTTATGGCTGCAGAGCATTCCCTGGTGTATATGTACCACATTTTCTTTATCCAGTCTACCATTGAAGGGCATTTACGCTGATTCTATGTATTTGCCATTGTGAATACTGCCACAATGAACACATGCATGCCTATGTCTTTAAGGCACATTTTTTTTTTAAACTTTAAGTTCCGGGATACAAGTGCAGAACGTGTAGGTTTGTTACAAAGATATATGTGTGCCATGGTGGTTTGCTGCACCTATCAACCTGTCATCTAGGTTTTAAGCCCCACATCAATTAGCTATTTGTCCTAATGCTCTCCCTTTTCTCGGCCCGCACCCCCGAACTGGCCCCGGTGTGTGTGTTTTTCCCTTCCCTGTGTTCAGGTGTTCTCATTGTTTAACTCTCAGTTATGAGTAAGAACACGCAGTATTTGCTTTTCTGTTCCTGTGTTAGTTTGCTGAGGATGATGGCTTCCAGCTTCATCCATGTCCCTGAAAAGGAAATGATCTCATCCTCTTTATGGCTGCATAGTATTTCATGGTGTATATGTACCACATTTTCTTTACCCAGTCTATCATAGATGGGCATTTGGATTGGTTCCATGTCTTTCCTATTGTAAATAGTGCTGCAATAAACATACATACATGTGTGTCTCTAGAATAGAATGATTTATATTCCCTTGGGTATATACCTAGTAATAGGATTTCTGGGTCAAACAGTATTTCTGGTTCTAGATCCTTGAGGAATCGCCACACTGCCTTCCACAATGATTGAACTAATTTACATTCCTGCCAACAGGGTAAAAGCTTTCCTATTTCTCCACAGCCTCGCAAGCATCTAGTGTTTCTTAACTTCTTAATAATCACCATTCTGGCTGGCATGAGATGGTATCTCATTGTGGTTTTGATTTGCATTTTCTCATGATCAGTGATATGTTGAGCCTTTTTTCATATGTTTGTTGTTCGTTGCATAAATGTCTTCTTTTTAGAAGTGTCTGTTCATATCCTTTGCCCACCTTTTAATTGTTTGTTTGTTTCTTGTAAGTTTGTTTAAGTTCCTTGTAGATTCTGGATATTAGATCTTTGTCAGATGGGTAGATTGCAAAATTTTTCTCCCATTTTGTAGGTTGCCTGTTCATTCTGCTGATAGTTTCTTTTGCTGTGCAGAAGCTCTTTAATTAGATCCCATTTGTCAGTTTTGGTTTTTGTTGCAATTGCTTTTGACGTTTTCGTCATGAAGTATTTGCCCATGCATATGTCCTGAATGGTATTTCCTGGGTTTTCTTCTAGAGTTTTTATGGTTTTGGGTTTTACATTTAAGTCTTTACCCCATCTTGAGTTAACTTTTGCATAAGGTGTAAGGAAAGAGTCCAGTTTCAGTTTTTAGCATATTGCTAGCCAGTTTTCCCAGCACCATTTATTAAGTAGGTAATTATTTCCCCATTGCTTGTTTTTGTCCAGTTTGTTTAAGATCAGATGCCTGTAGATATGTGGTGTTATTTCTGAGGTTTCTATTCTTTTCCATTTGTCCATATGTCTGTTTTGGTGCCAGTACCATGCTGTTTTGGTTACTGTAGCCGTGTAGTATAATTTGAAGTCAGGTAGCATGATGCCTTCAGCTGTGTTTTTCTTGCTTAGGACTGTCTTGGCTATATGAGCTCTTTTTTTGGTTCTATATGAAATTGAAAGTAGTTCTTTTCTAATTCTGTGAATAATGTCAATAATGTTTGATGGGAATAGCATTGAATCTAAAAATTACTTCGGGCAGTATGGCCATTTTCACAATATTCAATCTTCCTATCCATGAGGATGGAATTTTTTTTCATTTGTTTATGTCCTCTCTTATTTCCTTGAGCAGTGGTTTGTAGTTCTCCTTGAAGAGATCCTCTGCATCCCTTGTTAGCTGTATTTCTAGGTATTTTATTATTTGTAGCAATTGTGAATGGGAGTTCATTCATGATTTGGATCATTGCTTGTCTATTGTTCATATACAGGAATGCTTATTTTCCTTTGGTTATATATCTGACAATGGATCACTGAGTCAAATGGCAATTCTGTTTTAAGTTCTTTGAGAAAATGCCAAACTACTTTCCACAAGGGCTGAACTAATTTACATTCCCACCAGCAATGCATAAGTAGACCTTTTATAACCTCTCCAGTATCTGTTTTTTTTTTTTTAATGGCCATTCTGAATGATGTGAGACAGTATCTCATTGTGGTTTTGATTTGCATGTTTCTAATGACTAGTGATGTTGACTATTTTTTCCTATGCTTCTTGGCCACATCTTTTTTTAAAAAAAGTGTCTATTCACGTCCTTTGCCCATTTTTTAAGGGAAGTGTTTGTTTTTCATAGATGCTGGATATTAAACTGATATGCTTTGGCTCTGTTCCCCCCACCCAAATCTCTCCTGGAATTGTAAGAGTCCCCACATGTCAAGGTCAGAACCTTGTGGAGATAATTGAATTGTGGGGGCGGTTTCCCCCATGCCATTCTCATGATAGTGAGATCTCACAAGATCAGATGGTTTTATAAGGGGCTTCTTTTTTCACTTGGCACACATTCTCCTTCCTACCACCCTGCAAAGAGGTGCCTTCCACCATTATTGTAAGTTTCCTAAGGCCTCCCCACAATGCGAAACAGTGAGTCAATTAAACCTCTTTATAAATTACCCAGTCTCAGATATGTCTTATTAGTAGTGTGAGAACAGACTCATACAATAAATTGGTGCTAGGAGAGTGGAGCACTGCTACAAGGAAACCCAAAAATGTGGAAGCAACTTTGGAACTGAGTAACAGACAGAGTTTGGAACAATTTAGAGGGCTCAGAAGAAGACAGGAAATTGTGGGAGAGTTTGGAACTTCCTAGATACTTGTTAAGTGGCTTTGACCAAAATGCGATAACAATATGAACAATGATGTCCAGGCTGAGGTGGTCTCAGATGGAGATGAGGAACTTGTTGGAAACTGGAGCAAAGGTGACTCTTCCTATGCTTTAAACAAAGAGACTGGTGGGATTTTGCCCCAGCCCTAGAGATCTGTGAAATAGTGAACTTGAGAGAGATGATTTAGGTTTTCTGGAAGAACAAATTTC
Source organism: Homo sapiens (assembly GCF_000001405.40). Lineage (NCBI taxonomy): Eukaryota > Metazoa > Chordata > Mammalia > Primates > Hominidae > Homo > Homo sapiens. The sequence continues at coordinate 66,022,310 of NC_000004.12, read as the reverse complement.
TAAGTGCCAAAGCATTCCAGAGAAAGCACAGTATAAAAGTTTGGAAAATTTGTGCCTGACAATATGATACAAAAGAAAAACCCATTTTCTGGGAGAAATTCTGGCTCCTGAACAAATTTGCGTAAGTAACGAGGAGCTAAATGTTAATCGCCAAGATGACAAGAAAAATGTCTCCAGGGCATGTCAGAGACCTTCATGGCAGCCCCTTCCATCACAGGCCTGGAGTCTTAGGATGGAAAAGTGGTTTTGTGGGCTGGGCCCATGGCCCACCTGCTCTGTGCAGCCTTGGAACATAGTGCCCTGCATCCCAGATGCTTCAGCTCTAGCTGTGGCTAAATGGGGCCAATGTACATCTCTGGCTGTTGCTTCAGAGATTGCAAGTCCCAAGCCTTGGTGGCTTATATGTGTGTTAGGTCTGCAGGTGCACAATAGTCAAGAATGAGGTTGAGGAACCTCCACCTAGATTCCTGAGGATGTATGGAAACACCTGGTTGTACAGGCAGAAGTTTGCTGCAGTGATGAAGCCCTCATGGGGAACCTATGCTATGCCAGTGAGGAAGGGAATTGTGGGGTCAAAGCCCCCACACTGAGTTCCTGCTGGGGCACTGCCTAGTGGAACTGTGAAAAGAAGGCCACTGTCCTCCGGATCCCAGATGGTAGATATGACAGCTTGCAGCACAGAGCCTGAAAAAGCCACAGACACTCAATGCCAGTCATGAAAGCAGTCAGGAGAGGGGCTATAGACTGCAAAGCCGCAAGGGTGGAGCCACCCAAGGCCATGGGAGCCTACCCCTTGCATCAAGATTATCTACATGTGAGACATGGAGTCAAAGGAGATAATTTTGGTACTTTAAGGTTTAATGACTGCTTTACTGGACTTTGGACTTGCATGGGGCCCATGACCCCTTTGTTTTGGCTAATTTCTCCTATTTGGAATAAATGTATTTACCCAATGCCTCCACCCTCATTGTATCTAGGAAGTAACCGGCTTTTGATTTCACAGGCTCAGAGGTGGAAGGGATTTGCCGAATCTCAGATGAGACTCTGGACTTGAACTTTTGGGTTAATGAGTTAAGACTTTGGGGGATTATTGGAAGGGCAAGATGTGTTTTGAAATGTGAGGACATGAGATTTGGGAGGTGGCAGGGGCAGAATAATATGGTATTTCTTTGTGTCCCCACCCAAATCTTGCCTTCAATTGTAATAATCCCCACACGTCAAGGGCAGGACCAGTGGAGATAATTAAATAATGGGGGCCATTTCCCTCATGCTGTTCTCATGATAGTGAGTGAGTTCTCACAAGATCTGATGGCTTTATAAGGGGCTTCTCCCTTTGCTTGGCACTCATTCTCCCTTCTACCATCCTGTGAGGAGGTACCTTCCCCAAAGATTGTAAGTTTCCTGAGGCTTCCCCAGCAAGGTGGAACCATGAGTCAATTAAACCTCTTTTCTTTATAAATTATCCAGTCTTGCGTATATCTTTATTAGCAGCATTAGAGTGGATTAGTACATAGACCTTTGTCTGATGCATAGTTTGCAAATATATTCTCCCATTCTGTAGGTTGTCGTGTACTCAGTTGATAGTTTCACTTGCTGTGGAGAGGTTCTTTTGTTTAATTAGGTCTCATAGGTCAATTTTTGTTTTTGTTTCAATTTCTTTTGGCTTATTTGTTATGAAGTCTTTGCCAGGTCCTATGACCAGAATGATATTTTCTAGGTTATCTTCCAAGGTTTTTATAGTTTTTGGTTTAGATTGAAGTTTTTAATCAATATTGAGTTAATTTTTGTGTCTGGTGTAAGGAAACGGTCCAGTTTTTATCTTCCACATATGACTAGTCAGTTATGCCAACATTATTTATTGAATTGGGATTCCTTTCCTCATTGCTTGTTTTAGTTAATTTTCTTGAAGATCAGATGGCTGTAGGAGTATGGCATTATTTCTGGGCTCTCTATTCTGTTCCATTGATCTATGTGTCTGTTTTCATATCAGTACCATGATGTTTTGGTTACTGTGGCCATGTAGTATAATTTGAGGCTGGGTAGTGTGATGACTTCAGCATTGTTCTTTTTGCTTAGAATTGTTTTGGGTATTCAGATTGTTTTTGATTTCATATGAATTTTAAAATAGATTTTCTAAATCTATGAAAAATGCCACTGGTAGTATGATGGGATTAGCACTGAATATGTAAATTGCTTAGGCCTTGTGGCCATTTTCAACAATATTAATTTTTACTATCCATAAGCATAAAAAGTTTTTCAATTTGTTTTTGTCATCTCTTATTTCTTTAAGCAGTGTTTCATAATTCTCTTTACAGGGGTCTTTCACTCACTTGGTTAGCTCTATTCCTACATATTTTATTCTTTTTGTGGCTATTGTAAATGAGATTGTGTTTCTTATTTGCTCTCAGCTTGGATGTTGTTGATGTATAGGAATGCTACTGACTTCAGTACATTGATTTTGCGTCCTGAAGGTTTGTTGGAGTTGTGATACATCAAGGAGCTTTTGAGCAGGGACTATGCAGTTTTCTAGGTATAATCATATTGTCTGCAAATAACAATAGTTTGACTTTTTCTTTTGCTATTTGGATGCCTTTTATTTCTTTTTCTTGCCTGAACGACACACTTAAATAGGTAGACCCATGGCATTATAAAGCAACCACACAAACAAATCTGTATAATAACTAGCTAACAACATGATGACAGGATCATATGCATACATATCCATATGAACATTGAATGTAAATGGGCTAAATGCCCCAATCAAAAGGCAGAGGGTGTAAAGTTGAATAAACAAGCAAAACTCAATGGTATATTGTCTTCAAGAGACCCATCTGCCATGCATTGGCACCCATAGGCTCAAAGTAAAGGAATAGAGAAAAATCTACCGAACAATATAAAACAGAAAAAGCAGGGGTTGCTATTCTAATTTCAGACAAAACAGACTTTGAAACAACAAAGATCAAAAAAGACAAAGAAGGGCATTACATTATGGTAAAGAGTTCAATTCAACAAGAAGATTTAACTGTCCTGAATATATATGCACCCAACACAGGAGCACCTGGATTAATAAAGCAAGTTCTTAGAGACCTATGAAGATATTTAGATAACCACACAATAATATTGGGAGATTTTAACAACCTGTTGGCAGTAGTAGACAGATCATCAAGGCAGAAAACTAACAAAGATATTCAAAACCTTAACAATTGGGGAAATGGACCTAATAAACACTTACACAATTCTCCACCCCAAAACAACAGAATATATACTCTTCTCAGCGGCATATGACACATACTCGACAATCAATCACGCAATAGGACATAAAATAATCTTTAGCAAATTCAAGAAAAACTGAAATCATACCAACCACAGTCTCAGACCACAATGCAATAAAAACAGAAATCAAAGTTAAGAAAAAAAATACCATGAAATAGAAAAGAGCAACCTGCTTCTTAATGATTTCTGGATAAAATAATGAAATTAAGGCAGAAATTAATAAATTCTTTGAAATGATTGTGAAAAAAGATACAACATACCAGAATCTCTGGGACACAGCCAAATTATTATTATGAGAAAAATTTAGAGCATAGCATGCTCAAATAAAAAAGTTAGAAAGATCTCAAATTAACAACCTAACTTTACAACTAAAGGAACTAGACGAACAAGAGCAAATTAATCCCAAAGCTAACAGAATACAAGAAATAATCCAAATCCTAGGTGAACTGAAAGAATTTGAGACACAAAAAATTATACAAAAGATCATTGAGCTTAGTAGATAGTCCTTTGAAAGAGTTAATATGATAGATATACTACCAGCTAGACGCATAAATAAAAAATTTGAGAAAATCCAAGTAAACACATTCAGAAATGACAAAGGGGACATTTGTCCCCACTGACCCCACAGTAATACAAAAAGAAAAACCCAGAGACTATTATGAACAGCTCTTTACATAAAAGATATGAGAGCTATAAAAAAAACAGATAAATTCCTGGAAACATAAGTCCTCCCAGGATTCAACCAGGAAGAGATTGAATCCCTGAACAGATCAATAAGGATTTCTGAAATTGAATCAGTAATAAAACGCCTGCCAATCAGAAAAAGCCCAGGATCAGATGGATTCACAACAAAATTCTACCAGATGTGTAAGGGAGAGCTGGTACCATTTCTATGGAAACTATTGCAAAAAATTGAGGAGGAGGAAGTCTTTCCTAACTCATTCTATGAGGCCAGTGTCATTGTGGTGTGAAACCTGGCAGAGATATAATAAAAAGAAGAAAAAAAAGAAAAAAACTTCAGGACAATATCCTTCATGAACATTGATGCAAAAATCCTCAACAAAATACTAACAAACTAAATCCAGCAGCAAATCAAAAAGCTTATCCACCACAATCATGTGGGCATCATTCATGGAATGCAAGGATGATTCAACATGTGCGAATCAATTAATGTTATTCACCACATAAACAGAACTGAAAACAAAAACCACATGACGATCTTAATAGATGCAAAAAGGACTTTCGATAAAATTCAACATCTCTTCATGTTAAAACCCCTCCAAAAACAAAACACTGAAGGAACATACTTCAAAATAATAAGAGTCATCTACTAAAAACCCACAGCCATCATCATACTGAATGAGCAAACCTAGAAGCATTCCCTTTCAGTAAATTTTTCAGTTCTCAACACTGTATTGTCAAATACAGGCACTATGTTGTACAACAGATAACTAAAATGTATTTATTCCATATAACTGTAAAATCATTAAATAATAACTTTCCATTCACCTTCCCTAAATTTCTGACAACCACCATTCTACTTCTTCTAATATTAGTTTGACTACGTTAGATACCTCATAAAAGTGAAATCTTGCAGTATTTTTCACTCTGTGACAGAATTATTTCACTTAACATAACATCTTCCCAGACTCTCCATGATGGCAATCATTTTTGTTCTTTTTAAAGATGAAATATATTCCCTTGTATGTATCAACCACATTTTCTTTATTAAATAGTCCGTTGATTGACATTTTATTTGTTTCCATATTTTGACTATGGTGAATAATGCTACAGTGAACATGAGAGTGTGGCTATTTCTTTACATAATGATTTCATTTGTTTTGGATATATAGTGAGGAGTGCAATTGCTGGATCATATGGTAGTTCTACCTTTGATTTTTTGAGAAACCTTCATACTGTTTTTCATAGTAAATCTTCCTATAATAAACACAGAGTATGTATACGTAAGGTATCTGGTGTAACATGGAACCTAGAGGAGGCACTATGGTTGCAAATCATTTAAGTTAAACTCATGGAGAAATTGGCTTTATCATGTCCTGATATTCGATTCCACTAAAGCAATGAAGTTATCTGTAAATTGAAATACTCTGTTCTCCCCGGACAATTGATGTCTTAAAGGACAATGGAAACAAAGATGGCTTAAGAAAAAATGATGGCATTTTATATTAGGATAAATCTATGTTTAAACAAAAAAAACCTAAAATGAGTAGATTTGTATTATTAGAAGCTATACGATCACAAAATAAAGTTCAAAAATAAATAAAATATCCAATAAATTTAGAGAACTCATTGTTATTCCTGGTCTTAGGCCAACTTAAAAAAACGGCTATTTAAACAAATTAGTGCTCCATAATTTCAAGGGTTTGTAGATCTCAGGCTGCCAGCAAAACTGCAGTGATAACTAACTATGGGCAGTAGTACCGTAGTCACTACTGAAAAAAGTTTGTTGACATCACAAACTCTGTAACTATTGAGATGATTTCAGATAGTTTCTGGAGTAAAAAAAAGTGATGAAATCCAAATGTAATTGAAAGTAGTCCTAATGGTTACTGAGTTGCATAGTTATATAAAAGATGAAAGAGCCAACTAAGAAAGATGTTTGTTTTCATGTTGTACATCCTCTTTTTAGATCTAATGCCAATATGCTGAATGAGTTTGCAAACAATGAGCTTCAGTGCAACATGAATTTTTGAACTGGAAAAATCAACACAATGCTATTACTTCTCAATGTCAGCAGGTTAATAGAAGAAATGCAGAATAAAAATGGTTATACATGCAAATATTCACGTAACATATCAACCTAAATTTTGGTCATAAGAAAATCCATTTCAAAAGTAAAGGTAGCTTATACTTAACCTATCTGAAGCTATAGTGAACTTTGAATTTAATGTTAGGTTCTAATTTTCTTAAGTAGAAAAAGTTCTATATAAAGTCAATTTTAGCTTTATCATAAAATGCTTTTATTATGTAGTCCTAGGCCAACCAGGAGACAGGGGCTAATTTGCTGATATATTTTACTGAATGCACTAAGAATAATAAGTGCCCACCAGGAGTTTTTAAATCCACTTAGAGCCTCTTCATCAAAGACAGAAGAGTAGAAGTTAAGTATTCTCAGACATAACGACTTCCTAAATAAACCTTGCACTAATTAGGTACCCATGATAAAAAAAAAAACACTTCATTGGGCAGTAAGAGAGGCAGAGGCAGGAAGTGCTTGTAAAATTGTCCTGAATTTTAACCAATGTTTTGTAAAAAAAAAATTAATTTTCACCAGGGTATATTTTTCTGTTAATGTTGAATCCTTCAATTCACACATTTAAAATGTGACTCTTTTAATACATTTACATACTACCATCTGATAAAAATAATTTATTTTATGATGTGCTTAGTAAAAGATTTGTGCTAAATAAAAACATTTTGTAAAATAAGTGCAGCATTCTTTGACCGATAATAATTTTGACAAAAAGAAAAATATAACAGTTTAAGAAATTTTTTTTAAAAGCCTTTTTTGTTGTTGCACAATCTTTTCAATTTCCCCTAAACTCACACTATGTTGATATAGATACTATGTTCTTAACTTTAATTCAAGTTTAGCTTTAGAGAAAAAGACATTTATTTCCCACAAGTGGATAAAAAATCTCAAGGCAATTAACAAGTAATGGAAACAAAATGTCAGAATCAGAGAGTATGTTTAATAATCTACAGAGAAACCCACATTTCATGCAGTAGATCAGAAGAAAATATTTAACATCAACTCCAGGATTTAATATTTAGAGTGCTGAACTTAGAAGATGATTAAATGGTGAACCTAAGCAACTCTTATGCCAAGGTCAGGTCTCTAACTTGGAAAACCTGAGCTCCTTGAATAGGAATTACTTTCTGAATGAACCCAAAGATTTTGGTTTCATGAACTTTCACTCCACCCCATAAAAGCTAGTACCCTTCTCTGTGGAAAATAATACAGATATTGTTTCACAGTGAGGCAACAAGGTTCCCCTCTCATGAGCAAATCCCACCACCTCTTCTAAACAGCAAGCTGATAACTCAATTCACATTTGAAAAAATCGGGGTGGGGGCAGGGCAAGATGCCTGACTAGAAGCCTTGGTGTTCAAAGGCTCTCATCGAAAAAATACATAATAAGAGTGTGAATTCTTCACCAGCAGCCAAGGTATCCAGGTTCTCTCATCAAAATTTACTAGAAGGCTGGCTTGACCCATGGAGAGAAGGAACAGCAGTGTGGTGCAGTGGTCCACCCGAGAGCCATGCAGGGAAGGGAAACTCCCTCCCTGGGCCAAGGGAGGCAGTGAGTGAGAGCACTACCCAGCCAGGGAAACTGTGCTTTTTCCATGGAACTGTGCAACTCATGGACCAGAAGATCTCACTCGTGAACCTATGCCACTGGGGCTTCTGTCCCAACTCCTGAACACAGAGATTCTTACAGCCTTTCAGCTGGAATCTGCTTAAGCCTACTGAATTCCTAGGGGGAGGGCTGACCAGCACCTGCTGATGCTGCCTGCAGTCTAAGCCATTTGAACTCCTTGGGGGAAAGGCAGCAGCCAGCAGTGGGACTCACAACTGCCTAATACACCAAACTCCCTGGGCTGGGGAAGGGCAGCAACCATTTCTATAGCTCCAGTCTGTGCTTTTCCCCTGCTGGAGCCAGGGAGACTGGATGGCTTGGTCCCAAGACTTGTCCCAACAGCCCAACACACAGGCTGTGGCAGTCTGGAGCCAAAGTGCCTCTTCAGGTCTAACCCGGACCCATCCTTCCTCAATGGGTGGGGCTTCCCTGCAGGATCTCCAGTAACTCCAACCAGAGGCTCAGGAACAGAATTTGGATATCCCTGGGACTGAGCCCCTAGGGAGAGGGGTGGTGGCAGTCTCTGCAGACCAGCTGACTTTGCCTCTCCTTCTGGTAGTTCTGAGGAATCCAGGCAGCCCAGATGGGTCCCCAGTGAAACACACCCTCTCCGCTAAGGGACAAAGTGCTTTGGGAAACAGGTCCTGTTCACCATGCCATCCAACTGGGTGAGACCCTCCAACAGGGGTTGTCAAATATCCTATAAAGGAATGATCCTACTGACATCAGTTTGGTGCCCTTTGAGGTCAGAGGTCCTAGAAGAAGAAGCAGGGACCCATCTTTGCTGCTCTCCAACCTCCTTGAATGACATCTCCAGGCACGGGAGTGAATTAAATGAATAGGGACTGAAGTGAACCCTCAGCAAACTGGCACCACCCTACAGAAGGGGGACCAGATTATTGAAAGAGAAACAAACAAGCAAAAAGCAAAAACAATGGCATCAACAACAAAAAGACCCCCACCAAAACCCCAGCCAAGGGTCAGAAGTCTCAAAGACTGAAACTAGACAAACTCACAAAGATGAGAAAGAATCAACAACAAAAAAAATGCAGAAAACCCAAAAGGCCAGAGTGCCTCTTCTCCTCCAAATGATCATAAAGTCTCCCCATTAGGGGCCCAGAACTGGACAGAGGATAAGATGAACTAACTGACAGGAGTGGAGTTCAGAAGATTATTGGGGGAACCTGCCCCCAGTATTTCAACATAGGTTCTTTCAATTTTCCATAAGTGTTGGCCGGCTGAGAAATAAAGAGACAGTACAAAGAGAGGAATTTTATAGCTGGGCCACCAGGGGTGACATCACATATCAGTAGGACCGTGATGCCTGCCTGAGTCTCAGACCAGCAAGTTTTTATTCAGGGTTTCAAAAGGGGAGGGGGTGTAAGAACAGGGAGTAGGTACAAAGATCCCATATTTCAAAGGGCAAAAAGCAGAACTACTAATAAGGGTCTCACAAAGATCACATGTTTCTGAGGGAACAGGACAAAGGACAAAAGCAGAACTACTGATATGGGTCCAAAAAGATCACAAGGCAAAGGGCAAAAGCAGAACCACTGAAAAAGGTCTATGTTTCACTGCTATGTTCAGCAGTGAAAAAGGTCTTGATAAACATCTTAAACAACAGAAAACAGGGTTCAAGAGTAGAGAACCAGTCAGACCACAAATTTACCAGGGCAGAGTTTTTCCCCACCCTAGTAAACCTGAGGGTACTGCAGGAGACCAGGGTGTATCTCAGTCCTTATCTCAACTACATAAGACTGACATTCCCAGAGTGGCCATTTATAGACCTCCCCCCAGGGAATGCGTTCCTTCCCCAGCATATTAATATTAATATTCCTTGCTAGGAAAAGAATTTAGTGATATCTTCCCTACTTGCACGTCTGTTTATAGACTCTCTGCAAGAAGAAAAATATGGCTCTTTTTGCTCGACCCTGCAGGCAGTCAGACCTTATGGTTGTCTTCCCTTGTTTCCTAAAAATTGGTGTTATTCTGTTCTTTTTCAAGGTGCACTGATTTCATATTGTTCAAACACACATGTTTTACTATCAATTTGTACAGTTAACACAATTATCACTGTGTCCTGAGGTGACATACATCCTCTGCTTACGAAGATAACAGGATTAAGAGATTAAAGTAAAGACAGGCATAAGAAATTATAAAAGTATTATTTGGGAACTGATAAATGTCCTTGAAATCTTCACAATTTATGTTCCTCTGCTGTGGCTCCAGCCAGTCCCTCCGTTCAGGGTCCCTGACTTCCCGCAACAGAAGATGGGTTAAAAAAAATATGTTGAGCTAAAGGAGCATGTTCTAACCCAATGCAAAGAAGCTAAGAACCTTGATAAAAGGTTAGAGGAATTGCTAACTAGAATAACCAGTTTAGAGGGGAACATAAACAACCTGATGAAGCTGAAAAACACAGATGAGAACTTTGTGAAGCATACAGAAGTAACAACAGCTGAGTTGACCAGGCAGAAGAAAGTATATCGGAGTTTGAAGACCACCTTACTGAAATAAGACATGCAGACAAGAATAGAGAAAAAAGAAGGAAAAGGAAAGGAAAGAACAAAGCCTCCAAGAAATATGGGACTTCATAAAAAGACTGAACCTACAATTGATTGAAGTAACAAAAGGAAATGGGGAGAATGGAAACAAGCTGAAAAACACACAGCAGGGATTGCAATCCTAGTCTCTGACAAAACAGAATTTAAACCAACAAAGATCAAACAGACAAAGAAGGGCATTACATAATGGTGAAGGGGACAATTGAACAAGAAGAGCTAACTATTCTAAATGTATATGCACCCAACACAGGAGCACCCAGATTCATAAAACAAGTTCTTAGAGGCCTACAAAGAGACTTAGGCTCCCACCCAATGTCAGTATTAGACAGATCAACGAGACAGAAAATTAACAAGGATATTTAGGACTTGAACTCAGCTCTGGATCAAGTGGACCTAGCAGACTTCTACAGAACTCTGTACCCCAAATCAACAGAATATACATTCTTCTCAGTGCCACATGACACTTATTCTAAAATCAAACACAAAATTAGAAGTAAAAAAATGTTCAGCAAATGCAAAAACCTGAAACCATAACAGTCTCTCAGACAACAGTGCAATCAAATTAGAACTCAGGATTAAGAAACTCACTCAAAACCACATAATTTTATGAAAATTGAAAAACCTGCTGCTGGATGACTCCTGGGTAAATAATGAAATAAAGGCAGAAATCAAGAAGTTCTTTGAAACCAATGAGAACAAAGAGACAATGTACCAGATTCTCTGGGACACAGCTAAAGCAGTTTTAAGAGGAAAATTTATAGCACTAGATTCCCAAATCAGAAAGCTAGAAAAATCTCAAATCAACACCCTAATATAAGAATTAAAAGAACTAGAGAAGCAAGAGGAAACAAATCAAAAAGCTAGCAGAAGACAAGAAATAGCTAAGATCAGAGAATAATTGAAAGAGATAGGGACACAAAAAATCAACAAATCCAGGAGGTAGTTTTTTGAAAAAAATTAACAAAATAGATAGACTGCTAGCTAGACTAATAACGGAGAGAGAAGAATCAAATAAACAAAATAAAAAATGTTAAAGGGGATATCACCACTGACCTCACAGAAATACAAACTATCGTCAGAGAATACTATAAATACCTGTATTCAAATAAACTAGAAAATCTAGAAGAAATGGATAAATTCCTGGACGCATACACCCTACCAAAACTAAACCAGGAAGAAGTTGAATCCCTGAATAGACCAATAACAAGTGCTGAAATTGAGGCAGAATTAATAGCCTAGCAACCAAAAAAAGCCTAGGAACTACCTGATTCACAGCTACATTCTACCAGAAATACAAAGAGGAGCTGGTACCATTCCTTCTGAAACTATTTCAAATAACTGAAAAGGAGGGATTCATCCCTAACTCAATTTATGAAGCCAGCATCATACTGATAGCAAAACTGGGAAGAGACACAACAAAAAAAGAAAAAAATCAGTCCACTATTCCTGATTAATATTGATGCAAAAATCTTCAATAAAATACTGGCAAACTGAATCCAGCAGCACATCAAAAAACTTATCGACCGTGATCAAGTCGGCTTCATCACTCAGATGCAAGGCTGGTTCAACATGCACAAATCAATAAACATAATCTATTACATAAACAGAACCAAAGACAAAAGCCACATGATTATCTCAATAGATGCAGAAAAAGCCTTTGATAAAATTCAACATTCCTTCATGTTAAAAACTCTCAATGTACTAGGTATTGATTGAATATATCTAAAAATAATAAGAACTATTTATGACAAACTCATAGCCCATATCATATTGAATTGGCAAAAGTTGGAAGCATTCCCTTTGAAAACCTGTGCAAGGCAAGGATACCCTCTCTCATCACTCCTATTCAACATAGTATTGGAAGTTCTGGCCAGGGCAATCAGGAAAGAGAAAGAAAAAAGGCGGATTAAAATGGGAAGAGAGGAAGTCAAGTTGTCTCTCTTTGCAGATGACACGATTTTATATTTTAAAAAACCCCATCATATCAGCCCTTAAATTTCTTGACCTGATAAGCAACTTCAGGAAAGTCTCAGGATACAAAATCAATGTGCAAAAATCACAAGCATTCCTTTATGCCAACAATAGACAAGAAGAAAGCCATATCATGAATGAACTCCCATTTACAATTGCTACAAAGAGAATAAACTACCTACGAATACAGCTAACAAGGCATGTGAAGAGCCTCTTCAAATAGAACTACAAACCACTGCTCAAGGAAATAAGAGAGGACACAAACAAATGGAAAAACATTCCATCCTCATGGATAGGAAGAATAGGAAGAATCAATTTCGTGAAAATGGCCATACTGCCCAAAGCAATTTACAGATTCAATGTTATTCCCATCAAACTACCATTGACATTCTTCACAGAATTGGAAAAAAACTACTTTAAATGTCATATGGAACCAAAAAGGATCCCGTATAGCCAAGACAATCCTAAGCAAGAAGAATAAAGCTTCGGCAAAGACTTCATGACAAAAATTCCAAAAGCAATTGCAACAAAAGCCAAAATTGACAGATGGGATCTAATTAAACTAAGGAACTTCTGCAGAGCAAAATAAACTATCATAAGAATGAACAGGCAATCTACAGACTGGGAGAAAATTTTTGCAATCTACCCAACTGACAAAAGTCTATTATCCAGAATTTATAAGGAACTTAAACATATTGCAAGAAAAAAATAAACAGGCACATCAGAAAGCAGACAAAGGATATGAACAGACACTTCTCAAAAGAAGACATTTACACAGCCAAAAAACATATGAAAAAAAAAAGCTCAACATCAGTGATCATCTGAGAAATGCAAATCAAAAACACAATGAGATACCATCTCATGCCAGTCAAAATGGCGATTATTAAAAAGTCAGGAAACAACAGATGCTGGTGAGGGTGTGGAGAAATAGGAACACTTTTGCACTGTTGGTGGGAGTGTAAATTAGTTCAACCATTGTGGAAGACAGCATGGCAATTCCTCAAGGATCTAGAACCAGAAATACCATTTGACCCAGCAATCCCATTATTAGTATATACCCAAAGGAAAATAGTAAATTGTTATACTGTAAAGACACATGCACTCGTATGTTTATTGCAGAACTATTTATAATAGCAAAGACATGGAACCAACCCAAATGCCCATCAATGATAGACTAGATAAAGAAAATGTGGTACACATACCCCGTGGAATACTATGCAGCCATAAAAAGGAATGAGATCATGTCCTTTGTAGGGACATGAATGAAGCTGGAAGCCACCATCCTCGGCAAACTAACATAGGGACAGAAAACCAAACACTGCATGTTCTCACTTATAAATGGGAGTTGAACATTGAGAATACATGGACACAGAGAGGGGAACAACACACCAGGGCTTGTTGTGGGGTTGGGGGTGAGGGGAGAGAACTTAGGAGTCAGGTCAATAGGTGCAGCAAACCACCATAGCACATTTATACCTATGTAACAAACCTGCACATTCAGCACATGTATCCCGTTTTGTTTTTTTTTTAGGAGAAATAAAACACACACACACACACACACACACACACAAAAATTCAAGGATCCCATAATATCCCCCTTCAAAAAAGATAGTGAAGTTAAAATTAGTTATTCAGATGAACCCTAATCTAATATGGCTGGTGCCCATATAAGAAGAGGAGATTAAGACACAGACACTCATAGAGAGTGACCATTTGAATATGAAGGCAGTCAAAGAAATAGACCTCAGAAAAAACCATTTTGAACTTGGACCTGCAGTCTTTAGCACTGTGAGAAAATTAATTTCTGTTGTTTACACAGTCACACAGTCATTAGTAATTTGATGATCAAATAAAGAAGAAATTACTTTAGCATTAAAAAAATCTGGATCATGTGGACATTGCAGAAAACATCACATTGCTCCACTTTATTAATGTCCTCTACTCATTTTATTGAAAGATCAAGAAGTAGCTACACTATTGGAAAACTTGTGAGACATTCAATTCAGAGGATGAAGACTAAGCCCTATGAAGATTCAGAGACCAGTTCAGTAAAAATATTTACAGACCTATTAGAAGCATACTAGATATTGTTTCTAAATTAACAAATAAATTTAAGTATCTTATATGTTTTACTACAAAATAGGTACAATGCCTAATAGACCTATGCTCACTACTAAAGTACAATTTCACACATAGGATGCTTCTGTGACCCATAAAAAGGTAACCTGAGAGGCTTTGTGGGGTGTACATGTTGTGAGGTAAGTATTATTCCCCTATGGGCCATATGCTCCAATAGAACATAGTATTATGCTGAAAGGGTTATTAGTAAAAAAAAACATGTTGCGAGGTGTTTGTGGTGAGTCCTAGAGGAAAATTCAGAACATAGCCCACTGAGTCCTAGAACAAGACTATGCTATCTGTAGCAAATAACTATGTGTTTATTAAAAAAAATTACTCATCTGTCACCAAACCCTGATAGAGATGGAATTTTTAACCATTGGACACCATGCGAGCATGGATGTGGAACTGCCTAACATGAGCTCAGACCTTTGACACCCATCAAGTCATAAATAAGTCTGGGTTATCCTGCAATAATCCTTTGTAAGATGCAAATTGCATGTTTAATACTAAGTATAAGCAGAAAGAGGGGTTATAAGTAAGACACATGAGCAGGTATTGCCCCATGCTCCATGTACTCCGTCTGATCCCTCCTTGTTCAATGGAGTTTTACTTGTTTTCCTTCTTCAGCGCACAAGAAGGATATTTTTCCAAATGATCACATGCATAGGATAAAAAAATCCTGAGCTTGGCTTATGGATGAGTTTCCCAGGAAGTAAATGTAAGCTAAAAATACAGAATGACTGTACTACAGCTTTGCACATAAATGGCCTTGAAGGACAAAGTTTTTACCAATAGGTGATGCTTTAGAAAGTGCACCTATTCTTCTACTTTGTGTAGTAGGCAAAGTACTTTGAGAATAGAATATATATGGACACATTGGCAGTAGTCAGTAGTTTAAAACCCTCAGGAATAAAGATTTATTTCACACCACCAAGTAAACCAAATATGGTATCTGAGGGTAAACAAAATATAAAATAAATAATAGACAGACGATGAATAGCATTTAAGACCCTAAAATCAACTTTAGTGATGAGTACTGAAGTTTACCCCACTAAAAATACCCCCTTCTAATTCTTCCTTCAGGGAAAATAACCCATTTTGAAGGGGCTGCTTAAAAATTGGATCTATGTTGTATAATTAAGAGCTTGCTGCTCAGCTACAATGAATGTGCTTAGCTAACAGCCACTAGGTTTTAGTTCCTTTTCAGGATCTGCTTCAGTACTCAAGATGAGGCTAAGCTTCTTCAGGAAAAGCTTCTAGCCAATGACAGAGCAAGTCAGTGGTAGGTAAAGTCAAGCTCTTCTTAAGTTGGCACCCATATAGTAGCTGAGCAGGTAGGTGGTAGTGACATAGCCATTCTATCCAATATATAACTCTTTTAACAGGATATTTCTTTAGAGTTCATGATTGAGTTGCTACTCTGTTAGGTCTATATCTTGGTCTGACAATACCCTCTGATCATACTGCATCCCTTTCTTCTTTTAGAAGCTTCAGCCTTAATAATCCTTTTGCCCTATTAATTTTATCTTACCATCAGCTTCTCAATAAAACCTAATTTCAATGGTCTGCTATAATAAATTGGTATGTTTTCATTATTTTTATAGGGTTGTCAAGGTGTTATCATTAATTAATTTGTTCCTTTTGTTCTATAAGTATCTAAATACGTTTTTTTCAGAATCTGAGGATCTGGATTCTGTCCAAAGCTGTATGTTGGATACCTTGGTTATTCCCACAAAAATCTGGCCTTATAGAAATTAACATCAACAAGATAGCAAAATAGAAGATCTCAGGCAAATTTGGACAGCTAAAACATAAATGGAAAGAGGAGAAAGAAGTGTGTACTTATTGTATGCAATCAAGATTATCAGCTTTAAATCAACATTATCAGCTTCAAATAGACTATTCTAAATGCAAGATGTTCTTTGTAAGCCTCATGGTAACCAGAAAGCAAAAATCTACATGATATGCACAAAACAAAAATAAAAACATTCAAAACATATTGCTACAGAAAACCATCAAGCCACAAAGGAAGAGAGTAAGAGAGGAAGAAAGAACAAAAAGGTTACTTACAAAAATTCCAGAAAACAACAAAATGGCAGAATTAAGTCCTTACCTATCAATAATTACCTTAGATGTAAATGGATTATATTATAAAATAAAAATATATATAATGAGTAAATGAATTAAGAAAAATCAGACCCAACTATACGCTTCTTACAAGAGATGAAGTTTGCTTTTATGGGCACACATAGTCTGAAATTGAAGGATGGAAATAAGATATTTCACACAAATGGAAATCATAAAGGAGCAGGTGCAAAAATTTAGACAAACTAGATTTTAAATAGAGAAGAATAAAGGAGAAAAAGAAGGACATTTAAAAATTGATAAAAGAGTTAATTCATCAAGATAATATAACAATTATAAATTTGTATGAACTCAACAGTGGAGCATCTAAATATATAAGGCATATTAAAGGATATGAAAAGAGAGATAAGTTGCAATACAACAATAGTAGAAGACTTCAATACACCACTTTTAATATTGAACAGTTAATTGAGACCAAAAATTAATAAGAAAATACTGAACTTGAACAATGCTTTACAGAAGAACGCATATTCTTCTCAAACATACCTGGCATAATTTTCAGGATAGATCATATTTTGGTCACAAAACAAGTATTAGCAAATTGAAAAATGTTGAAATTATATCAAGTACCTTTTTAAACCCTAAAGGTATAAAATCAGAAATCAATAACTATAGGAATTTCAGAAAATTGACAAATGCATGAAAATGAATCAACATACCCACAATCAATAAATCAATGAAGAAATTAAAATAAAATGTACAAATAGCTTGAGACAAATAAAATGGAAACAAAATCTACTAAAATGTATGGAAAGAAGCAAAGAAGTTTTCCAAGGAAACTTTATAGCAAGAAATGCCTACATCTGAAAAGAAGAAAGATTGCAAACAACTTGATGTTACAACCCAAGATAATAGAAAAGGAAAAAAATACAATCAATGTTAGCAAAAGGGGGAAAAAGAGATCAAAACAGAAAAGAATAAAACAGCAACTAGATAAATAATGCAAAAGAGCAAAAAAACTAAGAGTTGGTTTTCTGAAAAGAGTAACAAAATTGACAAACGTTTAGGAAGATTAACCAAGAGTATAAGAGAAAAGACTCAAAGGAATAAAATCAGAAATGAAAGAAGGAACATTAGAACTGACACCTCAGAAATACAAACAGTCATAACAGACTATCATGAATAATTATATGCCAAAGTGTGGATAACCTAAAAGAAATTGATAAATTATTTGACATAACCTACCAAGCCTGAATTACGAAGAAATAGAAAATCTAGACGGACCAATACTGAGTGAAAAGATTGAATCAGTAATAAAATGTATTCCATCATAAAAGGCCCAGGACCTGATGACTTCACTGCTGAATTCTACCAAACATTTAAAAAACTGATACCAATTTCTCAAAAATGACTTCAAAGAATTGAAGGGGTGGGAACAGTCAAACCCGTTTCACTAGGCTAGCATTAACCTGATACCAAAGCCAGACAAGGACATCACTAGAAAAGAAAACTACAAGCCAATATTTTTGGGAAACAGAGATACAAAAATCATGAACAAAACACAGGCAAACTAAATGCAATAACAAAAGAATCATTTATTATGATGAAGTGAGATTTATCTCTGGGATTCAAGGATGGTTCGACATTTGCGAATCAATAAATGTGATTCACAGCATAAACAAAATGAAGGACAAAAATTATATGACCATCTCATAAGATGCTTATAAAACATTTGACAAAGTTCAATATCCTTTCTTATAAAAACTCTCTCAACAAATTAGATATACAAGAAATGTACATCAACACAATAAAAAAATGTATTACAAACACACAGATAACACACAAAGGAGAAAAGTTGAAAGCTTTTCTTCTAAGATCAGGAACAGGACAAGGATGCCCACTCTCAACAGTCCTATTCAATGTAGTACAGGAGGTCCTAGCCAGAACAATTAGGCAGGAGAGTGACAGGAAAGACATGCAACTTGGAAAGAGACAAGTTAAGTTGTCTGTTTCCAGACTATATAATTTTATGTATAGAAAACACTAAAGATTTCAACAAAAATAATAGAACTGGTAAATGATTTCAGCAAAGTTGCAGGACACTAAATCAACATGTAAAAATCAGCAGTGTTTCTCTACCCCAACAATAAAATTTCTGAAAAATATAACCAAGGGAATAATCACATTTACAATAGCTACAAAAAAATTAAAATGAGTTTTACACTAAAAACTAGGAAACATTAATGAATGAAACTTAAGACATCCAAATGGCTAACAGATATATGAAAAATGCTCAACACCGCTAATCATTAAGGAGATGCAAATTAAAACCACATGAGATATTACCTCACACCAATTACAATGGCTATTATTAAAAAGGCAAAAGATAACCAATTCTGGTAAGGATATGAAGAAAACAGATTTCTTGTACATTGCTTGTAGGAATATAAATTAGTATAATCATATAGAAAATAGTCTCTAAAGTTTCCAAAAAATAAAAATAAAAAGTAGAATTACTCTATGATCTAGCAATCCTACTTCTGGGCATTTACCTGAAAGATTTGAAATCAGTGTGTCAAAGAGATGTTTACACTCCCATGTTCATTGCAGTACTGTGTATAATGGCTAACCTATGAATTCAACATAAGTTTTCTTCAAGGGACGGATGATAAAAAAATTCTGTCATTTGTGACATCATAGAACATTAGCAAAATGTTCTCCAATTCCATTCATGAAATGAAACATGTCAAACACAGACAAATACCAAATGTTCTCACTTATATGTAGAATCTAAACCAATTGAATTAATGGAAGCAGAGAGTAGAAGGGTGGTATCCAGAAACTGGGATGTGAGGGAAACAGGAATAGTCAAAGGGCATAAAGGTACAAAGCCTCAGACAGTAGGAATATGCACATTTTTTAGAACAATTACACAGCATGGTGAATATAGCTATAACTGAATATTGTACAGTTAAATTTTATTAAGAAAGTAAATTTCAAATGCCCTTATCAAAAAATTATTAAATATTTGGGATAACAAATATGTTAAGCTTTATTTAACCATTACACATTGTTTTCAGAAATTATAATATCACCCTGTATGCAAAACATACATACATCACCATACATATAATTTGTCAACAAAAAGGAATTCACAGAATAATACAAATAATGAGATACATTCATAGATAAAAATATGGTATTTATTGTTATTAAGCAAACTTTCAAGAAATAAGCACTGTGAGCATTTTTTTTTTCATACTTTAAGTTTTAGGGTACATGTGCACAACGTGCAGGTTTGTTACATATGTATACATGTGCTATGTTAGTGTGCTACACCCATTAACTCATCATTTACATTAGGTATATCTCCTAATGCTATCCCTCCCCGCTCCCCCCACCCCACAACAGGCCCCTGTGTGTGATGTTCCCCTTCCTGTGTCCATGTGTTCTCATTGTTCAATTCCCACCTATGAGTGAGAACATGAGGTGTTTGGTTTTTTGTCCTTGCGATAGTTTGCTGAGAATGATGGTTTCTAGCTTCATCCATGTCCCTACAAAGGACATGAACTCATCATTTTTTATGGCTGCATAGTATTCCATGATCTATATGTGCCACATTTTCTTAATCCAGTCTATCATTGTTGGACATTTGGGTTAGTTCCAAGTCTTTGCTATTGTGAATAGTGCCACAATAAACATATGTGTGCATGTGTCTTTATAAGCAGCATGATTTATAATCCATTGGGTATATACCCAGTAATGGGATGGCTGGGTCAAATGGTATTTCTAGTTCTAGTGAGCATTTAGATAAGCAAGCCATTGTTTTCTTTGAGGAATGCAGGCATCATAGAGGATGTAGTATCTATTACTGTGAAAATTTTCATCCTATGAGTCTTGAAAGGAGGCAGAGCCCATCTACCATGGTAGACGTCAAAGATACAGATATAGATTTCTGTAGCCTTCCTTAGAGAAAGGGTACTACTACATGACCTAGATTTACTGGTCAGATTCCACCCATCCTACTTCTGAACTTTGAATCAGTTCATTTCAAAAGAAAAGGGACAGTAGAGAAAACATCTCGGTGTTGATGGTGAAGTGGTAGTGTAGCATCCAGGTTCCAGGCTCAGCAGTAGAAGCATCAATTGTCCTGCAGCAGCAACTAAAATAGCGCCAGCTTAGCAGGGCAGCTCTGTCCTCATGGGCCTGGCTCTGGAACTTGATATTTACCAGTTGGCTGCTGCCTGGCCTCCCTTGTGTCTGACCATTCTCGAACTTGGTTCACAATTTTTCCTTTCACACCACTAGCTACTAAATACTTATTCAATACATTTATATTCTGTGTAAATGAGACAGTGTTGTTTTCTGTTGCTTGCTTCAAAAAACACCAGCTGATACAGAGAGATGATGCATGAACACACACAGATGGATGAGGTAAAACAGAATAGAAAAGTCAAAAATTTAGAATTCTCGATTTTTCTGTTGCCTACAACCACTACATCGAAACTTCTAGCTAAATCTACTGTTTTATTCTCCAAAACATATCTTCCTGTATTTATTGTCCATCTCCATTACTATGACCCTGTTGAAGCCACATCTCTTTCCTATGTTAAGCAAAATTTTATGTAAATATCCTCTCTAGGTCCCAAATTAATTTAAGCTTCTCATAAGCCAGTGGCTAAAAGGTTTAGAAAACCAAAGGAGAGTTATCAATTAGAAAGCTTTTGCAAAAACTATTTTCTACTTAAGATAGCATTGGATTTTAACCAGACATTCACTGCAATGGATTTTCAGACCTCTGTTTTTTTCTTTCTTTTTTTTTTTTTCAGGCCTTGAAGTTGTAGTAGAATTGTAAAAGGCTCTTCATCTCCCGCTCTCTTCTACATATAGAAAGCAGGAGAAATAAATTCATCTATTGTCACATTTTCTGGAAACAGTCTGGTTACCCCTGTTTCTCCCTTGAGGTGACCAGCCTGCTTCAACTGAATGCTCAACAGAGATATCATATTACAGTTTTACTTTCTCATTTTGAACATGGAAAGACTAGCTTCCTCTATTTTTTAGAGGCTATATTGCAATGTAGTAAGAATTTATGGAAAATTCTCACAACAAAATTGAATATAGAAAGACTACAGAATACTTCCTCCTTTGGTGATTACTCATGTAACTGTTTTCCAACTCATAAAGTAAGCAAGTTAAACTCTTCTCCTATCACTCCAAGAAAATGTGAACTGTTCATTTGTCTGGAAAAATCTATAATTGAATCCATCTGTGCCTGTGGGTTTCAGTTTATTTTCCCTTTTCTTTCAGTGAAGGGTTTTAAGTGACAAATTTGATTCCTTAATAGATATCAGACAATTCTAATATTTAACTTCTTCTTTTGTCATCTTTACTAAGTTATATTGTCCCAGGAATTTGTCTATTTTATTCACATTGTCAAATTTTTGTCATACAGTTTTTCAGAATGTCACGTCTAAATATCTTTTGATCTGTGAAGATTTGTAGTGATATGATATTAATAGCACCCATAATATTAATTTTCTTCTCTTATTGTATCAATCAGTCTTTTTAGTGTTTATCAATTGTGTTAATGTTATTAACGTGTCAAATTTTGGCTCTTGTCTTATGATTTATATTTATTTTATTAATATCTGCATTTATATTTATTATTCATTTAGGTTTTTCATCTTTATACAAATTAAATACAAATAATACAAAATTTCGTATAGTTACAAAGTAAAATGCAAGAATAAAAATGTTATTTAGCAGCAAATTAAAGAACTATGTGATGAGGAGTAAAATAGAAATGGAAGTACTCATTGCTTTACCATTTTATGTGAGATTATCTAGATACATTTTCAGTTGCTAAATTATTCAAAAGAAGATTAAGTATATTCTTAAAAATCATAATTACTGAAAAAACTAAGATTTCAGAAATTTCTGACAAAATCTGAAGAGTTGAAAAGTGGAAATGGTATTTTTATTATTTAAATGTATCAGCTAAATTTCTCATATGGGAGTGCCAAATTTGATAATCAAGAAAGAGTAGTATTAATATATTATTTCCTGTTCTTTTGGTAACCATAATGTATCAGCTAACATTTGAGTCAACTTTGAAGAATGGGGGAAAGTTATGGAGACAATGGAAACAGAGGATTTTTTCCCTCTCACATGATAATGTTTATGGACAGACATTTTTTTGTGTTACAGCACGGCTCCTTTTATTTTCTGCTTCTGCAGGCCCCTGCTCTATGCTGTTCTGTGAGCCTAGGTCTGACACTTTCAAATTAGGATATAAGATAGCTGCTAATATTCAAGAGCTAACTACAAGAAAATGAAACATGCAGAAGATAGGTGTCTCTTTTCTCATTAAAAACTTCTCTCTAAATTAGAACATACGTTTCTGTTTATGTCTCATAAACCAAATTGTAGCTAAATGATGTCTTCTAGGCAAGATAGGTTACAAAGTATTGTTTTAGTTCTTTTGGCAGTAGACATAACTAAGGGTAAGCCACAAGATGGTGAGAACACATATTGGGGTAAGCAGCAAGCGGTCTCCACAAGACACTAAAATAACGTTATGGAGAAAGAGTTAAAAGATATTACCGCTGAGGAGAGGAGCCAAGATGGCCGAATAGGAACAGCTCCGGTCTACAGCTCCCAGCGTGAGCGACGCAGAAGACGGTGATTTCTGCATTTCCATCTGAGGTACCGGGTTCATCTCGCCAGACAGTGGGTGCAGGTCAGTGGGTGCGCGCACCGTGCGTGAGCCGAAGCAGGGCGAGGCATTACCTCACTTGGGAAGTGCAAGGGGTCAGGGAGTTCCCTTTCCAAATCAAAGAAAGGGGTGACGGACGGCATCTGTAAAATCAGGTCACTCCCACCCGAATACTGCACTTTTCCGAAGGGCTTAAAAAACGGCACACCACGAGATTATATCCCACACATGGCTTGGAGGGTCCTACGCCCATGGAGTCTCCCTGATTGCTAGCACAGCAGTCTGAGATCAAAGTGCAAGGCAGCAGCAAGGCTGGGGGAGGGGCGCCCGCCATTGCCCAGGCTTGCTTAGGTAAACAAAGCAGCCGGGAAGCTCCAACTGGGCGGAGCCCACCACAGCTCAAGGAGGCCTGCCTGCCTCTGTAGGCTCCACCTCTGCGGGCAGGGCACAGACAAACAAAAAGACAGCAGTAACCTCTGCAGACTTAAATGTCCCTGTCTGACAGCTTTGAAGAGAGCAGGGGTTCTCCCAGCACGCAGCTGGAGATCTGAGAACGGGCAGACTGCCTCCTCAAGTGGGTCCCTGACCCCTGAGCAGCCTAACTGGGAGGCACCCCCCAGCAGGGGCACACTGACACCTCACACAGCAGGGTATTCCAACAGACCTGCAGCTGAGAGTCCTGTCTGTTAGAAGGAAAACTAACAGAAAGGACATCCACACCAAAAACACATCTGTACATCACCATCATCAAAGACCAAAAGTAGATAAAACCACAAAGATGGGGAAAAAACAGAACAGAAAAACTGGAAACTCTAAAAAGCAGAGCACCTCTCCTCCTCCAAAGGAACGCAGTTCCTCACCAGCAACGGAACAAAGCTGGATGGAGAATTACTTTGACGAGCTGAGAGAAGAAGGCTTCAGATGATCAAATTACTCTGAGCTATGGGAGGACATTCAAACCAAAGACAAAGAAGTTGAAAACTTTGAAAAAAATTTAGAAGAATGTATAACTAGAATAACCAATACAGAGAAGTGCTTAAAGGAGCTGATGGAGCAGAAAACCAAGGCTCGAGAACTACGTGAAGAATGCAGAAGCCTCAGGAGCCGATGTGATCAACTGGAAGAAAGCGTATCAGCGATGGAAGATGAAATGAATGAAATGAAGCGAGAAGGGAAGTTTAGAGAAAAAAGAATAAAAAGAAATGAGCAAAGCCTCCAAGAAATATGGGACTATGTCAAAAGACCACATCTACGTCTGATTGGTGTACCTGAAAGTGACAGGGAGAATGGAACCAAGTTGGAAAACACTCTGCAGGATATTATCCAGGAAAACTTCCCCAATCTAGCAAGGCAGGCCAACGTTCAGATTCAGGAAATACAGAGAACGCCACAAAGATACTCCTCAAGAAGAGCAACTCCAAGACACATAATTGTCAGATTCACCAAAGTTGAAATGAAGGAAAAAATGTTAAGGGCAGCCAGAGAGAAAGGTCGGGTTACCCTCAAAGGGAAGCCTATCAGACTAACAGCGGATCTCTCGGCAGAAACCCTACAAGCCAGAAGAGAGTGGGGGCCAATATTCAACATTCTTAAAGACAAGAATTTTCAACCCAGAATTTCATATCCAGCCAAACTAAGCTTCGTAAGTGAAGGAGAAATAAAATACTTTACAGACAAGCAAATGCTGAGAGATTTTGTCACCACCAGGCCTGCCCTAAAAGAGCTCCTGAAGGAAGCGCTAAACATGGAAAGCAACAACCGGTACCAGCCGCTGCAAAATCATGCCAAAATGTAAAGACCATCAAGACTAGGAAGAAACTGCATCAACTAACGAGCAAAATAGCCAGCTAACATCATAATGACAGGATCAAATTCACACATAACAATATTAACTTTAAATGTAAATGGACTAAATGCTCCAATTAAAAGACACAGACTGGCAAATTGGATAAAGAGTCAAGACCCATCAGTGTGCTGTATTCAGGAAAACCATCTCACGTGCAGAGACACACATAGGCTCAAAATAAAAGGATGGAGGAAGATCTACCAAGCAAATGGAAAACAAAAAAAGGCAGGGGTTGCAACACTAGTCTCTGATAAAACAGACTTTAAACCAACAAAGATGAAAAGAGACAAAGAAGGCCATTGCATAATGGTAAAGGGATCAATTCAACAAGAAGAGCTAACTATCCTAAATATATATGCACCCAATACAGGAGCACCAGGACTCATAAAACAAGTCCTGAGTGACCTACAAAGAGACTTAGACTCCCACACATTAATAATGGGAGACTTTAACACCCCACTGTCAACATTAGACAGATCAACGAGACAGAGAGTCAACAAGGATACCCAGGAATTGAACTCAGCTTGCACCAAGCAGACCTAATAGACATCTACAGAACTCTCCACCCCAAATCAACAGAATATACATTTTTTTCAGCACCACACCACACCTATTCCAAAATTGACCACATAGTTGGAAGTAAAGCTCTTCTCAGCAAATGTAAAAGAACAGAAATTATAACAAACTCTCTCTCAGACCACAGTGCAATCAAACTAGAACTCAGGATTAAGAATCTCACTCAAAACCACTCAACTACATGGAAACTGAACAACCTGCTCCTGAATGACTACTGGGTACATAATGAAATGAAGGCAGCAATAAAGATGTTCTTTGAAACGAACGAGAACAAAGACACAACATACCAGAATACCTGGGACACATTCAAAGTAGTGTGTAGAGGGAAATTTATAGCACTAAATGCCCACAAGAGAAAGCAGGAAAGATCCAAAATTGACACCCTAAAATCACAATTAAAAGAACTAGAAAAGCAAGAGCAAACACATTCAAAAGCTAGCAGAAGGCAAGAAATAACTAAAATCAGAGCAGAACTGAAGGAAATAGAGACACAAAAAACCCTTCAGAAAATTAATGAATCCAGGAGCTGGTTTTTTGAAAGGATCAACAAAATTGATAGACCACTAGCAAGACTAATAAAGAAAAAAAGATGAATCTAATAGACGCAATAAAAAATGATAAAGGGGATATCACCACCAATCCCACAGAAATACAAACTACCATCAGAGAATACTACAAACACCTCTACGCAAATAAACTAGAAAATCTAGAAGAAATGGATAAATTCCTCGACACATACACTCTCCCAAGACTAAACCAGGAAGAATTTCAGTCTCTGAATAGACCAATAACAGGATCTGAAATTGTGGCAATAATCAATAGCTTACCAACCAAAAAGAGTCCAGGACCAGATGGAATCACAGCCAAATTCTACCAGAGGTACAAGGAGGAACTGGTACCATTCCTTCTGAAACTATTCCAATCAATAGAAAAAGAGGGAATCCTCCCTAACTCATTTTATGAGGCCAGCATCATTCTGATACCAAAGCCTGGCAGAGACACAACCAAAAAAGAGAATTTTAGACCAATATCCTTGATGAACATTGATGCAAAAATCCTC
The DNA here is from genome assembly GCF_000001405.40 of Homo sapiens. NCBI lineage: Eukaryota > Metazoa > Chordata > Mammalia > Primates > Hominidae > Homo > Homo sapiens. The sequence goes on along the minus strand of NC_000004.12, from coordinate 65,995,714 downwards.
AATAAAATACTGGCAAAACGAATCCAGCAGCACATCAAAAAGCTTATCCACCATGATCAAGTGGGTTTCATCCCTGGGATGCAAGGCTGGTTCAATATACGCAAATCAATAAATGTAATCCAGCATATAAACAGAGCCAAAGACAAAAACCACATGATTATCTCAATAGAGGCAGAAAAAGCCTTTGACAAAATTCAACAACCCTTCATGCTAAAAACTCTCAATAAATTAGGTATTGATGGGACGTATTTCAAAATAATAAGAGCTATCTATAACAAACCCACAGCCAATATCATACTGAATGGGAAAAAACTGGAAGCATTCCCTTTGAAAACTGGCACAAGACAGGGATGCCCTCTCTCACCACTCCTATTCAACATAGTGTTGGAAGTTCTGGCCAGGGCAATTAGGCAGGAGAAGGAAATAAAGGGTATTCAATTAGGAAAAGAGGAAGTCAAATTGTCCCTGTTTGCAGATGACATGATTGTATATCTAGAAAACCCAATTGTCTCAGCCCAAAATCTCCTAAAGCTGATAAGCAACTTCAGCAAAGTCTCAGGATACAAAATCAATGTACAAAAATCACAAGCATTCTTATACACCAAAAACAGACAAACAGAGAGCCAAATCATGAGTGAACTCCCATTCACAATTGCTTCAAAGAGAATAAAATACCTAGGAATCCAACTGACAAGGGATGTGAAGGACCTCTTCAAGGAGAACTACAAACCACTGCTCAAGGAAATAAAAGAGGATACAAACAAATGGAAGAACATTCTATGCTCATGGGTAGGAAGAATCAGTATCATGAAAATGGCCATACTGCCCAAGGTAATTTACAGATTCAATGCCATCCCCATCAAGCTACCAATGCCTTTCTTCACAGAATTGGAAAAAACTACTTTAAAGTTCATATGGAACCAAAAAAGAGCCCGCATCACCAAGTCAATCCTAAGCCAAAAGAACAAAGCTGGAGGCATCACACTACCTGACTTCAAACTATACTACAATGCTACAGTAACCAAAACAGCATGGTACTGGTACCAAAACAGAGATATATAGATCAATGGAACAGAACAGAGCCCTCAGAAATAACGCCGCATATCTACAACTATCTGATCTTTGACAAACCTGAGAAAAACAAGCAATGGGGAAAGGATTCCCTATTTAGTAAATGGTGCTGGGCAAACTGGCTAGCCATATGTAGAAAGCTGAAACTGGATCCCTTCCTTACACCTTATACAAAAATCAATTCAAGATGGATTAAAGACTTAAACATTAGACCTAAAACCATAGAAACCCTAGAAGAAAACCTAGGCATTACCATTCAGGACATAGGCATGGGCAAGGACTTCATGTCTAAAACACCAAAAGCAATGGCAACAAAAGACAAAATTGACAAATGGGATCTAATTAAACTAAAGAGCTTCTGCACAGCAAAAGAAACTACCATCAGAGTGAACAGGCAACCTACAAAATGGGAGAAAATTTTTGCAACCTACTCATCTGACAAAGGGCTAATATCCAGAATCTACAATGAACTCAAACAAATTTACAAGAAAAAAACAACCCCATCAAAAAGTGGGCAAAGGACATGAACAGACAGTTCTCAAAAGAAGACATTTATGCAGCCAAAAAACACATGAAAAAATGCTCATCATCACTGGCCATCAGAGAAATGCAAATCAAAACCACAATGAGATACCATCTCACACCAGTTAGAATGGCAATCATTAAAAAGTCAGGAAACAACAGGTGCTGGAGAGGATGTGGAGAAATAGGAACACTTTTACACTGTTGGTGGGACTGTAAACTAGTTCAACCATTGTGGAAGTCAGTGTGGCGATTCCTCAGGGATCTAGAACTTGAAATACCATTTGACCCAGCCATCCCATTACTGGGGATATACCCAAAGGACTATAAATCATGCTGCTATAAAGACACATGAACATGTATGTTTATTGCGGCATTATTCACAATAGCAAAGACTTGGAACCAACCCAAATGTCCAACAATGATGGACTGGATTAAGAAAATGTGGCACATATAGACCATGGAATACTATGCAGCCATAAAAAATGATGAGTTCATGTCCTTTGTAGGGACATGGATGAAATTGGAAAACATCATTGTCAGTAAACTATCACAAGAACAAAAAACCGAACACCGCATATTCTCACTCATAGGTGGGAATTGAACAATGAATTCACATGGACACAGGAAGGGGAATATCACACTCTGGGGACTGTTGTGGAGTGGGGGGAGGTGGGAGGGATAGCATTGGGAGATATACCTAATGCTAGATGACGAGTTAGTGGGTGCAGTGCACCAGCATGGCACATGTATACATATGTAACTAACCTGCACAATGTGCACATGTACCCTAAAACTTAAAGTATAATAAAAAAAAAAAAAAGATATTACCGCTGAGTTACACAAAGTATGGGTTGGACATAACAGTATTTATTTTTAATTGCAAATATAGAAAATGCTATTTACTAGGAAAATATGCAATAGCCATCAAAATTATGTAGAATAGGCTACATAGTAATATAGAACAATATTGATAATATATTGATTAGTAGAATAAAATGATAAATGATCAGTATAGCACTATTATTTTTAAGGTACTATGTATGTTTGCATCCATGTAAGTAAATGAAATTATTATAAGACTTTTAAAAGGAAAGATATCAAGAGTCATCATTGTTTACTTGGGAACTTTGCTAATTTGTCCTAAAATATTTCATGGTCATATATTGTATAAGTTTATAGGCACGAAGCTGATCATTTTGGGGGAAAAAAGCTAATCTGCATGATTCAAATTCAGATAAAAAGATTTTAGGCTTTCAGGTAACCTACGGTATCTTCTAGGCTGGTCATGTTACCAGGCTGTTACAACTTCATGAAATATTTTTGTAGCAAAAATGGTATTAAGTGACTTTAAATTTATGTTTTGAAAAATTTTATAAGTAAAAGCAATCAGTTTTGTTATTATTGCATCATTAGCTCCACTGTCTCTAAGTGGTAATAAATTCAAATATAAAAAATGATTAATTACTTGTGTTAGCTCTACATGAAGTACTGGTTGACTAGATAGACTAGTGAGAAGTACAAAATGACCTGGTGAGATGCCATCTGTATTTCTGTCCAACCTTATAAAAACATTTCTCCTGCTTTCATTATCACAGTGCTCAATAACAATTTAACAGAAGTTTTATCACCAGGACATCATGGGTGTATTTCATACTCCCTTGATATGCTTTGATTGCCTCCTGAAACATTTTAGGGTTAATTGTCTTTATTAAGCATATTTCCATATCTCCTTGGAATCCACAACATAGACTTTTACAAATCTCTAAAAATAATTACCATGTCAGTTTAAAACCAAGTCATATGCCAAAAGGCAAGAAATAGAAAATTTGAAAATGAATATTACTCCTAATTTCAAGCCAACAGCTCAACTGATTAGGTTTATATAGTTGATTATTCAAATGGTAAATGCTATAAGTAAAATTGAGTCTTTTTTTACATATTGTTGATCTCTCTTTCAAAAGATTATTTACATATTAAAGTATAACATCAAGAACCCTCTCAGGTAGCTATCTCTAGCTTTGAAAATAATGTGGTCTACTCTATCTTCTCTCCATTTTTTTTTTTTTTCTGTTTGTTGATTAAAAAAATTCTATATAATTTTTAAATAAATAATTATATAATATATGGGTTATGTTTTTATAAACATGTGATGTTATATTCATATCTAATGAAATAATAGTAATTTATTAATGTCTAATACTGAATCCAGGTATAAATTTTCTAAATTCTTTCAAAAGTTTTTAATTTGTCCAAAGTAGAATCTCAGTATGGTTCACATATTTCATTTGGTTGGTATAATCAAGGCTTATGCAATCTATACTGTCCCCTCACAGTTTTACACTATTTATCTGTGGAGGAAAACAGTGTCTTTACCTCTAAAATTTCTGTTCCATATTTGACTGCTTCCTCATGTTATCAGTCAACTTATTCTTTGCTCATGTTTTTTTCTAAGCTATTTGTTGCATCTGGAGACTGGGTTAACTTTTAGATAAGTTTATATTTTAGGCAAAAAATGCTCCATAGGCCATTCTGTATATGTCTTAGTAGCTTCAACAGAAGGCAATAATGTTTATGTGTTCCAAATATAGAGATATTAACTTCTATTAGTAAGTTTAGGTTTTATCTGCTTGACTCATTAGTTATGAAGTTCTCCCTGAAGCTGTTTCCTATTGGTTTTGAATCAACAGAAGATTTTGTAGTTGAATCCATTTTTAATGATACACTGCATAAAGATTAATTTGCTAATTATGTTATTTCCTCCGTATTTATTACTTGAAATTGTTTTACAAAGTACTCTTCTTCAGCTATTTATTTAAAAAATAAATTTCATCATAAACTTACAGTAAATATGCTTGATATAGTCTTTGTATCAGTTTGTTGTTAGTGCCCTCTAAAAGTCACCAAATGGATTTTTAGTATCATCCTAAACACATGATTTTAGTGTTGCTAATATACTTCAATACATCTTAGTTATTACCTTTACGTTTAATTTCCCTCATCTTTAGCCAGTAATAATTTTTATCCTGTGGCTTTTTAAAAAATTCCAGTAGTTTATCATAACTTACCTTCTGGTTAAGCAGAATATCTTAGTCCTATCTTTATAAATTGCGTGTTCCAGGTGGAGAATTTTATTTATAATTGGTATGTTATTGATAAGGGTGTTCTTAAATATTCTTGTGTTTCAGTTTTTATGCTTATTTATTCCTAACTTCTTAAAGAAAATATTCTACGTAATACTGGATATCAAATTTGTTCAAACTTGCTCAGTTTGGCTTGGCAAATGTCAACTTTTTAAATTTTTCAAGTCCATTTGTGAAAATGAATTTTTTAATTGTAAGATATAGAATTCTCTGTATGATTTTTAACAAAGCTAATTTATTATGGTGCTTAAATCATTACATAATCATTTCATGATGTTATCAATTACTAAGAGATGTGTGTTAAAATATCCCCATGAAACTGTAGAGTAGTGATTCTGCCAAATTTTACTTTATATACTTTGGGGTTACTTTGTAAATAGTAGACAAGTTTAGAATTCTTAATCTTCTTGTTGTATTCTCTCATTATTATACAGAGGATATTTTTATAAAATTACAAATAATACAAATGTGGATAGAATGGTAAGTAGATGATAAATATACTCCAGATAGATAGAATGTTATGGTATAAATCCATATAAATAAGCATTCTTTGGGTAGAATTTTTCTATTTTACTGGATTAATTTTGCCCATCTTTTACCTTCAAAGTTTCTTATATTTGTTTCTTATAACTTATATTTTAGTTGTGTCGTAAAGAGCTTATATTCATTATTTTTAATTTATCTCATCTGCAAATCAAGATATTTAAATTAGTAATATTAGTTCACTTTTATTTTAATTATGATTGCCAGTATAAAATATATTTATTGTTATGATATAAATTATATTTATATCTCTCTGGATTGTATTTGTCATCTATTTACCTATCTCTCCATATTTGTATTATGTAAGTATATAAAATAAAATTATATAAAGTATGTAAAGTAAAATTTGGCAGAATTACTAACTCTACAGTTTCACAGTGAATATTTTAATACATATTATACTTTCTCTTTTTCTATTTAACTTGTGTTCTTCAATTATATTTTCTTTTCTCCTTAAATTTTTTGTGAGGTTGGAGTAATTAGAGGTTTAGATTTTTATTCTTTTGTATCTATTTGTCTGATAGTTACATATTTCATTGCTATTTTTAAATTATGTGCATATTGAACAAAATTTCAAGATAAGCCAGAAATAACCAAACATTGTAATGATATGTTTAAAACATTTAGATAAAATTAAATGAATGAAAGAATGAATCAATCACTGAAGAAATGAATGAAAAATAATGGATGTGAAACAGAATCAGCTTATGGGTGGTCAGTTTGGAAATTCTTTTTATTGGGAAAGAAGGGCAATAAGTCTTGTGTTATTTTACTCTTTGTGACAATTGAAATACTTTTTCTTTCATATCTTGGATATTCATTTATTCAGGAATATTGAAAAACAAGAAAGAAGACTTGTGATAGCTTCATTAGTAAACATGTCATTTAATTGACCTACAACATATGAAAAAAATAAAAAAGTATATCTTTTAAATATACTGTTTCCAAATCAGATCTTCTCTTATCAGATAAAAATAGATGATTATGTAAAAAGGAAAATAAGGGAAGATTCTGCATAAACTTAAGTTACGGCTCAGTTTTAAATTTTAGAACATAGCATCAAGCTATTTTAAGTATACATCTTTAAACACTGGGCTCATTTCCATTTATACTTTGCTTGCCTATGTTCTATTTGTAATACATTATAAAGCTTAAAAGAAAAAATACTTTATTTATTTAAAAACTTTGTTAAGAATAAAGTAATTTCTAATTAAACTATAATGAGCTGACCACATCCATGGTCTTCTAACTGGCAGTCACCACAACTGAATTTGATAAGGCCCAAGAGACAAGTCCTGTGACTTTTTTCACACAATCAATCAGTTCACACACACTTACAGACATTGAAGAATTTATCATTTCGGGTGAGGTAGAACGAAGGAACTTATCTTTCATAATGCAAGAAGTTTTCATAGTTGAAGGACAATCATATTATGTCATCATTTATTTAAAATAGAAACAAAATTATAGATAACATTACTTTCACTTAATTTTAATTTAAAATGTTTGACCCATAGTTTTATGACTGTTTCTGTGGGGCAAAATGATATAGCTGGAAGATAAAATTGTACATTAAAATTAAAATTTTCCTATGAGGAAATATAGGAAAAAATAATGTTTATAACTCCAACTTACTGACTGCTTAGCATGTGCCAAGTACTCTGATAAGCACTTTACATGCAGGGCACAAAGCTTCTATGAATAGTAAATAGGATAAATTGAATTTAAAACCAAACTTTTATTGATGCTAAAAGCAATGTATGACACAATATCAGTAGTATAAGCACACTTAAATATGTTCTCTCTCATTTAAATATTATCATTATTGTTTTATTTTATTTTATTTTATTTTGTTGAGATGGAGTCTTGTTCTGTCACCCAGGCTGGAGTGCAGTGGCATGATCTCAGGTCACTGCAAGCTCTGCCTCCCAGGTTCATGCCATTCTCCTGCCTCAGCCTCCCGAGTAGCTGGGACTACAGGCACCCGCCACCACACCTGGCTAATTTTTGTATTTTTAGTAGAGACAGGGTTTCACCGTGTTAGCCAGGATGGTCTTGACCTCCTGACCTCATGATCCATCCGCCCAGGTCTTCCAAAGTGCTTGGATTACAGGCGTGAGCCACCGCACACCTGCCTAAATATTATATTTTTTAACTTATGTAAGTTTACATTATTGTTTCTATTCATCTCTTCATTTTGTCTAGTTCATTGACTAGCTTAGGTCCTAATTTTCAGGCACACTTCCATGTCTATATTCAGCCATATCAACCTGACTCACTCGTGATTTCTTTTTCTTTAATCTACCCTGGTCATGTTCTTGTTTCATGATATCCTCACTTCTCTGTAACTACTTGACTAAAATTTTAGATTTATTTTTGACAAGTGTTATTCAATCAAGCTGTGTCTACCACAACTAGAATTTCTAGCTATTGTTTAAGGGCATTACCTTTAGAGGTTGGGTTTCTCTTGCTCTGAGTATTTGTCAGGTCCAAATTCTTGGTCTGTAAATATTATTAATGAAATGTGTACTTGCATTCAAAGCCTTGTATAGATTATTTCTCATATACATTTTCATATTTATCCCTTAGTTACCATATGACCACTTTGATCCATGGTTTATACAATATGTAGACCTTTGCTCTTTTTGCTTAAACATTTTCTTTTATCTAGTTAGGATTAATGGATTTATGTTGGGAGTGGTTATGATATTTTAAAGGGAGAGGTTTTCTATAAGCAAGGGTAGAATTTTAAGAGTGTAGGAGACAAGTTTATTATTAAAGCAATGGAATGTCTACTGAAGCTTTTAAACATACGAAAGCAATACAAAGTCATTTTCCTTTTATTTTTGATTTCTTCAAAAAAAAAATGGGATACATGTGCAGAATGTGCAGGTTTTTTACATAGGTATATGTGTTCCATGGTGGTTTCCTGCACCTATTGACCTGTCCTCTAAGTTCCCTCTCCTCCCCCCACCCACCCCACAACATTCCCTGGTGTGTGTTGTGTCCATGTCTGTGGCCATGTGTTCTCAATGTTCAACTCCCATTTATAAGTAAGAACATGCGGTGTTTGGTTTTCTGTTCCTGTGCTAGTTTGCTGAGGATGATGGTTTCCAGGTTCATCCACATCCCTGCAAAGGACATGATCTCATTCCTTTTTATGGCTGCATAGTATCCCCTGGTGTTTATGTACCACATTTTCTTTATCCAGTCTATCATTGAGGGGCATCTAGGTTTGTTCTATGTATTTGCTGTTGCAAATAGTTCTGCAATAAACATATAAGTGCATGTGTCTTTATAGTAGAAAAATTTATATTCCTTTGGGTATATACTCAGTAATGGGATTGCTGGGTTATATGGTATTTCTGGTTCTAGATCCTTGAGGTATCACCACACTGTCTTCCACAATGGTTGAACTAATTTACACTCCCACCAACAGTGTAAAAGCAATCCTATTTCTCCACAGCCTCGCCAGCATCTATTGTTTCCTGACTTTTTAATAATCGCCATTTTCACTGGTGTGAGATCGTATCTCATTGTGGTTTTGATTTGCATTTCTCTGATGATCAGTGATGTTGATCTTTTTTTCATGCTTCTTGGCCACGTAAATGTCTTCTTCTGGGAAGTATCTGTTCATATCCTTTGCCTGCTTTTTGATTTTTTTTTCTTGTAATATGAATAAGTTCACTGTAAATTCTGGATATTACACCATGTTCAACATACGCAAATCAATAAATGTAATCCATCACATAAACAAACCAAAGACAAAAACCACGCAATTATCTCAATAGATGCAGAAATAGCCTTTGATATAAAATTCAACATATATTCATGTTAAAAACTCTCAATATACTAGTTATTGATGGAACATATCTCAAAATAATAAGAGCTATGTAAGACAAACACAAAGCCAATATCATATTGAATGAAAACCGGTACAAGAAAAGGATGCCCTCTCTCACCACCTGTATTCAACATAGTATTGGAAGTTCTGGTGAGGGCAGTCAGGGAAGAAAATGAAATAAAGCGTATTCAAATAAGAAGAGAGGAAGTCGTCTCTGCAGATGACATGATTTTATATTTAGAAAACCCCATGATATCAGCCCCAAAACTTCTTGAACTGATAAGCAACTTCAGCAGAGTCTCAGGAAACAAAATCAATGTGCAAAAATCACAAGCATTCCTTATGCCAACAATAGACAAGTAGAGAGCCAAATCATGAATGAACTCCCATTCACAATTGCTACAAAGAGAATAAAATACCTAAGAATACAGCTAAAAGGGATGTGAAAGACCTTTTCAAGGAGAGCTACAAACCACTGCTCAAGGAAATAAGAAAGGACACAAGCATATGGAAACACATTCTATCCTCATGGATAGGGAGAATCAATGTCATGAAAATGGCCATACTGCCCAAAGTAATTTATAGATTCAGTGCTATTTCCATCAAATTACCATTAACATTCTCCACAAAATTAGAAAAAACTATTTTTAATTTCATATGGGATCAAAGAAGACCCCATATAGCCAAGACAATCCTAAGCAAAAAGAACAAATCTGGAGGCATCACGCTACCTGACTTCAAACTATACTACAAGGCTATAGTAACCTAAACAGCATGGTACTGGTACTAAAACAGACATATAGACCAAAGGAGCAGAACGGAGAGCTCAGAAATAACACCACACATCTATAACCATCTGATCATCGACAAGCCTGACAAAAATGAACAATGGGGAGAATATCTCCTATTCAGTAAATGGTGCTGGGAAAACTGGCTAGCCTTATGCGGAAAACTCAAACTGGACCCCTTGCTTACACCTTATACAAAAAACTATCTCAAAATAGATTAAAGACTTATATGTAAAACCCAAAACCATAAAAACTCTATAAGAAAACTTAGGCAATACCATTCAGGACATAGGCATAGGCAAAGACTTTATGACAGAAACACCAAAAGCAATTTCAACAAAAGCCAAAATTGACAAATGGGATCTAATTAAACTAAATAATTTTGCACAGCAAAAGAAACTATCATCAGAATGAACAGGTGACCTACATAATCCAAGAGAAGTTTTGCAATCTGCCCATCTCACAAAGTCATTTTCTAAAAACTATCTTCACAATGGGTTGATCAAAAAGTAGTATCAGAACAAGAAGATAACCTTGAGAGCTACTGCAATAAGCTGAATGCATAAAGTGTGAGAGTCCTGAGCCAAATTTGTGGCACCAAGAATTGAAAGTCAGAAATAATTATGAATGACAAAAAAGAGAATACTCAAGTTTTTATATTTTATTTGCTATGGAAGATGAAGAAAAGGTAATGATTTGGACTATTTAAAGTTTTCAAGTCTGAATGACTGACTCATATGTAGTACATTTGAAATATCAGAATAGGTATGAGTTTGGAAGTACATGATGAATTTTATTGTGGATGTGCTGCACTTGAGGGTACTAGAAAAATGTTCAGCTGGAAATGTCTTATACGTGATTGAAAATGAAGTAAAAGTTTGATGAAAAGTCAAGTTTAAAGATAGAACTTTAGGGACTCATTTTTGTGGATGTAATAGTCAATATTGTAAGATTATACGGAAGTCCTAGAAAGCAAAGAGTGGAGTCAAAAACATAAACCTCGGGAAGGCACACACCTAAAGAGTGAAAGCAACAAAGGAAAGAGTGAAAGCAAGAAAGGAAAGAGTGAAGGCAATATTTTCCACCAAGATCTGTTCTTCACTCTGTCTCTTACTCTGTGTAGAGACTTAAGGAACATTATTTCGAATTTCATACAATACACTGAATGTGTGAATCTGTGGAGCTTTGTCATACATGTTTAAGACACTTCAGTTGAAATAAAATGAAGAGGCAAACAGAAAGTTAAAAACAGAAATAAATGCAGATCTGTAGGAAAAATAATTCCAAGAGTGAAACCCTACATTGCAAATTCTGGCAGAGAGGATGTTAAGAAAATCAACATGAAAATATCATTGAATTTGGTGATGAGAATGTGATTAGTGACCTTTCAGACAACCGTGTGAGTATATTCAAATGCAGCAAAGTAGCAGAAAAATAGCATTTCTAGAATTTATATCTGTACCAGCAAAATTTATCTCTTCTATATATGCTCATTCATGTTTTATATGGCATATCAGTATCATTAACCTTTTGTCCTCATTTAATTAGAGAAACTGAGGCATGGAGTCAAGATACAGTTTACAAATATTAGACTAAAGGACAGAATTTAAAATTTGGCATACTATTCCTTGGATATCAAACTAAATGTCCTTCATTTATTGCCACTGTGACAAGCACTTCTTCTTTATGATGTGAACAGCTCATGCATGTAGTTAAATGGTACATAAACAACAATCAATTCAAATTAAATCATTCCATTTTTAGATGTAAAACCACCAAGCCATCTCATATCACATAATTGCATAATTCGCTGTAATTACATAATGCTTATATGGTACTAAAGAAATAGATGGGCTGACATTAAAGCAAAATGACTTAAACCTATCTTAATATGAAATGCAATGATCACACTACTAATAATAAGATTAGTCCTAAATTTTGGAATTGTATCCCTTAGGAAATATATGAATTTTCCTTTACACAACTTTAAAAACATTCGGAGGAAACCCCAGGAGAAAATGCATTAAGAAAATGTCTATTTATTTGTCACATATTTTTAGTACTCCCTGATTAAAACTTCTTTATATCCTGTCTGCTGAGATCACAAATATATTTGGCCATAAATAGTAGCAATCTCTTTCATAATTAGCCTCATCTTTGGTGATTTATTCAGTAATAAAATAAGTCAGATCCTGGGACTTTGATCACTTCTTAGGGAGTGAAATCTGGCATCACCAAAAGCTTGAGACTAAATTTAAAAAGACAATATTCCTATGATTCTGATGCTGCAGATATTACAGCTAGAGTCAGAAGGGATTTTCTAATTTAGTTATAAAACTAAGACATCACAGCAATGATTATAGCAATTTTTGCTGGCCCACAATGTATTTAAAATAGACTCTTTATGATAAAGTTCTGTAACTATTGCTTTTTCAATACTGAACATAAGGGACTTATGTAAATAAAAACTGCCCACAAGACACATGTCTGGAAACAATAAGACAGCCAACTTCTTTTGGAAAGTAAAAGATTGGCCAAGTGTTGGTTTGTTCACTGAGGAAAGTATGTTTGGGGTCAGACAGAGTGCAATCTTCTAATCCGTTGGGGAGCAACACGCCTACTGAGTGAGAAACAAGCAGAAATGCTAGATTATGTTCTACAGAACCTTTCAGAAGTTTCCCACAACCCTTAACTACCACTTCTACCAAAAGATTTTCATATATTTTTGTTATAGAAGATACAATTTTTTTTTTTTTGAGACGGAGTCTCGCTCTTCAGCACAGTCCGGCTGGAGTGCAGTGGCGCGATCTCCGCTCACTGCAACCTCTGCCTTTTGGTGTAAAGCAATTCTCCAGCCTCAGCCTCCCGAGTAGCTGGGATTCCAGGCACCCAGCACTACGCCCTCCTAATTTTTGTATTTTTGGTAGAGACGAGGTTTCACCATGTTGGCCAGGCTGATCTCAAACTTGTGACCTTGTGATCCGCCTGCCTCGGCCTCCCAAAGTGCTTGAATTACATGCATGAGCCACCGCGCCTGGCCCTACAAATATTTTTATTATAATATTGCATTATATATATTATATATATATATATATATATATATATATACTGAAAAAGTTACTTTACCTAAATTTTTTACAGTATGCCTCAAAAATTAGTCATTTCTCCACTCACTATATTTTTATCAAAAATAAATTACCTGTGACCCTCAAAAATTTTGATTCCTGGAAAATTGGCTGAATTCAGTGTCTACCCCCAAAACTCAGTTTTTTTTTCCATTTTTTTTTTCTAATTTTTGTTATGGAAAATGTTGCAGACATAACAAAGTAGAGAAACTAGTATAGTGAACTCTGATGTATCAGTTTCACTTTTGTATGGTCTGTTAAGTGTACCCCCCGAATACTCGGATTTTTGCCTAAGTAAGTTTCAGACAGCACATTATTGCATCCATAAATATTTGTATATATACCACTACATAATAACTACTTAAAAGCATAAACACAACATTAAAAACAGTATTTTAAAATTTAAAAATGCCGCTTCCTGTGTCCATGTGTTCTCATTGTTCAATTCCCACCTATAAGTGACAATATGCAGTGTTTGGTTTTTTGTCCTTGCGATAGTTTGCTGAGAATGATGGTTTCCAGCTTCATCCATGTCCCTACAAAGGACATGAACTCATCATTTTTTATGGCTGCATAGTATTCCATGGTGTATATGTGTACCCTAAAACTTAAAGTATAATAATAATAATAATAATAAAGATTCTGATATTGGAGAAAAATAAAAATAAATAAATAAATAAATAAAATTTAAAAATGCCTAGTTGGTTTTCATGGGACTTTGATCGTGTTTTTCTTTAAGCATTTATTTGTACAAATCAGAAACAAAGTAAGACCCATGCATTACAATTTTTTTCCATTTACTAGGTTTTTTAACCTATAGTTTTTATTTCCATCTCTTTTTTTTCTTCTTACAATTATTTTCCTTTATTTGATTTCCCTGTAGCATTTTCTATAGTCCAGATTTTACTAATTTTACTCACTGACTTTTTTATTTACATTTTCTTTGGTCTTCTCAATTTCTCTAAGTTGGTAGTTAAATCTAGAAATTGAATCTGATAAGAGGTCAATTAATGGGAAGAAGGTATGATAAGAGTTATTGGATATTTTCAATATGTGCATTAAGTGTAGTTTTACTTTATTTGAACATGCATTCATCTAGTTAGGTATGAGATTAATTTAAAACAAGAGCTTTTTCCACTAGAGAGGAAAAATATGTAACATTAGCTTTCAAATGATTTTGTCCATAAATTTGCCCATGTTTTTGCCTGTAATTTCCAAGAAAAAAAAAAAAACTAATTTCCAAATGTATGGAAAAAATATCAACCCAGCTTTCATCCAGGAATTTTTTTTAACTGCTTTTCATTTTTCCTCTTTCTATCTGGCAGTCACTTCTAAAAACCTGAAAGTTATAAGTCTAATAGCTGTTGAAGGAAATCAGAATCACGTGAAAGTATGAAAAGCAATGGGTTAGGCTTGAGAACTGGAACAAGGCAAGAATGCCCACTCTCACCACTCCGGTTCAACGTAATCCAGTAAATCCCAGCCCGAGCAATCAGGCAAGGGAAAGAAGCAAAAGGCATCCAAATAGGAAAAGAAGAAGTCAAACTATCTCTCTTCACTGACGATATGATTCTATACTTAGAAAACCCTAAAGACTTTGACAAAAGGCTACTAGAACTGACAAACAACTTTAGCGAAGTTTAAAAATACAAAATCAATGTATAAAAATCCATAGCATTTCTATACACCAATAACATCAAAGCTGAGAGTAAAATCAAGAACACAATTCCGTTTACAATAGGCACACACACAAAAAGGAAATATCTAGCAATACAGCTAACCAAAGAGGTGAAAGATCTCTACAAGAAAAACTACAAAACACTGCTGAAAGAAATTAGAGATGACACAAATAAACAAAAAAAATCCATGTTCATGTATTGAAATTATTAATATCACTAAAATGGCCATACTACCCAATGCAATTTACAGATTCAACACTATTCCTATCAAACTACCAATATCATTCTTCAGATACTTAGAAAAAAGCTATTCTAAAATTCATATGGAACCGAAAAAGAGCTTGAATAGCCAAAGCAATCTTAAGCAAAAAGAACAAAGCCAGAGGCATCACACTACCCAAATTCAAAACTGTATTATAGCACTTTGGGAGGCCGAGGCGGGCGGATCACGAGGTCAGGAGATCGAGACCATCCCGGCTAAAACGGTGAAACCCCGTCTCTACTAAAAATACAAAAAATTAGCCGGGCGTAGTGGCGGGCGCCTGTAGTCCCAGCTACTTGGGAGGCTGAGGCAGGAGAATGGCGTGAACCCGGGAGGCGGAGCTTGCAGTGAGCCGAGATCCCGCCACTGCACTCCAGCCTGGGCGACAGAGCGAGACTCCATCTCAAAAAAAAAAAAAAAAAAAAAAAAAAACTGTATTATAAGGGTATAGTAGCCAAAACAACATGGTACTAGTACAAAAACAGACACACAGATCAATGGAACAGAACAGAAAATGCAGAAATACAACTGCACACCTATAACCATCTGGTTTTCCACAAGGCCAACAAAAACAAGCAAGGGGAAAAAACAGTAAATGGTGTTGGAATAACTGGCTAGCCTTATGCAGAAAAATGAAACTAGATCCCTACCTTTCACCATATACAAAAACTAAATCAAGATAGATTAAGAATTTAAATGTAAGACCTCAAACTATAAAAGTTCTACAAGAAAACCTAGGAAATACCATTCTCAACATCAACCTTGGCAAATAATTTATGGCCAAGTTACAAAAAGCAATTTCAACAAAAACAAAAATTAAAAAATATAACCTAATTAAACTAAACAAAAGCAAAAGAAACCAGCAAAAGAGTAAACTGCCTACAGAATGGGAAAAAGTATTTACAAACTATGTGTCTGACAAAGATGTCATATCCAGAATCTACAAGGAACTTAAACAAATCAACAAACAGAAAACAACCCCATTAAAAAGTGGGCAAAATAAATGAACAGACACTTCTCAAAAACAGGTGTACGTGTGGCCATCAAACATATGAAAAATTGCTTGTCATCGCTAATCATCAGATAAATGCATATCAAAACTACAACGATACATCATCTCACACCAGTAGAATGGCTATTATTAAAAAGACAAAAAACAGCGGCTGAGGCTGCAGAGAAAAGGGACCACTTACACAATGCTGGTAGGAATGTTTTAATAAATTAGTTCAGCCATTATGGAAAGCAGTTTAGAGATTTCTCAAAGACCTTAAAACACAGCTACCATTCTACCCAGTAATCTCATTACTGGTTATATACTCTAAGAAATATAGATCATTATATCAAAAGAACACTTGCTTGAATGTTCACTGCCATGCTATTCACAATATGAAAGACATGGAATCAACCTAGTTGCCCATCAGTGGCAGACTGGATAGAGAAAATGTGGTGCATGTGATGCATATATACCGTGGAATATTATGCAGCCATAAGATATGAAATCATGTCCTTTGCAGCAACTGAGATGGAACTGCAGGACATTAGGCTAAGTGAATTAACTCAAGAACAGAAAACCAAATACCACATGTACTCACTTATAAGTGGGACCTAAACATTGAGCACACATGGACATGGACATAGAAACAATAGACACTGTGGACTTACTTACTAGATGGGGGAAGAAGGAAGGGGGATCATGAGTTGAAAAACTACCTGTTAGGTACTGTGCTCACTACCTGGGTCCAATATACTCATGTAGTGACTCTACACATATACCACCTGTATCTAAAATAAAAGCTGAAATTAAAAAGAAAAAAAAACTCAGTAAACTAACAACCAAAAAGGTCATGGGTTATGATATTTTAAGGAATGTGGCTTTGTAACCTTTAGCTGACTGACATTTTGTACTAAATTTTATTATATAATATTTCTTCTCTACTGAAACCTCCCTATGTATGTAATGATAGATATTCCAAACCCACAAGATAATTCACTCACCGATTAAAAGGCAGGTCAATCGGCTCAATGACTTAACAGCAATTCTAGAGTTATGTTTAGAGCAATTTATGACACTGTTGGCACTCTTCCCAATATAGCTCAATAACTACAGACACCAAAACAAATTTCTGTTTTTATTGCAATTATTGACCAACAAATAATTCTGGAATTGGCAATTCTATTTTATAACTGTGTATTTTCCACTTCAAAACTTGCATTAGTATCATTCATAATTGCTAAGTTGTTTCTAGTCCCTAAATATTTGCTAATGTATAACTAAAATAAATCCCTTTGTCATGGGAACTCTGTTAATACATGCTTTTCCAAAAATAAAAAGTTCAATGTAACCTCAGGCTGTGCATCTTAACTGGAGGAAGACAATGATTTGCCAGTGAGTGTCCAAAGCCAAAGAATAAAAATGATGTGTCTTCTTGGAACACTGATTGTACCCCGAAATTCAGTTAAAATATCTGAACTTTTATCCTCTTAAAAAACATCCCCGCTGGGTGCGATGTCTCAAGCCTGTAATCCCAGCACTTTGGGAGGCCGAGGCAGGTGGATCACCTGAGGTCAGGAGTTCAAGACAAGCCTGACCAAAATGGTGAAACCCTGTCTCTACTAAACACAAACAAATAGCCGTGTGTGGTGGCACATGCCTGTAATCCCAGCTACTCGGGAGGCTGTGGCAGGAGAATTGCTTGAACCTGGGAGTCAGAGGTTGCAGTGAGCCACGATTGCACCATTGCACTCTAGCCTAGGCAATGAGAGCAAAACTCCGTCAAACACACACACACACATATATATCTCACATATATATATATTGCATATATATATCTCGCATATATATTGCATATATATATCTCGCATATATATATTGTATATATATATCTCGCATATATATATTGTATATATATATCTTGCATATGTGTATATATGTATATATATAACAAGAATGGGCAGGGTGAAAACCACATACTGTGTCAGATAGTATTATGTTTTATGTGGATATAAAATAATTTTTTAAAAATTTACACAACTGAAGTGACAGAACATTTCAATACTTTTTTTTTCTATTTGGAAATCTGTGTTAGGCAGAGTTCTCTATAGGGGTAGAACTAATAGGATAGATGTATACATAAAGGGGAGTTTATTTATTATTATTTTTTTATTTTTTGAGATGGAGTTTTGCTCTGTAGCCCAAGCTGGAGTGAAGTGGCGTAATCTTGGCTCACTGCAACCTCTGCCTCCCATGTTCAAGCAATTCTCTTGCCTGAGCATCCCAAATAGCTGGGACTACAGGTGTGTGCCACCATGCCCAGCTAATTTTTGTAATTTTAGTGGAGATAGGATTGCATCATATTGGTAAGGCTGGTCTCGAACTCCTGACCTCAGGTAATCCATTTGCCTTGGCCTCCCAAAGTGCTGGGATTACAAGCACAAGCCACTGCACTCAGCCTAAAGGGGAGTTTGTAAAGGAGTATTGACTCATGCAATCACAAGGTGAGGTCCCACAATGGGCCATCTGCAAGTAGAGGAGAAAGGAAGACAGTCCGAGTGCCAAAGCTGAATAACTTGGAGTCTGATGTTCGAGGGCAAGAAACATCCAGCACAGGAGAAAGACATAGACTAGAAGACTAAACTGGTCTAGTCTTTCCATGCTTTTCTGCCTGCTTTTATTCTAGCCAGGCTAGCAGCTGATTAGATTGTGCCCACCCAGATTAAGGGTGGGTCTGCCTTTCCAAGTCCACTGACTCAAATGTTAATCTCTGTTTGCAACACCCTCACAGACACACCCAGGAACAATACTTTGCATCGTTCGACACAATCAAGTTGACACTCAATATTAAGCATCACAAAATCTGATAAAATTACCATTGAAAAATATTAGAAGTGAGGAGTAAAATGGCAAGTCACACACTAAGTTTATCCTAATTTCACCAGTGTCCTTAACTGCACATCCTCTGTCAAGACAATCACAGCATTAAAATATACACTTTATCCATTAGTTATTTTTCCTGATCCTCTCCCTCCTCCCACTCTCCACCCTCTGATAGGCCCCTGTGTGTTGTTCCCCCGTATGTGTTCATGTGTTCTCATCATTTAACTCCCATTTATAAGTGAGAGCATGCGGTATTTGGTGTTATGTTCCTGAGTTAGTTTGCTAAGGACAATGGCCTCCAGCTCCATCCATGTCCCTGAAAAAGACATGATCTCATTCCTTTTAATGGCTGCATAGTATTCCATTTTGTAGATATACCACATTTTCTTTGTCCAGTGTATCATTGATGTGCATTTAGGTTGAATCTATGTCTTTGCTATTGAGAATAGTGCTGCAATGAACATTCATGTGCATGTGTCTTTAGAACAGAATGATATATATTCCTTTGATTCCTTTAGGTATATACCCAGTAAAGGGATTACTGGATTGAATAGTATTTCTGACTTTAGGAGGGTCAGGAAAAAACTAGTGGATACTAGGCTAAATACCTGGGTGAGGAAATAATTAATACAACCAACTCCCATGACACGTTTACCTATGTAACAAAACTGCATATCCTGTGCATGTACTCCACAACTTAATAGTTAAAAAAATCTATTTCAAATTAATAAAGATATTTTGGCTATGTTGAAAAAATCTGCACTTTAGTATGGCCAATAGTAGGCTTAACCAATTGACTGAGTAGACTATATTCAACCTGTTCCTTTGAGTTTAATGAGATCAAGTAACATAGCCATTTTATTGGTCTTGCATGTATTTAGGATAATGGTATCTCTGAATACAAGTAAACCTCACAATATTGAATATGAAGATAACAAATAAGAATACTTTAATCCAGGTTAGGCAGGTTTATCTGTCAATAGGATGCAAGGTATTTTCTGGTAATGCATCTTCATATAACCACATTATAAAAACAGAAAGAAATTTGTTCATTTTTTGAGCTGAAAAATTTTTTAATCTGTAGTTAAATACATCCCATTAGTAGTTAATTTTCTTCTTCGAAAAAAAATTTAGGAACTATTTCCTTGAGAGACCAAGCTGTGACTGAGAGGTTTTTTGCCTTACAGCAAGAAAATATACTTTTTGAGATTTCTATCAAAAGTAGTATGAAAGTATGCCCAAATGCCAACTCTTCAGCAACACTCTGTGCATCTCTTCTTAGAAATTCTCTTGATACAGATCAAAAAGTAGTGGGAGAAATACTTGTCATTTGTGTCTACTTATTTGGTGAGTTTGTATCTCTGAAATATGATAGCAAGACTGAGAAATTTCCCAATTGTTGGCCTTGATAGAGTATCAATTCTTTTTAATTGAACCAAACAGTCTAAAATCTAGAAACATAATAGAATTTAATATCAATCTAATAAACAGCAAGAAAATTACTCATGTCTAAGATTGAGTAATTTAAAATAGGTTAGGTTTTGCTATGTCATGTTATGTTTTCACATTTGAGTATGTTGTGTTACAGTAACAGAGTTAATAGAATAAAAAGTTTGCATTATTATTAATTTTTAAAAAGCCCCTTTAATTTATTTCTTCAGAATCCTAAAAATATGGATTTATCTACGTTACCATTAGTGACACTGTCATGGAAATGTCTGGGAAGCCAATGTCTATGATGTTTCATGTTTTTACCTAAGAGGGAATGTTGCCTAAGGCAAAATCACAGTTCTCTGACATTAGTACCTAGTATCTCTTTTCTTCAAAATTTTAACCATTCTTTGGGCTCTGGAAGGCTGATGCTGAAAGTAAGGAAGAGTGGATAATTCTAGAATTCATATGCTCTTTATTTGATTAGCGATGAAGTAAAACAGGAATAGTATTAATTACAGAATATATCTATTTATATTATGGCTTGGAATTATTTTTTTCTCAAAACAGTTGAATTATCTCTATTGTCACAAGTTCTTAAATTATTAAATATAAATTATATAATGTACATTAGTAGCAATCATAAGGTCTGTAAGTCATTACAGAAATTTCTGTTGTTGTGAATGAGTATCTTTGGAAAATAGAAGAGAATTGAAAGCATATTAGTTAAATATAAAGGAAAAAATATATCCAACTAAATGATAACATTCAGCAGGATGGAAAAATTAAACTGATGGCATCAGAATGTATTCACATTGAAACTGTTGCCATATTTTGCATATTTTCGTTCTCTATCTCTCTCTTACTCTCTTGCTATCTCTCTGATTTTCCAAGATCTATAGATCCCATATTGATTGGTAAGGTGACAGTCTCCCCACTCTTATTTTTAATTTCTAGTCATTTTATGAAAGTATATCCTTGTCCCCTTTTGAACATGTGGGGAAAGAGGAGTAATGTGTATGAATTTTATTCATTTTTAAACATATTTTTGAAAAAATTTATTAAAATCTAATTTACATATTATAAAATATACTGCTTTGAAAAGTTAATTACCAGAACTCCTAGATACTTCTGAGTACCCTATAGATTTTGTGTAGACATTATACTTATTATAGAGTTTTTATACCACTTTTATTACAAAAGTAAATTTGTTTTTTATATTTACTTATTTCTTGCTTCTCTGTAAATTAGAATCTCTTCTGATTCACATTGGTTTATCATTTACTGCTAAGACTAGAGTTCATTTTTTCCTCTCAATGATTTTTTTGTTATGCTTTGGATTATTTAAAAATAATTGAAAATATTTAGAATTATCTTCTTTCAATTTATCACTTTTTATAGATCAAAAACTAGCTCAACATACATTCCAAAAAATTGCAAAAGGTTAGGAATACCCAGCATTTCTCATTTCCTCTATCCATCCTATATAACTACCTCTTATATATCTAAAACTTCTATTTTAAATATACAAACCTCAGTCTGACTAGAGCCAGTCTCAATTCAGAATAGTTAAAAAATTCTTAAACACACATACTATAATATTCAAGATTTTATTTTAAATCAATCAAATATGATAATGTGTTTTTTTTATTCTTAAAGAAAACATGAATTTTTACTATCTTTTCTTTGGATGAAATCTGTAATTCCTTGATAAGCACACAAAGCCCTTCATGAGTTTCATTCTTCCTACCCTTCTGGATTCACCTGCTATGAGCTCTCCACATATACTCCTTTATGAGTTTTAAGAAGCAATTTACTTTTACTGAATGAATTATAGCTCTTGTATTGAATAAAACTTTTCAGCTTCTCCATCAACTTAGCTGGTAGTTACCGTTAACAGCATCCAGCCGAGGCCCAGACAAAACATACCAGCAAGGAACCCCCTTCCATAGATCCCATCAAGCAGCCTCCCCATCAGGGATCAGATTGTGGCAGGACTTCCACGACACCACTACAATGTGAATGATTAAGAGCTTTAGTACTTGCAGACCTTGAGAGGTACATGGCGTTCCGGGAGGCCACAGAAAGGTCAGGGAGCACAGGCAGAGAAAAAAAGAGGAGAGCGTGGCAATTCTCAGTATATACTGCAGAAATAGGGTGTGGGTTACATTAAGTTCACAGTTAGATGCCGGAATCGTCCGTTTAAAGGAAACATCAGGAAAGAGAGGAGCCCAGTCTGCTAGGCAAGAGAGATGTCTCCAAGTTCTTATCTCTGGCCACCAGCTAACGCCATTTGGATGTGATGTAGAACTGCAAACTGTGTCAAGGGTGACTGAGTCCTGCCTCTGGCAGGAGAAAGCTAAACCAACAGTTAAAATGAATGCCAAGGCAACATGAAATTGGAAGCATTCACTATACGTCACATACCTTGAAACCATTTCATGTGCAATTTTCTCTTTTGGAAATACCACTTTTTTAAAAATTCACTGGATTGCTCATCATTTTAGATAAGTTACCTTTGCTAACACGCTAGCCTATTAGATGCCCTTTTCTGTGCTCCCACAGCATCCCGTTTCTACCACCAGAATAGCAAGCACAATGATGCTAAAAATGTTAATGTTGTTGTCTCTAATATCCACAGTACATACAAGCATTGAAGCAACTGTGCATCACATCAATAGTTAGTAAATCTTTGCTGTTGACTGGATATACATAAACAAATTAGTCCACCAACATAAGAAGTATCTGAGATATGAAAAATATAAAAGCTGTTATTTACAAAATATGGATTTTGTGTATTATCTAGTTTTAAACATCCTTATAATCTAATTCGAAAGATGAGGAAACTGAGGCAAAGTGATATTAAACTCTTGGTTAAGGCATATAAAAGGTAGAAAAGTAAGCTGGAATATAAATACGAGAAGATAGCAAAGCATGCACAGACAGATATGGTTAAATATATGGATTTCTCTACAGAAATTAGAAAGAAAAGAACCGAAATAAATTTTAATCATACATTTTCCCCTTTTTTAAAAAACGTCCTCAATGTGTAAATTTCAACAGGCACTAAAGCATTCCAATTATCTTATACTCTTTATCTGATTTAGCTAGTTTTTAATTCATACGAATCTGAATAAAGTCACAAATGCCTTAGCTACTTACTTAACACAGTGGAATAATTTACTCCTCAGTTTTCTACATTATCTCTTAAACCTAACACAAATTCTTAAGTCTCACCTAACTTTCTGGATATAAAGTCAATGTTTCAAGTATCACATTAAAGAAGCCTGGTAAGCAGGTTTCAAAGTTGCCTCTCCATGATCCCTACGACCTGGTTTTCATGCCCTTGTGTGGGGCTAAATCTAGTTACTACTAACCAATAGAATACAACAAAGGTGATTGAATGCCTCTTCTCTGATAAGATCACAAAACATTTTGACTTCCTCTCTTTAGAAGACTCTTTCTTGCTGACTTTGATAAAGCCCTCTGCCAGTTTGCAGAGGTCCACATGATAAAGAACTGTGAGGAAGTGAATGCTGCCAACCACTATTGAGTGAGCTTAAAAAGTACAGCCTTCAACACTTGAGGCTTCAGATGAAAGTACAGACCGTAGGCCAATACCTTTATTGCAGCCTTGTGAGTGATTGCAAAGTAGAGGGCCCAGCTTAACAATGTGCAGATTCCTGAACCACAGAAAGAAGTTATGGGATAACAAATGTGTGTATGTGCGTTGCCTTAAGTGATCATGTGGCAGTTTGTTATACAGCAATAGATAACAAATGTAAGAGGGTATTCACTCAAATTTGTGTACACAGACACATGAAATTGTTTCCTGCAGGGATCTGGTGTGGTTGCTCAATGCTAAGACCAATAGCTCCTAGAAATATTTTATATTAAGGATGTGTGTATATTTAAGCCTTTTCAATTTAATTCAGCCCAAAATGTAATCACTTTGGGTAGCATAACTTTCACTGTGTACTTCACTTAAAATCGTAGGGTATAAATATTAGGTTTTACTTTATATGAAACAACCTAGGTTATACCTCCATTCATATCTTCTAACTAAACATAATTAATTCAAATTCCAGTCAAAGTCTTGTACACAAACACACTTCAGTAATAAAATTTGTTATTTTATGGGGATTGTAATTTTAAAAATAAACTACAAAAGTCAGGCTGTTATTCACTATGCCAGGTTTTCCTACACATAAGTAAAAGAGAAGGCAACCTAACTATTTTAGTATTTATTGTGTGTTAGACATTTACATAAATCATCTCATTTAATATTAAGAATATTTTTTGAGCAAAAGTAAGTTTGAATTTAAGGATACATTGCATCATACAGTTCCGACTTTCAAACCTATCATTATTTGGCTTGAGAGAATAAATGGAGAATCAGGGTCATCATTCTACCACTTTGTGCAATATTTTTATTTCTAGAGGATTCAAGTGACTACTGACAGTAATAACATACAGTAACCTATAAACAGATTTTGTGATGTAGAGACCTTAAGTTATTTTATGAAAGTGAAAAGCAAAAACAAAACAAAACAAAAAGACATAATTCTGACATCTCCCAAAAGGAGGAAAAATAAAGTAGCTAGACTTTAGGCAATGCTTAAGATTCTTATTTGCAATACAATTTAAATAATTTTCTAAACTTTATATGGCACATTAATTATACAGTTCTGGATGGGTACCGCAGTGGATTGAATCGAATTCCACATTCTGATATCTGGAAGCATGTGGCCACGAATGAATCATTTGACCTCTGTGCTGTATGACACTCTGGTATCTGGTTCAGTGGTTTGCAAGTATAATAAAATAGAAAGGGGTTAGACAAGTTCATCGTTTAGGCCATTTTTAGCTTAGAATACAATTGATGATCTGAATTTTATTCACATCACTGATAGAAGTTACTTAAATATTTTCCTTCCCAAACTTGTTGTGAACCAATCGTTGTTCTGCTTTCTCCATGGAAACTGGAAATTATTGAAGCATTGAGTGCTAGTATTTAAATGGTCACTCCACTAGCTTAATGAAATAACCTTAATAAATATCTTCATTTTACAGCTTTAGAAAATTTCAGAAATGCTGTGAGTTTTCTAGGAATAGAGGGCCCTAAAATTAGTGTCATAACTTAGCTGTGGCATCTAAACATTCATGCTTAATGATACCTATTAATATATGTTTATTTTAAGTTAAAGTGCTCTTGTCTTAAACATTTTTAAATCTTAAATTTTGAAAACTAAATTTTGAATCATAAATATAGAAATTATTCTTAAGCATTCTAAGTGAAAAATAATATTATTTAAATAGAGATCTTCAAGTCAGTGAACATATCTCTTAGGTGTGAGAATCAGGCATTTAGAATGCTTAAATAGTTATAGGCTTCAGGATTCTCCAGAAGCACATCCATGGACGTTGAAGGAGCAGGACCCAATCATTAGTACTTTGTGAAAATCAATTCAGGAGAATGTATATGAAAACATAGGAAAATCTGACATGGGGTAATCTATTCTGGAGGCATTATCTAATTCCTTTCTAAGGCTAATAAAATGTAATTGCCTATCCATACTCTTTATCTTTGATTCTTATCTCTAGGACTTCATGGGTACCACTAACTTAGGATTTCACTTTTTTTTTTTTGGTCAAAAACAGAGAAAATGAATGAACTTGGCATTTGCAATTAAGTACATCCTACAACCTTTACTAAATACCTCTCTAAATCTTTTCCCCAGCACATAGATTTTATATTAACCTAAAAATTATTATAACTATAGCAAAATACTACCACTCTTTTAGACCCAATCAAATCATGACATTACCTTATCTTAGGCAATACATAAAACAAATGAAACATCACCTTAATAGAAAGATGATATTTAAGCCTTTCTGGAAATCACGTTTAGAAAATTTATCATGATTATGACTTTTGTCTTATGTAAGAAAACCTCTATGGGTTTGTAGGGGTTGGGGAATTGGCTATGGAATCAAAAACCAACTTCAGCCACCTTGTGTAATCAGCAACCTCCAGAGGGCTGCCTGGGAGGCAGTTGAGCATTACTGCTTTGTGCAGTGGTGGCCTCACAGTGCTGTATTCCCAGCACTCTTCCCATCACATAAGACCATAAAGATAATTGGGTCTTACACAGAACTTTCTAGGCCCAAGTTCCTCTGTATGCAGAATGTGGTTATTGGTTCTATGTTTTCTCACAGAGCTGCTTTGCGTGTTTATGAGATCATGACTACTGCTTCCTTTGAGTTCTTTGAACTAAGGAACTCTATAAATAAAAGACGCTATTATTTCACCACTCTTGTTACTCATTAAAGAAATGGTCCCTGAAAATAGAGCCTTTCACTTGCTCTGTGTGTAAAATCTCTGCTGCCTGCAATGGGAGGGCTTACGCGATGTAATTACAGGAATCTGCCTGTTCTGCAGAGTATTGTACAGTAGCGTTCCAAAACGTTTCTAAAGAAAAGAGATGCTAACATCCACCCACACTTCACCAAACACTGTTAATGCAAAACACTGACTCCAGATGTCCACAGCTTGCTTCCAAAAAAGCCTCCTCTCAGGGAACTCTGAAGTTTAAATGTTAAAAAATTGTCCCTGAAGAGTGGGTATTAGGGTTTCATCAATAATTCTATGAGTACTTTTGGGATTCTTGATGACATTTTCATCTGCATTTTGTTTTAGGAGCTTTCTTTTTGTACTCTTTTGAATATAGAAAGATTAACAACACTGGCAGTGCAATTAATCTTGACAGGCCTAAGAGCTTTCTCTCTCATTTTCCTATTTTTCTTTAGTTTATAAAAGACGAAATTGGTGATGAATAGAGACAAAACCATAATGCTAATTCATGCAGTTTCCTGCATCTACAGTACTATTACAATACATCATGAATACATTTTATTAAAGTAACTTAAGTAAAATACCAGAGTATAATTTAGCAATGGGCAAATGATGTAGAGAGGCCTTTTTAAAATCATGTAACGCTAAGTATGGGAGCATGCCACAAGACATTAGTTTGAAATTATTTTAATTTTGTATTTATATATTCTGTTATTAGTAATACAGCATAGCATTGTGCTAATATTTTTCTTTAAATAAGTTTAGTTAAAATATAAAATGATATTACTGATATTCATTTATTTGCATTACTTTAGTTTTTAGAAATATCTGGCCAGAAATTATGTGTTCTTCCTATACCAATTATTAGCCTAAGTATTCTAAGAAGGCCTTCCTTTATCATCATAATTTCAACATTTTTCTATAGTCCATAATATTTTGAATATATTTTCACTTAGTATTTAGTCTCGTAATATGCATTCTATAATAAGCTACTACTTTTGTTGTAGTTCATTTATATCTGGGCTTATCGAAAAATACAAGGTGTTAGCTTTCTGAAATTAATTTCTAAAATCAGATAGCTGGGCAGCCCACATTCGGGTCTCCTGCTTCTTATCTTTATACTAAAAAACTCTTTTAATGTACAAATGTACACAAAAGTTAAAAAGTGTGAATTATTAAGAAGTTTCAAAAACTAAGATATTTAATCTACCATATATAAATGTATGGATTAGTGTCACGTCTTCTTAGTGTTCTATGAAAATTCCCGTATTGTCCTTATTTATTTTGTGCAATCTGTTTTTGTGTATTTGCTTATCCCCATCTCTCTCCTTTCTAACACCATTTTAAATGTATTTAAATGTTTCAATATTATAAATATTTGGTAATGGAAAAATTAACTAGACTTTTACCTCACTTCATGGTCTTCAAAATAACCAGTTAATGATTAATGGTCACAAATTGCAAATTTTTTCTAAAGTCTCTAATTAACATATATATGCAATATAAAAATAATATAAATGTATATATGTCTTTGTGCACATATTAGATTAGTAGTCACAATACATTACTCAGACAGAAAAATGTTGCCCAGATTAACATTATTGAAATATTTGTATTTGTGTGTCTGTGTGCATACATGAACATGTATTTGCTTATATACGTATGCATATATATTTGTTTTGCAATCCATTGTACATGCATTTTAAAACAAATATTTTAGTGGCCCAGTTCCCTCCAGGAAATCATCAGGCAACTGAAGATTACATGCAATACACAGCATGTCCAAATATTAATGTGATATTCTCTATCAAAGGACACAACTGTTAATGTTTCAAAAAATGATGCTTTTTCTTATAAATAAGCTGTTATCAACATAGCAGTAAAAATTAGAGAAATCAGATGCATAACTTTAGATTCGAGATTCTTCTAAAGTGATAATATTTCAGTCTGCAAGCAAATTATTATTTTAAAATAACTTTTATGATTACCTTGAATAAAAATAATAATATTAATATAAAATTCATATATTTCAGCTATGCTAAAGGCATGTCAGAAATGCTAAATGGGCCTTTTCCTGATTGATGTGAAATGTAGTTTTATATGCATATATATATGTTATATATAATGCACATATATATGCAAATCATGCATGTCTCTCTTATTTCCACACATTTTCTCTTTTTTATGTGAGTGTGCTCACTATATAGTCACAAGATTTTGGCCTTGACCTCAATAGTGGCTGTGTCAGAATAACAAGACAGCTGTATTGATTTTCACATAAACCAAACTTTGGAATTATTCTCTGCTCTCCAAGAACAGGTGAAAAGATGTTTTAATGAATGAATGAATGTTTGAGAAACTAATACCATTCACCCTTATCCTTTTCTCCATTTTCCAGGTATATAGGAAAGGCAGACTTACAGACACCTTGTAGCTCTAAGAAAGTGGTTAGCTCTGAAAAATTATAAATAAAATTAATGCCTATTTTAAACCACACACAAAATTAAATTTCAGATGTATTATAGATTAAAATGAAGTACAAAGTGCTTTACAATATAACTTAGGTAACTACTTTTTAAAACATAAAGTATAAAAGAATAAAATGTATGTTTAATTATATAAAGTAGCAAGTTTCTATATAGATTTAAAATTAAAGGGCAAAGAGGAAGAAAAAATACCAAACACATGTCATGCAAACAATTAATAGTTTTAATAAACACATTTTCAACAACCCAATCAAAATGAACAAAAGTTGGATCTATAAGTGTGCAAAAGAAAATACCAAAGACCAGCAATATAAAAAATTCACATCAATTTTATTCACAAATAAAAACAAATGAGATAATTTTTAAAATTTAATACATTAACAATACACACACACCCACACTCACACACATATAAACAAAATACTCCATTATCAGTGGTAGAATGGTAGCAAAGTCATTTTGATTTACTATGTGTGGGAGTATAAATTGTCCAATATATATATAGAAAGAAACAAATTAACATGAATCAAAAGGCATTAGATACATACTAACATTTGGAACAGTAATTACACTTCTACAAATACATTCTGAAGGATTTTTTCATGATGTTGGCTTATGGTATATTAAGACGCAGAACAATCTAATTTCTGACTTTACTGTCAAGAATACTTGAAGTTCGTTTTGAGTATTCAATAGAGCATAATACAATCCTTACACAATGTTTCAGAAGAACACTTAATTAAATGGGAAAAAATGCCCAAAATGCATTCTGAATTTAGTAGGAAACATTGATAGCATTACCTGAAGTAAGATGACAAACTTAAAGAAAAAAAGATTATGCCATTCATAACTGATATTCTCCAGGCTCAAATGAGGCCATATTAACCTAATATTAAAATATACTTAATATTTCATACTGCATCCTCCCTTCTTAACGAAATACTTTTCAGCATTTCTGTTGGCCCATGAAAGTGTCTCATTGGTACTCATGAATGAGTTTCTTTTAAATAAAAACTATGTCTATTTTGCCATACTTCCTCCAGACAAAACCCATTCCATCTTTTTACCATAGCTGGTCTTCAAGATGTAGCAGTTGGAGTCTGGCACCAACTACTGTCTATTAATCATCACCTAACAACTACGTAACTCATGCTTGGTAACGCAGCTCCCACTTGATTCCTAGCTGCATGGAAAACATTTGTTTTGTGGAAAACTTTACCTTCGCCGTAAATATGTACTTTCTTGCTTCCTCATGTAAGGCTAAGTTCCCTCAAAATAGAAATAAATTTTCATTCTAACATTTTGAAACATACATAAAAAGGGTACAATAGAAATCTACACACTATTCAAATCATGAAAAAAAATTCAGTATGTATCAGATGTTCTTATGATAGAAATATTATTTTTAGGTTTGAATATTTGTGCTATGTTTGTGTTGCTATTGTACAGGTAGGTGACTTCAATTTAATAAGCAATCATAATTTCTAAAAAGACAAGTTTTGTTGCAAAGCAGGGTTAAGAGAATGAATTTAATCTACAGAAGAAAAAATAGAAAGAATTTTGGATAATTTAATTTGCATTTAATTTAGAAAAAAATGAATACCACAAAATATTTTTTCCAATGTAAGTTAACAAATTCCTATTTTCTGCATTAAAGTTTAAAGTAAAAGAAAATCAAATTAAAATAGCAATGCTTATATTATTGCTTTGACATAGCGGGTCTCCAGTAGTAATTTGATATTTAAGTTAAAGAAAAGGTATTATATTACTTGGCACTTCAATAAATATGGCCAGTTAGTGGTATACAGCACACTAAACTTCAAAATCCCTATAATGCTTCAACGATGGTTGAAAAATGTGTTACAAAAATGTATACTTTTAAAGACATATTAGCTGAACACACTTAAATATTTAATGAAGAAATCATATTGATTTGAGTGGATTAAAATAATTTTATATATTATTTTAGATTCTGGACAGTTGTAATTGCAATATTAGAGTACCATATTGGTAGTGACTTGAATTTATTAAAAAATGGGACAAATATCCAGAGAAAATATAAACTATCTCAAATAAAGATAAATAATCATTAATCTCCTTAAAGTCAACTTATGTATCAGATGACTGTAAATCTTAAGTAATTTCCTCCTGATTACATGTTCCAGTATATTTGTAATATGTTTTTCAAATAATTTACAGCCTGGATGGGAGAAACCTTTCTGAAGATCATTGGAAACATGATCACTGTTGGTCATCGTAGTTGACCAGTGCATACAGCAGTAAGGGAAAAACAAACTGAAGACTTTCCTTCCTCCCCAATTCCACCACATTCGCCAATCAGTTTACTAACCAGAAGTTACTGTTTTTACAGTACATGTGTTTCTATGTTATATGTGTAATATTGCTATTAAATATGCATCATTCTGGAAGTCAAATTTATTTACTTTTTAACAGTCTTTTACAATTTACCCTATAACACAAACATCATCCCCCCACACATTTGGACTCATACATGCATATACAGGCAAAAATGCTGATAACAAAAGATAACTCAGTATCATGTGTAACTTCTACTTCCAGATAGAAGATGAATAAAATTTGGTCCCAAAATTCATTGAAATATTACTCATAGGTAACTTCATCAGATGACTCCAATTGCTAAAATCTGAACTTTATTGTAACTACAAAACTTCAAATTCTAACATTTATTTATTTTTAATTTTATAGATTTAGTAAATATAAGTGCAGTTTTGTTACAAGCATATATTGCATAGTGGTGAAGTCTGCATTTTTAGGGTACCTATTACCCAAATAATTTACAATGTACCCAACAGATAAATTTTCTTCCCTCATCCTACTCACCTCCCCCACCCTTTTCGAGCCTACAGTATCTATTAGTTTACTTGTATGTCCATGTGTACGCATTGATTAAGTCCAACTTATAAGTGAGAACATGTAATATTCAACTTCTGTTTCAGAGTTATTTCAATGAGGATAATGGCCTCCAGTTCCATCCATGTTGCTGCAAAATACATAATTTTGTTCTTTTTTATGGTTGAGTAGCATACACACACATATATGCACATGCATATACACACACACACACACACACACACCATGGGATACTACTTTTTATTTATCCAATCATCAACAGAGGATTGGATAAATAAAATGTGGTATATATGTATGTATCATGTATACATATACATATATACATACAATGTGATATGTATATATACATACATATATACATACAATGTGATATGTATATATACACACATATATGTGTGTGTGTATATATATACTTTATATATGGATACAACACATATATATGTCACATTTTATTTATCCAACCCTCTGTTTCTGTTGATGAACACTTAGGGGATTTCATGTCTTACCTTTTTTGAATAGTGCTGTGATAAGCATACAGGTGCAGATGTCATTTTGATATAGTGATTTATTTTCAATGGGGTAGGTACTCAGTAGTGGGATTGCTAGATTGAATAGTACTTCTATTATTAGTTTTTTGAGAAATCTCCGTACTGTTTCTTATAAAGATTGCACTAATTCACATTACCACCAACAGTGTATAAGAATTGCCTTTTCTCCACATCTTCACCAACATCTGTTGATTTTTGACTTTTTAGTAATAGCAATTCCTTCTCGTGTAAGATAGTACTGTGGTTTTAATTTTTAATTTTTCTGATGATTAGTGATTTAAGCATACTTTCATTTTTGTTGGCTGATTGCATGTCTTCTTTCGTGTAATATCTTTTTATGTTCTTTGCCCACTTTTTAATGGGATTATTTGTTTTTTTTTCTTTGTTGAGTTGTTTCAGTTTCTTGTAGATTGTATATATTGGCCATTTATCAGATGCATAATTTGCAAATATTTTCTCCAATTTTGTAGGTTATCTGTTTATTTTGTTGATTATTTATTTTACTCTGCGAAAGCTTTTCAGTTTAAGTTCCATTTGTTTTTATTTGTTTTTGTTGCATTTGCTTTTGAGAACTTTCTCATAAATTATTTGCTGAGGCCAATGTCTGGAAGAGTTTTTCATAGGTTTTATTCTAGAGTTTTATACTTCTGGGTCTTATATTTAAGTCTTTCATTGATATTGAGTTAATTTTTTATATGGTGAGAGATATGCGTCCAGTTTCATTCTTCTGCATATGACTATCCAATTTTTCCAGCACCATTTATTGAATAGGGTGTGATTTCCCCAGTGTATATTATACCACAAGTCTATAGTAACCAAAACAGCATAGTAGTGTTATAAAAGTAGACCTATAGATCAATGGAACATAATAGAGAACCCAGAAATAAATCCAGACATACCTACCATTAACTGATCTTCAATAACTTTTAAAATTTTATATGATGGTTTTCAAACACTTTTTTGCATCTTCTGAGTTAGTATGCTATCTTTCCCACTACAGTAATTCAAGCAACCCCTACAAGCATTTCAGAGTTGGCTCACAAGAAGGTACCATTTACCAACAAAGCTATTTATCCTATTATAACAATCTCTGCCTCAGAGTCTCAAACTGATGGCCAGAAGATAGCTAAAGGGGGAATCTGATATATAAGAATAAAAAAATGAATAAACACTAACAAAAATTGATATTTTATTGGATTTCAATGGAAAATCACAACAGAAACACTGTATTTGCCTTACCAGTAATGATGGCTAACCTTTAATAAGTATCCACTATGTACCAGGTTCATTTCAAAGAGCTTGCAATGAATTAAGAAGTTTAGTAGTCATACGCTATGAGGGAAGAAATATTATTGTAATTTTCTTTTTAAAGACAAAGAAACTGAGACAGAGGAGTTCAGTGATTTGCCTGAGGTTATGGTCCTGATAAGTGACAGAGCTAAGTTGCTGGATGCAGAGTCCATACTCTGAGTCTCTGCACTATATGATGTTTCAATGGCAGCAATGGACTGAATCTAAGTACATGTTGCATCCTTTAGTTATGGCACCCCCTGTGCAGCCCACCATCGTCCCTCCACTTCTACTTGTCGTTTCCTCACAGGGGTCAGAATAAAGTGTCCATCAGTATACTTGCATTTCTACTTTTCCTATAGTGTGTGTGTGTGCACGTGTGTGTATTCACACTATATATCATACATATAGTGCAACATATATACATATATATGTATGTGTATATATATATTTTTTTCAAATACAGCTTACTAAAATATAAATGAAAAGATTGAGTGCATTTTTAAAGAATGGTAGTGAGCCTACATTGTTCTTTGTGGATGTAAAGAACATTATTACTAACAATATAAGTAAATACTTGTTTTATATTATTAGGAGGCCACTGTTAACACTTGAGTTTGTCATCTTTTTTTCCATCTTTCTAAATATTTCATTCTCTTATTTAGTGAACATCTTTTTTTTCAACATCTTGGAGACCTTCAGTTATATGACCTTTCCTTGAGCCCAAATCTCCTACCACTCTTGGGTTTTATTTTCATTTTTAACAATTTTGTTAAATCCCTAATGGTACTGTTCTTCAGCTATTCCATTTCAGTCACTTCATTCTAGTCCCATTGCACTTATTCTGCACCTACACTGCCAAATCTCACTATTGAAGCAATCCAAAAATCATCTTTTTATTTTCCACTTTTGGGTGCCAAACTTACTCCCTTGCCAGATCCAATGGATGACTGAGTCCTGCATGAAACTCTAATTGATTTTCCTTTATAAAAAATCATCTTATTACCTCACAAGCAATTTTGTCTAGATAGTTTGCATCTTAGCTCAAAACCTCACTCCACATTTCCCAACGGATTGCTAAACATACAGAATTGGTGTCCTATTCTTTAGTCTTGTCCCCTCCTCTTCTTTCACACTGCTGACAGAGTGATCTTTCAAAAATGCGTTTGTTTATTCAATAGCTTGAAACATCTTGTGGTTGTCCGTGGCCTATAGAATGAAGGTCAAATCTTTTAACACCCATTTCATGTTCTGAACTGTCATTCAAGTTGTAACTACAACAGAAGTCAGTTTCTGTGTATAACATTGATTTGCTCTGTATCTTTAGAATATAAAGACCTCCTGTCTCAATTATACCAACTTTCTTAGTTTTTCTAATAGTTCAGCAGTGCTTGTTCCTTTTATAGAAATCTGTGAAAACTGCAAAAATATACAATATGTAGTCTTATTGATATGTAAGCATTTCCTTTGCAGAATTCCATTGACTTCCTTAGAAAGAAATCACATGCTTATAGATTCCTTCTACATATTTAATGACAGTGGATTTTGCAGAAAATGAAAATTATGTTTTACTTTAATTTTCTTTGAGAGTCCATTATTACTTAGGAGCAATTTTTCATATATATGTATATATATATGTATTTATTATTTTCCTTAATCAAATAATTTGGAACTTTAGAATCTTGAATTGTACTTCTTTGAGGGAGAAATTGTATTTTTTGCCTGGAGTGTAATGAATTTACTATTCAAGTCCATTTATGTATAAGTTGTTAGCTGAGGAAGATTGCTTACATCTAGCCTTGTATGAATGGTGCTTGTGTGTCTGTCATCCGGTTTGCAGCTCTTCAGTCAGGATTGACCTGCCCTAATTCTTACAGTAGGGATCAAAATATAAGAAATCCCCCATTAGCACCTCGTAATCAGCGAGATCATTCTCTTTTCTGCTCATAGGACATACTATTTCCTTCTTTTATTAATTTCCATAAACTCCAGTTTTACATCTTTCTGCTGAAAATCGACATAAGACCTTTGTGTTTAATTAGCAAGTACAAATTATCTATTCTAGACATCTCACCTTATTTATCTCTCAACATTCTTCTATTTTTTGTTCCTAAAGAATCTGACATTTTAATCCTTGACTATTCCGCTAACCTAGAACAGGTCCTGGCAAATAGCAGGTGCTCAAAAATATGTTTGAATAAAATGAGCAAATGGAATTCTGAAAGCTCTGGATAAGATACACTTCTACTGCTTATGGGCTTTTAAGATCTAAACAAGGTGAGCTAGTAGCCCTGGAGGAAGTAACAAAATTTTGCTTCTGATGAAAGAGTATTCAACATTTGGTCAACTTTCTTGCATTGTTCCCCAAAACACCTGAGATACATAAAATGTCAATTATATTATCAAGCAAGATTATTTATATAAAAAATGGTCCATTATTTATAAATTGTTTCTGGATTGTAAGAGGAACTCTGAATCTTGGGTTTCCCTAAATCCAGTGACTCTTGAAACTGACATGACTTACAGGTGTCCTGCATATGTATATGACATTATTATTAATATTTGTTCCTGAGTAGCATAGGAGTTTTAAGCCAGGGCAGATTTTGGATCCTGTCTCCTATACCTGAACTGTCTTGCCCAAGAATAAAAACACACATAGAAAGATTCTTTGGAGGAAGACAACATATTGGTTTCCCAATTATTTCTATAAATATTATTTCAAGTACAACTTCTAGAAGAAAGTACACATAACAAAAACATAGGCAAAATATGATATGAGCAGAACTAGCAGAAAAAAGAATCAAATATTTAAATAAAAACTTAGGATTACAGATATTTAAATAAATTGTTTCTGGATTTAACTCTTAACTTTGGGTTTTGTATAGAGTGAGAGATGGGAGCCTAGTTTTGTTCTTCATACGGATATCCAGTTTTCTTGGCACCATTAATTGAAGAGACTGTTCTTTTCCCCAATAGATGTTCTTGATGCCTTTGTTAAAAATCAGTTGGCTGTAGATGCATAAAATAATTTATGGGTTATCTATTCTGTTCCATTTGTCTATGGGTCTGTTTTAAG
This sequence comes from Homo sapiens, assembly GCF_000001405.40. Lineage (NCBI taxonomy): Eukaryota > Metazoa > Chordata > Mammalia > Primates > Hominidae > Homo > Homo sapiens. The sequence goes on along the minus strand of NC_000004.12, from coordinate 65,958,785 downwards.
GCCAGTACCATGCTGTTTTGGCTACTATAGCTCTGTAGTATAATTAGAAGTCAGGTAATATAATGCTTCTAGTTTTGTTCTTTTTGCTCAGGATACCTTTGGCTATTCAGCATCTTTTGTGGTTCCATATGAATTTTAGAATTGTTCTTCTATTTATGTGAAAAATGGTATTTGTATTTTAAGAGGGATTGTGTTGAGTCTGTAGATCGTTTTGGGTAGTATGGTCATTTTAACAATATTAATATTTCCAGTCCATAAACTTGGGATTGTGTTCCATTTTCTATGTGTCTTACTCAATTTCTTTCATCAGCGTTTTATAGTTTTCCTTGTAGAACACACTGTCACCCCACTGGTTAAATTTATTCCTAGGTATTTTTATTTTTCGCAGCAATTGTAAATGGGATTCCTTTCTTGAGTTCTTTTTCAGCTAGTTCATTGTTCTTGTATAGAAATGCTACTGAATGTTTTATGTTGATTTTCTATCCAGCAACTTTAGTGAATTCGTTTATCAGTTCTAAGAGATTTCTTAGCAGTGTCTTTAGGTTTTTCTATATATAAGGCAACATGATCTGAAAACAAGGACGATTTGTCTGTTATTCAGTTTGGATGCCCTTATTTCTTTTTCTTGCCTAAATACTCTGACCACGACTTCAATGCTACGTTGAACAGAAGTGGTAAGAGTGGGCTTCCTTATATTCCAGTTCCCAGAGGAAAACCAAAGCTTTTCCCCATGTAATATGATGTTAGCTGTGGATTTGTCATATATAACTTTTATTGTGTTGAGCTACTTTCCTTTTATACCTAATTTATTGAGAGTCTTTATCATGAAGAAGTGTTGAATATTATCAAATACCATTTCTGTATCTTTTGAGATTATCATGCTTTTTGTTCTTTATTCTGTTGATGTGATGTATCATGTTTTGATTTGAATATGTTGAAATGTCTTGCATACTTGAGAGAAATTCCACTTGATCATGGTGTATGGTCTTTTTGATGTGCTGTTGGATTTTGTTAGCCAGTATTTTATTAAGAATGTTAGAATCTATGTTCATCAGGGATATTATTCTGCAGCTCTATTTATGGTCGTTGTGTCCTTGTCTGGTTTTGGTATCTGTCAGCAGTATGCACAATTGCTTCAATACTAAGTTAACCCAAGTGTCCAACAACAAATAAAATAATAAAGAAAATGAGGTACATATACACAATGGAGTACTATTTAGCCATAAAAAGAATGAAATCCTGTTATTTTCAGCAACATGGATAAGGCTGGAGGAATTTATGTTAAGTGAAATAAACCATGAACAGAAAGTTAAACACAGCATACACAACATATTCTCATTCATATGTGGAAGCTAAAAAATCTGATTTCATAGAATTATAGTAGACAGAGGTTACCAGAGGTTGGGAAGGGTCAGGGGAAGGGAGCATAGGGAGAGATTTATTAAGGAATAAAACATGGAAGCTAGGAAGGTAAAATAAATTCTAGTGTTCTATAGCAGTGTAGGATGAATATAGTCAAAAATAATATGTTATATATTTTCAAAAAGCTAGAAGATAGGATGTTGAATGTTCCAAACACAAAGAAATCTTAAACGTTTGAGATAATGGATATACTAATTACCCTGATCTGATCACTATAATGTTGTATGTATCAAAACTTCACAGTGTGCTTCATATATATGTACAATTGTTATATGCCAATTAAATAATAAATAAAATTTTAAACATTGAAATTCTCAAGCTAAAAACCAGAATGTTACATTTTCTCAGTGGATGGTTTTATAAGAAGATGAAAAGTGGACTAGTAAACTAGAAATTATGCCGGAAGCTACTGCCCAGAATTTAATTTCAATTTTAATCTAAAATTTCTTAAAAATATCAAAAGCTGACATGTTAAAGTGAAACTTCAGAATTGGACAGGCAAGAGAAAAATCTTAAAAAAATAAATAATTACAAAGATTCTCTATTACATGTACAGCTAGGTTTTCAACACAAATATAGGAAGAAAGATAATGGTGAAATGACATAGCCAATGTGTCAAAATAATATAACTGCCAACCTAGAAGTTTCTAACTAGCAAAAATATTTTTCAAGGAAATAGGGGAAACAAAATGATCTTTACATACGCAGTAAGGATTAAGAGGATTAAGAGCACATATTAAATATGTGGGTGATTCCACTAATTGATTGTATAAAACAATAATATTGGGCATAATGTTTATTTTTTATATTTATTTATTTATTATTTTACATAATATCTATATAACATTTAGATGTAACAATGTTCTAAATAAGTTATAATATGAATTCATTTTAATCAGTAGTAATTAAAATCTATAATTTTATAATTAATATACAGCCTGTAAAAACAATGATGCATAAATCAAAAGGACATAAAGGGTAATAAACTTTTCTAACTTTATATCACCACCCATGAGAAAAGTAAAAGAGACAAGTAGCATTAGACTTAGGAATTCAAAGATGAATTTTGAAAGTTAAAAGGAAATCAATATAAGAAAAAGAAACTGAAAGGATGTGCATACCTTCTGAAGAATATAAAGGTCATAAAGAGAATAGTTCAAAAATTCTGTAATTATAAAACAAGGCAATGATAGCCAATATTAAAATTACAGATAGCACACAAAACATCACAAATTAAATTTATAGATTTAAAAAGGAATGTGTTGTTTTCCTAAATATGAGTGGTCTAAATGTTCTAGTAATAGAATAAAAATTGTCATATTGTATTAAAAATATTCACACTACATATGTATACAAAAATCTTACATACATCATGAGAATTTAGAAAATTAAAAGTAATGAAAGGTAGTATAAATACAATTACTTATGTGCATTTAAAAACATAGATCATAAAAAGTTTAAAAGTGTAATTTCAAAAGATAAATCTTTCAATAACTCTAACAATACCACCCCCAAAAATAAATACTGACAAATTTTGTACACTCATGGCAAAAGTTAACTTTTTTCAGGAATTACTAGAAGAAACAGAAAAAATTTCATTTTAATAGAATTCCAATAAATAATTAACAGGACATAATTCCCATGTTACAGAACCCTATACTCAATAACTATAGAATTTACATTTTCAAGCATAGATACCATATTTTAAAATAAAATAAAATTACCTTATATAGAACATGTTCTATGATAAAGTATTTTTGGACATTAGGAAAAATATTTCAAAATAATGTAAGTTACATGGATCCAAAGAAAAGGAAAAATTTAGTGGTAATAAAATATTTTAATTAGTTAATTTATTAATGTTACTGTTTTCTACATTGCTGACTCCCAGATGCACATCTATTGTTTCAATGTTCTCTCCTACTTGAAACCCTGCAATGGCTTCCATAACACCTGAAATAATCTTCACAGCCTACAATACCCCTTATGAATGTCCACCTGCTACAAATCCAACCCCATTTTCAGTCATACTCCCTGTCACTCAGCTCCAACAGAGTTGGAGCAACCTCATTGCTAGTAACCTCCTTTTAGAGCTTTGCACATGTTTACCTGAAACCTTTCCCCTTGGACTATCAAGTTCACAGTTCCCATTTTCATTATTAATCTTACTGTACCATGTTTTCTTCATAGTTATTATTACCTAATTTATTGCATGCTTATGAATTTTTATTTTAGACTCCTTTTCCACTATGTTAAATTCCAAAATGACAGGGATGTTACTTTTTGTTTTGTTTTGTTTTGTTGTGTTTTAAATCTGTGATCTAGAACAAACCTTGGTACCTGATGACGGGTAGAGGCTTAATATAGGTCACGTGGTTCAGTTCTGAACAATCATGTCTAATTGCTATTGGAGAAAGTTTTCATCATTATTTTGGAGGTAATTTCCCACCCCACATGCTTTCTGTTATCTTCTGGAATTTCAAACAGAGAACTGGCTTTTTGGACCTCATTGGCTCACTACTAAGTTGCCCTTAAGCATTCTCTATCCTGCTGCCCATTCTGCTAATTTGCTTCTTTTTTTAATTTAGTGATCAAAATGTTCATATCCACCATTTTATTTATGTTTTTGTAATTCTAAAGAGCAATAGCTAAATAGCAAATCCTGTAGAAGAAATTGTGCCTCTCCAATATAAGTCTCCCCTATTCAAGCTCAGCTTTATTTCCACTGTGTCACAAGTTTGTAATATTTACGCAACTACTTAAATCATAGGAATGATTCATCTTTCTCTTATCACATTTCCTTTTCCTTCAGTGAAAACCTGGTAATCCCTAGACAGGTTGATCTAAATGTATAGGAATAGATTTCAGGAGTGACTGCTATAATTTCACCTGAAATAGTTAAATAGTTGATTCCAGGTATATAGTTTACAAAAGGATTCCATAACTGCCTTCCTGGAGAGGCCCTAAAAACATATCTGACCAGTTTCCCATTCTCTCACAACTTCTTAGTAAAAGGAGATTCTCACTATCTAGGGATGGTGGTTTAAAAAAAAAAAAGCATTTTTACATTATTCAAGCACTTGACAATTAACATGTCTCACATACATCATATATGAATTGATTTCACATATTTACAGAGTTGCCTTATGAAATAATCTGAGGTTTCATCAGTACTCATTTCTGAATTCTGTCAGAAATGAACCAAATAGATCAGGTTGTACATTTATTGTCATTCACTTTTGCCTTTCCTTTGTGTGTGCCAGAAACTTAAATTTTCTCTACGGTTTAGTACATTTTCAAGATTGCAGCTTATTTTAGGATTGCAAAAGCTCTTTTTCTGACTATTCTAGTTAATGAGAGGTCCCTTATTCCCCAATCTTCTCAAGATTGTATCTAAACTCTTTTACACTTACAAATGTCAAATAATAGAAAAAAATCACTTATTGGAAAATATCATCTCAATGCAGATGTTTGTGATAGCATATTAACTTTATTCACCTACTTATTCAATAAATATTATGTATCCACTAACTATTCAAGGATTTAGTATGCAACAGGTAACAATAGTAGGTTCCTGTTGTGACACTTGTTGTATAGAAGATGAGGCAAGAAAGCAAGTAATTACAACACAATTTGATAAGTGCCACTATAGGGATAAACACAGGCTTGGGTAGCCAGATCAGAGCCACCCCATCTAGCATTAGGGAAATAAGCAACAACATCCCTAAGAAAATAATATATAAAAATAAAACTGAAGTGAAGAGAGTTATCCCAGCAGAAAGAAATTGAAATTAGAGGTACTGCCATAGGTAAATGAAGGATGATGACAGAGGTTGTGTTATGTTTGAGGAATTGCATATCAGTAAATAGGGCAACAGGTAAAGCAGGGAGATTAATAAAACATAAAATTGGAGATGCAAGCATGAGCCAATAAATGGACAAATTTTACATTATTTGAATGAATTAAGTCTATAAGTTAAAAATAATGCAAAGTCATCGAAGCTTTTCAAGTATTGGGGTCACGCAACCAAAGTGGAAATTCTGAGTGACAACTCTCTGTAATGTGGAAATATTGTACAGGGGAAGCACCCTGAGGCAATTCAGGTCACATGTGATTATTGACTAAAATCATTCCATGGGAATGAGAGGTAGAAAGACAGAGAGACGGATTTGAAAAGTTTTAGAATGTAGTGGCAATAAGACTTGGCAATTGATCAACACTGAAAGTCAGAAATTGGATAAAATTTCTAGAATATTGGATCAACCCGAATCAGGTGTAGTCAAGAAAGTCTGAAACAGATGTTCAAATTGCTGCACATCACATCAAAGAGGCAAGGTAGTACCACTCTTTGACTAAGAATGAGAATATGACAAAAGAACAAGTACAAAAGTGCAAAATACAGTTAATCACCCAAATGTCAGTCCTAAATAAAGGGCATCATTTAGACGCCTGACATGACAGGAAGAGAGCCTTGTTTTGTCAGAGTCTTATAGCTCCCATGAGATACTTTCAGGCAGTTACCAAAACCTATTGCCGTATTGGCCTTGAATTCTCCCTAATGGATGCCATTCAGTTACTGTTCTCTGATCATTCTGACAGAAAATTGAAGTCTGAAGAGACCTTGTTTGTTTGTCCTTTAATATCCAAGGGAGCAGCATGCTTCATGTTCCATCTGTGAATCATCTTTATTTTATCATCTTTATTTTAATCAGTATCTCCTACATAAGCTAAAAGAGAAATTGATTGAAGCTGTTACTTTGCTGGCAAAGTGAAAATTTTTATTTGCAAAAACCTCTGGAGAAAAATATGCTTTCTGCAAAGACATACGCAGAACAGTTACCTTTGTGGTATCTACACATTTTATTATTGCTTTCAACAGCATATCTCACAAAGTGACCGTGATGGTTAATTTTAGGTGTCAACTTGACTGGCTGAAAGAAAACCCAGGGAACGGGTAAAGCAGCATGACTTCTGGGTGTGTCTGTGAGGGTGTTTCCAAAGGAGATTGGCATGGGAGTCAGGGGACTTAGTGGGGAAGATTCACCTTCAATGTGAAAAGATCCCATCCAATTAGCCAGGGGCCTGAATAGAAAAAGGCAGAGAAAAGGTGATTTTCTTTCTCTTGGGGTTGAGACACTCTTCTTTTCCTTCCCTTGGACATCAGAAATCCAGGCTTTCTAGCCTTTAGACTCCAGGACTTAACACCAGTGGTCCCCAGGGTTTTCAGGCCTTTGGCCTTGGACTGAGAATTACACCATTGACTTCCCTGGTTCTGAGGCTTTTGGACTTGGACAGAGCCATGCTACTGGCATCCCAGGGTCTGAAGCTTGCATACGGTCTATTGTGGGACTTCTCAGCCTCCATAATTGCATGAGCTAATTCCCCTAATAAATTCCCTCTTATATATCTTATCTATTCTGTTGGTTCTCTCTCTCTGTAGAATGCTGGACAATGATACACAATTCAAATGTTAGTTGGGGAAATTTGAAAGTTCTTCACTTTTATTGTACAGTGGCACAAATATTTTTCTCAATTTATCTCCCTCTTTCTCTCTCTTTGTGTGTGTGTGACTGACATATGACACCTTTGCTAATTGATAAACAATAAGGTACTGAATTGCTATTTTCACCAGTTTAGTCTTTTTAGTAACAAATGCCTTAATGATTTAGGATTCTGGAATCCTGAGTAAGGTGAACATTCTTCTTTGACAATACAACTAGCTAGGAATTTCTTAGCTAGCTGAGCAAAGATTCAACCAAGCAACACTTTTGTAATGCGTATGTTAAAAGAAAAACTTCTGATAAATTAAATTTAATAGAGTTTACCTGAGCAAAGAATGATTCATGAATTAAGCATCACTCAGAACCCAGAGAGGTCTGAGAGCTCAGTGCAGCAAAGTGAGCACATAGTATTTATAGACAGAAAAATGAAATGACATGCAGAAACAGCTTGATTGACAGGTGAGCATTTGCCTTCTTTGGGCATGGTCTGATCAGTTGGCAGTCTGTGATTGGCTAAAGCTTGGCTGCTGTGTATGTCTGAGACTCAGCTACTTGCTAGGAGAATGTACTCTTAAGTCGGCTGCAGTTTGCTGCAGATAAACTCAAGGTATGGAGACAGCTTTAGGACATATTTAATTTAATTTAATTTAATGAGTGTATTTTTTAATAAGTAAAAACAAACTGTATTTTAGCCTTGAATTCAAAATTAGGTTATTGATCCATATCTTGACAAATTATTAGCCAGCTGTCTATTATTAAAACCCAGAAAGAAAATCACAGCACTGGAATAATGCAGTACCAAAGTGGGCAACTTAGTAAACCTTGTACATTGCAAGACAGTCTGCTCTACAGAAAGATTCGGATGCACAGAGAAAAAAGGGATGAATGTTAGAATTGCTGCTTACAGCAACTCACCTTTCAGAAACCAATGCAAATTTTCAGAAATCACAAAATATGTTTCCAAGACAAAGGATTTAGTAGGGAAGAGTCACCCTCAAGATAATAAAAGAGAAATACGGCAATGAAAGTTTCACTTGATATTGGGGATTGAAAATGGAGGTTGAGAAGAAATATGAAGTGTTTGTTATTTTATGTGTGTTTTGCAATTTAACATATAGTCATGTGTCACTTAACATGGTGGTAGGTTCTGAGAAATGTGTTTATTGTGTGAACATCATAGAGTGTACTTACACAGAGAGTATAGCCTAATATACTTAGGCTATATGACATAGCCTATTGCTCCTAGATTACAAACCTATACAGCACAAATATTGTTGGCAAGTGTAACATGATGATATTTGCGTATCTAAACATAGAAAAGGTAGAGTAAAAATATCGTATAAAGGATTAAAAATGGTATACCTATATAGGGCACTTCTCATGAGTATATCTTGCAAGATTGGAAGTTGCTCTGGATGAGTCAGTGAGTAGTACTGAGTGAATATAAAGGCCTAAGACATTACTGCACACTGCTGTAAACTTTATAAACACAGTAAACAGGCTATATTAAATTTATAAAAATTATTTCTTTCCTCAACCTTAGCTTATATAATTTGTTTCCTTTTAAAAACTTTTAACTTTTTAACTTATTTACTATTTTGTAATAACACAGCGTAAAACACACATTGCAGAGGTGTACAAAATATATTTTTCTTTATATTCTTATTTTATAAGCTTTTTCTTATTTTATGATTTTCATATTTTAAGATTTTTTTTTGTTAAAAACTAAGACACATATATTTGTGCATACACATTCACCTAGGCCTATCTATACAGTGTTAGTCTCGTCAGGACATTACTAAGTAATAGGAATTTTTTAGCTCCATTGCAAGCTTATGAGACTGGCTTTGTATATGCTTTGTTGAACAAAACATCACTACACGATGCATGACTACATTTAAAAAACCAACACCTTTCTTTGCATTTTGATTTAACTTGTTTAGGTTTCTATGAGAACAGTCATTTAATGTTAAATTATGAGAAAGGCAATAGCTATGTTATCACTGTAACTATAAAGGCTGATAATTTCTAAGAGATTAAAATTATTGTTATTTCTAATATTGTCCAATATAAAGCAGTCAAATGTAATATATAAGGAATGAGTTCTACATGTAATCTTTCTATTATGAGAATGTGTCAATTGATATTATAAATATACAGAAAAAGAAAAAAGAAAGCCAATAAAAATACATTCATTGAAGTTATAATATAAGAAATGTGTAGATAGGAAAATAATACAATTTTACTGAATTTTAACTTGATTTTTTTCCCTTTTAACACTTTACTATTATAGTAATTTTCCATTATTTTGAATAGACTCTCTTTCTTGGGAATATTTGGAGGCAGGGACACTGGGTTACGAAGCAAAAATCTAGATTCTTGCCTAAGTTCTGCAAATTTTAGTATGCCCTTGTCATTTCATTTTCCTACATCCAGTGTCCTCACTTCTTATAAAAGAGGGTTGAATCAAATAAACACACAAATCTCTACTAGCTTTTTTATTTTCTACGTACCAGAATGTTATATAATTATTTTATACTTAAACTGTTTCATTTCCTTAATTGAAAGTATTCATTTTTATTTTCCCATGAAATAACATATTAATAGGTGGGATTATTATAATAGAGAACATACTAAAACTTTCAATGCAATGATTGATAAACAATGATGCCAGGAAGTACAATTGGATGTAAAGGAGATTGGTACAGAGACTGTAACAATTATCTGAATGACATCTAACACTCCTTACCTATTAAAATTTCAGAAGACACAAATTTTCAGTACCTATTTCATCGGTTTGTTACGAGACTATTTCACAGTAACACACTTAAAGTGCCAGTATAGAAATTGCCATATAACAAGCAGTGAATGAGAGCTTGTATCTACTCAAAATACCTGGAGGGATGAAATTCAAAACTTACTGGTTTCTTCTTATAATTCCTGTATACCTAGGGAATTTGGTTACTGGTTCAGTATTTGGTATATGTGCTTCTTTGCAAAACATGCATGGCAACTTTTCATTTTTACCAGGTGTGAAACAAAAATAAAACATCTCAACTTCTATCACATCAATAAAAAGGAGTTTGATATTTATAAAATAAGAAGGAGAGGTCGGGCACGGTGGCTCATGCCTGTAGTCCCAGCACTTTGGGAGGCTGAGGCAAGTGGATCACGAGGTCAGGAGTTCAAGACCAGCCTCACAAAAATGGTGAAACCCCGTCTCTCCTAAAAATAAAACAATAAAAATAAAAATAAATAAAAAAAAATTTGCCGGGTGTAGTGGCACCGTGCCTGTAACCCCAGCTACTCAGGAGGCTGAGACAGAGAACTGCTTAAACCCAGGAAGTGAAGGTTGCAGTGAGCCAAGATCATGCCACTGCACTCCAGGCTGGGTGACAGAGCAAGAACTATGTCTATTAAAAAAAGAAAAAAAAAAAGAAAAGAAAAAAAAAAAGGAGAACTGCAAATTTACAAGCTAAACCAAGAAATAAGATTCTCCTATCTTGTCAATAGACTAGCATTATTTTTCTATTACTGCAGCAAACTGTTCTTTGTTACAGTCTCCAACCAAAGGATTATATGCTGGAAGAGGAGCTCATAAGTGATTCTGACCTGGAGAGAGGTGTATGCATTTCAGGTTTTGGTGGAGCACAAGATAACCCACCAAAGTCTTCTGGTCTCCTATTTGATTTGCCACGATTGACTTGCTTCTTATAGCAGAACTGTAGCTTCTCTCAGGATCTTGTTTGTTCATGCTTCCTGGGGAAACTTAAAAGTGAAAGGTTACTGGAATGAATTAAAGCCTTCTCTGCTGCAGTTGGCCTGAAAGCTGAAACAAATACTATTTCTTCTCCATTGTTCACCATCCATTCAGATTCTTCTGGTGCTCAACAAGGAACTGATAGGATGACCAAGACTAATGAGCGACTGGTTACTAAGTCTTTTTCAAACCACACTCTTTCATGCCTATTTACTGTTTAAACTAGGAGCCTCAAGAGACACCCTGGCAATTTTCCTTACCACTGGTCGTACTCCTCTTGGTCACTCTTCGGAATGGTATCAACTGCTGGCAAAAAGATCCCCAGGCTGAGGTTAGTTGAAGGCTCAGTTCCCGCTACATTCAGGTCAGCTTCTCCCTTTTCCAAATATTGACTCCATTTCTTCACAAGTGTGTCTCCAGAGAAAAGTCTCTAATAAACCCATACAAAATTTCTCCTTTCAGTCTGTTTCCAGGGAACACAGCATAAAATAAAATCATATCAAAGTATTAAACAGAGCAAAAAGCCATTACAGTTATATAATTTCTACACATTTAATTATTGTTTGTTTTATTAGCAAGTCACAGAAAAGCTATAGTAATGACAGCATTTTAAATTTTAAATGGGACTATGAACTCCTCTAAAATTTTCAAATAAAATTTTATTTATAAAATTGGTCATTTAGAATTGCCTCTCAGTTGCATAGAGTAAAACACTGGCTCATTTTGAGTTGTAATAACACATCAAATACATGTTAAGTGTCAAAACTTAATATCTCAATAGTGTGCCTACTGTTAGCAAGTAACAACATTTAGTCTGATCTCTAAATCAGATATGAGTATGTATTGCGACTCCTAATTGACATTAAGAATAGACGATCATGCAAATAATTAAAAATGCTACGTTTGGAAGAAAAATTTATTTCAAGTCGTTTGGTCCTTATGAAATAATGTGATATTTGACGCATTTCTTTTTCTCGCTGAACTGTCACCAAGTGGAACTTTCTCCAATAATTGAGGATTTTCTAATGTCCTTTTGGTAATTAAAAACTTTGCCATTTTTTCAGTAAAAAATAATTTTACAACACCCTTGTAAACGCATATTGTATCTTTAATACTGCCATTTCTCATTTCACTTCTCTCCTATCCACTCAACTTTTAAAAATAAAAAGATATGGCCGGGTGCAGTGGCTCATGCCTGTAAATCCCAGCACTTTGGGAGGCCGAGGCGGGCGGATCACGAGGTCAGGAGATCGATCGAGATCATCCTGACTAATACGGTGAAACCTCGTCTCTACTAAAAAAATACAAAAAATTAGCCGGGTGTGGTGGCGGACGCCTGTAGTCCCAGCTACTCGGGAGGCTGAAGCAGGAGAATGGCGTGAACCCGGGAGGTGGAGCTTGCAGTGAGCCGAGATCACGCCACTGCACTCCAGCCTGGGCGACTGAGCAAGAGCCCATCTCAAAAATTAAAAAAATAAAAAAATAAAAAGATATCTGTAGATTTCAATTGTGTCTAACGACAAATTTCAATTCAGGCAAAACTGTAATGTGGGAAAACAGAGAAAAAAAATGGAGTAAATTTTCTGTAACATCATCCCATGTGTCTTTCTCCCTCCGTTCTCATCAGGACACACTCTCCTCATGTGTCTAAGGCTTCTCATGTTGTTCTAGACCTTTCATCCAAGATTAAATTAATCCAATAAGTATAAAACACATAGGTTTGGATGGAGAGCCCTGTAATTTTTTTTGCTAAGTTGATTTCTACCCAGTTTAATTTGCTTCACTTTACTTAAAAATCATTGTATACCAAAGTGTAATAAATGTAGTGCCTTTACCATTTTAGAGGTATTTGCATTGCAATAAAGGATCATAAGGGAAAAAAACAATTTTTAAAGTTCAGAGATAAATTTTTGCTTATCGAATTTTAGACATTAAAGAGATTTATTTGAGAAGGATCTGTCTCAGAGCCCAAGTTACACTACAAACATCTTTTCACCATAAAGATGAAAGTTACCTCTTTTATTGAGTATTGGTTGAACAATGACCAATATAGTTTTCTGATAAGCTTTTGATTATCTATTTTAAAATGATGTAAACATTAACATGTCCTTATCAATTGTAATATTTTGAAGAAATAGTGGCTCTAAGACACAAGGGCATTTTCATCGGTGGAAGAAGTTAACTGATTTTAGCATTTATATTTTGGTCATAAACTACAAAACAAAGGGATTTTTGTTACTAATCTAAATAGATGATAAAAAGTGTAAAGCCAATGAATATAAATTATACAGAATGTTATTTGTCAGGAATTCTGAATCCGTAAGTAGCTGCCAGTTGGGCTAGGCCACCCTTGATTTATCCTCCATTATCGAGGTCCTTATCTCTTTTGGGAAAGTGTGGTATTGCCCATTTTAACCAATAAGGGGCCTTCTTTATCAACTGTCACTGGACAAAGGAATAGGCTTTCAAGTACTGACAGGAATATCAGAGACAAAATTTGGACATGAAATACATACCTTGCCTAAGTCTTCATGCTACAATCTTTGAATGTCTTCCTATACATTTTAAATGTCAGCTTGAATGGGTAAATTCTGTGTCTAAGTTTGCCTCAGCCTACTACTGGAGCAAAAGTCAGCTACCCAGATATTTTTAAACATATTATTATATCGACATATTATGAGGTGTTCCCTAAGCAACCAATTCAGCAAGAATTACAATTATACTTTGTGCCCTCTGGATAATCATCTATAAATACATATTGATATAATATCTCCTGACATTTGTCAATATTACCTATGCGATTCTTGGATGTTTTAATGTGAATTGATTAAGCTTAGCTCCATCAGGGACATGGAATACTTGGACTCCAGTCATGGATCATGGAATATTTGGACCCTAGTCATGAACAAGCTTTTTAAAGATTCAGTGTGTTAAAATAATAAAAAAGAAGTTGATGAAGAAAAGAAATAAAAGCAGTGAGAAGTGTTTCCAATGAAACATAATCCAATGGGACATGTTTTGTACTTTTTACAGCAAGAACCTGGTTTGTTTCTAGTCTTTCATATGTTTATCTATTCAATTGTTATTCAGCTCTTACCAGGTATTGATTGGCATGGCTCCTACTGCTGTAGATAGAGCACTGCTGTGGATATAGTGAAAATAAGCAGAAAAAAGAAACCAAATATCCATCTTCTTAGGCTTTGATAATTTCAGAAAATAAGCACAGTGAATGCAATAAAACAGTATAAGATAGTGATAGTGATGGTGAGCCACTTAGACTTCCCATATACATCCTTTCCACTGATATAGCTCCAATTTTTGTGATAACCACTCCAATTATAACCATGAAAATAAAGTCAGTTGAAAATTTAGATGGTGTTGAATTGCAATATCATGGACAACGTGTTTCACAATCTTGTTTCCATCAGTCTGAGGTCACTGAAATGTCATCCTTCAGTATGGTTGTTACAGCCTCACAGAATACCCTTGTGCTCTGTGAACTAGAAAATATAGTATCAGAATTTGTCTTTCCATTATATTTAAAGCTGGGTAAGGAATCATCCAGCCCATTTTTCTTATCTCACTTACAACCATGAACCCAGATTTTCTCATCTTTTGTACACGTGATCGGTGTTTCTGGTGGATCACAGAAAACAGGTTACTTAATTCTTCACTAGAATGAAATTCTCATGGCCATCACTTTTTCACAATATCATAACCATGTGGAAATGCTGTATCTTTCAGTTAAAGATATATTTCTTGCTATGAGATCAGGTTGCAATACATATTCTTGAACCCATAATTTTTGGTGGAACCCATAAATTTCAACATTTCGTTTTTTATTTTTATTTTATTTTTATTATTTTAAATGTATTGCTTCTTTAGAAACCTGTGGCATAATTTAAAATATTTGTGAAATTTTTAAATATCTTACCACTATTGCTTTCTAATTAAATTTTATTTTGGGCTACATGAAATATCAATTTTTTAAATCATTGAGAGTTATTTTTATTGTCAAGCATATAGTATATCCTGGTAAAAATTCTTTGCACACTTGAGACAACAGGTGCTCTAAATTTGTTAGGTTTAATCTTCTATAAGTATCAATTAGGTAAATATGGATAAAACGCTGTTCAAATAGTTTATAGTCTTGCTGATTTATTTTGTATTTTTTATTTCAATTACATGTATTTTAACCTTGACTGTGGAATTGTTTATTCTTCCTTTAATTCTATTAGTTTTTCAGTTCTATGTTTTGAAGATATATTATTATGCGCAAATGTATTTTTTAACTGTGTCTTAACATTTGGTCATTTTACAAAATATTCCTTTTTCTTACCAACAATAATGATTGTTATGAACTCTACTGCTTTTGATATTATTATAGATATTTTATTTTTCATATGACTATATTTTATAATTATGATATTTCATGCTTTGATTCTCATCTTGAGTCTTTAATATTTAGTGTACAACTATTATAGACAGGATACACTTGAGTCGTGATGTTTTTGTCCAATATTAAAATCTCTGCCTTTTAATTTGTATGTTTATCAATAATTAATGTAATTACTAATATAGATAGAGTTATTAGTTGCATTCTGTACATTAAAAGATATGCTGCAGTCCTCACTTGTAAATTTCACCTTAATTAGAAACAAAGCCTTTACAGGTGTAAGTTAAGATGAAGTTCTACTGGATTAGGATAGGCCCTAATTCCAATGTCTGTTGTCCTTATAAGAAAGTCAGTAATAGCCACAGGAACACAGAAAAAAAAACCAGGAGAATGCCACATGACAATAGACGCAGATTTTGGAGAGAAGCCAAGGAATGCCAAGTATCCCTAGCAAATACCAGACACTAGGGGAAAGGCATGGATGAGATTCTCCATCAGTCTCCAGAATGTTCCAACTTAACCACAACCTTGATTTCAGACTTCTAGTGTCTAGAAGTATGAGAAAATAAATTTCTGTTGTTTTAAGCCACCCAGCCATTCAAGAAAACTAATGCAATTGCGATGAAGACTACTGTCTTGTTTTGTTTTGCTTTATGGTGATTTTTCTGCTGTTTTTCGTTTTCTGCCTTTTTTGTATTAATAAAGTATAGTTGGGCAACTCATTTTGGCTGTTTTATTGTTTTCTATTTGTTTAGTGAATGCATTAACTGCAATATTATTTTTTCACAGTCTAATTAGATGTAATACTGTGTAAATATTCATGTAAATTATAAGAATACTGTATTATAATTTCATTTATGCTGCAAAACTGTACTCTTGAAGTCAGAAATTTTACTTCTACATACATTATAAAATCTAATTTTGTAATTTTAATTCTACATACATTATATAAGCTAAACTTTAACATGTTTCTGTCTTACATAGTAATCATTTAAAGAAAATACATGATTATTAAATTTAGGTGGGTTTTCCCATATTTTCTCACAAATTTATCATGTCTGGTGCTTTAAAACCTTGAAAAATTATGTAACTTTCCACATAGTATATTTTTTCTCTGGGTTAAGATCTTCCTTTAGCATTTAATGTACTAGAGTCTGCTGGAGACAAATTATTCCAATTTTTACTTAGTTTAATTTGTCTATATTTTATCTAACTTGTGGAGGATATTTTTGTAGAATGTGAAATTTAGATGGACAAACTTTTTCTCTTTTAATACGTTAAAATTGTTATCCTCTTCTCAATTGGTTTTACTTTTTAAAGTCATATTCGTATTGTTGTTTCATTGCATGCACTCAATCTTATTTCTTGGAAATTTTTAAGAATTTCTATTTATCTTTTACCTTAAGCAACTTGTCTATGATGTACATAGGTATGACTGGCTTTTTGCTTGATCAGTTTAAGATTTTCTGAGATCCTTGGATATGCAAGTTATTATTTCTATTAATTTGGAATATTTTTGTCTACATTTTAATCAAATATTTCCTGTTTAATATATAATGTATCTTTTATATATAACATTACATATATGTATATGAAGAGAGAGAAATCACAAGAATGAGAGGTAAAAAATTAGTGTGTGTGTGTTTGTAGAGAGAGACAGAGAGAGAGAGAGAGAGAAAGAAAGAAGTTTCTAAAGCCAGTTCTAACTCTTAACTAAAACTATATAACCTTGGAACATTATTAATATCTGTCTATAACTTAGTTTCCTAATTTTTAAATTTAAAATATCAGCAATAGTACCTAGCCCATAGAGGTATTGTTAGAATTAAATAAGTCAGTATGTGATTGAACCAGAATAAGTCTTCAATATTCAAAATATTCAAAATTTCAAAATTCAAAATTCTTCTCAGAACTACTACAGCATTTTCAGTCTTTATAACTGAGTTGCTAGTAGTATATGGTAATGTGACCTCATTCTTATCATAATATCTAATATTTTACTGATAATACATTTATAGAAGTATCTTTTTTCTCTGAAACATTTTAAGCCACTTGAAGTCAGAGATGGAATGTTCTCTTTTTTTCTGTGTATATCGGAGAAATTGCTAGAGAGATTTAAGGATGTTAACAACTTAAACTATGAATATTTATCATATATTATTAAACTACAAAAACCTTGTAGTCTTGAAGTTGAAGTCAGTAGTGTTTCATTAATTATGTGGAAATAAATAGTAATAACAATTATATTAATTAAATATTTGGAACATTTTATAATAATTTCATTCATATAGTTTTCTTTGACCCTAGGGAGACATCTAACTTTATGTCTTTTTCTGTTTATCAGATTATTATTTTTCTCTGCCTTTCACAAGACAGAAATGTAATGCACTTTACATTTCTTTGATTTTTCCAATGCTTATTTTGTATTCATTTTTCAGTCATCAGCTCAAATATTTCCCTAGCAAATGATGTTTTGTAGATTCTAAAGTAGAAACACTCCTACCTCAACCAATTCTTCTATTCTTTCCTATTACGTTGCTTAAGTTTTGTATATTTTAATCGCTATCTGAAGTTATATTGTTAACTTATTTTCAAGTCTTAGTCTTTTATTTCCCATTAAAATGGTAGCTCTGTGATAAGAAAACCCAGGTTAGTAGATACAGTATAAAGTTGGCCCTCCTATCTAACTATAAATCTCTCTCTCTTTTTTTTTTTTTTTTTTTTTTTGTGGGGCGGAGTCTTACTCTGTTGCTCAGGATGGAATGCAGTGGCGCTCACTGCAACCTCCGCCTCCCAGGTTCAAGCAGTTCTCCTGTCTCAGCCTCCTGAGTAGCTGGGATTACAGGTGCCCACCACCACTCCCTACTAATTTTTGTATTTTTAGTAGAGACGGGTTTCACCATGTTGGCCAGGCTGGTCTCAAACCGCGTACCTCAAGTGATCGGCCCGCCTCAGCCTCCCAAAGGGCTGTGATTACAGGCATGAGCCACCACGCCCAGCCGGTAACCATAAGTTTCACATCCGTGAGTTCAACCAACTACGAATAAAAAATATTGTAAAAATTGCATCTTTACTGAACATATTCCCACTTTTTTCCTGTCATTATTCTCTAAATACAATATAACAATTATTTACATAGAATTTACATTATTAGGGATTATAGATAATCTAAAGATAATTTGAAGTATACAGGAGAATATGCATAGGTTACATGCAGATACTATGCCATTTTATTTAAGGGATTTGAGCATCTGTGAATTATGTCATTCTTGGAAGTTCCTCCTATTCTTGGAAGGTCAAGGATATGGAGTGATGTATATATATATATATATATATATATATATATATATATACATACACATAATCAGTTTCACATGCATACACATACATATGTATGTATATACACTCAGAAACATTTCATAGGTGAGAAGAAATATTGGGTTTTGGTTTTGAAATATTGGTAGAATAAAGATAGCAAGGAGGATAAAAAATAAAAAATGGCTTTAAGCCAGAAAAAAGAAAACACGGGGGAAATATAAATAAGTGAAAAATACAACTTAGCTCAATCAGATTCTTACTAGCACCTACAATATTGCATGACCTTTAGAATCCTTAAAAGCCAATTTTTAAGAATCTTTTCTTGTTTAACATGCATTACCAAAAATATTTTTTTAATTTAGTGATAAAAATCTTGCATCCTATTTTTCTTCAAAATGTCTTTGAATTATATAACAAATAACACTAAACTATAAAGTTCTCTCACTTTTAACAAGAAAAACAAACTTACTGATATATTTTATGCCATATATTAAAAAGGCATAAATATTACACATATATATAATTCTTCTGAGAATATTTTAAATTTTTTTCCAATATTCAACCCTTACATTTATGTCTTACTTCTATATTTTCCCCAAACTACTAACTCACTTTTACTCATTATAAACTTAAACATTCTGTGAAACTAATTTGAATTTTTAAACAAAATTATAGTTCACCATACCCCTCACTAAGGTCAAATCTATTTCATATTCTTTTTCAAATATTCTAACTCAAGTCCTAACTGAATAATAAAAAGAAATTTTTTTAATAGCAGCATCTTGGAAAACTCATTATATAATTTAGTACAGATGTATTCTTTCTGAATTTGAATGTTTTAGTCATATATTATTATTATCTCTTGTATGATAGTGAAACATGTAATGCATAACATAATATATGGTTTTATTGAAAGTAATAGGGTAATAAAAGGTATGGTCATCCAAAAACCTCAAATCTTAAAGTAAGCATTAAGAAAAGACTAGGCATGATACTTTAAATTTTTAAGAATGTAATTTGCCTCGAGACCATATTCATTTCAGTTAGCATCCATAAGTAATTTAAACTTTCTTATTGTTTTTAGCTTTAGACTTGTTTGTCCACACATTTCTCCTCTAAAATGCTAGCAACTTAGGTTATTATCTTGGATGAAGCAGTAAACAAGATATCTATATACCATTAAGAAACTCTTTGACTTAGAATTAAAAAATGTTATGTGTCTATGCAAAGATCATTATCATTTTTGTCCTTTTTGTTGTTCTGTGTATCCAGGTATTAAACAATGCCTAAAACTTTGCCATAACTTTCCAAACTATTTCTAAACTTACAAAAGTGTATAATATTGGTTTCAAAACCCAACTATTAGAAAATATTAGCACAGAATTTAATTTTACTATATAGAAGTCTAAAAATGTTTGTGCCTATGGCTTATAGTTATGCTAGGGCATTGAGTAAGGTAAATGGCTGTGTATTAACTCAAGACAGCCTCATTCCATTGTTGCATGTACCATGGTTTGTAGTCTTGATATCTGCCTCATTGATCGGTGTCTTAGTCAATTCAGGGTGATAAAACAGAAAACCGTAGACTGGGTTGGCTGAAACAACGTAAGTTTATTTCTTCCAATTCTGGAGGCTACGAAGTCCAAGATCAAGGCCCAGGCAGATCAGTCGTCTGGGGAGGGCCTACTTCCTGATTTTCAAATGACTGTCTTCTCAGTATATTGTCACATGGTAGAGATCAGAGAGAGAGAAAATAAAAGCTTCCTTGTGCCTTTTTATAATGTCATGTCACAAAAGCCATTTATGAGGGCCCCACCTTTATGACCTAAATACTTCCCAAAGATTCCACTCCCTAATATCACCACATTGGGGATTACAGTATCAGTGTGTAATTTTGGGGGCACAAAACATTTAGTCCAACACTGTTGCCAAACCCTGTCTCTTTTTACTTTTTCTTTCATGTGTGTCACCATTTCTCAGGAGCCAACCATACAATATTCATTCGTAAGTTAGTATATATATATGCGCCCCTCTCTTTCAGCAAATATTCGGCCATTTGGCCAGCACTGTGTATATTATATATATGTCACAATTGCATTTGGCATACTAGAGAAAAAAATAATGATCAAGCTACACTAGATTATTGTCTTCATAAACTGTATATTATAGGGAAAGAAAGAAAGACAAATATGAAGGCCACACTAATAAGAATTAATGTGTTGATTAGAGAGGTAGAGGGAGGTATTATAACAACATAAGGGAAACAGAACCCACAAAAAGGATATCTAGAAATATTTTAGATATGTGTCTTCAAAGATAGATCTGAAAATGGATGTAAAATAATGTGTTATATATACACAATAGAATACTATTCAGCCATTAAAAAAGCAGCCAATTATTTGTGATGACATGAATAAACCTGAAGAATATTATGTGAAGTGAAACAAGCCTGGCACAGAAGACAAATACTGCGTGATCTCACTCTTATATGTGAAATCTTAAAAGTTAAACTCATGAAAACAGAGAGTAAAATGATGATTACCTGAGGCTGAAGTTGTGGGTAAGGATATTTGTCAAAGGTTACAAAATTTCAGTTAGAAGGAAAAATTTCAAGAGATCTACATACATCACAGGGATTATAGTTAATAACAATGTATTATATTCTTGAAAGAAATGAATGTGAGTAAGGAAAAGTTACTGGAAGAGAGAAGAAAGCATTGTTTTCCAAACAGAACATAATGTTATGTAAAAATCTAGAGGTTTAAAGGCACATAATGCTTCTCAATGGTCATCGCCTTGCTGATGGGGTAAAAGAATAAAAATTCACTCTGCAAAAGAACCACTGCTCTACTGAACAATGCTTCAAGGTGAATTATTAGTTCCTTTCTGGGTAACTGTCCTTTCTTTTAAATTTTTAATTTCAACAAAACTTCTAGCCATATTATTGCATTAAATGAGATTATAGCTGAGTCTTAGTGGTCTGGAATCCAAATATCCTTTTTTGGTGAAAGGCAATTTAAGAATCTAAATCTGATTCTTTGTATCATAAACTTCCAATTTAAGATTTAAAGTGAAATCTTATTTTGTAAAGTATATTATTATTTTTGTTTAGTTGTTTATTTTTCATTATTATGGGTACATATAGCCATTACATATATGGCACATATTTATGGGGTACATGTAATGTTTTGATACAAGCATACAATGTGTAATGATCAACCAGGGTAATTTGGGTATCCTTGTGTTAGAAAAAATCCACTTCCTCTCTTTTACTTTAAACTATGAATATTTATCATATATTATTAAACTACAAAAACCTTGTAGTCTTGAAGTTGAAGTCAGTAGTGTTTCATTAATTATGTGGAAATAAATAGTAATAACAATTATATTAATTAAATATTTGGAACATTTTATAATAATTTCATTCATATAGTTTTCTTTGACCCTAGGGAGACATCTAACTTTATGTCTTTTTCTGTTTATCAGATTATTATTTTTCTCTGCCTTTCACAAGACAGAAATGTAATGCACTTTACATTTCTTTGATTTTTCCAATGCTTATTTTGTATTCATTTTTCAGTCATCAGCTCAAATATTTCCCTAGCAAATGATGTTTTGTAGATTCTACTGGACTTCAAACTATACTACAAGGCTACCAAGGCTACAGTAATCAAAACAGCATGGTACTGGTACCAAAACAGATATATAGACCTGGGCATATTCTCACTCATATGTTGGAGCAGAAAAATGAGAACACATGGACACAGGGAAAGGAACAGAACAGGGGCCTCAGAAATAACACCACACATCTACAACCATCTGATCTTCTACAAACGTGACAACAATAAGCAATGAGGAAAGGATTCCCTATTTAATAAATGGTGCTGAGAAAACTGTCTAGCACATGCAGAAAACAGAAACTGGCCCCCTTCCTTACACCTTATACAAAAATTAACTCAAGATGGATTAAAGATTAATACATAAAACCTAAAGCATAAAAACCCTAGAAGAGGCTGGGCTTGGTGGCTCACGCCTGTAATCCCAGCACTTTGGGAGGCCAAGGCGGGCGGATCACGAGGTCAGGAGATCGAGATCATCCTGGCTAACACGGAGAAACCCCGTCTCTACTAAAAATACAAAAAATTAGCCAGGCGTGGTGGTGGGCGCCTGTAGTCCCAGCTACTTGGGAGGCTGAGGCAGGAGAATGGCGTGGATCCAGGAAGCGGAGCTTGCAGTGAGCAGAGATCAGGCCACTGCATTTCAGCCTGGGTAACAGAGCAAGACACCGTCTCAAAAAAAAGAAAAAGAAAAAGAAAAAAAAAAGAAACCTAGAAGAAAACCTAGGCAATACCATTCAGGACTTAGGTATGGGCAAAGACTTCATGACTAAAACACCAAAAGCAATTGCAACAAAAGCCGAAATTGACAAGTGAGATCTAATTCAACTAAATAGCTTCTGCTCAGTAAACGAAACTGTCATCAGTGTGAGCAGGCAACCAACAGAAAGGGAGAAAATTTTTGCGATCTAGCCATCTGACAAAGGTCTAACATCCAACCATGTTTTACAAACTATGTAATACTCTTACAATAAGACACATTTTTCTTACAACAATAAGAGTGGCTTTTCTATAAATGTACCTAATATGTTATTCTTGCATATGTCATACAATAAATATGTCATATAATATTTAGATATATCATTGTTTTTCTTTTTCTTTCTTTTTTTTTTTTTTAAGAGATGGGATTGTGCTAGAGCAGCACAGGCTGGTCTTGAATTCTGAGATCAAGCAACCCTCCTGCCTCATCTTTGTGAATATCTGGGACTACAGGTATGCACCACATTGACCAGCAATTTGGGAATTTCTTACCCCTCAATCACACTATATGAAATTCATGGAGTCACAAAGAATAACAGGGAAATCTTCTTAGTTTAGGATGTTTATCATCTAATTTCAATGTGAATAATTTTTAGATACAAATAAATCTATAACAAACAGCCTAGCCAGAGTAGAATATTTGAATTAGTGCTTTAGTCTTTGCCCCATTCTGCAGGGCAGTCTGAAATTATTCATGGTGTCCACTGCCATGTTTTTCAGTGTTCATTTTGGGGTAGCATTTCTTTGAGCATAGATATAATATTATTGAATACATGGTTATTGGAAGGGTTTTAAGAAACATATACACATACTGGCTTGCTATAATATCTGCTGCAGGAAAGAGGTGGCATTGGTGGTGTTCGTGGTAATGGTCGTGGTATTGAATCTTGGAGTTGTTGCTGTTGATTTTTTTTCTGCTTTTAGTGTGATTTTTTTAATGGACATATAATAATTATAACATATTTGTAAGGTACAGTGTGAATTTTGGATACATGTATACATGTATAATGATCAAATCAGAGCAATTAGCATATCCATTACCTCAAACATTTATTATCGCTTTGTGTTGGGAATATTCAAATATTAGTTAGAGCAGGAGACTCCAAGTAAGACAAGGATTATTAAAAATAGCCTTTTATTACAAATTTCCATCAATTATACCCACAGCATGATAAATATATTTATATATTCAAAAAGGCACTAATATTAATCATCAAAAATATGAAGTGTACTGTGGAGAGGAAAATTAATGAAATCATTATTAGTTCATTATAGTGTGAAATATTTCAAGCAAGATTTAATATTGTACAAAAATTGAACACCTGAACCGTACAACTGCAATATGGAACACCCAACCAATAACCAATCCTCTGCGTATCTGCATATCTGTGTGTGGGTGTGTAGATCTACCCTCTTACCAATTTTCAGGTGTACAATGCTGTATTGTATCTATAGACACAAGGTAGTACAGAAGCTCTCTAGAATGTATTCATCTTGCCAAACTATCTATTGAACAGTGACTCCCTATTTCCCCCTTACTCCTAGGCCCAGGCAACCAACATTCTACTGTCTAGAGGTTTCTATAAATTCAATGATTTTAGGTACCTCCTATAAGTGGTATCATACAATATTTGGCCTCTATGACTGGCTTATTTCACTTAACATTTTCAAAATTTATCTATAGTGTTGCATATGGCAGGATTTCCTCATTTTTGTAGCTGATTAAAATTATCTTTAGAGAATATACCATATTTTTAAATCTACTAATTCAAAGATAGACATTATGTTTGATTTCACATCTTGGCTATTGTGAAAAATATTATAAAAATTATAATCATTTTTTGATAGAAAGGTATTAGAAAAAAGAATGTTTAACTTAGAACAACTTCAAACACAGCAAAATGGAAAAAACATGAAAATATGTGCATTAAAAACTGTAATGTTTTATTGTTATTTATAAAAATATTGTTTATATGGAGTTTGTACCTTAAATTGTATAATTTTACTTAAAATATTTTCTGAAATATGAAAATTATAACTTGAAATATATTTTATATTAATTTGATTTGAATAATTTATAATTTTTGTACTGTGACTATAGCAATAATTTTTTTTGTGATATGTAGTTATGTCACTCTCTTGTTAGAATATCCTGGCCAACATGGCGAAACCCCGTCTCTACTAAAAATACAAAAAGTGGCCAGGCACAGTGGCACATGCCTGTAATCTTAGCTACTTAGGAGGCTGAGGCAGGAGAATTGCTTGACCTCTGGAGGCCGAGGTTGCAGTGAGCGGAGATCGTGCCACTGCACTCCAGCCTGGGCAACAGAGAGAGACTCTATCTTAAGAAAATAAATAAATAAAATAAAATATACAGCATAGAAATTACTCCCATGAATGAGTATGTTCACAGCATTTCCATAAAAACCCTATTTAACCACTGAAAAATAATACTGTATCAAAATATTAATAAGAATTTTAAACATATAAGTTAAGACTACCATAATGTTTTCAATTTAATACATCTATTTCTAGCTTTGTATATTGCTATCCAATCTTAATCTATGTAACTGCTCCATTGAAGTTATTTGAGCTCATTTGCACATGCCTTTTTTGTTTTAACTACTTTTCCTTTAGTACTATATTATTTAAAAATCAGTTACTAAATAATCTAAATAATCACAAAGTATAATGGCTGACTAGTGACATCTAAAGTGTACCACAGTATTCCTTTTCAGGTTTTTAAATTAAAGGTAAAAAAAAAAGCCACATATGTATTTTTATAAGGGAAAGGTCTTGTTTCTGTCTTTTTCTTTTTGTTTTGGTTTTGGAGAAGTTATTCTTTTAACGTATATTTCTGAGAGTAGAACTCCTCTGTTAAAAAATAAGGTGACATATATGTTTATTTCTGTGCATTTCACATTGCTTTCTGTTCTTGTAATGTTTGTGAAAGCCATCAACAGTGTAAGAATGTACCAATTTAAAGCATGGCATATATCTGGAGTTATCTCTTTTCCCTAATTTAGTGGACAATGAAATGGGCATAATCTTTTTTTCCTTCTTTTAAAGTATGCCACTTTAACAAAATATGTTTTAAACAAAATATCTACCGTTTTCTTAGCAAGAAAATGTTACTGCATTATGAGGTGTCAGCATTTGTATTTCAATAAATGATAGAATGAATTTAACAAAGCAGTATTTTTATTACAAGATTGAAAATGCTTACCTTGGAAATGTATATGTTTCTAACAAAAATGTCAGTACAATGAAAAACTAATGAAGTTTGCCAAAATTAAACATTGATCAGATATGTCTGTGAACAAAAACCTAGATAATTTGAACATATATTGAATAGATCAGCATATTGAGAAGGAAGATACACATTGAAATTGTTCCATGATTACTGTACAATATTTTTGTTCTATAAAAAATGCAAGAAACTCAGAAAGTTAAACAGTTATAATGGGCAAGAAGGAGAGGTAAATGTTGAAATAATTCTTTATAAATGCTTATGAAAATAATTATCCCTCAAACATACTATTATATTTGATTCTACAAAAATCTATAAACATATTAAGAGGACAATAGAATTTTGAGCATTAAGCAGCATGAGGTTTATTAAGAATAGACATGCAACAGAAGCTTAATAGCTTCTTTTGATTCATTGTTAATTACAAAATTAGGGCATGCTGTGAATCGGCTCCATCGTCAATATTTGTACTCTAATAAGCATTTTGGATTACTGTTTTTAAAGCACATTTTGCCATTGTAACTTTTTGCTTGTTTGTTTATTTGAGACGGAGTCTCGCTCTGTCACCCACGCTGAAGAGCAGTGGCACGATCTCGGCTCACTGCAACCTCCGCCTCCAAGGTCAAAGCGACTCTTTTGCCTCAGCCTCCAGAGTAGCTGGAACTGCAGGAGCGCGCCACCACGCCCGTCTAATTTTTCTATTTTTAGTGGAGACAGGGGTTCACCATATTGGCCAGGCTGGTCTTGAACTAACTACTGACCTCGTGATCCACCGGCCTCGGCCTCCCAAAGTGCTGGGATTACAGGCATGAGTCACCGCGCCCGGCCTACCATTGTAACTTCTAATACGTTATTGGTAAGATGCATGTTTGAAGCTAGATATTGTCATTAACCTATTCTATTGAAAAGAGACTGAGATGAAGGTTATGTAACTGTGTGAAACTGGGCAGCAATTTAGTTAGCACAGAAACCAATAAACAATGTTAGTTATAGGATGTCCATATAATGTCCATTATGGGATTTTTACCAATTAGATTACCATATATTATCAGTATAGATTCATCCAAATAATTTTATTTCAATTAAAATAATAAGTTTAAGCTCGTCACAGTGGCTCATGCCTGTAATTCTAGCACTTTTTGAGACCAAGTATGCAGAATGCTTGAGTCTACAAGCTCAAGACAAGTGTGGGCAACATGACCAAACTCCATCTCTACAAAAAATACAAAAATTAGCCAGGCATGGTGGCATGCACCTTTAATCCCAGCTATTCAGGAGGCTGAGATGGGAGGATCGCTTGAGCCTAGGAGATCAAGTGCAGTGAGCTGAGGGTACACCACTGCATTCCAGAATGAGAGAAAGAGCGAGATCCTGTCTCAAAAGAAATATAATAATAATAATAATATGTTTGAGGTTACAAAAATAATTTAAATTGATAAATGGAGTGTACTGATATCTCAGTAAGAAAATAGGAGTATATATGTACAGGAAGACCTATATATATCAACATCACAAATTATTGAGTAAATAAGACATAATTTAAAATTATTTTAGCCTTATATTTTCAGACAAATTATTAAAAATTAGACAAATTTTAGTATGACACTAGCAAAGGAGAATATACTAATTTTACAAACAGGATGGGATTTTTGGACTTTGATAACAATGTCGATTTCAGGAAGTGTTTAGCATCATTCCATTGCACTGAATATCATTGTATTTCAGTCTGTTTCCAAAAAATAATTGTTCAATAAAAAATTATTGATATATTTTATACGTTACATTTAAAAGGTGATCTAGAAACTTATAATGGTCTTTGGCTCAACACAAATTCTAAATCAAATCTTTTCACTTCCCTGATGAAAACTCTCCAGTGATGTCCCCCTACATAACTGAGACTATGGTCATTATATCCATCAGTTTGTGTTTCTAAAGTAATTTCATACCACTCTCCAAAAGCATAGCTTACTCCACTCTTGGTCCACTGGCTTTCTTGTTGATTTTTGAATCTATCAAGTTCATTTTTTAACCCAGATAATTTTCACATAGGCTTCCGTTTCCAACTTTTCTTCAGCTACTTGCCTCTGTAGCATTTCATTGAAGTCACAGCTAAAATATATATTTACTGTTTCTAAAGTACTTCTCTGAGTTTTATTTTCATAATAGCTCCTTCAATCCCTGTCACTTTTTTATCTCCATGAGCACCAGTAACTCATAAATACTTGTTGAATGAGTTTATGAATGAGCTTCAGTTTTTCAGCTATATAGTGAATATATTACTATTGGTGATTTCTAGTGTACCTGCTATATATAACATTATAAAAATATAGCAGCTACCATTCACTGAGTATCTGTCACATGTCATATACTTTCATATTTTTAATACATCAAATTTGCCAGTACTTTATATTGTACCCATTTGATATACGAACAAACAAAAGTTTAAAAGGGCAAAGTGCGTGGCTCTGCATCACAATAATAGTAAATAAAACAACTAGAATTCAAATTCAGGTTAACTGAACTGCAAAACTAAAAAACTATATGTTACTGAGGAATTTTAAAATAGTCTTGTTTCAAAAGATTTGTATGTGGAAGCTGATGTGTAAATGGTTGCTCTAATAAAATCAGGATGGCAATAATTGCAGCAGGAAGGGAGACTAGTAATAAGATCTCCACAAGTTATTCCCTCCCCTTTCAGAGGAAGCACCTAGGGGAACAATCTGAAGATCAATGGACTGTTTAGCACTACCTCTCATACACTAACTAGTAAATATTGGTGCAAACTCTTTCCTGTAGGCTTTATAGAGCCTATTTCATGTTCTGCTAAGAAAAGCCCAGAAATGCAAAGTAGCAAAGTACTTGGGAATGTATCTGTGAAATAAATATTGGGAGAACTTAAATTGTACCCAAATAATCAGAGGAATAAAATTTATGCATGAATTGGAAAATTCAGTAAGTTTTAAAGTTCTCCTAAATTTAATATAAATACAATAACAATAGTTTATATGTAATTAAAAATTAATTTAAAAACTACATATAGAAAGACAGAGTCTTTCAGATAATGTTGAAAATAAAAGACAAAGATGAGAAGTGTCATATTATCAGTTATCAAGATACAGGAATAAACCTTCACTATTTTGAGAGACAAACAAATGAATGAGTAGAATATAATAGAATGTGCAGAAGCAGGTCTGACCATTTATGAATATGTGGTTTATGGCAAATGTGCCCCTTCAGTGCTGTGGTCCTTTTAATTAAAGTTGCCAAGTAATACAATGTAGAAATAATCTTGTAGTATAGTTTGAAGTCAGGTAGCGTGATGCCTCCAGCTTTGTCCTTTTGCCTTGGAATTGACTTGGCAATGCGGGCTCTTTTTTGGTTCCATATGAACTTTAAAGCTGTTTTTTTCCAATTCTGTGAAGAAAGTCATTGGTAGCTTGATGGGGATAGCATTGAATCTATAAATTACCTTGGGCATTATGGCCATTTTCACGATATTGATTCTTCCTATCCATGAGCATGGAATGTTCTTCCATTTGTTTGTGTCCTCTTTTATTTTTTTGAGCAGTGGTTTGTTGTTCTCCTCGAAGAGGTCCTTCACATCCCTTGTAAATTCCTAGGTATTTTATTCTCTTTGAAGCAATTGTGAATGGGAGTTCACTCATGATTTAGCTCTCTGTTTGTCTTGTATTGGTGTATAAGAGTGCTTGTGATTTTTGCACATTGATTTTGTATCCTGAGATTTTGCTGAAGTTGCTTATCAGCTTAAGGAGATTTGGGGCTGAGATGATGGGGTTTTCTAAATATACAATCATGTCATCTGCAAAGAGGGACAATTTGATTCCCTCTTTTCTTAAGTGAATACCCTTTATTTCTTTCTCCTGCCTGATTGCCCTGGCCAGAACTTCCAACACTGTGTTGAATAGGAGTGGTGAGAGAGGACATCCCTGTCTTGTGCCAGTTTTCAAATGGAATGCTTCCAGTTTTTGCCCATTCAGTATGATATTGGCTGTGGGTTTGTCATAGATATCTCTTATTATTTTGAGATACATCCCATCAATACCTAATTTATTGAGAGTTTTTAGCATGAAGGGTTGTTGAATTTTGTCAAAGGCCTTTTCTGCAACTATTGAGATAATCGTGTGGTTTTTGTCATTGGTTGTGTTTATATGCTGGATTACGTTTATTGATTTTTGTATGTTGAACCAGCCTTGCATCCCAGGGATGAAGCCCACTTGATCATGGTGGATAAGCTTTTTGATGTGCTGTTGGATTCAGTTTGCCAGTATTTTATTGAGGATTTTTGCATCGATGTTCATTAGGGATATTGGTCTAAAATTCTCTTTTTTTGTTGTGACTTCAAACTATGCTACAAGGCTACAGTAGCCAAAACAGCATGGTACTGGTACCATAACAGAGACATAGACCAATGGAACAAAACAGAGCCCTCAGAAATAATACCACACATCTACAACCATCTGATCTTTGACAAACCTGACAAAAACAAGAAATGGGGAAAGGATTCCTTAATAAATGGTGCTGGGAAAACTGGCTAGCCACATGTAGAAAGCTGAAACTGGATCCTTTCCTTACACCTTATACAAAAATTAATTCAAGATGGATTGAAGACTTAAATGTTAGACCTAAAACCATAAAAAACCCTAGAAGAAAACCTAGGCAATACCATTCAGGACATAAGCATGGGGAAGGACTTCATGTCTAAAACACCAAAAGCAATGGCAACAAAAGCCAAAATTGACAAATGGGATCTAATTAAACCAAAGAGCTTCTGCACAGCAAAAGTGAACAGACTTCTGCACTACCATCAGAGTGAAAAGTGCAGACTTCTACACTACCATCAGAATGAACAGACAACCTACTGAATGGGAGAAAATTTTTGCAATCTACTCATCTGACAAAGGGCTAATATCTAGAATCTACAAAGAACTCAAACAAATTTACAAGAAAAAAAACAAACAACCCCATCAAAAAGTGGGTGAAGGATATGAACAGACACTTCTCAAAAGAAGACTTTTATGCAGCCAACAGACACATGATAAAATGCTCATCATCACTGGCCATCAGAGAAATGCAAATCAAAACCACAATGAGATAACATTTCACGCCAGTTAGAATGGTGATCAGGAAACAACAGGTGCTGGAGAGGATGTGGAGAAATAGAAGCACTTTTACACTGTTGTTGGGAGTGTAAACTAGTTCAACCATTGTGGAAGTCAGTGTGGCAATTCCTCAGGGATCTAGAACTAGAAATACCATTTGACCCAGCCATCCCATTACTGGGTATATACCCAAAGGATTATAAATCATGCTGCTATAAAGACACATGCACACATATGTTTATTGCATTACTATTCACAATAGCAAAGACTTGGAACCAACCCAAATGTCCATCAATGATAGACTGGATTAAGAAGATGTGGCACATATACGTCATGGAATACTATGTATCTGTAAAAAAGGATGACTTCATGACCTTTGTAGGGACATGGATGAAGCTGGAAACCATCATTCTCAGCAAACTATTGCAAGGACAAAAAACAAAACACCGCATTTTCTCACTCATAGATGGGAATTGAACAATGAGAACACTTGGACACAGGAAGGGGGACATCTCACACTGGGGCCTGTCATGGGATGAGGGGAAGCAGGAGGGATAGCATTAGGAGATATACCTAGTGTAAATGACGAGTTAATGGGTGCAGCACACCAACATGGCACATGTATACATATGTAACAAACCTGCACGTTGTGCACATGTACCTTAGAACTTAAAGTCTAATAATAAAAAAAGAATATAGAAATAATCATGACCCCATTTCATCTACACTACACTATTCACAGAAATGGTTTCCAGGTGGAAACCCGCTAAAGAGAAAAGATCTTGTAGAACAGTTGAGCTTTCAATGCAGATCTCAAGGTGTTGTGCCTTAAGAGTGGAGCTAGCCAGAACTATAGAAAATGATACTCTGAGACTATCCTTTCAAAACTTAAAAGAATGTCTCAAATGAATCTAGTTCAGCCACAAGTAATGTAACTGGTACAAAATACAAAATCCAACACCTTTTATAGTAGTATAATATCCATCCCTCAAGAGAGTAAATTGTGAATGCCTGGTATCTAATTAAAGTTTACCACACATACAGAGAACTAGAAAAAATGTAACCCATAAATCAAAGGAAAAAATTGATTTAAAAAACAGGGAATTATACAGGTGGTAGAATATCAACATGGACTTTAAAGGGGGCTATTCTATACATTATAGAAGTATAAGAAATGCATGCAATATAAAGAAATGCATGAATATTTAAAAGACAAAAATGGGAGATGCATTTTAAAAAGAGAAATAGAACTTCTACACATAAAGAATAAAATACAGGATTTGAAATTTTCACTTGATGGAATTAACAGTTGATTAGCCATTGGAGAAGAAAGGATCACAAAATTTGAAAATATGACAATAGAGACTATCTAATATGAAAGATACAGAAAAAAAGAGAATAAAATCAATGAAAAGAGCTTCAATGGCCTTAGGATATAAATTCTAGCATATATGCAATCAGATTCAAAGACAGAGAAAAGAGAAAGGGAATGAAAAATTTTAAATTTGAACAGCCTCATTCATAACTGAAAAGACGATTAATGAAAGCACTTAGAATGTCATAATTAAGAAAGTCAGAGGAAGAGAATGTCTCCAAACTAAGAAGAAATGTCCAGAGCTTGAAAGAAAACAAGGCATGCATAGATCACAGAGAGAAAAAACGTGGACAGAGTGTTGAGAATGGAGGTAGCATTGCCAAACTGTACAAGTGAGATCAAGTAAGATAAGGTCTAGAAAGTGATCTTTTGAGTTTTTAAGTAGTTGCCATTGATAACTTTGTCAAGGGAAGTTTTATTACACTGGTCATTTCTAAGCAGATTGCAGATTTTGAAGAGTGGATGTTTATAATAGCATATAGGAAGGATTTGTGGCTCACCTGTTGGAATGCTGGAGACAAGGTTGTGGAAGATAGAGGAAGACACTTGTTTATGTCAAGGTGTCTTTTGGAACTAAGATAAAATGACTAGCGTTGAGATGGTGTCTTTTGTAAATGGGATATTTTCCAACTACATATAGGAAATGAATAAATACTGAGAGGAAAATAGGATTTAAGTCTAAATCTTACTGTGGTAATTGAATAACTTTCTTCCATATTTTATATAACAATCACAATAAAATACAAGTTGTCATATTGAACTTTATAATGTGAAAATCTGTCTCATAATACCTGTCTTCTTAGACTAGCATTATCACTTGAAATATGTTTTGAAATTATAACTAAGTAGTATCACCTTTAGGATGGCATCAAGCCTCTGTGTGTGTCTTGCTTGAGATTATAGTTTACAATTATATATATGTACATATGTGTGTGTGTGTGCATGTGTGTGTGTATGTATATGTAATAACTTATATGTATATATTTGTCTTCCTTCTTGTTAATGAGCATTAATTTAAGCACAGATAAACTTCTAGGAAATGTTGGGAAAAAACTAAACAAATGAAGAAAATGTCGTGATTCATCTTTTTCTGGCATGCAGTTTTAACTTGTCACCAGGAACACTGACATAGTCGTTTCATGTGTCTGCTGAGGAAATGATCTGAATACCGATTGTGAATTTTGACTGCAGATGTTAGAAGCAAACCATTTCTAACAGATGTATAATCTGATTAAATATGCAATGCAATGATATTGTCAAAACCTATTAATCACTCTTTCAGGACACATTAGTGTAGGCTTTACTGACAGCTGTGAGGATTTGAATATCTCTACAGTTGCAGGTACTGTTGCTCATCCACACCGCCCAATAGATGTTAAAAAGAAAAATAACCACAATAGGCAAGTGTACAGGGTAATTTAAATGTTGCATGTTAATTTTTTTCAGCATTGGGGGAAGAGATATATTTTTATTCCAGTAATGTTTACCCTACCTGCGTTTGTTTGCTTCTTACCCCCAAATTACAGGGATTTTCTGTCACACTGGGACTAATTCGAAAATGCAGATACAGAGCCAGACCTCCAGCATACATATATTAGGAAGCAGTCCCATGACTGATGATTATGCAATATGTGTTCACAGATAAATAGTAGCAAAACCTTGTTTCCCACTGAGAATGCTAACATGTATTGATTTCTCTTGCCCATTGATACACACAGGTGTTGCAATTTATTTTGGAAAGGGTAGCACCATAACTTTATGATCATCATCCTGGAGATTTTATTTCTGTCCTTGGTTTGCCCTTACTATTTGATATTCCTGACAGTATTAATGATCTTTAGTAAAACTAAACTAAAGCAAATGTTTGCCTATATGTGATCCAAATATTCTCACATTGAATCACTCTAAATGCCAGAATTTTTACAACACAGTCTTATGCACTAGATAAATAATTTTATAATCAAAATTCTCACTGTTTCCAATCCTCTCATACTCATTTAAGAAACAGAATGTGTTAGAAATGACCAACATTTTCAGAGATTGAGCTACTCAGGGTTATGAAATGAAATCTTGCAGTGAGTCTTTGAGCTAACAAGAAAAATTAAGCGAAGAAGGACTTCCCTTCACAAGTGAACGTACTTCACTTCTCAAACCACCCATTAAAGCTTGAATAGACCATTGTTACTTTAAGAAAATAGAAATAGCAGTAGTAACATTCATCCCTTTCAAGTCTCTTAAGTACATTAAGCTCTTTTTATTTCCAGTTTTCTTTTCCCTTAAGATGTATGTTACTGGTCATACATATTATTTTGTAAATTTCCCTATTCCACGACTTGGTTATTTGGGATCCTATCCAAAGTATTTTTCTTATAGGAAATCTACAGCATTCAGTTAGGCCTAAAAATGACTTTCTTAGCTGTTGAATATGCACAATGGCAAACACACCCTGCTGACCAATACTCAGTATCTCTATTTTGTTCCTGCCAAACTGCAGATAGTAGAAGAGGAGACTTACACTTCACATTCTTGCATATTGTTATAGCAGAAATAGAGATTATGTTTCTTTTACAAATTTACTCTTAGAAATGAAAGTTTCCTGATGACTATGACTTATAAATCCAATAATCTATCTTACTGAAAAAAATTAGTAAAAACATAAACTAAATTTTCTGTGATCAATTCAAGAACATAGAAATAGTTGCTACTTTGAAGATTTTGAGGTTGAAACAAATTTATTAATCATCTTCTATTTCTGAGTCAAAGTAATCAAGGTGAGAAATCTTAATTTCTAAATAGGAATGTCAAGAATGTTTCTGTTTCCAACAACATTTCCATAATATTTTCTAATTTGTAAAATTAAGCAAATACAAATGTTTCAGTCTTCAATTGCATGTATTAATCCAGGCATACTAACAAATCCTTGGATCATTGGATGATTGTTTTAACATGTTTGTACAACTAATATTACAAATAACTCGATAGTCATTAGGTACCAAAAAGTTAACCAATTTTTTTTTAAACTGACTTTTCCTTACTGTTTACTTTGTTTCAAATCCTGACATCAGGAAAAGAATTAAATACCACAGAATCTGCTTATATAGAAGATTTAGAATTGATTTGAAAAATAATTTATTACAAAGTAAAAAGTGATGTCATTAAGTAATATCTCTCTGGGAAATTTGGTATCTTTCTTCTGGGTTATACCCACCACCAATATTTTAGGATTTTCTTTTCTTCTAAAAATTGAAGAAGGGATAACCTAATAATAAGTAAGTATTAAAATAATATTAAATGAGGCAATATGAACAAATTTTGGATTTTGAAAATTTGAATATTCTTTTTAAATGTTAGAATATGGTTCAAGATGAATATTTAAAACTATAATACACAAAAGTATATAAATCACCTAAATTCAGTAGTTATAGACACATATGCTGAAATAGTATTACATAATTCGATATAAGTAAAACTCAAGTCTACTACCACCATTGGTTTTAATTTAGTGTTAAAAGGCATATTTAAATAATAACTAGCAAGATCAGGGCTGTTTGGGGGCAAACCCACTAAAACAAGTAAAAAAAAACTTTTTCAGATGTTGCAAGTCAGAAAAGTATGATGGACTATTCACGTCAAATTAAAAGCAAAGTATTCACAGGTTTTAAAATCTCACATACTTCTTTAAGGCTTAAAGAAAAACATTTTCTATCCTGGGCAACATAGCAAGATTCTGTCTCCAAAAAATGTTAAAAAATGTAGCCAGGTGTGGTGCTGCAAATGTGGTCCCAACTACTAGGGAGGCTGAGGCAGGAAGAGCACTTGAACACAAGAGTTCAGGGCTGCAGTGTGTTACGAACTCTCACACTCTACTCCAGCCTGGGCTAGAGTTTGTGTTGTTTCTCCTGAGTTATAAATGGCTACCAAAATTATTATCAATGTCTCCCAAACTCTCTGACAAAATTGTGCTCACTCTTGCACTGTCTTTAATCTCATCAGCTCTTTGATCAGTTCCCTTAATATGTTTGTAGATAACTTTCTGAAAGCACTAACCTTACCACTCTAAATTTATATGGCTACTTGCTTTGCTTTCATCCTGGGAGTTCCCCCACCACCATCCTATGAATTCCCTTCACTATTTTCCATGTTTCCTGAATACCATGTCTTCTACCTTCTTTTTTTTTCCATTCTCACTTAATGAAACATATCTTCCCGTAGGCTTTGAAAGGGGTTGTATATAAGGACACATCATATTCTACAAATATAATTATGTGAGTACACCTAATAAACTCTCTATATACTTTTTATACTATATAAATATGTATTTTACTCTTTCTCATACTTACAAATGTGTTTTCATATATATTTATAGTTGCTAATCACTTATCCCTAAAATGTTGAAAAGACTTAATTTATATTCTATATTAATTTTTAGAAGTCCAAAGCTACTCAGATTCTGCATTTTCTACTCTTAGAAGAAAACAGAGAAAAGCTTCATGACAATAGAGATGGCAATAATTTATTTGACACAAAGGGCACAGGCAAACAAGAAAAAAATAGATGTCTTAGTTCATTCGGTGCTGCTGTAACATAATACCTGATACTGGGTAACTTATAAGAAACAGAAATTTATTGATTCATGATTCTAAAGACTGGGAAGTCCCAAAACCAAGGGGCTGGCATCTTTTGAGGACCATATTGCTGTGTCATCCTGAGAGGTGAAGCCAGGTGGACCTCCTGGGTCCAGTGGGGACTTGGAGAATTTTCTGTCTAGTAAGAGGATTGTAAAATGCACGAATCAGTGCTCTGTAAAAACTCAGCAATCAGCGCTCTGTAGCTAGCAAGAGGATTGTAAAATGCACAGATCAGCACTCTGTAAAATGCTCGAATCAGCGCTCTGTAAAATGCACCAATCAGCAGGATCCTGAAAGTAGCCAATCACAGGGAGTATTGAAAAAGGGGCACTCTGATAGGACAAAAACGGAACATGGGAGGGGGACAAATAAGGGAATAAAAACCGGCCACACCAGCCAGCAGTGGCAACGTGCTCGGGTCCCCTTCCACGCTGTGGAAGCTTTGTTATTTCGCTCTTCACAATAAATCCTGCTGCTGCTCACTCTTTGGGTGCATGCCACCTTTAAGAGCTGTTAACACTCACTGGGAAGGTCCGTGGCTTCATTCTTGAGGTCAGTGAGACCATGACCCACTGGAAGGAGCCAACTCTGGACACAGTCCCATGGTGGAAGGACAAAGAAAGGGCAAGAAAGAGCAAGAGATCAAACTTGAAGCCTTAACCTCTTTTATAACTGGCATTAATCCATTTATGAGAGTGAAGCCCTCATCACCTAAACACCTCTCATTAGGCCCAACCTTCAAACCCTGTTGCATTGAGGATTAAGTTACCAACCCCTGCTCTTGGGGGAACATATTCAAACCATAGCAATTGGACTTCATCAAAATTTATAAATGTTGAGCATTAAAGAACACTATCAAGAACGTGAGAAGGCAACCCATGGAATGGAAGAAGATATTTCCAAATCACATATCTGGTAAGGGATTAGTAGCCAGAATATGTAAAGAACATTGACACCTCAACAAAAAAATACAACTCAATTAAAAATTGGGCAAATAATTTGCATAGACATGTCTCCACAGAGGATACACTAAAAGCAAGTAGACATATGAGAATATGCTCAAAATCGCTTATTGGGAAATGCAAATCAAACTCATAGGGAGGTATCACTTTACAGCCATTAGGAAAGCTCTTATCATGAAAATAGAAAATAACAAGTATTGGTCAGGAGGCAGAGAAATTGAAACACTTGTGCATTAATGGTTGGAATGTAAAATAGTGCAGCCACTCTAGAAAATGTTGTCGTGGTTTCTCAAAAAACTAAACTTCATTACCATGTGACCAAGCAATTCCATTCTTACACGTACACTCCGAAGAATTCAAAGCAGAAACTTGAACAGATCTCTAAACACCAATGTCTATAGCAACTTTATTCATAAGAGCAAAAATGTGGAAGCAACCCAAATGTCTGTCCATCAACAGATGAATGGATAAACAAAACAAAGAAAAAAATATATATATATAAACAAAACAAAGAAAAAAATATGTATAGTACATTTTGTTTATCCTTTCATCTATATATCCATTTATCCATATATATATATATATATATATATATATATACATATTTGAATGTTATTCACTCTTAAATTCTGATACAAGCTACAGCATGGATACACCTTGAGAACATAATATTAAGTTAAATAGTACTGACACAAGATAAAAATTGGGAATTTTTTCCCAATAATTGGAATTGCATAATTCCACTTGTATAATGTACCTAGAGTAAAATTTATAAAGGCAGAAAGTAGACTAGTCTGTACCATGTGCTTGGAAAACAAAAATGTTTTTGCCACTGAATTGTATTTTAAAAATAGTTAAAATGGTAAATTTGATATTTCATATATTTTATCACAATATAAAAGCAAATAACATCACTATAAATACTTCAACTTAAAAAATAAAAAAAATTATGTGAGCAATGTTTTTCCAGTTTTTGAAAGTACAAGACAAATTAAAGGCAATAAGTCGTGTATTTACAAAAAGATGTGGTGGAGTTAGCATGAATATCTAGAAGTTTTACAAATGTGATTCAAATTATAATGGCATATTTGTTTATAGTTTTTCGTTATTTTTGCAAAGTGACACTTTTTTCTTGATTTCACAGCCATACTATTCTAAAAAAGTGATAATTATACAGTTATACAGCTCTTGAGGTTCTCTGAATAAGAACTGAAGCAACAGTAGAGGGGAAGTCTTCTTGCAATTATTATTTAAAAGAATCAGAGGAGGCATGAAATGCTGTGGGTATCCAGAGAGCCAAGCAAGTAGAAAAGAATGAAGCAGATATTCTGTGCAGGAAAGGATAAACTCAGCATGTTTTAGGTGTTCAAACACTATACATTCCAAATAACTGATTGTTGGCAGGCTCCTGGGAGATAACCTTTAAGACCTTGGAATATCAAATAAAAGTGTTTTGTACACCTGGGGCCTTAGGCCACACCAGACCATTTAAGCAAAATATGAGATTTATGGTGAGGACCTTGAGCCAGGCTGTATCAGCTTGATGTATCTATATCTGGAGGGGCTGAAGTTTGCATAACTAAAGTCAACCACAGGGTTGCTCCATGCCTGTGTGACTGACCCTCAATAGAACTACAGGATACCAACTCTGCTGAGCTTCCCTGGTTGGCAATACTTCATACATATTATTACACATTATTGCTTGGAGAATTAAGTGCTGTCCCTGCAACTCCACTGAGAGAGAAAAACTGGAAGCTTGTGTCTTGTCTCTCCTGGATTCTGTTCTCTGTACCTTGTTCCTTTGCTGAGTTGAATTTGTATTCTTCTGCTCTAATAAGCCATAATCATGAGTATAGCAGTTTTGCTGAATTCTGTGAGTTCTCTTAGAAAATAATTGAAACTGAGGGTGGTATTGGGGAGCAGCAACACAAAGTCTAGAAAAGCATCATTAAAAGGAACCATACAAAATGGAGAATGATTTGTTAAAAACAATGGGAACGCATCGACAGACAATGAGGCAAAGTGCATAAATTCACAACCAATACAATGATGATGCATTCTGAAGCACCTTCTAAAGATAATATTTATAGTATGCCAGATTCCTATTGTATTGGTGAGGAGGAACAGGTGTAATTAATTTTCATATTTAAAAAATTTGGATTTATTCTGATCATGAATATGAGGTCTGAGTTCCCTGTTGTGCACAGCTTAATGGGTAAATAGGGAGCTTATCTCAGGTTGCCTGGGCTCTGATTCAAGCTTCTCAAATTACTGGCTCGGTGTCCTTTGACAAATTAGACTCACTCTCAGTATGTCAGCTTCCCATATGTAAAGTGGTGATGCAGATCATGCCAACTTCATAATTTATGGGTGTTATTGAAGTTAATACATGTAAAATGCTTAACCAGTACCTAATAAGGTCTCAGTAAATGATTTTTATAATCATTCCAGAAGGCATTAAACAAATAACATAGAATTGCAATGAAATAAGTTACTGTTTTCGTATAAACAGTATTTTATAAGATTTAGTATAAATCATAAATCTTATAAAGAAATATTCTCTCTTAAGATATTTTAACATCTAAAATTGGCATTTTTCTTACTAAATATAACAATTTAGTCATTTTATTTTGCATCTGTGAAGAATTACTGTTAATGACTTGAAAAGCATTTCTTTAGAATTAATGGTAAACACTATTGCAGAATTTCCTGAGCCCTTTATTCATTAGTATGAATCACTGAGAATTTCATTTCTATTTATAAAATACTTTCTTTAACAGTCTATTTAT
This sequence comes from Homo sapiens, assembly GCF_000001405.40. Taxonomy (NCBI): domain Eukaryota; kingdom Metazoa; phylum Chordata; class Mammalia; order Primates; family Hominidae; genus Homo; species Homo sapiens. Next base: position 65,917,887 of record NC_000004.12, on the reverse strand, counting down.
GACATAAAAAGATAAATCTGCATTTGTAAAGTGATGGATGATTTTCTTCTATCCCACGTATGTAGTGACCTAGAGCATTGTCATTCATGATCTCTACACTCTGTCTTGATAAATAAAAAAAGTAAAACAATCTGCTTTTGAGATTGCACTGTTCGAATGTAGCCAAAGAAGGGAAAAGCCAGAGAGGAATGCTTGTGTCATCATCTGCCACTGTTATGACTCAGAGGGCCCATCCACAACTGAGAACACCATTCTTTGTGAAGCTGATATATTTGGTGGATTACAACAATGGCACACTGCTTCAGACCCAAAGAAAGAGTAGTGCATTCTCTGTTACATGTGGGTTCAGTATGTGTAGGTACTATGATGTTTCTACCCACAGAATACTTCTGATGCCTGATGTGTGGAGGTTTCTTCACATCAGTGACCAATTCGCCAACTCTCCAGACACCAAGTAGAAGTCTAACAATTAAATTCTGTTCTGACACTAACTACCTGGAGGTAGCATGAGACCGCCCTGATGAAGGGCTCATTCCCAAACCTTCTGTATTTCCAACTGACTGGTATAAATCAGAGATCCTCACAACCCCTCTTCATGTTTAATGATTTGGAAACTCACAGAACTCAGGAAAAACAATTTACTTACTGTTACCACTTTATTTTAAAGGATACAACAAAAATATGCAAATGAACAACAGATGAAAAGGTACACAGAGCGAGGTCCAAAAAGGTCCTGAGCACAAGAGCTTTGACGATAGGGTTCACCAACCCAGAAGCTCCTCAAACCTCATTGTTCAGAGTTTTTATCAAGGCTCCATTATGTAGGCATTATTGATAAAAGCATTGGCCACTGGTGATTGACTCAATGTCTAGCCACTCTCCCCTCTCCAGTGGCCTAGGGCTGGGGCCACAAGTTCCAAACCTCTAGCCATGTCTTGATCTCTCTGGTGAAAAGCCCCCATTCTAAAGCTACAGAGGAACACCGAGCCACCAGTCATCTTAATAGCATGCAAAAGATACTCTCATTACTCTGGAAATTCCAAGAGCCTTAGAAACTGCTATGTCAGGACCTGGAAACTAAGATCAAATATTATAGCGAAAGATACTTATATCATCCCTATCACTCAGGATATTAGAAGGGCTTAGGAGCTTTCTGCTGGGAAACTGGCTCAAAAGCCAAATTGCAAATGTATTATTACATAATATATTATATTATGACATTATTATATCACAGTATAAACAGAAGATCCAGATAGTGAGAATACTTCATTTTATACCTAAAAGAAAGTGAATAAGTCTTGTTTTGGTATCATGGAATTTATGGCCTTCTTTTTCAGTAAATGGCAATAGGCTGTGGCTCATATCAACAATCTGGAAATTGTCCTAGTCCATGTCCTCTTTCTCATCATTCACTGTTTCAATAAAACCAGAAATTCCAGTTAATTGTAACACTTAACATAATTCTCAAATATCCATAATTCTCTCACTTGCATCGGCATTAATAGGACATGTACTACCACTCTTTTGCTTCTGGGCAATAGCAATCTCTTAATATTCACTTTTGATACTTTCATACAAAAAATATCTAACAGTTTTTAAATAAGGAGATAATTATACTTCTTTACTTTTTAAAACCCTTTGATGAATGTCCATCTTTTCTTGGTTGAAAGCTAAAACTCTTAAAAAATCACAAAGCCTCAATAATTCACTTTAATATAACTTTCCAACCTTACTTTCTAACATTATTTTTCTGTATTATCATGCTTTGGCCCCATTGACCTTTTAACCTGAAGTATACCAACTTTTATTTCTCATAGTTCCCTTACATTGTATTATTCCCTCTGCTTAAAATTCTGTTCACACAACCCTTGTAGTGTCTAATTCCTGCTCATGCCTCAGATCTAGGCAGCAAAGTAATATACTTAGAAGAGCTTTCTTTTCTTGGCCATAAAAAATTTGGTGACTGTTCTAATGTTTTTATTATACATGGTATTTTCCTTTATGCCATGTACATTCAAATTTATTTGTTTAAAATCTGTCCTTCCTGGTAGATTGTAATCTGTGTGAGTTCAAGAAATCTGTCTTGTCAATAGCAGATTGTATAATACATAGCAGATCCTCAAGTAATATTAAATTATATGATTAAATATTAAATTAGTCAATATAAATAGGATGCTAAGTAAGGGATAAATTGTCAGCTGATCATACAATATATGTGTCTCTGGATATCTAACTCTATTTCTAATCCAGGTGGTTATAATAATTGGTTGATAGCTACTAAGAAATCTTTAATTTCTCTTACTTTTGACAGAAGAAAGAGTAGAATGATTTTGTTGCTTAAAATATATGGATAAAATATATATAAAACAAATTTTTATAAAACAAAATATTCTAATAACCAAAATATATTAAAAAGTTTAGTCTACAATAGCATCTTATTCATACTCCATTTTTAATTTTATTTTCCAACTTTTACTAAAACCTAGAAAAAGATTCAATTTATGTTTATACCAAAAAACAATTCAGGCACCAATATACATCTGGTATCTATATGAAGTTTCCTCTAATTACAATATTAATGACATATTGTATTTCTTTTTTTTTTTAGTGTGGCAATTACATATATAATACCCAGTGCTAAAACAGAATTGGCAGATACATATATTAAAATAATTATTATAACAACTATATATGTTCAAAGTGTTAAGTAGAGGCATGAAATATGTTCAACTTGGGCCTTTTTAAGACATATTGTATTTCAATGAGCATCACATCTGGCAGATGTCTTGCTTTCCTACTTGAAACAGAATAGATTGTGATTGGAAAAATTTGAATTTGTAGTAACCCTAAAACTAGGTAGTTTTCTCTTACATACATGTTTATTTCTTCAGGTGAACAATTTTTTCTGTCTCAATATGTACAACAATGTATACTTTGAAATATCAATTCCCATAGTTTAGTTTTATGGTATATAGATATTTTGGGGAGACACATTCCAGTTAGGGAGACAGAAATCTCCAAAATAATTTGGAGATTTATTTATTTCTTATGCACATATTTATTTCTTAAGGTGAACAATTTTTCTCTCTCAGTATGTACAACAATGTATATTTTGAAATATCAATTCCCATAATTTAGTTTTATGGTATATAGATAGTTTTGGGTGTATACATTGCATTTAGGGAGACAGAAATCTCCAAAATAAAATGTTGCGGGAAAAATACGGATAAGAATGCATTTAGGGAGACTGTAATTTTCTCTGTATTTAATATGTTAGAGCAACATGGAACAAGAGTATTTCTACATAAAATCTTTATAGCCGTTATATCATGGGTCCTAATTTGTAAATATAGATGTGCCATCCACTTAATAACTGACAAAGGAATCCCACAAATATTCAAATGTAAATTTACTCTGTATTCCATGTTTATCTTAATTGATGTTATATGAGTGCTTCATTCCAAAAGTAACAGAATGCTATTATTTGACAATGTGCTTTTATTCTTAAGTTCTATAATTTGAGATAAATCAGAATTTGGCAAAGTACAATCCACAGATCATTAAACAAAGTTTTATTGGAACATAGCCATGCTCATTCATTTATATGTTAGTGACAACTAGTTTAGCTACGACAGTAGAGCTAAGTAGTGGTGACAGAGACCTTATGCTTAAATAAATCTTCCCAAATCCAAACAATCTTTAAAAAAAAAAACTCGAGTTACCTGGGTCAACATTCTTAATAGATGATTACAAAGATATAGCACAGTTGGCTTTTTTTTTCAGACTTCTTTAGAAGTTTCCTTTTCATTTTTTCAAGGCTGTTTTAATAGTTTTCTCAGTATTTTTTCAGTCTCTACTAACATTTCTTTTCTACTGTCATCCACCTCAAAGCCAAAGCCACATATTTTATGTTTTTATATGGTAGCACTCCTTTTTTGGAACCCATTTCTGCATCAGTTATCTACTGCCACAATTATGGTACATAACAAATCTGTGCAAAAATTAATGATGCCAACCAATGAGCATTTATTTATCTCATCTGGCTGTGTTTCACCATTTAGAATGAGTAGCTCTTCAGGTTTTAATCTGGCTCACTAATCTTTCTGGATTTTAGTAGACTGTCAACTGGGATACCAGGGGATACTGGGACACCTGTGTTTCATTTGTCACATACGAGCTAATACGGTGATCATAACAGTGTTAGAGAACAAGAATGAGCGTGGAACCACATGCTTTTTTAATCCTATACATGGATCACGTCTGCTGACATCCCTTTTGTCAAGCACATAACTTGGCTGAACTCAGAATCAAGGGACTCACAATTACACTTTGCCTCACTGGTGAAAAGAACTAGGAAGTTACATGGCGGAAAGTGTAGTTACAAGCCCATTGCTAGGATTTGACTGTATCCCCTAAAAGTCCATGTGGTGAAAACTCAATTGCCAATGTAACAGTATCAAGTGGTGGGGCTTACAGGGTGACTGGGTCATGGGGGCAGAGCTCTCATGAATGAATTAATGCTTTCATCTGGGGGCTGAGTTAGTCCTCACAAGAATAAATTAGTTCTCCTGGGGAGGGGTTAGTTATCACAAGTGCAGTTTGTTGTAAAAGTGAGTGTGGCTTCCTGAGATTTCTCTTACTCCTTCTCTTGTCATGTGATCCCTTCCATTTTTCTGCCATGTTATGAAGCGGCACAGAGCTCTCACCAGATGCAGACACCAAATCTTGGACTTCCCAGCCTCTAACTGGACTAAATAAACCTCTATTCTTTATGAAAGACCCAGTCTCAGGTATTTTGTTACTCCAACAGAAAATAGACTAAGACAAAAAGTTGGTCCCAAGAAGTGGTGTTGGTGCCAAAACAATACCTGAAAATATGGGAGTTACTTTAGAACTGAGCAATTGGTGGAGGCTGGAAGAATTTTGAGGGGCAGGCTGTAAAAAGCCTAGAATTTCATAAGCGGAGCATAAAGGATGTTTCTTCTGAGGGCTCAGAAAAAGACAAGAGGACAAGGGAAAGTCTAAACCTCTTTAGAAATTGCTTAAGTGGTTGTGATCAAAATTTTGATGGAAATATAAACAGTAAAGACTATCCTGTTGAGGTCTCAGATAGAAATGGGAAATATCTTGTTGGAAGCTGAAAGAAATACCATCCTTGTTATAAAATCTGGCAAAGTTCTGTCCATTTCTAAGGACTTTGTGGAAGGAAGAATTTAAGAGTGCTGAACTAGGATTTTTAGTGGAAGAAATATCTAAGCAGCAAAGTGTTCAAGAAGCTGCATGGCAGCCTTTGGCTCCGTCTAATCATTTGGGAGAGCAAAGAGATGACAGAACTTATAACTAAAAGGGAAACAAAGTAGAGAGATTTGGAAAATTTTTAGCCTGGCCACGTGAAGAGTGAAAAGGCATATTCAGAACACAGAGCTCAAGATGTGGCCCAGTTACTAAAGAGATTAATATGGCTGGAAGGGAGCCAAGTGCTTATCATCAGTACTAATAACCAGGAGGAAAGACCCAGAAAGCTTTTCAGAAATCTTGGAGGTTGCCCTTTACATCACAAGCTGAGAATGTTAAGGTTTGAGAGCAGAAAGAGTTCACTGCCCTGAGCTGCCTTGAGTCCCTGCTTCCTGCATCCTGAAGCAGCATTCCTTCAATACTATAGCTATGGCTCCAGAGGCCCCAGGTACAGCTTGATTCACTGTCCCAACACACTAAAGCTGGAAACCTTGGTATCACTACATCAAAGCTGAAGCAAACCTAGATATGGCTCATTCCACTAATCCAGAGGCCACAAATAGTAAGCCTTTGTGTTGTCCATGAGGTGCTAATTCTGAAGGCATTCAAAGTGTACAGGATGCAAAATCCAACTAGATTTCAAAGGATGTATCAAACAGCTCTCAGACCCAGGCAGAAACTTGTAACGGGGTAAAGTCATAACAGAGAGTTACCACCAGGGCAATGCAGAGCAGATATATGGGGTTGGAGCTACTGTATAGAATCTCCACCAGGGCAGTGCACACTGGAGCCACACAAGCAGAACTGCTGCTAGAAAGCAAGAACTGTAGAGCTACCAGTGTGCAATGCCAGCATGCAACAAAGCCTCAGGCAACTGATTTCTCCCCAGGAGAGCAGTCATGGGGGGTGCAACCAGAAAAGCCATGAGACCCAGATTGCCCGAGGCCTCGAGGGACCAACTTTCTCCCAAGTATGTCCAGGAAGGGACACATGGGGTGAAATATTATTCTCTAGCTTTAAGACTTATTTTTTTTTCCTGTTGAGTTTTGGACTTACTTTGGACATGTTTCTTCTTTCTTCTTACCTACTTTTTCCATTTTGAATGGGAATATCTGCCCTCTGCCAGTATCACCATTATATTTTTGAACATAACATGACAAAACATAACTTAAAAAAAAATTTACAGGCTCTTAGAAAGAGGCAAATTGGACTAAGGATGAATTGTGCTTTGAGTCTCAGAAGAGACTCTAGATTTTGCACTTTTAAGTTGGTGCTGGAAAGAATTATGAATTTGGGACTATTAGGATAGAATATATACATTTTGTACTGTGAAATGATGTAAATTTTAGAGACTGGGGTGGAATGCTATGCTTTGAATGTGTTCCCCAAAACTTTATGTGTTGAAAATTTAATTGCCAATATAACAGTATTAAGAGATGGGGCATTAAAGAGATGACTGAGAGAGGCCAGTTATGAGATTTTGTTCTTATAAAATCCACTTTGGCTTCCTCAGTTTTCTCTTGTTTCCTTTCACTTTTCCTCCATGTTATGAAGCAGCACGAGGGTCTTACTAGATGCAACCACCTGATTGGACTTTCTAGCCTCCAATATCGTAAGCTAAATAAACATCTATTCTTTGTCAATTACCCAGTCCGAGGTATTCCATTACAGCAACAGGAAACAGACTAAAACACCCATTATTGCAGACTACACACCATTCACAAGCCTCAGTGCAAACCATGTTCTATCTCACCTACAAATTTTTTTTGTCCTTCTAATGTTTATAACATAAATACTCTGTCTGACAGCAGATAGTTCAAAGAGAGAATGAGGCACACATGCTCATTTTCTTTTCTCACTATCCTGCGGGCAGAACCATTACAGAAATAGACACTGAGTCAGAGAGTAGAGAGACCAAAAACATTAATCTGATACATATATATGAGATACATGTTATTCCATTTAAATTTAATCTTAGTTATTTTAAATAGCTGGGGATTTTGGGAATCCCATTCACTCTATCTTACTGTGTATTGTTCTGTAAGGCATCGTATTTGCATTATTGCATGTTTCTTCTTCTTGATCTAGGAACTTTAAAAATTGAGACATGTCTTTTTATCTTAGAGTTTCTGTGACTTAGTTGAAGAACCTATAAAAGTTATGTTGTACAAATGCATTACTTAATGGTAACTTTGCTTTAATGAAGGGGATATTTGAAGTATAATAGATTTCTATTATAATGTGAAAACCTAGAAATAATAAGGGGCACAGGAAATTTTGGGTTAGTTTGATAAGGGTGCACTTAGCTTGGGTTCTCCAGAAGCCAGAGCCATTGACATGGAGCTTGTGTATATTGTTTTATGCGATAATACAGTTCCATGAATGAAGGATAAAAAATAAGAAAATCAAATCAAGAAATGAGAGACAGTCCATGAAGATATATTATCAAGTTGTCTTCTACCATGCAGGTGATTGATGGTCTGATATGTGAGACCACGCCCCTGAGAAACCATATAAACTGTGTCTCACAAGTGTTTATAAGGAGCAAAAATGGAGAAGAATTTGTCTACTTGCCCATTAACTCCTATACCACAATGGTCAAGTTTTAGCTCCTGGAGTTTTAGCTTCCCTGACATATCAGGATTGTGCATATTGGGCTAGACCTGTGTGGGCCACCCTACTGTGTCTAAGGACATAGAGCATTGTGGACAGCATCAGCAGTGTAGCCCCCAGCCAAGATGTGATAGCTATATGTGGAAGACAGAAGTGGAGGTGGAATCTGTCTGTTCTCCCTCCAAGCTAGAGCAAGAGACAGTTGCCTCTGACATGATCAGCGGTCAGTCTGAATAAAAGTTTTTACATCAGATTGTCACAGACAAGTAAAAGGTAAAATTCACCAAATTTATCTTTTGATGATGTAACAGTCATCAATTTGTTAGTATATTAATTCATCAAACATTCATTGGTCATCTACATAGTGCTAGACATGATACTGGACACTAAGTAGATGTGTTGATAAAAGGCATATCAAGGACTTGTAAGTTTTACCTGAGGGAGAAACTGTGCTTTGAACAGCATTAACAAGTTACTTTTTTTATTTTTATATTTTAAGTTCTGGGATACATGTGCAGAACGTGCAGGTTTGTTACATAGGTATACATGGTTTGTTATATAGGTGCCATGGTGGTTTGCGGCACCCATCAATCTGTCATCTACATTAGGTATTAGGAGAAATACCTAACAAGTCAATTTTAATCAATGTTGAATGTTAGGCAGAAAAAGGAAGACACTTCTGTGTGAAGAATAAGTGGGTATACCTTTTAGAATGAATATCAAGCATATCAGCAAAATTAACATTCTGAATAAACTGGAGACACTACAAAAGCCTATGAAAGATAGAACTGAAGGAAATGTCAGTGATTCAACCAGAAGTACCAAAGAATGTGTAGGCTTTGCATGTGCAGGTGTCAAAACATAGTGTCAACGAAATGAAATCAAACAATATTTTATTCTTTTGCAATAAAATTTCGGGTAATAGAGCAACAATCATGAATTCTAAATAAGAGCCAATGCATAAGGCAAAACATTGCAATTGCTACATTAAATGGATACAGCATACATTGAAAACTATTATGTAAGACAGTTGCTATATCAAATAATTTGTTTTTAATTTGCTTCTGGTTGGCCTGGACTATAACAATTTTGATAACTGCATTTATGTAACAATAATTTAGAAAGAATAAAATTACTTGACTATCTTTATATTTGGATAAGGGAGAAACAAAACAAGTCTGTTTTATATATACAAATGGAAAAAGCATCAAGACTTAAAATACTCTCTCTGCAAAATGCCAATATTAAATAGCAGAGGGACCAAAATAGATTTGGCATACAGAGGGCACAAAATTCACCTAAATTATTTGGCTTATAGAGCCTGAAAGAAAAACTGAAGGGGTAAAAATCAGACTATATATGGGACCATTGAAATGGGAAGAGACTTAGTGTGGTCCTATCGGTTTCAAAGACTTTTTTTACATTTTTGAATTTACTGTGTGTGTTATGGTGAACCTGACACAGGTGTTTCTTCCAGCTTATCACATATAAAACATTTCTACAGGACCTATATAGAAATTAGATAAATGTGTTCATATATATGAAGAGTCATTTGTATGATTCCCTGTCCCCCAACTTTCTTTTTCTTCATTAAATATCTTGGTAGGGTAATGAGAAAAATACAAGTAATGTATCTGCAAGCTGAGTGAGTTTTCTCTTTTATATGTCTCTCCATGGTCAAATTGAGGCCCTTACTTATATGAAATTCATTCAGTGTTTCCAGTTCAATTTCAGTAAATGAGATCCTATCATGTGGCTACCACATACTACTTTAGTATAGTTTCATTTGACAGATGGTCATTGTTCAGGAACACAATTTTTTCTCCTTTGACAATACTTAGGGACTGAATTTCCTCTTATATGTTAAATTTAGCATTAGGAAGATTTTAATATATATAGCAACATATGCAACATAGTGATGGCCCATCTTTTTGAGATTCAAGAGCACAGTATGGCAAAATGTTTAAAATATATCAACACCCTGAGTGATGGTAAATAAATGTTTATTGCTCCCATGTGAAAAGTTCAAGTTGCAGTAAATAAGATCTATTTTAATTATCCAAAAATTGGTTGCTATTTGTGACAATTTATATTGCAATGCAACATGCAGGAATAACATAATTTGAAACATAAATGTGATATCATGTTTCTACAGATAAAAATATATACCTAGAAATTAAAGGTTTGCAAATAAATACCACTATTTACAACTTGTACTTCTATGAGATACTTCACTCATAAGCACCTCCTCTGCTACAAAAAAGCGTATTTTCATTCCTAACTTATTATCGTTAAATAAGACATCTTCTATATAATAAGAAAACCACCTTGTTTGCATAAATACATTATTACAGTCCTTAATAGATTTGCTTTACAATTGATGAGAGTATAAAACATGCCCTAAGTTTCTTGTCAGTGTAGTATTTTTTCTTTACTTTTCAATTATTATACAAAGAAAATCTTATTATAATCTGCTCTTTGTTCTTCATCTAGTTAAGCACGGGTATTACTACTGGTTTCAGTATTGAGAATTTGAGTGCACAAAAGATTGTCAGTTCAAAGGGTTTTCAACTAATGAAACAGAGAAATACCATTGGTTAGAAGCTGAAGTGTTATATCATTAACAAGACCTTCAGAACAGTTATCTTATTTAAAAAAACTGGGGCAGGCTTTGTTAACTTATATAATTTTTAAATGTTTAAAAATGAGCAACGATGAAGACATTGTTATCGAAAATTAGCAAGCCTGTTTCTTGTTATTCTACAGATCTTTGGAAGGGTATTTATGTGTATGTGTGTGTGTGTCTGGGCCTGTGCATGCTTATCTTTTAAGTAATATATTTGTGCATCTCTATTTTTTCTAGTTCTTTCTGAAAATATGGGAAAGGAAATGAGTAGGAACACCTTATAGATGCCTCTCTATAATCCCTGAAGTATAATTATTATTAAAAGTAATAGCCAGAATCCAGCATATTTAAAAAATATATTTATTCATGTAGCATAATAGCAACTTTATTCCCTCTAAACCCTATAAGTTGACTTCTATGAATTTCCTAAATTTGACTACATGAGTTAGTAAATTGTTCTTCAATAATCCTTGCAAGGATTACAGTGGCTCAGTATGAAACTATATACTAAACATATATTACATATTCTTAAAAATGATTTTTTTCTGAAAACTATATCTAGGTTTCTCATGAAAGAATTAAATCAGAAATAAAAAAGTATATTTCACCATGCAGTATTTGCCTTCTTTTTCCATATTCTTTAAAATACAATGTGATATCCTATATGTGAGTTCTAAGTACATTCCTTTTATTTAAAAACAAAAACCTATTCTGCTCACTCTATGGTCTTTTACCTAATCCCCAAATTATCACTGTGGGTCCTTATTGCTTCCTACTTAATCTGATTATCTCAACCTACTTTATTCTAATGTTATGAAAATAAACAGTATTGATCTTCTCTTACTATAGTCTTCAGATTTTTTGAGGGTTTATGTTTAAACAAAAAGGCAATAAGAAGTGGAATGGGTTAAATATAGGTAACATAAACTGAACAAGTATATAATGCTAAAACGCAAAATATCTGCTAGTGGATAAGATAAGAGTATCAAAGTGGATTTAACCTCCCATCTGAAACAAATAAAAATGCAGACAAAATACATAAAATGATGGTTTCTAAGATAATGAACATCAGGCAACAAAGAACAATGATTACTGAAAGAAGGCAAACAAGTGAGGTGTGTGTACTGTGATTGCCACAGCCCAATACCAAGACAGAGTTTTTAGGCAGTAAAAGAGAATAGAATCTAGGTGAAGCTTAGTAATCTTACTGAGTTGAAGACACAAAGCTGGAAGTTTGAAGAGAACAAAGAGAGAGACAGAATTAGAGAAAGAGAGAGTGATATCTGAGGAACTTCACAGAATCTTTTTTGAGCCTTCAGCTAAATACTTATTAGAGCACATGTCTAAGAAAATTAACAGAGGCTAGCAAAATAACTACCTGAAAGGATTAGAGGGAGAAATGTCCCAAACTCTCAGAGGGGTGAGAATATTTCCTGACATCACTCTTGAGGGTGAAAAAAATTAGTAATTCATGCAGTATCAGGTATAGTATGTGGAAGAATTACTCTTCTGTGGTGGTGAAAATTAGTTTAAGACCAAATGCTATTCTAATCCTACCTAATCAAAATGCCTGCATAGCCAAAACAATCCTAAGCAAAAAGAACAAAGCTGGAGATATCACCCTACCTGAATTCAAACTATACTACAAGGCTACAGTAACCAAAACAGCAAGGTAACGGTACCAAAACAGATACATAGACCAATGGAACAGAACAGAGACCTCAGAAATAGTGCCACACATGTACGACCATCTGAACTTTGACAAACATGACAAAAATATGCAATGGGGAAAGGATTCCCTATTAATAAATGGTATTATAAAACTGGCTAGCCATATGCAGAAAGCTGAAACTGGATCCCTTCCTTACACCTTATTATGAAAATGCTCAAACTTTTAAAGTTGCAAGAATAATATAATAAAAACTCTTAGGATCCATTTTGAATGGATCCATATCTTATGCTTTCCCTGATTTAGACCTGGAATTAGCCTCAGTTTCTTCCAGTATCTAAAAATACTTAGTGGATGTATGATGGTAGTTTAGAGAACACTAGGCACTAGGGGTGCTCATTACTGCTAGGGTGCCTTTGTCTATATGTTCTTTCATACATATCAATCAAGAGTTTACACTGATATTTCCTTTTCACATTTAATATTACAATGTTAAAAGTTAAGTTTTATTCAAGTTTTCTGATTTTATATCTTTCTTGTTTACATAAAAATCATGTTTTACAACAATTCATATAATTACTTATTTGCTTTAACTACAATATTGCTAATGGAGTTTCAATATGACAATAATTTTGCTAACAATACAGCTGCTTGCTTTGCAGTTTCAGTGTCCTTATAGTAAATCTCACTCGTAGAATTAGGCTTATTTGCTTCTGTTTTCAATTTTAATAATTTTTTCCTTTGATTTTTTTAAAGTGTGAAACATTTTCAATGTTAGAATCCATCTTTAACAATTAACAGGAATCAATCAGATATAATCATCTAAATCTATGTTAGTCAAAATGTGGTAAAACAGTATCATCAATATATAGGAGCTCAGTAGAAATGCAGAATCTTAGGCTTCATCCTGTGTCTATTGAATCAGACTGTACAATTTTTAATATATCCCTAAGTGATGTGTATGCTCTCTGAAGTTTGAGAAAGAGTAATCTAGACTAGGGATTCTCAACCTAGGCAACACATAAGAACTATCTGGGAATATTTTTTTTAAATCACAATGCCCAGGCTCTCTACCAGCTGAATTAATTCAGAACCTCCAGGGGTGAGACCCAGGAATCTGCATTAAAGTGAACAGCTGAGTTGAGAATCTCTTATATAGGTTCTGTTACTTAGAGTAAGAATCTCTATCCTTGTAGAACCATTAAAATTTTCAGTTCAATAAAATAACATTAGTTTTTGAACATTGTGTATTTTTCATTTATTTGTAAATTATTTGACATTGTATTTGATGAAATGTATGAAAAAAAAGTTTTCTTTCCATGGAATATAAAACAACTTAACTATCTTTAATACATAAGTGAGAGAGTTTTAATTTATAAGTTAGTGATCCAACATATATTGTTGCTATGCTACTACTAGATATGATTTATTGGGTAACATATTTCATAAGCTACAGCAGGTATGATATCTCATTTTAATCCTTAGGAAAACTATGATGTAAAATCTAGAAGTTAATATGAGATTTGAGATTGAAGTGTGTGTGTGTTAGCTTAATAATTTGCCCTAACTCATACAACTAGTAAACATAGAACTGGTTACAAAACCCATATCCATGAGTCTCTTAAATCTTTGATTTTTGCATGCTATAGTACTACTTTTATGCCCTCTGAGTTCCATTGGGGCTTCCACGTGTGCTCACACTTGGGGAGCCAGACTGCAGACTTGTCTGATCCAGCCCTCACCCAGCTTTGCCCCTTTACCTGCCTTGGTAGCAGAACACAGAGACTTTTGAGAGTTCCACAGCCCCTCCCATCACCTGTGACATCTGAGTACTTCCCCTAACTAAAGTGAAACAAAAGCACCAAACAACTTATAAGGAAAACCTATTATGCTACTGGCAGACTTCTCATGCAGAAACCTTACAAACCAGAAGGGATTAGGGTCCTATCTTTATAGTCCTCAAACAAAACAACTGTCAACAAAGAATTTTATAGGCTACAAAAGTAATTTTCATAAATGAAGGAGAAGCAAAATCTTCCCCCTACAAGCAAATACTTAGAGAATGTTCCACCTCTAGACCAGTCCTATAAGAAACACTCAAAGGAGTTCTACACATTGAAATTAAGGATATATGCACCAGTATAAAACACTTGAAAATATAAAACTTACAGGGCTTATAAAACAATGTAATCAACAAAGTAAATAGACAACAACCAACTTGATGACTGTAACAGTACCTCAACACATGAATACTAACTTTGAATGTAAATGGCCTAAATGCCCTTCATTAAAGAAATAAATTGTAAGAATGGACTTAAAAAAAGCAAAATAAATGTTGGCTTCAAGAGACCCACTTAACTCATAAAGATTTTTATAGACTCAAGGTAAAAAGGTGTAAAAAAATATGCAACACAACTGAAAACCAAAATCATGCAGGAGTATCTATTCCTATATTAGATAAAACAGACTTTCAAATGAGTAAGAGAAAAAAAATAGAGAAAGTCATTATATAGTGATAAAGGAATCAATTCAACAAGAGATACAGCAATCCTAAATAGATATGCACCTAACACCAGAGCTCCCAGATTCATTAACTACCACTAGACCCAAGAAAAGAGATAGATAGCAGTACAATAATAGTGATGACCTCAACATCCCTCTGACAGCACTAGACAGATTATCAAGGCAGAAAGTCAATAAAGAAACACTAAACTGGATTTTAGAAAAAAATGTACCTAACATATATTTATAGCACATACTACCCAAAAACTAACAAATTATACATACTTCTTAGCACACGGAATATTTTCTAAGATAGACCATATGACAGACCACAAAATGAGTCTCAATAAATACAAAACAAAAAAGAAATCCTATCAAGTATCTTCTTAGACAACCATGAAATTAAATTTAAAATCAATTTTAAGAATTCTCAAAACTATACAATTACATGAAAATTTTAAGAATCTGTTCATGAACAATCTTTGGGTCAATGAAAAAAATAAGCTGAAAATTGTTAAAGTTTTCAAAATGAATGATAACAGTGACAGAAGTTATCAAAATCTCTGGGATACAACAAAAGAAGTAGCAAGAGGCAAGTTTATGGTTCCAAATGCCTGCACCAAAAAGACAGAACAATCACAAACTGGTAACCTAATATCACACCTCAAGGAACTATAAAAACAAGAACAAACCAAACCCAAGGATGGCAGGAGAAAAGAAACAAATATGGGGCTGGGTATGGTGGCTCACGTCTGTAATCCCAGCACTTGGGGAGGCTGAGGTGGGTGGATTACGAGGTCAGGAGATCGAGACCATCCTGTCTAACATGGTGAACCCTGTCTCTACTAAAAATACAAAAAAAAAAATAGCCAGGTGTGGTGATGGGTGCCTGTAGTCCCAGCTACTTGGGAGGCTGAGGCAGGAGAATGGTGTGAACCCGGGAGGCAGAGCTTGCAGCAAGCTGAGATCATGCCACTGCACTCCAGCCTGGGTGACAGAGCAAGAGCAAGACTCCATCTCAAAAAAAAAAAAAAAAAAAAAAAAAAAGAAACAAATATTAGAGCAGAACTAAATAATATTGAAAGCAAAAGACCAATATAAAAGATCAATACAATAAAAAAACATTGTTTTAAAGTAAAATAAAAATTGATAGGTCACTGGCTAAAATACCAAGCAAAGAAGAGGGAAGATTCAAGTAAGCTCAATAAGAAATGAAAATGAAGACATTACAACTCATAGTACAGCAATACAAAACAATCATCTGAGACTATTATGAACATCTTTATGCATTACATACTAGAAAATCTAATAAAAATGGATAAATTCCTGAAAACATACAACCCCCCAAACTTGAATCAGAAAGAAACAGAAACCCTGAACAGATAAGTAACAACTAATGATATTAAATTAGTAATAAAAAGCCTCCCAACAACAAGAAAAAGCAAAGGATCAGATGGATTTACTGCCAAATTTTACCAGACATTAAAAGAAGCAGTCACATGAATCTTACTAAAATTATTCCAAAAAAAAGATCAGGAAGGAGGGAATCCCTCACTAATTCATTCTACAAAGTCATTATGACCCTGAGAGTGATACTGGGTCAGGAAAGCACACAATAAAAAAGAAAACTACAGCCCAACATCCCTGATGAACGTAGATGTAAGATTTCTCAAAAAAAAAAAAAAAAAGCTAGCGAAGTGAATCCACCAGCACATCAAAATGATAATTCATCATAAACAATTGGGTTTCATCCCAGGGATGCAAGGACTGTTCAGCATAGACAGGCCAATGAATGTGATTCACCACGTTAAGAGAATTAAAAACAGAAACCATATTATTTCCCCAGATACAAAAAAAAAGCATTTAATAAAATCCAGCATCCTTTCATGATCAAAACCCTCAACAAACTAGACATAGAAGGTACACACCTTGAAATAATGAAAGCCATATGTATTAGTTCGTTTTCACACTGCTGATAAAGATATACCTGAGACCGGGCAACTTATAAAAGAAAAAGTTGTAATGGACTTACAGTTCGACATGGCTGCAAATGCCTCACAATCGTAGTGCAAGGCAAGGAGGAGCAAGTCACATCTTACATGGATGGCAGCAGGCAAAGTAAGAGCTTGTGCAGAGTTTTTTTAAAACTATAAAATCTCGTGAGACCCATTCATTATCATGAGAAGAGCATGGGAAAGACCTGCCCCCATGATTCAATCATGTCCTTTCGGGTCCCTGACACAACACTTGGAAATTATGAGAACTACGAGATGAGATTTGGGTGGGGACATAGGAGCCAAACTATATCTTTCCATGCCTGGCCACTCCCAAATCTCATATCTTCACATTTCAAAACCATCCTGCCTTCCCCATAGCACCCCAAACTCTCAACTCATTTCAGCATTAACTTAAAAGTCTGCAGTCCAAAGTCTCATCTGAGACAAGGCCAGTCCCTTCTGACTATGAGCCTGTAAAATCAAAAGCAAATCAGTTACTTCATAGATACAATGGGGGTATAGGCATTGGGTAAAGACAGCCATTCCAGATGGGAGAAATTGGCCAAAACAAAGGGGCTACAGGTCCCAAGTAAGCCCTAAATTCAGCAGATCAGTTGAATCTGAAGACTCCAAAATGGTCTCCTTTGACTCCATGTCTCAGATCCAGGTCATGCTGATGCAAGAGGTAGGTTCCCATAATCGTGGGCAGCTCTGCCCCTGTAGCTTTGCAGGGTATAGCACTCCTTCTGGCTACTTTCAGGAGCTGGTGTTGAGTATATGCATCTTTTCCAGGTGCACAGTGCTAGCTGTTGGTGGATCTACCATTCTGGGATCTGGAGGATGGTGGCCCTCTTCTCAAAGCTCCCCTAGGTGGTGTCCCACTAGGGATACTGTGGGGGGCTCCAACCCCACATTTCCCTTTCAGACTGCCCTAGCAGAAGTTCTCCATGAAAGCCCTGCCCCTGCAGCAAACTTCTGCCTGGACATCCAGGTGTTTCCATACATCCTCTGAAATCTAGATGGAGGTTTTCAAACCCCATTTCTTAACTTCTGTGCACTGGCAAGCTCAACACCATGTGAAAGCTGCCAAGGCTTGAGGCTTTCACCCTCTAAAGCCACAGCCCAAGCTCTATGTTGGCCCCTTTCAGCCATGGCTGAAGTGGCTGAGACACTGGGCACCAAGTCCCTAAGCTACACACAGCAGGGAGACCTTGGACCCAGTCCACAAAACCAGTTTTTTCCTTCTAGACCTCCAGGCCTGTGAAGGGAGGGGCTGCTGTGAAGACCTCTGACATGCTTTGGAGACATTTTCACCATTGTCTTGGGGATTACCATCCAGATCCTCGTTACTTATGCAAATTTCTGCAGCTGGCTTAAATTTCTCCGCAGAGAATGGGATTTCCTTTCCTATCGCATTGTCAGGCTGCAAATTTTCCAAACCTTTATGCTCTGCTTTCGTTATAAAATTGAATGCCTTTAACAACACCAAAGTCACCTCTTGAATGCTTTGCTGCTTAGAAATTTTTTCTGCCAGATACCCGAAATTGTCTCTCTCAAGTTCAAAGTTCCACAAATCTCTAGGGCAGGGGCAAAATGCCACCAGTCTCTTTGCCAAAACATAACAAGAGTCACTTTGCTTCAGTTCCCAGAAAGTTCCTCATTTCCATCTGAGAATATCTCAGCCTAGACCTTATTGTCCATATCACTATCAGCATTTTAGGCAAAGCCATTCAACGAGTCTATAGGAAGTCCCAAATTTTCTCAAATTTTCTTGTCTTTTCTGAGTCCTTTAAACTGTTACAACTTCTGCTTGTTACCTAGTTCCAAAATTGCTTCCATATTTTCAGATATCTTTTCAGCAGTACCCCACTCTACTGGTACGAATTTACTGTATTAATTCATTTTCATGCTGCTGATAAAGACATACCAAAGACTGGGCAATTTATAAAAGAAAGAGGTTTAATGGACTTACAGTTCCATGTGGCCAGAGAGGCCTCACAATCATAGTGAAAGGCACTTCTTACATGGTGATGGCAAGAGAGAGAATGAGAGCCAAGTGAAACGGGTCTCCCCTTATCAAACCATCAGATCTCGTGAACTTATTCACTAACACAAGAACAGTATGGGAGAAACCACCCCCATGATTCAATTATCTCCCACCGGGTCCCTCCCACAACACATGGAAATTATTGAAATACAATTCAAAATGCGATTTGGGTGGGGACACAGAGCCAAACAACATCACCATATCAGCCACAACCAACATCATATTGAATAAGTAAAAATAGAAAGTATTCCCCCTGAGAACTGAAACAAGACAAGATGCCCACTTTCACCAGTTCTATTCAACATAGTACTGGAAGTCCTAGGCAGAGCAATTAAGCAAGAGAAAGAAGTAAAAAACATCTAAATTGGAAAATAGAAAGTCGAACTATCCCAGTTTGCTTATAATATGATCTTTGATATGGTTTGGATCTGTGTCCCTACCCAAATGTCATGTTAAATTTTAATCCCCAGTGTTTGATATGGGCCTAGTGAGAGGTAATTTAATGATGAGGGCAGTTTCACATGAATAGTTTAGTACTATTCTCTTTCTGCTGTTCTCATGATAGTGAGTGAGTTCTTATGAGATCTGGTTGCTTAAAAGGGTGTGGCACCTCCCCCCTTTCACTCTGTTTCTCCTGGTTTTACCATGTGATGTGCCTGTTCCTCTTTCACCTGTTGCCATGATTGTAAGCTTCCTAAGGCCTTCCAGAAGCCAAGGGGGCGTTGCTGGCACCATGTTTTCTGTAAAGCCTGCAGAACCATTATCCAATTAAGCCTCTTTTCTTTATATATTAACTAGTTTCAGGTATTTCTTTATAGCAACCGCCTAATAAAGAAAATTGGTATCTGAAGGGTGGGGCATTGTTACAAAGATAGCTGAAAATGTGGCAGCAGCTTTGGAAATGGGTAACAGGCAGAATTTTGAAGCATGTGGTGGGATCAGAGGAAAACAGGAAGATGAGAGAATGTTTAGAACTTCTTAGAGACTGGTTAAATGGTTGTGATCAAAATGCTCATCATAATATGAAAAATAAAGTCCAGGCTGCAAAGTTCTCAGTTGGAAATGAGAAACTTATTGGGAAATGGGGTAAAAGTTACTTTTGCTATGCCTTAGAAAAGAAGTTGGCTGTTTTATGTCCATGTCCTAGAGTGCCTATGGAAATCTGGACTTGAGAATGCTGATTTAGGGTATCTGGTGAAAGGAATTTGTGTTCAAAATGTTCAAGAGTTTACCTGACCACTTCTAACAACCTATTCTGAGATGCAGGAGCAAATGAATGACTTGAAGTTGGAATTTATATGTAAAAGGGAAGCCGAAGATAAAAGGTTAGAAAATTTGCAGTCTAGCCATGTGGCAAAGAAATAAAAAGACTTTTGAGGAGAGGAATTCAAGCAGATTGTGGAGCAACCACTTGTTCTAGATATGTGAATAACCAGGAAGCCAAGTGTGATGGCCAAGACAATGGGAAAAGGCCTTAGAGGCATTTGAGACCTTCAGGGCAGCCCCTGCCATCACAGGCCTGAAAACCAAGGAGGGAAGAATGGCTTTGTGGGCCAGGCCTAGGTACCCACTGCCCTGAACAGCTTCAGGACATTGCTCCCTGTATCCTGGCAACTCTAGCTTTGACAGTGACTCAAAGGGGCCCAGGTACAGCTCAGGCCACTGCTTCAGAGGGTGCAACCCATAATCCTTGGTGGCTTCTACATTGTGATAAGCCACTGGGTACACAGAATACAAGAGTTGAGTCTTGGAAGCCTCCACCTGGATTTCAGAGACGTATGGAAAAACCTGAGTGTCCAGGCAGAAGCTTGCTTCAGGGGCAGAGCCCTCACAGAGAACTTATACTAAGGCAGTACAGAGGGAAAATATGAGGTTGGAATTCCACACAGAGTCCCCACTAGGGCACAGCCTAGTGGAACTGTGAGAAGAGAGCCACCATCCTCATGACTGCAGAATGTTAGATCCACAGACAACTTGCACCCTGAGCCTGGAAAATCTGTGGGCACTCAACAATCTGTGAGAGCAGATGTGGGGGCTAATCTATGCAAAGCCACAGGGGTGGAGTGGCTCAAGACCTTGGGAGTCCACACCTCACACCAGTTTGCCCTGGAAGGAGGACATGAAGTAAAAGGATATTGTTTTGGAGCTTTAAGACTTAATGACTGCCTGGCTGGGTTTCAAACTGCATTGGGTCTGTAGCCCTTTCTTTTGGCCAATTTCTCCCTTTTGGAAAGGGAGTATTTACCCAATGCCTACACCCCCATTTTATATTGTATGTAACTAACTTGCTTGTATTTTACAGGCTCATAGGTGAAAGGGACCAGCCCTTGTCTCAGATGAGACTCTGAATTTTGGAATTTGAGTTAATGCCTTAAGGGTTAAGGCTTTGGAGGATTATTGGGAAGGCAGGATTGTATTTTTCTAAGTGAGAAGGACATGAGATTCGATGGAGGATGGAGGAAGAATGATATGGTTTAAATCTGTATCCTCCATGCAAATCTCATTTTGAATTGTAATCCCCAATGTTGGAGGTGGGGGCTGGTGAGAGGTGATTGAATCATGGGGGCAATTTCTCATGAGTGGTTTAGTACCATCCTCTTGGTACTGTCCTCACAAAAGTGAGTTTGTGCAATATCTTGTCACTTAAAAGTGTGTGACATCTCTCTCTCTTTCTTGCTTGCTCCTGCTTT
This sequence comes from Homo sapiens, assembly GCF_000001405.40. NCBI lineage: Eukaryota > Metazoa > Chordata > Mammalia > Primates > Hominidae > Homo > Homo sapiens. The sequence goes on along the minus strand of NC_000004.12, from coordinate 65,896,508 downwards.
TGCCATGTTATATGCCTGCTCTCCTTTTACCTTCCCCATGATTGTAAGCTTCCTGAAGTTTCCCCAGAAACCAAGTGGAAATTGGCATCATGCTTCTTGTGAGCCAATTAACCTCTTTTGTCTAAATATTACCCAGTATCAGGAAATTCTTTATAGCAATGCGTGAATGGCCTACTATAATCTTATACCTAGAAAACCCTAAAGACTCCTTCAAAAGTCTCCTAGATTGATAAATGAATTCACTAAAGTCTTGGGTTACAAAATGGATGTACGAAAAACAGTAGCACTGCTGAAAATAACAGCCAGGCTGTAAACAATATCAAGAACTCAATCCCTGCAGGAAGCCTTCATTCTCAGCAAACTAACACAGGAACAGAAAACCAAACACCACATGTTCTCACTCATAAATGGGAGTTGAACAATGAGAACACATGGACACAGGGAGGGGAACATCACACACCCAGGGCCTGTTGCGGGGTGGGGACCAAGGGGAGAGAGAGCATTAGGACAAATACCTAATGCATGCGGGGCTTAACACCTAGATGATGGGTTGATAGGTGCAGCAAACCGCCATGGCACATGTATACCTATGTAACAAACCTACACATTCTGCACATGTATCCCAGAACTTAAAAGTAGGAAAAAAAAAGAACTCAATCCCACTCCCACTTATAATAGCTACACAAAAAACACATGCCTAATAATATACTTATAAGTAAGGGCTAAGCTATGGGTACACGAAGGCTTACAGAGTGGTCTAATTGACACTGCGGACTCACAAGTGGGGAGAATGGAAAGGAGATGGGGCAAAATACACTATTTGGATGACAAGTACACTAAAAGTCCAGACTTCATAACTGTACAATTTATTGAAGAAACCAAAAATCAATGGCACCCCTAAAGCTATTGAAATAAAATAACAAAATGAAATAAAACAAAACATTAAACTATTAAATAATGCCGGTTCCTATTACATTAACTGTAAATGACATAGATAAACCTGTGCAGAAAAGGACACTGGAAGAGTTGATTCTAAAAAGTGACCTAACTATATGCTATTTATAAGAAATTCACTTCAAATATAATAACGTAGTTATGTGGTAATTAAAATAATGAAAAAAGTTATATCATGAAATAGTAAAAGAATACAAGAATTCCTATGTTAGTGTCAGATAAAGTAGACTTCAAAACAAAATAAAAATTATCAGAGACACAGAGGGATACTACCTAGTAACAATTATCAACCTAAAAGACATAACAATCCTCAGTGTATACCACAGGCAACAAAACTGCATAATATTTGAAGCATATATTGATAGAAGGAGAAATAGACAAATCTAGTACTGTAGTTGGAGACTCCAACACCCCTCTCTCAACTACTGATAGAATAACTAGACAGAAAATCAACAAAGATTTGGAAGACCAATACCATCACCCCACAGGATGTAATTGACATTTATAGACCACCTCCCTTCAGCAGTAGCAGAATATGCATTCTTTTAAGAACCTATTGACTTATATAAAACTTGCTATATTCCTGTAATGGCAAAATTATAAAAATGGAAAACAGATCAATGGTTCCTATCAATCACATTTGTTATGTTTAACATTTTGTTTAAGTTTTTATATTTCTGTGGTGATCATAAGTATCATTCATTTAATTGATCAAAAGGATGAATAAATAATTCTGATAATGAAAATGTGTTAAAGTGCATGTGATTTTAGAATGGTTTATTAAAACAGAGGTAGAATTTGGAAGGAATGACATATTTGCTTTAACTTCTGCCGTGTCTTGCATGGCAAACAGCATTTAACCTTTAATTAAAATTTGCTTTGGACCACTTTTAATGAAATGTACTTGAGAATTTACTATTAAAGTAGTGCTTTTATTCTTACTTTTGAAATTACCATCAAATCAGAAGCTTTGCCAAGAACAAATACCCAAGGATGAATCACCAACTGTCCTACAACTTAGATAAACTAAATAAATTCAGAGAAAACTGTTTTCAACTTCAGCTTTAGGGATACATTCTTCCAAGTATAATGCTGAATAATTTGCAAGCTTATCCTTTAAGGAGATTTGATTTGCACCTAAAAGCTTTGAAAAACCTCTCTTGATCATTACATGCTCACTGTATTTAGTATAACTGTCTTAGAAACATTTCCTTTTCTCTTCATTTGAGCAGCATGATCTGCCTGCGTCTTTCAGCACTCTCAAGAGTTGCATTTCCATAAAAGTATTGAGCTCTGAATTTGAAATGCAGGTACACAATTGGGCACAAAGACAACGAACTGGAATGTTTTATAGCACTCATGTGTTGAAGTCTTCTATAGTGCAGACACTTTGCTAGCTGTCGGGTTAAGTAAGCACCTCAAGCATGTGACTACATTAGGATGCGATCACCTTCAATTTTAGTTACAAATGGTGCCAATAATAGCACTCCATCAACTATTTCACGTGGTAGAACATATCTGCTCTGATTTCCTTAGCTCTAGCTCCTCACCTTCCTCACCTCATTTTCTATCTACATACCTATTCTGTAATTAAATTAGTGAAATCACCCCAAGTGAATTCAAAATGACAATTACCACCAAAGAAGATAATAGAAACTAAGAATGTTCAAAAGACTAAAGGTTGAATTCACTACACTGTTTGCTTTCATCCACTCTAACAATTCATAGATCTTCATATATCAGAAATGAAGCCTTTTTACTATGCACATATTCAAGAGATTATAAGCTATCCCTAAAAATCAGAGTGCATTAACATTCTGTGAATGCTTTTTATGCTTGCTTATCTTTCTTGTTTTCCCCCTGTCCATTTTAAGGGACCAAACTACAAACTACAAACCTCATTCATGAAACCAAAAAAAAAAAAAAAACAAAAAAACAAATAGCAATTTCTGTGTTGGAACTGCAACCTCTCAGCATGTTTTTCCTCTAAGTGACATGAATTTTGTGCCAGATTCTAGATAATTGACAGATTTATGCATGTGCATAGTAACTGGCTTGGTGCCTTTTCTCTCCTGCAAAGAGGAGCTTCTAAAATGTCTTAAGGCCCAGCCAGAAACTTTAGCACATTTTTTGAGCAGGAAGTAGGACTCGTTGTAGTCTTAAAACAAACCTGCTGGTGAATAAAGTCATAATGCTCTGGAAGTGAGGCCATTGCAGGTTAAGAAAGAATAAAAGGGTTGTTGCTTTGAGGCTGCCAAGCTGTAGGTCAAAAATGCATTGCTTAAAAATGAAGAAATAAACAACAAAACACAAAGAAGGAAAAGATATAAATCGGATGCTTCCAGAAACTATTCAGATTCATAGTTGCTTGCTTTCCGGATCTCACTGTAACAGTAAATTAACTTTATTGACTATTTCACTCTATTTTACACACATGAAAAAAAGTGGGGGATCAACCAAATGAATTATATTTAGACATCCTTAACTTAAAATCCACCAAAAACATGTTAGCAATTTAGCATTTTACATTGTTTGGGGGTAATGCAAACTTACTCTGAATTCTTTCCTATGCTGCATTTCACTGTAAACATCTTGAGTAAACAGATCATGGGCCCTAGTGTTTAATCTCTAGTATCATATTAATAATATTTTGATTATTTGCACAATGTATATTCATTATATTGTTTTATCTGAAATCACTCTAAGTTCTTTGAGGTGCTATGATTTGAACAATGCCTCATTATCTTAAATGTACCAAGGAAACTGATTCTATTTAACACATCAAATGAGCATTCTTGATTTTTAAACAGAATAATTTTCACAGGAATGAAATCTAACAACCTTTGTATTTTACTGAGCAATAATGTGCTATGCATCTGAGCAGATCCAAAATATATAAGATACATTCTCAGATCTTAGAAAGCTTACTAATAACACTATAAGAAGATACTTAAGTAGTTAAATAGTGGGAAATTATACATTCAAAAAGAGTAGAAATGACTCAGTGCAATAAAAAGAAACAAAGAATAACATTTCCAGGGAAGAATAATTAAATTTAAATACTTGTTGAGGGACATTTTTTCCCCACAGTACAATAGAAGAGATTAACAATGGTACAACTCCAAAATAAGTATGCATATAAGTCACTGTTGCAATATTTATAATACCATATGATTTAAATACATATGATACTATGTTAGTTCAAGAAGGGAGGGAACAAGTTTGGTGAAAGGAACTATTAACTGTTTGATAGTAAGATACTTAAACATGCTCAAAGGAAGGGATTTAAACAGAGGAAGACATGCTAGTGAGAACAACATGGGTGAAGACGTGGAGGTGATTTTCAGTCATGCACAGAATTAAGATTCCAATTTAGGTAGAGTACAGGCTGCACGTTGTGAAGTAGTGGGAAAACAAACAAACAAACAAAAAAACTTCAAGCTTCTATTGGATTATAATAAAGAATGCTTAAATCCTTCATAGAGGAGTTGAAATGTTAACGGAAGGAAATTTTTTGTCATCCAACACTGATAATCTGATAAGCAAAATTATTTCATAGCTAGAAATATTACAACAATAAAATAGACAAAAAGTATATTGTTTAAAATCAAATCACATGGAAGTGATAATATTTTTTAAAATTATACAAGATTCCCATCTAATGAATACAAGTATTTGTAAATTCAGGAAATAGTGCTTGATGAATTTTTGATATTTGTGGTTTCTCAAAAAAGTGACATGTTTCACATCTCTTATCACTTAGGTACATTGGGTACAGATTTAATTTGGAGTTCGCTTGCAGTCAGCCTGATTAAAATGTCAAATTTTAATGTAAACCAAACATATTTGGAGGAAAGAACACAGGAACCAATTTAATTAAAAACTTCAATCCCAGCACTGTAGTTTAAAGTTTTTCTCCAAGACACAAATTTAACTTTTTTTAAAAAATTAATCATGGGTCTTGTGCTTCTTTGATTAATTTATGGATGACTTAAGTGTCCTCAGAAATACATAACAGGAGAAAATAAGAAAGATATAAATCATATCCTATAAGTAGAGCCGGAATGACCCAAATAGAGGCCATTTACAATCCTAATTTATTTAAAGAATAGGCAACTTGACACCTATGCTAAATGAATTGAATGAAGCAATTAATGTAGTTTTCTCTTTTCATTCACATCCTTCCCATACTGTTGATCTCGGACATCTTCTTTGACTAGTAGACATATTTTCAAATTGATCTAATGGTATTAATGAGAGGGAGTATAAAATAACTCAGTGAGAGGTAAACGGAGAGCAGGAAATCAGCACTCCTAAATTCAGTTGCATGTCTAACTACATCAGGCATTGCTATTAGTGTTCCTCAGTTGTGATCCTAACCAAGTGCTCTAATCACATTTGAAGATACATTCCAAATTCGGCAGTCATTTACATGCTTTTGCATTGTTAATACGTGATCAAAATATGACAGGTACGTTTCAAAATTTTTAGTCCAATTTCAATGCCAATAATACTGGGTAAATATAATTTTTGCTTTTCCTATACAACAGTTAAATAAAATTTATGACATGCTGCAAAGCACTTTTTTTAAATTTTTTAATTTTTTTATTTTTTTGAGGCGGAGTTTTGCTTTTCTTGCCCAGGCTGGAGTGCAATGGCGCCATCTCGGCTCACTGCAAACTCTCCTCCCGGGTATAAGCGATTCTCCTGCCTCAGCCTCCCTAGTGGCTGGGATTACAGGTGCCTGCCACCACACCCAGCCAATTTTTGTATTTTTAGTAGAGATGGGGTTTCTCTATTTTGGCCAGGTTGGTCTTGAACTCCTGACCTCAGGTGATCCACCCACCTCAACCTTCCAAAGTGTTTTTTTTTTTTTGTTCCCCCACATAAAATCATCTCTAACACAGTTCACAATTGTAGGTTAGGAACTATGATTTACCACTAGGCTATTATTCTATTCATGCAAAGCAGAACGAAAATCTCTATGACCATATTTAATGCACAAGAATATGAGATGACGTGATCAAAAATAATTATCAGTTTTATTTTTGTTCTTCTTCACCAGTCCGTCCAACAGGCACTCTAGTTTTACCTTTTGATTATTTAAATAGATGACTTTTTTTTTTTAAATCTTCTTGACTATTGTCATGGTTCTGGTTTCTATCATTTATTATCTTGGCTTCTGTAATAATCTTCTAATTTCAGTTCTTCCCATCACTTAGAAAACTTTCCTCAAAGGTATAATTGTAACCCAAAATATCAGAATGTTTGCTTCTTATGTGAAAGAAAATTTAGAAGCAAAAACATAAAGAATGAGCTAAAAAAAAGATCCAAAATTCTCAATCATAGTTTCATTGGCCCTCCTGACCTGGCCTTGCCCATATCTCTAGTTTTCTCCTTGGCTAATTCCTATAGGCACGCTCTGCTGGAAACACTCCTCTGTACATTGTATTCTCCTGAAATTTGTTTTTTTCCATATGTGTTCCTTTGCTTTCTGTTACCTGATATTTTATTTTGGAAACTTCCTCTTTAATATTCATGTTTATCCCATAAATTTGTTACGTAACTTTCCACTATAACATTCATTACTTTTTCTATATATTTGTTTGTTTTTCTTTTTTTCTTTTTTTTTTTTTTTTGAGACGGAGTCTCGCTCTGTCGCCCAGGCTGGAGTGCAGTGGCGGGATCTCGGCTCACTGCAAGTTCCGCCTCCCGGGTTCACGCCATTCTCCTGCCTCAGCCTCCCAAGTAGCTGGGACTACAGGCGCCCGCCACTACGCCCGGCTAATTTTTTGTATTTTTAGTAGAGACGGGGTTTCACCGTTTTAGCCGGGATGGTCTCGATCTCCTGACCTCGTGATCCACCTGCCTCGGCCTCCCAATTGTTTGTTTTTCTTGACTTTTAGACCATGAAATATTAAGTGCAGGAGATCTGCTTTATCTTTGTATCCTAAGGGTTAACAACCGTATAAGGCATGTAAATAGGTCCTCAATATTTTTTGAAGAAGGTGAGAATAAAATCTTCCAGAGTCACCAGGCCGCATCATACAGATCATATTTGTATTTTTATAGCACTAATGACTTCTTCTATTGTAGAAAATGTTTACAAAGTAATGTAATATATTGTTTAAGTGTGTATGTGTGTTCTTCATTAGACAGTTACCTTCTTTTGTAAAAAACTGTCTTATTTATCTGTTTTACCAAGTACTTGGAAGGGTGCTTAACACTAAATAGTGATATTCATTGATTATTGAATAATTGCTCAAATTCTTTGATTATTATAGCAATTCTGAAATTTGCTTAACTGGATTCACAAATTATAGAACAAGAATTTCTTCTTTGCTTGTGTAAAGTTGGATATCTTTTATTTGCAGTTTCTGTTAGAATTCCCAAGCTGATTAATTCCATAGACATACATATACATAATATATATAAATATATATAAAAATATATAAAAATATATAAATATATATAAAAACATAAATATATATATATATAAAATCAGGCTCCCTACTTTAAGTAGTATTGAGTAAAAAGTTCATGATTCTTTAGGACAGTTATAATCAAGTCCCTCTTCAAATAAAAATGTCTACATTTCTTTCAAATACAGTATAATTACATGCAGGAAAGAGACCACTAAAATGTAAATGGGCAATATCTAGATAAAAAGGTAATATTCAGAAATATATATATCTATGTATATATACCTAAATAGTCAAATTCTAGTTTTGTAACTTTCTGTAGCTCTATGACTTTGGGCAAATTATTTTACTGTTCTGTGCCTCAGTATCCTCTACCATAAAATGAAGATAATCTTAATGCGTAACTTCTTTAGTTATCATGTGGTTAGAATAGGTTAATTTATGGAAAAAGACCCTACAAAACTTCCTTGAAGATAGAAAATACTCATTAATATAAACCATTATTAATTTTTTGGGTCAAATCAACATATGATACCATGTTAATTTAAATTATGCCACTTGGGAAAATGTTTGGTTTTAAATGCAAACCTTAGTATTTTGAAAGGGGCACATGTTACGTTTTCAAATGACATATTTACATTTATCAAACAGATAACTAGAATAATTATGTCAACATATATAATATTTATTAGCTAATTAGATATAATGCATCTGAAAATAGTAAAATCATTCAATGTAAAAAAGATGTTTAAATTTTCATATTGGAAATCTTTAATTGCTTGGATTTTTATCATCTCATAACTGAAATTTCCTGAGTTTGATAAAAGCTCTGCAGCAACAATGTGTTCGTATCAAATTTGCAACAAACTATATAATTTAAATTTTCACTTTAAGAAAATAAAATCCAAACAATAAAAATGTTGTTTTCATTTGATCAGATTACATGGGCCAATGACACTTGACCTTCTTTAGAGATTAATATAAACTTTAAATGGACAAGAAAAATCCAGAAGCTTGAAATTAGAAGAGTGAAGCTTAACACTGAACATAGTCTTAGCATTACTATTGATATAAAATACCCTTATTGAACAAAAAAGTATATTTCTAAAATATGTTTAAAATATTTCAACTCAACTAGGATGTATTAAATTTTATATTAATGGTCAAGTTTTGATAACCTGAATCTCTGCTAATTTATACAAATGTTAAGTCAATTGAACATTTATGCCAGTGAGATCAGAACTTCCCACTGTACATTTTTACATGAAAAAAAATTAGTCTACTTTTACAGATAATGGCAATATCTCCAGTCATTAAATTGCTCCCCAAAGCACGCTCTTGGCATATTAACTTAAGACCAAAAAAATCAGGAGAAAATCTCAATATGTAGGGCTGCTTTTGGAGTAATCAACTGTATTAACATTTCCAAGATACACCATACTTTTGCTAATGTCAACTATTCTGCTTTAGAATTGAGATTAGAAGAAAAGTTTACATAAGATTCCCCATTTTTGACAGCATTTATTTTGATTATATTACCATGTTTGCAATAGAATAGGTGTTTAGTAGATATTGAGTATAATAACATAATGAAATCACCTAATATTTGTTTGTTTCTTTTTTTTTTTTTTTTTTTTTTTTTGACGGAGTCTCGCTCTGTTGCCGAGGCTGGAGTGCAGTGGCGGGATCTTGGCTCACTGCAAGCTCCGCCTCCTGGATTCACACCATTCTCCTGCCTCAGCCTCCCAAGGAGCTGGGACTACAGGCGCTCGCCACGAAGCCCGGCTATTTTTTTGTATTTTTAGTAGAGACGGGGTTTCACCGTGTCAGCCAGGATGGTCTCAATCTCCTGACCTCGTGATCCGCATGCCTCGGCCTCCCAAAGTGCTGGGATTACAGGCGTGAGTCACCGCGCCTGGCCCGAAACCACCTAATATTTCTTTCTTAATTGTTCAGTCGCTAGTGCTATTTTCCATTATTTTGCTTTCTCTTGCATAAATGAGTCTTGATGAGGAGTTTGAATCAGAGGATTGGTTTAGGAAACTAAAGAAAAATGTACAGGCTGATAATTGAAAAAGGGAACACAAAAGACTAATATATTTAAGCTGAGTTTAAAGAAAAAACGAAAGAGAAAAAGAAAGAAAGAAAACATTTCTAGAGTAGAAAGGAAATAAGATGAATATATCAAATTTTTTAAAAAAAAATAGGACCAATAAAAAACTTACGGAGAGCAACATAATAATAACCAGAGAAAATAATATTTTTGTAAATAAATTTTTAACTACTGTAAGGAATAAAATGTTGCATTAATGAAAATAATAAATTATTAAAACATATAGAGCAATAAAAGTTAGAAGGGACAGAAAGAGATACATAAGGTTAGGCATTTTCATATGTTAAAAATTTTGGCTCTATTATATATTCTATGGTGTATTGAAAGGAGATTATTATTATAATAAACAGAAAGTAATGACACACTCATTAGTGGAAATTGAGAGAATCTGGTACATATCCAAGTATCCAGCTGCAGCATTTAACTCAATGTTTATGATATATTTTCAAATCCTTTGCTTCAAGAGAATATTCAAACAATTATGCGTGAATTATTTTTTGTGTTCATAGTTAAAATAAAGAAGAATTGTATTTTTGTGTAATACTTCATAATTAAAGAAAGTTAAGTGAGTTTAAGGGCAAGAGCAATCAATTTTTATTTATTTTTACCACAAATGTGGCTTGTTATGATTTTTTATTAGTTTATATGTGTATTTATTTTCATTTTTACTATCAATCACTTTTGGGACATTGACACTTTTAGATGAAAATGTAATGGTCACTTTCAGATAAGAAAGAAAAATTAGTGAAATCATTAAAGTAGAAAAATAGAAGAAAGAATAAAATGACATATTCTACAGTAGTAAAAATTATATTTCATTTTAATTTATACTCCACAAGGTTCTCATGAGTTTCCCATAAGGAGACCAATCTTCCATTCAGGTTTTCATTGCAATGCCTTTGTTAGAACATGTCTGTTATAAAAAATTTGAAAATATAAATCAATCATAATCTTCACATATTTTCCTTGAAGATATTTATTTGCTAAATATTTTCTTTAATATTCAGTTTCATGGTACTTGATTCTTTTCAGCAGGCCATTCATTCTTAGGTAGTCCCCTGTTCAGGAAGAATAGCCACCCTAGAATAAATATACCCCTAAATGAGTTATTTAATTAAGAAAAGCCTCATTTCTCTACCTTTAAAATTTATATTTACTACCATTAAAGTAATTAATGCACCCAAATAAAAGGCTCAAATGAGGCATCTTTCCTCTATTCAGAGGAGCCCTCATTAACCTAGAAATGAAAGAGAGGAAGGAAGAGTTAAAGCATGCTACAACAGAACTTATTAGATGTTAAAGGATTTCTAGGTTCAGCCAATTTCTAAAATAATCGCTATGAAAAAATTAAATATTCTTTTCTTACACACCCTGGTTATCCTCTCAGTTTACTTTCCAAAACAATTTAGTCATTGACTGCACTCACATAGAGTAAAAACCAAATGTCTTGGCCGTGTGCTTTGTCATCAATGTACTTTTCCAGCCACATATTCCACAGAACCATTGAACATGTTGTTGCTTAAATATATTTTACATAATTCAACATCCACATCCACACTTTTAAATTTCCTTCTCCTTTCCTGAATTCTTCATGGCAAGACAGTTGGGGTTTAAATCTCAGCTTATCCACTTATGAGCTGCATGACTTTGGGTAAATTAAAGTAGTATGCGCTTTAGTTTCTTTATCTGCTAAATAGGGGCAGAAATAGTATATATCTTACATGAATAAATGAGTTAATGACTGGATGCTTTTATTCACTTATGTATCTTCCCAAATATAGGACACAGGTATTTTACTTTTCAGAACTTTTAAAGCACGAGACAAACATTACTGAACCATGAATAGTAAGGAGTAGGCCACACTAGAAAGGCCTGGCCTGAGTTTGTTGACTGAAAGGAATAATCATTTGAACCTAGAAGTTTACTAATAAATTGCATAGGTTTACTAATAAATTAATCACCAAGCATTTTGAAGAATATACTCCTGATAATGCCACAGAGAAAGAGTGAATCCCCAGTTCTTCATGGAGGTACACCCTACTCTGCCATTGTTTGTGTACCCAGGACCAAGTTTGAGAATGCACTCAGGGTCTACACCCAACATAAGGTAAGGGAAGCAGGATTAAGCAGAGGGAGAAGCTGAACTATGAAGTGTTTCAACAGAAGGCTCAGATGATCCACTGGCAAACCCTGGAGCTAGGGTGGCCTATAGATTTCTCTCAAATTCAGGTAAATGAACCAGGTTTTGTACCTCTTTCATCAAATAGTCACTGGATATGAGCTGCCCCAGAAAAAGGCCATAAACTTTAGGGTGGCATCTCCTTTCCTCTGAGGGTAATCCAGAGACAATATGTGATGTGGTTTTGCAGCCAGCACTCCCGTCAGCTGAGGGAACGTGTGCCTCAGCCATGTAGGGGAGATTTGGTGATGCATCTGTGTGTCCTTGAAGCCCCTTAAGGTTGAGTTCTGTGATAATTGTATGGACATTGCCAAGTTAGAGTAGCCAGAGAAATTGGTTTACTACATTTCATATCATGTGAGAGAAAATACACTCAGAATTACATACCTTCTATTTCTGACTGAATAATCTAATTTATACAAGGTCTGTCTATGGCCTATAGAAGATTATATTTAATTTATAGGCATTCAATACCAGCCAAATAAATTTATAATTAGGGTGTTTGCCACCAATTTAGGTTAGTGCAGAATAAAGTCATTTATATGTTCAAGAAGATAGTTCAGCAGAAGATGTGAGGGAGTAAAAGGAAGATTTTCCATTTTAACTAATTTTCAATTTTATTTTCCCAAGGAGAGGTACAAATTTTCCTATCACATTCCAAGTTAAGACTGGAGTGATTTAAACAGGAATTAGCCAATTTCTACTCTCAAAAAGTCATACAAAACTCTAAGCAATAAGTAGTTGATTTCCATAGGGTTTTTGCATGAATAACTGTAGGCATGATTGAGCCCACGCTCGCATCTTTATTGAGGTTGAGTTTAAGGTTTAAACCAATAACTTCAGTGAAGGGTGTGATTTAAAAACATCTTTCATATACTTAAGTTGAGTAGAATTTTCTCTTATCATTCATGTTTATGATGTAAAACCACTCCATTGGGTCAATTTAAAGCATGACTGATGCTATTCAAATATAAAATTTATAGCTTTCCTAAAATTTTATTATACATAAAAATCTTACTAAAAGAGTACGGGAAGTTTAGAGTGTTTAGAAATGGCTAGGAAAAAAATGCAAAAAAACAAACTGCTCTATAATATTCAAATACTTTCAATTTAATTTTAAAATTCAGTTTCTATCACTTTAAAAGACAATGAATAATTAATAAATTAAATTTTGTAAAGCAGAAATAAATATGATATGCCATTTCTTTTTTTGCCTGAGTTTCAAGTTAATTTTTTATTTTTATTTAAATGGTGGTTTGACCATCACATTCTCATATGAATTATGAAACACAAACTCTAAATTCAGAGAAAGATAGTAAGTCATAATTTGGGATAACAATAAAAACTAATTTTAATTTTTAAAACCAAAATGGAAAATCCAAGGTGACAGGTCAAAATGGAAGTGGTATTTATTGTCTTTATGTGTAGTTGTAATATGTAAAATATTGTAGTGAACACTAAAATAAGCAGTCAGAACAAAATCTTAAAGATGACCCCTAGAAGTAAGCATAGGAAATTAACATTACTAAACTTATAAATAGCCCCAGGTATAGTGTGTTATATGATCAAATAGGTTAGTTTCCAAAGACCAGACAGATTGGAGAAACTGATGAAAGCATGAACCCATTTTATTTTAGAACATACTTCTTTATGTTGAAATTAGAACATAACTTTTCAGGACCTTAAGATTTTCCAGAGAATTGCATTTTGTTCCACAAATAATCACTATTTTTAAAATACATAAATCATATAATTAAGAAGTGCTAATAACAAAAACGATTATTTGTGTTTACTAATTGGTATGCTCAAAATATCTATAAGTAAGTTTGCAGGCCAGTAAAAGCTTTAAAGGGCCCGACACTAAAATTTTCTAAAGATATTCTCCTCTTTAATATTTTCACTAACATTAATTTATTGCCCATCTATCCACACCATGCTGGACACATCTTCAAATTTTATGCAATTTAATTTTTACAAGTGCAAGATATGATTGCTATCTCAATTATTTTACAGATGAAAAAACTAAGATTTTATAAGAGTAAATAATGTACCCCAAATTCAAACCTAAATATGTTGTTCTGCCATGTTTTTTCTTACACATAAATTTCTTTGGTAAAATTTAGAAGGATATACACCTAATAACAACGAAGATTACCAACAGCCTTCTAATCAGTGGAAACTATATCTAGTGCTTTATATTCAGCACTGTACATTCCTATCACAACTCAGAAAAAAAAAGTACTTTTCACATTTGAAATAACTGAGGCTCAGAAAGTTTGTACAACTTGCCCACATAGTAGCACAGTTTACCAAGAACCTATAAAGTGCAGTCCTTGTTGCCACTGTGATATATTTATTTAAAAATAGCACGTCACAGTGATATTTATTTATTTAAAAAATAAATAATCCGGGAGCATGAATTAGGGCTATGAAAAGGAGAAACCTGTGGGAAGAACTCAGAAAAAAGACATGTCTAGATTTTAAATGAGAGAACGGTTAGAGGAACTATCAGAAGTTCTATGAGCTCCTTTTAACAATTTGAGAAGTTCTGATAATGTGCTTCGTGACCTTATGGTCATTTCATCATTCAGAAGCTACAAGAGTCGGATAACTAAGCCTTACATGTATGCTGTGAGAACTAACTAGATAATGTTAGTAATGTTTACTGAGTTCCTTAGAGAAAGGTGTCTAAAACTTTATAACCTGTTATAAAGAAATGCACTGAGGCTCTTTTGGTCCCTAACACAATTGGTGAGAATACAGAATATCTCACATTTGCGAAGGAAAGAGAGTAGAGAGGCACTAGAAAAAGATGGAGTACAGCACATAGAAGCATTTTCTTTTGCAGACAGTCTATATTTGCAGTTTATCTAACAGATAAAAGCCAGAAAAGTAAAATGAAAAATCAGTTATTGTGACTAATTCAGTTAACAAGATTAAGAGCAAAGGGCCTAAAATGCTGTATACAGAAAGAGAATGCAAAAAAAAAGTAATTGAAAGTAAAGACTTGCTAGCTGATGGGAAGCTGAGCTCTCCAAATCAGTCAGCTTAGAGTTTAGTTCACATTTGTGCCCAGGAGAAGGATTTATTTCTGATTATTTATTGGCTTTTGAAGTCAAAGTATTCTTAAACTAAAAGATCCATGGAAAGTGCAGTTGGGTAAGGGCTATATGTGCCATGTATCTGCAGAATTTTCAGGAGAATAAACAAGTCCTCAATGTATACAGATTAGAAAGATATATAAAAGACCACTTGCTTCATTATAGATCATTTTTTAGTCCCTAAATTGTCTAAATCTATAATTCTGTGTGTATGTGTATATGTGTGTGTATTTATATAATCTGCATTGCCAGATTTAACAAATAAAAATACAGAAAATCCACTTAAATTTGGATTTTTGATGAAAAGCAATTCTTAAATATATCTCCATCATTTCATCATACATACTTATACTAAAATATTGTTTGTTGTGTATCTGAAATTCAAATTTAACTGGCATCCTGTGTTTTATCTAACAGTTCAAGATAGAACCTTGGCACCAACATTGGGGAGGAAGTTTTTCTGTGTTCACACAGATGAAGAAACAAGACTTTTAGAAAAATAAATTGTTTTGTTTTGTTTATTTGCCTATTAACTAACCCAGATGACTCTTATGAGAGCAAAAATGCCCAAAACACTTCATTTTCAATTAAATTGACTGAAATTAGCTCAGATCCTAAGATATCAAAACTGACAAGCACCAGTATTTCCTAGGAGTCTGACTGGTGATACCCCTAAATTGTCTGTAGCTTAATCTCACACTGAAAAAAATACTGTGTTTTGAATCACATGTAATTCATATTTTATTGTGTATAGATTTGTCATATATGGTGAAGATATGACCTTATTCTCTTAGGAGTTTGGCTATGCCTGGACCCAAGTGGAAAAGTGGCGGAACAGGCCTCTTATAAATGGTTTGAGTGTGTACAGAGGAACTAGAAGAACACAATCAAGCTGTCCAGTTGGAAATGCAGACATCACTGAATATATGTTGAAGTATGCATTTGTCAATTGTGCCACCTTTGGTTAATTTACATGCATATTGTGCAACTGACCTTGTTATAATTCATTCTAGGAGAATAAGAAATTGGGCACCACAAGTGAGATTCAGCATCAAAGCTCTTGAGAGATGTAGAACTGTGTTTGTTGGCTGTTACCTTGTGCAAACTGACCTGTACTATTTCCATTATTAATTTCAACATTAAGGATTACTGGAAATCTTACTAGAAAACATTTTTAGCCTTGAATTGTAAAATGTACATGAGGACCATGTAGGCACTCACCCTATTTGCCCATCCCCTTCCCTTTTCTAGTTATGTTCAATGGAACCAAGTTACAGACTGAATTCTGCTGTACATACATTTATTAGTAAACAGGCACAGAAACAGTCAAACGAACTGTTCTGTAATCTCAGCAAAGCCTCAACTCCCTATCATTTTAGGTGTTCTGAGAGCGTCTAGAATAAAAGTTTCACTAGAGGCAAGCGCATCAGTATTCTTCAGGCACCATACATCCAAACTTAAACTCAGAGTCAGGAGGCAGAATTCTTCGATAATCATTTGTACACGGGATTGCCCTGAATCCTAATTTAACAGACTCATTCCAAAGAGCATTGGCTATATTTTTTTCCAAGAAAAGTTACTCAATTCCTACGTTTTGAATACCAATCTTTAAACCTGTAAAATAATTTCTAGCATCCATTATGTTAATTAGTAATACCCATGCTTGATCAGAGATAAAGAGTGCTAAAGTCTGTTCATAGTTCCTTCTGGAATGTGAGCTTCGGGTTAGTTTAAGGAAGTTCAATGTTAAAACTATTGAAAAGGTATAGATAAAACATATGTGACACGCATATGTCTACAAAGTACTTTAAAGAAAATTTCAGTTATAATACACCTGAATCTAGTCTTGAACATGCTGTGAGCAAAATCAAAATAGATGTGCTACTGAAATGTGCAAAAAATCACAAGACCTAAAAAGCATGTCATTAACACGACATGAGGAGGACCATTTTCTGACTTTCAGAGCAGTGCTCAGAATTGCCATTTTGAGGCTCTTGGAGGTCATTAGCACAGAACATTTCTGCATCAAGGGGCAGAATAATGTTCTTTAATATAATAATGGCAGCAACCTTCACATCTGGTGAAGCAACACAAAGCAGGTCAGCACCAGACGGGACTGGTGTGGAGCAGCAGAATATTGATGCTGCTGAGAGGAGCAATGTAGGCATTGTGGAATTTCTGCATTCATAAGATCTCTTCAAGTACTCTCTCAATAACAAGGGAGTCCTTTCAATTAAAAAGCAGAAGTAATAAGCCAGTCAAAGTCAGGTTCTACTGCTGATGTGACTTCTTTTGTATTCATAAGCACATGATGCCTCGAAAATTTTAATTACATTTATAAACATTTTTTGACCCGTAATTTACTAGACATTGGTAGACTCAGAACTAAAATAAATGACTTTAAATTATTATAATGCTGTCCATGTAAAAAGCATGCATTTATTTTTATTTACCATTTCCTCATATGGCTTTTGAAAATTCTGTAAAAATTTGGTTAAAATGTTGATATTATGGTCCCAATCCTTCTAACCATGCAGATATATTCTTATGCTCCATTCTTACACATATATTAGTAATGTAGTCAAGGGGAAATTTACAAACAAATATAATGATCTTCTAAAGAATTATTTTTAGATTTATCTTTATTGTAGAAAACATATCCTTATGTGATTCCTTGATTTGAAAACGTACGTTTTAGTTACTTCTTTGAGCAATATTTTTTTCATCAATTTTTTATTTTAATTTTCCATAATTTCCTTCTACAACGTGATTTTAGAGGCCCAATACAATCAGGATATGCAAAGTTATGCTATAATAACAAATAACCCCCAAATCTCAGTGGCTTCCAAAATCAATAACTTATTATTCGTGCTATCCATTTACCCTCCATAAGCCAACGGTTTTGCTCTGAGACTGATTAAGCAATTACCATTTTGAATATTTTAGGATTTGAAGATTGAAGGAAAGAATTCTTTAGAAAGTCTTGTGTCAACAAGTTCGAAATCTGGCCACTAGAAAAAAGAAAAATAATTCATTTACTCATTCCCTCATTCAATAACTACCTTTTAGTACCTAATAGGTAGGCAAGCACTATTCTAGGTTCTTAGAAAACACCATAAAAAATTACAATGAAAACTGTCAAAGCAAAAATTGCATTGTACCAAAATAAACAAGCAAGGAAGATTTATTCAAGTCTGGTGCAATCTTCTGATCTCTGAGAGAGAGATCAGAACTCAGTCTGAGCTCAACTCTGCTGATACAAAGGGCAGGAAAATTTTTAGGAGCTGGGATTAAAAGGATCACAGGCTATCTCTGTTTCCTTTGACATTACCCAAAGGAAAAATTAATTTTATAACTTAAAGCAAGGTGCTTGCCTCCTGAGTTTGGGTCTCTACCATCCTACAGAGACTGGGAAATAGAGACTCTATCTTGTGCTATGATGACATTTCTTTTTTTTTATACTTTAAGTTCTCGGGTACATGTGCACAATGTGCAGGTTTGTTACATATGTATACATGTGCCATGTTGGTGGGCTGCACCCATCAACTTGTTGTTTACATTAGGTATATCTCCTAATGTTATCCCTCCCCCCTCCCCCCACCCCACAACCTGGTGTGTGATGTTCCCCTTCCTGTGTCTAAGTGTTCTCATTGTTCAGTTCCCATATATGAGTGAGAACATGTGGTGTTTGGTTTTCTGTCCTTGCAATAGTTTGCTGAGAGTGATGGTTTCCAGCTTCATCCACGTCCCTGCAAAGGACATGAACTCATCCTTTTTTATGGCTGCATAGTATTCCATGGTGTATATGTGCCACATTTTCTTGATGCAGTCTATCTTTGATGGACATTTGGGTTGGTTCCAAGTCTTTGTTATTGTGAATAGTGCCACAATAAACATACGTGTGCATGTGTCTTTATAGCAGCATGATTTATAATCCTTTGGGTATATACCCAGTAATGGGATGGCTGGGTCAAATGGTATTTCTAGTTCTAGATCCCTGAGGAATCGCCACACTGTCTTCCACAATGGTTGAAGCAGTTTACAGTACCACCAAGAGTGTAAAAGTGTTCCTATTTCTCCACATCCTCTCCAGCACCTGTTGTTTCCTAACTTTTTAATGATTGCCATTCTAACTGGTGTGAGATGTTATCTCATTGTGGTTTTGATTTGCATTTCTCTGATGGCCAGTGATGATGAGCATTTTTTCATGTGTCTGTTGGCTGCATAAATGTCTCCTTTTGAGAAGTCTCTGTTCATATCCTTTGCCTGCTTGTTGATGGTGTTGTTTGTTTTTATCTTGTAAATTTGTTTGAATTCTTTGTAGGTTCTGGATATTAGCCCTTTGTCAGATGAGTAGATTGCAAAAATTTTCTCCCATTCTGTAGGTTGCCTGTTCACTTTGATGGCAGTTTCTTTTGCTGTGCAGAAGCTCTTTAGTTTAATTAGATCCTATTTGTCAATTTTGGCTTTTGTTGCCATTGCTTTTGGTGTTTTAGACATGAAGTCCTTGCCCATGCCTATGCCCTGAATGGTATTGCCTAGGTTTTCTTCTAGGGTTTTTATGGTTTTGGGTCTAACATTTAAGTCTTTAATCCATCTTGAATTAATTTTTGTATACAGTGTAAGGAAGGGATCCAGTTTCAGCTTTCTACATATGGCTAGTCAGTTTTCCCAGCACCATTTGTTAAATAGGGAATCCTTTCCCCATTTCTTGTTTTTGACAGGTTTGTCAAAGATCAGATGGTTGTAGATGTGTGGTATTATTTCTGAGGGCTCTGTTCTGTTGCATTGGTCTATATATCTGTTCTTGGTACCAGTACCATGCTGTTTTGGTTACTGTAGCCTTATAGTATGGTTTGAAGTCAGGTAGTGTGATGCCTCCAGCTTTGTTCTTTTGGCTTAGGATTGTCTTGGCAATGCGAGCCCTGTTTTGGTTCCATATGAACTTTAAAGTAGTTTTTTCCAATTCTGTGAAGAAAGCCATTGGTAGCTTGATGGGGATGGCATTGAATCTATAAAATACCTTGGGCAGTATGGCCATTTTTATGAGATTGATTCTTCCTATGCATGAGCATGGAATGTTCTTCCATTTGTTTGTATCCTCTTTTATTTCGTTGGGCAGTGGTTTGTAGTTCTCCTTGAAGAGGTCCTTCCAATCCCTTGTAAGTTGGATTCCTAGGTATTTTATTCTCTTTGAAGCAATTGTGAATGGGAGTTCACTCATGATTTGGCTCTCTGTCTGTTATTGGTGTATAAGAATGCTTGTTATTTTTGCACATTGAGTTTTTATCCTGAGACTTTACTGAAGTTGCCTATCAGCTTAAGGAGATTTTGGGCTGAGACGATGGGGTTTTCTAAATATACAATCATGTAATCTGCAAACAGGGACAATTTGACTTCCTCTTTTCCTAATTGAATACCCTTTATTTCCTTCTCCTGCCTAATTGCCCTGGCCAGAACTTCCAACACTATGTTGAATAGGAGTGGTGAGAGAGGGCATCCCTGTCTTGTGCCAGTTTTCAAAGAGGATGCTTCCAGTTTTTGCCCATTCAGTATGATATTGGCTGTGGGTTTGTCATAAATAGCTCTTATTATTTTGAGATACGTCCCATCAATACCGAATTTTTTGAGAGTGTTTAGCATGAAGAGCTGTTGAATTTTGTCAAAGGCCTTTTCTGCATCTATTGAGATAATCATGTGGTTTTTGTCTTTGGTTCTGTTTATATGCTGGATTACATTTATTGATTTGCATATGTTGAACCAGCCTTGCATCCCAGGGATGAAGCCCACTTGATCATGGTGGATAAGCTTTTTGATGTGCTGCTGGATTCGTTTTGCCAGTATTTTATTGAGGATTTTTGCATCGATGTTCATCACGGATATTGGTCTAAAATTCTCTTTTTTTTGTTGTGTCTCTGCCAGGCTTTGGTATCAGGATGATGCTGGCCTCATAAAATGAGTTAGGGAGGATTCCCTCTTTTTCTATTGATTGAAATAGTTTCAGAAGGAATGGTAAAGGATTATTTCTAACATAGTCAGGTTTTTGGTGTGTGTGTCTGTGTGTTTATGTAAAACTGACTGCTTATGTAAAACTGACTGCAATGTAATAATGTATAAAATAATATTTGACAGAAAACAGGTCTAATATGGAACTACCTACCAAAAGAAATGAAAAGTTAAGTTCAAAATTATTTCATTTTGAGATGACGTAACTTTAGAATGTCTCATGCCCTATTCATGGAGTAGTGTCACTGTGGGTTGTTATCTCTATAATATCATGGAGTTTTAAAATATCTATTGCATCAAAACAAAACACAGACCCTGAGTTGCTCCCAACTATGTTATTTGGATTAACATAAATGGGATTTTTTAGTCTGTCTAGGCTTTTCTCTGAAGCAAGTCAACTTGACAAACAGCATTGTAGCATTGTAAAGTGTAAGAACTAGCTATAATCAATGTCTCAGGGCCTCTTCATTCATAGAAAAAAAAATTAAAGAACAGCAGTCGGCTATGTAGAAAACACACACACACACACACACACACACACACACACACACACACACTGGCATCAATATTGCATATATTAATACCTGAGAAAAGTAAGAAGTCATTCAATGTGAACATAACTTATCAATACAATAAGTCTATACTGAGATCAAATACATATAGAAACTGAATCAAACGGAAATCAGCAAACTATCTTAGAACAGGATGAGACATTTCACATATCAACCATCCCTAATCCATCTAACATCTTTCAGACAAAAGGGCATTTTGTTTACCATCTTGTTAAGGAAATTAGGTGATATATCAGCAAGCCTTCATTTAGATTTAGTTATGATTTTTTATGATATGCTCTGAGATTTGTTTCAAAATTTAGAATATTGAGATCAGCCAAAACGTATATATACATTGCTCACAATTTTTAAAGAAAAATAAGGATTTTCTGTAATATAAATCTACTGTTGAAGCATATATGCCAGGTAATCAAAAATATTTTTAGATTTTACTTTCATATTACCCAAAGATATGCCTTCAGGAAATCATTCTGAAAAGATAATTTTTAAGCTTGTCAAAAAAATTCATTATTTTTTACTACTATTGGCTAGAAATGGTTTACAATGTTGAACACCTGCACTGCAGAGAGTGTTAACTATTTATTTTGGAAGCAGATGATAAAAGACTATCTCTTAATAGAGCACATTACCTACTGGACAGAAGAAAGTAAAAGCATACTCAAAAGTAAGTAATATTTAGTGCTGCAATACCTATAGTAAGAGAACATCAAATTTTATAGTCTTAATAGCAAACTCTATAGAAATTTAGTTGCCTTTTTATACAATCCCAACTGTATCCTTGAATAAAGTGTCTATTTGTGATTAAATATTCTGTGTGTGAAATTCCTAAAACATCACTAAACATGCATCTCTCCGCACTGAGAAAATTTACTCTGACACAGAGACGATGTTTTTAATTAATAAGAAAAAGCAATTTAATCTCAAGAACTTCACTTACTTTTTTCCATTTGTGGTCTGGAAGTTCTTGTCCTCCATTTTTCTTCTTTTTATCAAGGAATTTATTTTTTAATGTTTCTCCTTTTAGTGCCATTTGTAGATTTAAATTTTCTGGAAAGAACAGACATGTCACATATTGTGTGGAGTATATATTGAAGTATAATAAAGATAGCCTAAAAATACTTTTAAGGACAATGATAACCTGGATTTTTTAAATAGCAGAAGGCTCTTTTTATATTTGGTTGTGATCTTGTGCTAATATCAGTGTAAAGACAGAGCCTACGGAGCTAATCAGGGGATTTTATTGTGAATTGTTATTGTTTTATTTGTCTTTCCTCCCCCTTATTGCATCTGAGATGGCTTCAATTTGCGCCTTTATAGGGCCACTAGGATGTTTCAGTCTGAGGTGCAGCTTCTGGAGTAACAAAAATAAAGGAAATAACCCTGGCCTTCAAGAACCTCAAGTTAACAGAAAAGTAGATGCATACAGTTGGATCCAAAGTACAAGAATTGTCATAAAAATTCCCTCTGGCAACACTTACGCAGAAAAAAATTTTTTAACTCTTTTTAAAAATAAATATGATATTATTTATTGTGTAGTCAGTTTTCCTCTAAACACTGAACCTTATTTTCTGTAATCTAAAAACATATATAGCAAGCTTTTGATTGCTTATTGATTTATGGGTAGAACCTATTTTATAATGTTTATTTTAGTCTACAAGTCAAACAACCATTTTATAGACTAACCATAATTAACAAGTTATTTATTTGATTTTTTGTTTGTTTGTTTTGTTTTTTGAGACCGAGTCTCTCTCCGTCACCCAGGCCGCAGTGCAGTGGCGCGATCTTGGCTCACTGCAAGTTCCGCCTCCCCGGTTCACACCACTCTCTCCCTCAGCCTCCCAAGTAGCTGGGACTACAGGCACCTGCCACCAAGCCCAGCTAATTTTTCAATTTTTTTTTTTTTTTTTTTAGTAGAGACGGGGTTTCACCATGTTAGCAAGGATGGTCTCCATCTCCTGACCTCGTGATCCCCTCCTCTCGGCTTCCCAAAGTGCTGGGATTACAGGCGTGAGCCACAGCACCCAGCTTTATTTAATTTTTATATTTGGATAACAAAGTATTAAAACTATATGGAAAGTGTTCCTTGTAGCAAAGGATGAAAACTATCACTGTCATGGAGTATATGCTCTATTTGTGGCTATTGTCCATACAGATAATTTTTAGTTATCTTATTTAATCAATTTTAAAAGTGAATAAAGTTGTCCAAATATAATTATGTAGAAATAAACTATAATTTAATATAAAGTATATAAACTTAAAATTTTAAATATTGTACATCTTCATAAAGTATTAATAATTTGCCATATTTGCTTCAGATATATTTAAAGAACTAAAAATATTTTAGGTAGATTTGAAACTCTATGGGTTGTTTCCATTGCCATTTTTCTTTGTAACATACCCCAGACATGATAAACACTATCTGGAATATGTGGAATACGGTGAGAATTTCTAATTTTTTATCTGTATACACATCTATAGGAAAAACATAGTGTTATTTGACATGTTTCTTGTTATCACATTTTGTGAACATGTAGTCTTTCTTATTTTGGTTCTATATTTTGTTTTTGAGATTCACTCCTTTATGTTATATCTACCTGTTCACTTTGAGAACTTTATATAATCCATCATATAAATGTGCCACTATTTATGTACTTATTTTTTTACATATATTTCAGTTGATACTTTCTTATTGTGATGAACTTTTTTTTGTCAATAAATATTCTTAGCATTCTCATTTTTCCTATGTGCTGGGGTTTCTCTATGGTAGTGGGGCCTGAGTGGTAAGAATCACTTTATTTTTACTTAGTTCTTGAATGCCATTATTATTATTATTATTTTGAGACAGGGTTTCACTCTGTCCCCCAGGCTGCAATGCAGTGGCACAATCTCAGCTCACTGCAACCTCCACCTCCCGGGATCAAGGGATTCTCAAGCCTCAGCCTCTCGAGCAGTTGGGATTATGGGCACCTGCCACCATGCCCGGCTAATTTTGGTATTTGGTAGAGACAGGGTTTCACTAAGTTGGCCAGGCTGGTCTTGAACTCATGACCTCAAGTGATCTGCCCGGCTCAGCCTCCCAAAGTGCCGGAATTACAGATGTGATTTACCATGCCCAGCCAATTCTTAAATACTAACAACCTTTTCCCAGGACCCTCCCTAGAGAAGCCTGGGTAGATTTTTGGTTTTGGTTTTGTTTTGTTTTACATTTTAAGCATCTGGTTTTTTGTTTTGTTTTGATTTTCTTTTTACTTTTGAGTTCAAGGGTACAAATACAGGTTTGTTTCATAGGTAAACTTCTGTCATGGGGGTTTGTTGTACAGATTATTTCTTCACCCAGGTATTAAGCCTAGTACCCATTAGTTATTTTCCCCTATCGTCTCTCTCCTCCCACCCTCCACTCTGGTATTTTCCAATGTCTGTTGCTGCCCTCTGTGTGTTCACGTGTTCTCATCGTTCAGTTCCCACTTAGAAGTGAGAACATGCAGTTTTTGTTTTTCTGTTTCTGTGTTAGTTTGTTAAGGATATTTTCCAACTCCTTCTATGTCCCTGCAAAAGACGTTCTTGTTTTTATGACTGCATGGTAATCCATCATGTATATATAACACATTTAGTTTATCCAATGTATCACTGATGGGCATTTAGGTTGATTCCATGTCTTTATTTTTAATTGACCACCCAACTTTTAAGTCCAAGGTAGTATGGGAAATGCAGCTCTTGGAACAATTCTTACATGTGGAATTGCTGGGCCTGTCTGACAAGACATGGTCATACTGATTAGCTACAATAAAATTTGTCTCCAAAGAGGTTATGTTGCTTTGCAGGCACATAAGCAGTGTATGTAAGTTCAAATTTCTTTAAATCTTGGTAACATCATACTTTATGTGTGATGGTGTGTGTGTGTGTGTGTGTTGAATGATTATAAAAAGGTTCGGATTTGTGTAATATTTCTCTGGATATTGACCGTCTTCATATGCACTTCTTAAGTTGAATGCTTAGCTCATTTATTTTAATATTTCTAATATTTTTAGTACATACAGTCATCTAATGTCAAGTATCTCCCTTCATTCTATGAAGATTTGTGTTCTGAAATACTGTCCCACTCTCCAATACTACCTTTATCATAAATTTGGGTAATTTTGTTATCATATAAAAGATTCTTCTTACTGAATGTCCTGCACACTATCTCAACCACTCTGTGGTTATAGATTTGACTTTACATTGCAAAAAAATCTGCAGTACTTCCATGTCAAGTGTTTCATTCTTAAACTCTTGTTTCTAATATCTCTAGGACATTCTTTATAAAAAATTTTCATTTGAACAGTTCCTGTTACCTTCTACCACATTATTTTTTTATTTTTCATTACTATCATATTCTAATATTATTTTTATTCCTTTAATCTTTGTCATGAGGTGCTTTGAGGTTTTTGAAGGGTAAAAATCGTATCTGGGATACTCCCTTAGTGTGAGGACTCCAGGAGTTTCTTACTCTCATGCTAGCATATGCATAGCCTCCAGAAGTCCATCAAAATTACATCTAAGTTTTGGCTTCAGTGGCTTCTGCTACCAATAAGCAGATCTCAGTTGTGGATCTGACTTCATTCTCTCTCCAAATTCACACTGGTGGTTTGCCCTGCAACCTGACTTCTGTGACTGATCTCTGAAAAGTTGTTGATTTCTACTTTATTCAGCTTTTTTTTTTTTGCAAAAATGGAAGTGAGAATTTCCTAGCTTTTTACATGTCAGAGCTGACACAAGAATATTTCAACAATGTCTGAATCCTTGAATCAGATAATCTAGATCAAAGTCTAATTCTTTTTAATCTTGAGTAAATCTCTCTCTCTCGTATGTATGTTTGTGTCTGTCTGTCTGTCTGTCTTTCTGTATCTCCCTCATCTTTCTTCCACACATCCTAAGTCTCTCTTTCTTCATCTGATAAAGTACAGATCAAAATAATAACTGTTCTTCCTGTCTTCTAGGTAGGATTTGATTTTTTTAAGTACTCAATACAATGACTTTGTTAGTTAATAATTATAATACTTTAGTAAATGACTATAAAAATACTATAGCAACTTCTATATATCTAGCTTCTCCTACAATAAATTTAATAGCTGATTTAAAATTACTATCTTCTTTAATTCTTACAAAATCCAGGTACATTAATATACAGGTCCACAAGATATGTTGCATATATTTAGGTTCTGCAGGCATACCCAGCCTTACAGTGTTATACACGTCATCCTAAAACCCCAAGTTGCTGTACAACTTTGAGCCAATATATTAGGCTTTGATTTGGATAAATGGCTACAGTTATTTATCCAAATAAACACTGAAAAAATATCTTAGTAAAATTGAGGGACAGAAGATTTTATTCTTTACCCCAGCATTTTCAAGTTAGTGACCAGAAGACTGAATTTTTACTGGATGTAATTTCTTTCTTTCCTTTTTTATTATTCTACAATATTTTTCACAATATTTTAATTTGTGACTAGCCTTTGAAAATTAAAATAACTCAGATTAATGTTTGGATTAATATTCAAATTCTTGCTTTCTCTTGAACAATAAAAAGATTTGGCAAATCTGTACCCACATTCTTTTCTGACAAAAATCAGTTGGAAATTATTTGTGGCTGATTTGGCAGGCTGTATGCACTTCAGTTCACTACAGTCCTTACCATTTCCTAGTTTGACACCCAAGCTTGCTTCAGTTGTTTCTTTACAGGTAGATAGGAGAGTTTTTGTTTTAACATTTCAGTCCTTTGAACTGAAGTTTTAATCTAAACATCCATTTTTATTTGAGTTGTCAATCAACATAACAATGGAAACCATACATGAAATGGGCCCAATCACTGACTTCTTTGCCCCTTTCTTGCTTACTAGCAATTGGATAATCCATCATATAACATATTTAACCTGACAAATGTGCAACTGGTCATTTTAGATGGCAGCTTCCCAATGCTTCAGAAACTTTCAGAAACAAAGAAACAACAAAAATTCATGAAGTTATTCAGATTAGGGACTATGCAGGTACCTTCTGTCACTTCACCTTCAGAATCCTTTTCCCCATGTTATATTCTTCTCTATGCAGAATGACAGGTCATCAAAGGCGGCAAAATACTCCAAGAGGAATGTGAATGGTGAAAGCCGTAAAGTGGTCTCTCCTACCTGATACATGTTGTATTCCTTTAGTTTTCTGAGAATATTTTTAGTTAAATGTAATAAATCACTTATTTTTAAAGTTTTCTTAGTTTTTAAGTGTTGAAATTGTTTCTTTATTATGTTCCTAAACACACAAAAAAAGGAAAGGTAACACAACATTGCATAAGATTCAAGCTAGGGGAAGAAGCCTATGCTGGACAAGATTTCTAGTGCCCAGCCTTATACAGGAATAGTTAAGAAAGATAAAAAATATTGCATTTTATTGATGTGTAACCCTGGGCTCAGAGAAGCTAAGTGATTTTTCCAAGACTACACAGTGGTGACAGGGAGCACCCTACGGGCTTTCAGTCATTCATGAGTTCATAGCCTGGCTCTGTTATTCATCAGCTGTGTAAATTGGCCAAAGTTATCTAAATTTTCTCAGGCCTACTCACCTCACCTATAAAATAAAGATAGCTATACCCATTCTGTAGGGTTGTTTTCACGATTAAGTGAAATAAGACCTGTAAGCACTTAACCTATACAGGTCAAGCATCCCTAATATGGAAGTCCAAAATCCAAAATTCTCCAAAATTTGAAACTTTTTGAGCACCTATATTACATCATAAGGGAAAAATTCCACACCTAACCTCTTGTGGTGAGTCACAGTCAAAATGCGGATACACAACACAGAATTCATTCACTGTCACCAGGTAAAAGGCCTTCTCAGCTCTCTTTAGCTGTGATATATTTTTTCAGTGCATTCCCAGATTCTCCCACATGCCCACAGGCAAGCAGACCCGCAGAGGGTAATATAATGGCACCTGTGCAGGCTGGACCTGCCCACAGCAGCTTCCCCATTATGCAAAGAGATACTTCTTGGACAAAAACCATTGTTAGTGAGGCAGATGACTCTAGAGGAAACATTTAAAAAGCCACCCAGTGGAATGCCTCTTCATCCCTAGGGACCTATTTCCCGGTCCCTCAATGGCTTCTGATGTTTCCTCACCTAAAAAATTAAAATGTGCGGTACAGTAACCTTTTAATCAGAGCACAGCATCATAGGGGAAGACTGAAAGCCTGCCATTGTTTCTTGTTGCTGTTATTTAAAGCTGATACTGTTATTGTAGTGATGCTACGGTGCTGCTTAGTTGCGCTGACACATTATTTTTTCACTGCATGAACGGTATGTTGTTTTTTTTTTTTTACTATTAAATACTGTGTGTGACTTAGTGTAAGAAGATGGTTACTTATCGGCCGGGCGGCGGTGGCTCACGCCTGTAATCTGAGCACTTTGGGAGGCCGAGGCGGGCAGATCACGAGGTCAGGAGATGGAGACCATTCTGGCGAACACGGTGAAACCCTGTCTCTACTAAAAATACAAAAATTAGCCGGGCGTGGTGGCGGGCGCCTGTAGTCCCAGCTACTAGGGAGGCTGAGGCAGGAGAATGGCGTGAACCTGGGAGGCGGAGCTTGCAGTGAGCTGAGATTGCGACACTGCACTCCAGCCTGGGCGACAGAGCAAGACTCTGTCTCAAAAAAAAAAAAAAAAAAAAAAAAGAAAATGGTTATTTATCAGTAGCATATAATTTCAGAGTCAGAAATAATGGTAATGCCAGACAACTACAGATTGTTCACACAGGTAGCTGAGGCAGTGACACCTTTACTTTTTAATGTTTCCATTAAATGTACACAAATTTTGTTTCATGCACAAAATTATTTAAAATGTTGCATGAAATTACCTGCAGACTATATGTATAAGGTATATATAAAACATACATGAATTTTGTGTTCAGACTTGGGTCCTATCTACAAGATATCTCATTACATATATGGAAATATTTAAAAATCTGAAACTCTCTGGTTCCAAGCATTTCAGAAAAGGAATACTCAACCTGTAATCCCTGGTATATTTTTAAAAAGACAAATAGATAGCAAATAGTTATTTGTTTGAATACATTTTATTTATCTAAATAAATATGTGTTCATTAATTCACCAGTGTTTTATAATGCTATTATTCAGACCCATGTTTCTTAAGTAAAATAAATACTTAGGCATCATAAGAATGTATTACTTTGGATATGGTATATATAGTAGCACTAATGCAAGTGTGTATAAAATGCAAAACTAAGCTAAACTAAAACTAAAACCAAATGGACACAAGAAATCACCAGTTCAAATTTATTTCTACCATGCTAATAAAGCAACACTGAGCTCATTTGGGGACATATTGTCCAGATGCCAGTATTCAGGCACCTACATAAAGCTGTTAAGTGAAACGAGAGAAAACCTTCAAGGGCCTGGTAGCTGTAGCCTCTGTTTGCTATCTTAACACAGCACAACAAATGGATGCATTAGGAAGTGCTATATTGTATATGCCTGAATACCTATGTTAGTCTGGGAAGCACACATATATCATCCATTTCGCTGCACCAGTAGCAAGAAATAATTAGTGGGAAACCGAGCAATTTCAAATTGACCATATCAATATTTTTAAAAAATACTTTATAAAAAAGATAAAAACATATCAAGCTGTCATGATGGGAAATCAGATGAAAAACGTTGCTTTGCAATTTTCTAATTCAATTAAAACCTGAATCAATAATTACCAGTTTATAAAAGTGATATGCTATAGATTATTAAAATGAGGTGCAACCCTTATTTTTATTAATTAGATGGAAAAATGAAAAACAAAAAAACTTATGTAAAAATACAGTGAAAATATAACAGGTAAATAGTTGTTATATTACATATCATTTATTTGTTCAAATATTCATTGATCTATTCCTTCAATAAATATGTGTTATGAACATATTATTTGCCTCTTTAATCTCTGGGTATAAGTTAGTGAAAGTAGACCCTTTGCCCAAATGTAACTTAGGTGCTGGGAGAATCATTCTGGCAATAAACAAGTAAACTTAAATATACAACATTGCTTAGGGTAAAGAGATAATGTGTGATGAGCAGGGCTATTTTGATAGAGCATTTATCAAAGAGGTGATCTCTAAGCAGAGATAAATAATGTGAGGGAATATCAATGCAAAGATCCAGAGGAAAATATTCCAGGCAGTGGAAAGAAGAACACTGAAAAAGGTTGTTGTACTTGAAGTACATTAAGCTGCTTTGAGCCATGAGAGCCATGGAGGGAATACGGTATGTGATTAGGGAGTAAGGTAGGGTCTAGATTGGATCGAATCATCTAGATTATGGTGGAATTGAGATTTCATTCTGTGATAGGAAGCAATAGGAGGTAGTAAGCATAAAAGTGATATAAAGTAACTCATTTGAAAAATATACATCAGTAAATTATTTTGTGGGAAATGACCTGTAGGAGGCAGCACTGGAGATCAGGACACCTTTTAAGAGGATGCTGCCAACGTTCATGTAACAACTGGAGACTGTGGCATTCCTATACTACTCTTTCTGACATAACCTGGTTTGCATTGTTAATAATCTCTATGCCCTTGTAGAAGGCATTACATATTTTCAAAAGTGTCATCTCATTTGAAGTTAATAGGAGTAGCGTTACTGTTTCATTTTACAAATTAAGAAGCCAAGATATAAATATAAGTGCGCTCTTAAGGGTAATTATGTGAGAACTGTGGCAAAGAACATCCTCTTGCTTCCTAATGCTAAATATATGTTTAAATATATCAAGTTATAGGGTGTCTACAATAACAAGCTTAAACTACTCTTAATCTAAATGTTACTATTTAATAATATTTAATTTAATACATTTATTGAACTATATCTAAAATGGTATCTGGATAGCACTACCTAATACTGTGCCTCTATGTATTTACTAAAACATTTATGAAAACAAGAACATGTCAAAAACATAATAAAGCAAACTGAATTAGAGAGGTAATTAATTACAAAAATCAGAGTAGTATATTCTCTATCTACAACAGAATTTAATATTACAACTGGTAAATGAGGCTCCCCTGTCATTCTGATACCCTATTCTTACCAGGCACCCTAATTTAAGGTTCTTCCTAAGCCTTAAATTTCCAGTGTGCACATTACCCAAAGCAAACAAACAAACAAAAGGAAAACATGAACACCTGTCCCTTTAGCACAATTGCTACCATTTCAATTTTCTTTTTTCTTCTACATATTATAGTATGTACAGTTTTCATTCTAACAGTATTAAAAGTTTATTATTACGCATGCATGTGCACTCACACACACACCTAAACAATACTGAATCATGGAAAGTGAAAAGTACAGTCCTTTTTCCCAGCCTACCAAGCCATGCTGTTCAGGTGTAAAAACTGCTAATCTTTTCTTGTATATGTTTCCAGAAATGTTCCATTTGTGTGTGTGTACACTTCTTCAAGAAACTGAAATGAGACCATATATACTGTCGTGACTCCTGCATTATTTATGAGCATAGGTATATATCAAACTCTTTTTTACACATGTGCCATGGTGGTTTGCCGCACATATTGACCCATCTTGTAATTTCCCTCCCCTCACCCTCCACCACCCAACAGGCCCTGGTGTGTGCTATTTCCATCTCTGTGTCCATGTGTTCAACTCCCACTTATGAGTCAGAACATGCAGTGTTTGATTTTCTTTTCCTGTGTTAGTTTGCTAAGGATGATGGCTTCCAGCTTCATCCATGTCCCTGCAAAGGACATGATCTCATTCGTTTTTATGACTGCATAGTATTCCATGGTGTTTATGTGCCACATTTTCTTTATCCAGTCTGTCATTGATGGGCACTTGGGTTGGTTCCATGTCTTTGCTATTGTAAATAGTGCTGCAATAAACATATGTGTGCATATGTCTTTATAGTAGAATGATTTATATTCCTTTGGGTACATACCCAGTAATGGGATTGCTCGGTCAAGTGGTATTTCTGGTTCTAGATCCTTGAGGAATTGCCATACTGTTTTCCACAATGGTTGAACTAATTTATAATCCCACCAACAGTGTAAAAGCATTCCTATTTCTCCACAGCCTGGCCAGAATCTATTGTTTCCTGACTTTTTAATAATTGCCATTCTGACTGGCATGAGATGGTATCTCATTGTGGTTTTGATTTTCATTTATCTGGTGATCAGTGATTTCGAGCTTTTTTCATGTTCATTGGCCCCGTAAATGTCTTCTTTTGAGAAGTGTCTGTTCTTATCCCTTGCCTAGCAAACTCTTTTTCACAACATTTTGGTATTCCATTGTCTTTTATGATTTAAATTTTTATTTAATCTCTTTTATATTAGTAAATATTCTGTTTGTGTTGAAATTTTGTTAAAAATGATACAAAGAACATTATCACACATAAGTATTAGTATTTCATTGGGTGTACTTGATGGAAAAAACTTTCTATAAGTTAATTGATGGGGCAAAATCTTTTTCCACTTTATATATTATTATACTTTAGAAATTTTTGTCCCTTTCCAAAATATTGCACTTCCAGAAAGAAAATGTAATAATTCCTAATTTACCTGATTGATGGGTAAAAGACATTTAAAAAAGAATAGATAATAAATCCAAAGGGAACATCATGCAAATATGAATGGCCAAAAGTTTAAATTGGTACTGTATTACAAGTTTAAATGGTGCCACATATATTGCTTTTATTTGCATATCTTAAATGTCTTTCCATATGTTTAGTAATAATTTTAATTGTTTTCCTGTGAAATAGTTTCTCAGACACATTGTGCAGTTTTCTATTAGGTTTGTTTGCTTTTTGCTCCTTGATTTGTGAGTTACCTTTTATAGTTATAAAGTAAGGACTTGTTCTATGGTACATGATGCCTTAGACTATACCGTGAGGAAGATAAATAACTATCTTTTTCTTCTATTTATCTCTATTAATCCATTCAGAGATTAAAATATCTAATAAAATTAGGAAGGAAATTTAATGACACTTCATATTAGAGTAAAAGATTTTCAAAAATAAATTTCCCTTGGTAGGAGCAAGATCAGAAAAAGCACTTATAATGTTCTGGGCAATGCAGAATTTTTTCATTTGAACAAAGCTTTAGGAAAAACAAGCAACGTGGTAGAGTCTTGTCTATCAGGATTATACTCGATTAATATCCTCTGGGCCTAGAAATTAGCCTAAGAGCTCTGCATCTCAGCCTGCTTCCAGGCTGCAGAGCTGCATGGAGAATTCCAAAATAATCAAGAAGATGAATCCAGACACATACATAAAACTGCACATAAATATCTGTATATATCTTTCCTCATTCTAGAAAGAACAAAGAGAAGACAACTCAACTTCAAGTCTATTGCAAAAAAAACAAGAAATCCTTAGACTGATCTTTCAGAAAATTATTCATTAAAATCAGTTTTAAGAAAAACAAAACTGGCATCCTTAATAACATAAAAGAAATGTGTTCTCTATGAAACAACAGGTAAAAGTTATTCCTTTTTGGTTCACAAAATTATGCATAAGTACCTATAACAGATCCAAGACTATTTGATTGATGGGCATCTGACTACAAAAGTGAACAAAGCAGACAGGGGGCTCCTGCTTTCATGGGGTTTACAAAGGAGTTTACATAGACAGAGTAAAATTGGCAAAATCTTATGAAAATGAATGAAATTACCACTAAATTAAAAATCTAATTAATATGTGGTACTATGAGTATATGTGTATAACAGATGAATTGCTTAAGTGGATATTTTAGAGATCAATGGGCTGAAAATGAGTTGTGGAGTATTTGAAACTAGTTTTACAAATAGGACTCCATGGTTATATCTATCTATCTATCTTAGAGTGAAGTGCTTCTTTAGTGATTTTAGTACTGTCAGAGTACAACAAACTTCAATGAGTGAGTTTGTTACTCAGAGGTGAGTAACTGAAGTGAAGCTAGAGTGATTAGTTTGGTACAGGCGCATGAGTCAAGGAATTGAGAAGCTCTTGTATTGGCTGGGCTCTTCACATAGATAATGAAATCACCCATTGTGGTGCAGAGGAAGACAAAAAGCAATTGCAAGGACTCAAAGTAACAAAGGAAAAGAGTAGGTGAAAGAGTCAGAAAGAAAGGCTCGAAAGGAATATGGTTTAGTTGTGGATGAATAAACAAAAGACTGGAAGCAAAAATGGGAAACAAAGAGATACTAGCCCTAACTTCTATACCTAAAAAATATAATATGTGAGGGAGTAAGTGCTAATCTCTTGAGAGTAGATTCTAGATCAGTGTAAGCTAAGAAAGTGAACAGTTGTTCATAGTAGAGGATGAGAATAAAGGGGGTTTGATGGTTATGGAGTACCTGTAGCAAGCAGAAGGCACTGAAATGTCTAGGGGTTTGCAGAAGGAAGAGTTAGCTATGTTAGCAGTAAGGGAAACAGTACACTGTAGGAAATGCTTAAGTGGAATAGGCTAGATGACTCTGTGTGTGTGTTTGTGTGTGTGTGTGTGTGTATGTGTATGTGTTTATGTGTGTGTGTTGCTTATTTGTATGTGGTAATTGTTGGAAACTTGGATAAAATACAGGGTGAATTTTGTCTCATACAAAAGGATGATGGTGAGCCTAAAAGCAAATGAAAGAAGCTCTCTTCCTTGACAGGGGTTACAGTAGACTCAGAAATTGCCAACTACATAGAAACAGCAATGTAAGAGAAAAACAGAATATAAAAGTAGAAACAAAGATAAAGTACCAACTGAAAACAAGGCTGGGAAATATCAGAAGATAGGGGAGATAACTATAGAGTTATGGAAGAGAGAGTAGAACATTCACGAATTAAGAAATAAGAAAAGTCAAAGAGACATAAAATTTGTTTCAATCTAGTAACATATGCCAAAATTAAAGCAAGTAAAATTTATTTATTTAGTTATACATTTTTTAAATGATGAAAAATAAATCAGAGTTCAAATAGTGTGAGGAAGACTTTCACCTATTTGTAATAGCAATTCTAAGAGACAATCTAAGAGCTCAGTGTTATTAAAAGATAGCACAGAAAGTTATAAATCCAAAATAATTCCAATTTAAGTAGTAATTAAAAGTGTGAATTTTATCTATTAACACAGGGAGAAAACATATCAAAATGTTAACAAAGGCATTTAAATTATTGGAAATGATTATTTTTACATGACTTATGTATTGGTGTATTTTGAAAAATCCTGCAATCAGCTTTTAAAATAAAACATATACATGCATGAGTATGTATGTGTGTGTATGCATGGGAAGATATTTTATACAATTTTGTGTAATATATAAATGACCAAAATCTTCATTTTAACCAGATGGTATGTCTACGCAATGACAACATAAGCAATTTAAAGAGATATAAAATGGTGTATGTGGTTGTTAACACCATCTCTGAACAATGGGGCCACTGAGAAGATGAAGCAATACACATTGTATTAACTTTTGTTTCCTTTCCATGCTGAGGACAGTGGCAGCCAGAGTCATTCATTAGTGATCCTCTTTTTTTGTTGTTTTGTTTTGTTTTGTTTTGAGATGAGGCTTGCTATGCTGACCTGGCTGGTCTCAAAGTCCTGGCCTCAAGGCATCCTTCCATCTAGATCTTCCAAAGGGTTGCAATTCCAGGCACGAGCCACCATGCTCAGCCCATTAGAGCTCCTTAACACAACTGTCATGATCTGTCCACCTGGGCTCCGGTGATTCCTAGTTAAGCAGGTCAATCAAGGTTTGCGTAAATAACAGATGGTCTCTTTTTAATGTTTGCTTGGTTAAAATGTCAAAAAAGAAAATTAAAAGCAGAAAGAAAATAACTATAACAAGCACCAGCCCAAGTAAATTAATATTTAGACTTGGAAAGATGTCCACAAATTCTAAGCA
Organism: Homo sapiens; assembly: GCF_000001405.40. Classification (NCBI taxonomy): domain Eukaryota; kingdom Metazoa; phylum Chordata; class Mammalia; order Primates; family Hominidae; genus Homo; species Homo sapiens. The sequence continues at coordinate 65,860,266 of NC_000004.12, read as the reverse complement.
ATTAAAGCAAGTTGCAAATGTCTATATGTGGAAATACACACACATATATATATACACACACACACACACACACACACACACATAGAAGATGTATGTGCACATACATCCACTGCATATATGCATATACATTATATATTTGCACATATGTATATCTATATACACACATACAATACATATGGATATGCATACACTAGCATTTGCACTAATGTGTGTGTGCATGTGTGTGTATACATTGTTTCTACATACCTAAAAATGTTTGTAAAGTATGTGCAAACCTATATACAACTGTTATTTCTGTGTAGGTCATTTGGAACTAGAAATCAACTTCATTTTCTTTCTTATATATAATTTAATGTTTAATTGGAATTTTCCACCATGGACACATAACACAGCTGATATGAAGTTCCAATACAAGGTGTCAGAATGCAACTATTCAAAGCAATTTTCAGTCTGGGGGTCATTTTTTTAAAGTTCAATGGAGAGATTCTGCATGTAGTGAACTGCTGAAAACCAGCAGCAACTTCTGGAAACTTACAATTGAGGGATTCCAGCAGGGGAGCCTCTAAAGAACCCAGAAAATGCTCATGTGAATGCTCTGCTTTCAACATCAGCCAGGTCCAGAGTACAAAGATAGCTTGGGAATAAGAAGCACATCACGTAAGGAAGAACTTCATTATTCTCTGACTTCTTCTCCCTCATGGTTTTGGAGAGCTGAGTACAGAATATAAGAAGTGATTAGGTAAGTGACCAGAGAAGGCAGAAGTTTTTTCAGAGGAAAGGGGAAATTTTATCCTACTGAGCAGCTTGAAATAAAAGTGAGAGACAAAAATAAGTTGTGTTGTGGTTACATTTAAATTAACACACACATAAGCACAACAGTTGTTCAATCATTTACATTTACTTGTCTGTTTTTCAAAAATACTTTGAATATAAGCATGCACTACTTCCAAATAAAAGATAGATCAAAATTAGTGAATTATTAGCAGAGAAGATATTCCATATAAAGCAACAGTGTTTTAGGTAAATGGCAGAGTTTACAGTTCAAATTCTGTGTATAATTCTACAACAATTTCTTTAAATATGGCAAGGTCTATTGAAGTATATTATTCATATGTACAGTCATATATCACAGAATGATGTTTTGCTCAACAACAGGCCAGATATACAACAGTGGTCTCATAAGATTATAATATCATTTATTATTATTATTATACTTTAAGTTCTGGTATACATGAGCAGAACATGCAGGTTTGTTACATAGGTATACACAAAACATGATGATTTGCTGCACCCATCAACCCACCATCTACATTAGGTATTTCTCCTAATGCTATCCCTCCCCTAGCCCCCCACCCTCTAACAGGCCTTGGTGTATGGTGATCCCCACCTTGTGTCCATGTGTTCTCATTGTTCAGCTTCTACTTATGAGTGAGAACATGTGGTGTTTGGTTTCTGTTCCTGTGTTAGTTTGCTGAGAATGATGGTTTTCAGCTTCATCCATGTCCCTGCAAAGGAGATTAACTCATTTTTTATGGCTGCATAGTATTCCATGGTGTATATGTGCCACATTTTATTTATCCAGTCTATCATTGATGGGGATTTAGGTTGGTTCCAAGTCTTCGCTATTGTGAATAGTGCTGCAATAAACATATGTATGCATGTGTCCTTATAGTAGAAGGATTTATAATCCTCTGGGTATATACTGAATAATGAGACTGCTGGATCAAATGGTATTTCTAGTTCTCAATCCTTGAGGAACTGCCACACTGTCTACCACAATGGTTGAACTAATTTACACTCCCAACAACAGTGTAAAAGTGTTCCTATTTCTCTACATCCTCTCCAGCATCTGTTGTTTCCTGACTTTTTAATGATTGCCATTCTAACTGGCATGAAATATTATCTAATTGTGGTTTTGATTTGCATTTCTCTAATGACCAGTGATGATGAGCTTTTTTTCATATATTTGTTGTCCACATAAATATCTTCTTTTAAGAAGTATCTGCTTATATTTTTTGAGGCCAGCATCATCCTGATACTAAACCTGGCAGAGACACAACCAAAAAAGAAAATTTCAGGCCAATATCCCTGATGAACATCGATGTGAAAATCCTCAATAAAATACTGACAAACCGAATCTAGCAGCACATCAAAAGCTTATCCACCACGATCAAGTCAGCTTCATCCCTGAGATGCAAGGTTGGTTCAACATATGCAAATCAATAAATGTAATCTGTCACATAAACAGAACCAATGTCAAAAACCACATGATTATCTCAATAGATTCAGCAAAGGCCTTCAATAAAATTTAAACCATGCATGCTAAAAACTCTCAATAAACTAGGTATTGTTGGAAAGTATTTCAAAATAATAAGAGCTATTTATGACAAACCCACAGCCAACATCATACTGAATGGGCAAAAGCTGGAAGCATTCCCTTTGAAAACTGGCACAAGACAAGGATGCCCTCTCTCACCACTCCTATTCAATACAGTATTGAAAGTTCTAGCAATCAGGCGAGAGAAAGAAATACAGGGTATCCAAATAGGAAGAGAGGAAGTCAAATTGTCTCTGTTTGCAGATGACATGATTGTATATTTAGAAAACCCCATTGTCTCAGCTCAAAAATCTCCTTAAGCTGATAAGCAACTTCAACAAAGTCTCAGGATACAAAATCAATATGCAAAAATCACAAGCATTCTTACACACCAACAATAGAGAACCAAATTATGAGTGAACTTCCATTCACAATTACTACAAAGAGAATAAACTACCTAGGAATACAACTTACAAGCTATGTGAAGGACCTCTTCAAGGAGAACTGCAAACCACTGCTCAAGGAAATAAAAGAAGACACAAACAAATAGAAAAACATCCCATGCTCATGGATGGGAAGAATCAATATCGTGAAAATGGCCATACTGCCCAGAGTAATTTATAGATTCAATGCTATCCCCATCAAGTTACCACTGACTTTCTTCACAGAATTAGAAAAAACTACTTTAAATTTCATATGGAACCAAAAAAGAGCCCGTATAGCCAAGACAATCCTAAGCAAAAAGTGCAAAGCTGGAGGCATCACACTACCTGACTTCAAACTATATCATATTTTAATGTACCATTTCTATGCTTAGATATCTTTAAATGCACAAATAGAATTGTGTTACAATTGCTTACAGTATTCTGTATAATAATGTGCTGTACAGGTTTGTAGCCTAGGAATAATAGGGCTATACAATATAGCCTGAGTGTGTAGTTGACTGTACCATTAGGTTTGTGTAATTACACTCTATGAGGTTCAAATAATGGTGAGATTTTCTCAAGATGCGTTTCTTGGAACATATCCCTGTCATTAAGCAACACATGTCTGTGTGTGTGTGTGTGTGTGTGTGTGTGTGTGTGTGTATAATATGATATATGTATATATCACTTAAGAAAAGTGAAATAATAAAATTATTTAAGCTAAATCTTGCCTTGAAAGGTGGAAAACATCATAGAAGAACTATTTGAACTGGGTATTAACAAAAGTACCCACTAACTCCAACTGGTAGATAAAAGCATTTTAGGATATGTCATGATCTATATAAAAGTACAAGAAATATTATGGTATGTTACGGAGAGAATAACCATATTAGTGTATTTGGCATATAAAAGCTGGGTGGGCAAGGAAACTGTTGGGTATGATGCTGGCCTGCTTGGTTGAGAGGATATTGTGGAGTCATTCAATGTCATGCCAAAGCATGTGGATATTATTGTATTACTAATGTGGAAGTCAAGAATCATTTTAAGTTGAAGTTACAAAATTGGATTAATATGGCTTTTGGGTCTCTCCTCAATGCATTTATTGTGCTTTTTAATTTACCTTTACCTCAAATTCCCATAGCACTGACAAAGTTACATAATAATTATCAAGTATCTGTCTCTTCCACTGAACTGTGAAATTCCTGGTGTTAGAGGTTATCTATCTTCTCTAAAACAACAGCAGGTTTTGAAGGATTGACAAAAATAGCAAACTAAAGTTTCGACATTATTGAAAATAGAAGTGGAACTATACAGGATAAATATTAAAATTTAGAGATGTTTTTGGAGAGTAGTAATTATAAAATTGATATTGTTATAAAAAATTAAGTAAAGTTTCTCAGAACATGAAAAGCAAATTGACCAAAAATGAAACTTGGCTTTCTATACATTTTTTAAATGCCAATAAAAACAATATTTCAGTTTGCTTTTTAAAGAGCTTAATCATGTAATTTCCTTGTTATATGTTGTAAAAAGTTTTCTTCTATCATTTAGTAATTCTCAGTGTGGAAAACTTAGTTAGTTATACTGGGAATAGTATAAATTTTGCCAGTTTGATAGATATGCCTATGTCATTTCAGCTTCAGCCTGAAGTAATACATAAAAACTATGTCTACCTGGATTAGATGTTTGAGTGTAAAGATGAGGCATTTGTGCCCGGTTTGGGTTTGTTTCCCCCTTGGTTTAAAGCGTACTCACCATATGTTTAAAAAACATATGCTTTTGGTTAAAATTGGTCATACAGTCAGAAATATCTGGCACCTCTCAGATAGTTTGACCCATTTAAGGATATTTTTTAAATTTGACGTTCACTTTCTGTCTCTGTAGCTAAAGTTAGAAGATGCCAGTCGGTGTGACTATAAGAAAGGGAATGAACACACAGACTGAAGCTGCTTTTGGATGAATTGTTTTATTTATCTTCTCCAAAGATAAGAGATAAAAATCACTCACCTGAGATAGGATTCAGTGGAATCATCTACTTACTGGATTAGAGGAGGCTGGCTATTCCCCAGGCAAGAGGGTTCCAGCTGCCTAGAGTAGGTATTGATAGAGCTAATTAGCATGGCCAAAAGAGACCACACTGTTCTCTCTGGCATTTCCAAGGTAATATAGAATCTGGTTTGTTGCAATATACAATCATACTCTTAAAAATATTAAACATTCTTATTTATTGTCTTACTCTTTGCATTGTTCTCCTTTAGTTATTTCTTCTTTACAGTTCTTATTTGTCCCCTTGATTTGTGACTGTAGCAACAAAAGTGTTTATTTCTATCTCTGATGTAGAGAAAAAGTGTCTATTTTCAAATTAATCTGCTTTTAAAATGGGCTTGTTAGTATAACCTTATAATTATTCACAGCCAAAGAAAGTTGTGATGTTTCTACACTTCAAAATAAAAGTTATATTTACTTCTAGGAAACGTAATCCTATTTAGTTTTTATAAATGCTTTAATCTCATTCTAAAATTATTCCACCTTTGATCACAACATAAAACAGATAAACTATTATACCTTACAGGGTAAAAATATAGTCAAAAATAAAATAGGTAAAATAAATGACATTTTTACTTTTATCATCAAGCATTTGTATCAGATTTTTTTAACTTACTTAGTATTGTTTCATGGAAATGGATGTTGTATCCTAATCAGAAATTTAAAGTATTTTCTTGAATAGCTTGAGAAATTGTTTCACATTCAAACTTAAGGTTTAGAGTTATTTATTTTCACTTATTTGAGGAAATTTTCTAAAATTCTCACCAGATTGAGGGAAAAAAAAATTGAAATTTAAAAAAGTCTTACTTTATTAGCCAGGTGTGGTGGTGCTCACATGTAATCCCAGCTACTCAAGAGGCTGAGGCAGAATTGCTTGAACCCAGGAGGCAGAGGTTGGAGTGAGCTGAGATCACACCAATGCACTCCAGCCTGGGTGACACAGTGAGACTCCATCTCAAAAAAAAATTAAAATTAATTAAAAAGTCGTAGTTTATCGTTAGCCCAAAACTAGAGTAAGACTGAAGACTGTCCACCAGTTCAGAGTGAAATGTCTTATCTGCAACTGGACTAGATCCCATTTTATTCAAAGTTTGATTTCTAGGAGGTAAAAATACCTATTAAGAAAAGTCTTTGGACAAGATGAAGAAGAAAATACCTATACAAGATAGTTTTCTACTGAGATATTTGTTTATCTGTACTTAGAGATAAAAAGAATAATGTCAGAAAACAGGTGAATATAAATTAAAAATTTCTCTTAATTTTTCTCATTTTCAGTATTGCTTAGTCAATTACACTTTAGAAATTATTATTTATCTGTCTTTGGAATTATATTTCTATGCAGTGACAGATAATTGAAGGAAGATGTTAATAAGTTCTGGTTTTTATGTTGCAACATTTCCCACTTGTTTGTCCACTTTTCCAAGGAAAGGTAAAAATTAGGGGCAAATGGTGATAGAACTGTTGAGATACTAACATTTTGAAACATGTTCAGTGAAGCTGTTACAATGACAGGCCCATGTTAGAGTGAAGAATGGAGATGGCTCAAAGCCACCTCTCCCTTTTGTTTCTTGCCTGCTTTTGTGGGTCTTTTCTAGATGTTAGGAATAAAGTAGGGGGAAACATTAAAAGCAGACATGACATTTTCTCTTGTACTGTTGACATTTTAAAAAACATCCAAATGCTTCCTTAGTCAGAAAATTCTATGCTAAAATTAAAGCACAAAATGCCACGAAGTGACTACACAAAGAGTATAGGGTCTGGTTTCCTTCATATGCCAAATATCACTGAATATGGGCAAAACTTGCTGCATGGTTAGATTTTTATACTTTCCGTAAAATCATCTCCTCAAGAAAAGATGGGTTGTCCATAGTGAAATGCTTGGTTAAGTGTTTTGACTATTTTGAAATTGTTGGTAACAAACCTGATTTCCATTAATTTATGTTGACTGTTTTACCTACCAGGCATTGTGCTAATTAAGGATATTTAATATATAACACCAATTGCTCTCCTCATAAAGCTAATTTTTAATATTGAGGAAAGAAAGAAAATAATTTTATTAAAATGAGACAGGCATTAATAGATTAGTTAGTAGGTGATTCCTTAGAGAAAATTATCACATGTCTTCATTTACTTTATTACACTATCATTGTTTTAATTAGCATAGAAGGCAGCATTCTAAGATGCCCTTTCCCAGAATTCACAGGCCCTGCCGGGCACCCTTTTTCTCTTAGTTTTTCAATCAGATGATAATTTAGGTACTGCTTGAAGGAATTTTGAAGATAAAAGTAATGTCCCAAAACAGTTGACTTTAAGACAGGGAAATTATCTGGGTAGGCCTGACCTAATTACATGAACTCTTTAAAAGCAGGGAGCTTTCTCTGTCTGGTCACAGAGGAGTATGTCAAACAACTGTGCTCTGGCTGTTATGAATTGCCTATAGCCATGAATGGAAGGTGGCCTCTAGGAGCTGAGAGTTGTCCTTTGTTTACAGCTACTGAGAACATGAAAACCCATCCTACAATCACAAGGAAATCATTATTCCACCAATAATCACAAAGAATTGGTTATTCTACCAATAGTCAATAAGCTTGGTAGAAGACTTCATGTCCCAGATGACTAGAGCCTCAGCCAGCACCCTGATGTAAGCCTGATGATACCCTGAAGCCACACCTTGCCTAGATTTGTAACCTACAAAAACTTTCAGATAACAAATTTGCACTGCTTTCAGAGGTTTTTTTTTCTTTACAATTTGTTACTCAACAATAGATAACGAACACAGTTAAATTTTAAGAAATCATACTGATGAAAATATATAGCTGGCATCAATTCTGATTTTCTTGAGGTAAAAGAGTAAATCATCCTTAAAAGAGAAACTAATTGAAATTTTGCATTATTAGCATAAACAATAAAATTTACAGGACTTATTAAGTGTCAGTTACCTAAAAAGTATCTTTGTATATATCATTACACAGATAATTTTATTATATATAGCATATTAAAGATAAATATTTGTAAAGATACAAATATTATGTGTGGCATATTAAAATGACAAGGTATAAAATGCATCTATTTCTTTTTAAAATTGTCCAACCTGATCCTGTTTTCAAAACTACACAATCTAAGTTTATATAACGATGTGGACTTAATATCTTTTCTTTCTACCATGTATTTCTATTGTCAACTTTCTGGTTCTCTTTGAATAAAAAATTATGTGGCCTAATTGAGCACCAAGTAGATGTATCAGCCTTTAAGCAGTGGAGTTTAAGTGGAGAGGTCATGATTTTTGGTGTTACAAACACTGAAATTATAAAAATTAAATTAATATGTGCTCCAGTTTTATTATATTTAAAAAAACCTGCTAGATCTATTTCTCAATTTGTTAGATAAGGTAAGTAATACCTAAAGTTCTGCTTGCTAATGAACATGAGATTACTCAATAGATGAGATGAAAACACATTGGCTAAACAATAACATGAATTAGATTTAAAATATAAACTTCAAAAAAACAAAACAACAACACCACTAAAAAGACCGAGTATTGCGGACCCCTCTTTCTTGAATCTCACACTCATTTATGTCTGTTCATTCTTATGTTTACAATCCTAATAGATAATTTATTAGCTCATATCTGCATTACTACAGTCTCCTACGTCATCTCTCTACCTCAGTTCATATCAAATACACTCTGTCCTAACCTGGCCTCTAAATGTCCACGCACTTCTGTATTTTAATTGGAATTTTTTGTGAAAATGACAATAGTTATTTTGAGAAGAGTGTCTTAGCTTTCAAAGAACTCCCAAAATCTCAAATGAGTGCTTAATATGAAAATTAAGCACTGGCTGGGTGCGACGGCTCACGCCTGTAATACCAGCACTTTGGGAGACCGAGGCTGGCAGATCACCTGAAGTCAGGAGTTCGAGACCAGCCTGGCCAACATAGTGATACCCCATCTCTACTAAAAATACAAAGTTAGCTAAGCATGGTGATGCATGCCTGTAATCCCAGCTACTGGGGAGGCGGAGGCAGGAGAATTGCTTGAACCCAAAAGGCAGAGGTTGCAGTGAACCAAGATCATGCCACTGCACTACAGCCTGGGTGACAGAGCAAGACTCTGTTTAAAAACAAAAAAAGGGAAATTAATCACAAATTATTCTGTCTTAAAATACGATATTCATTATTCAATTTATCTGATCTAAAACATTAACAGTTCTGCATTATCAACAAGTTAAAGATGTTGATTTGGCCTTCTTTATAACTTTTCTAGGGCTGATCACATCCTATATTTTCTCAGCTCTCCTCTCCTGTCAGCTGGAACCATGCATGGGCTCACACCTACTGCCGGTCCCAGTGGAACCTGCTTTCAAATATTTAGCGTAGATATTTGATGCTTTTATTCAATAAATGTTTATTGATTGATTTTATGTGCCAGGCATTGCATAGTAGCCTATTATTCTTCAGCTCTCTTTAGTTTGCCTCTCCATACCTACCATGTGTCTAAAACTAAGATCTGTCTTAGGACCTTGGTGATCACAGCCATCCCATCCAGAATACTACTCCTCTCCTCTTTACCTATTTTAATATAGCACATTATTGAGTTCAGTTCACAGTTACTTTATTTATACCTGCTCTATCATTATATAGCAAGATTAACTTTCTCAAAATTTCTAGAGTATTTATAGTTAACCCTGCTTTGTACTGTTAGTTGTTGTATTTCATACGTATATCTCCTGTCATAATGACACATAAACTAACTTGAACTCTGATGACGTGTATCTAGCACAATTTTATACATATAAAAGGTACTTTGATATTTGTAGATTTACCTGAAAATAGTAAGGTAAGTATTGCTTCTGTTTAATCATTGCATTTGTTTAGAAATAGTTTCTGTCAAAAAATAAACTATCAGCATCCATTGTTTCCCTTTTCTTCTTTTCCTTCACCATACAGATATCATTAAGGTCAGTTTCTCCCGTCTTTGTACATAAAAATAATCAACAAGAAACCTTTCTGGCTAAACTTAATAATAAGATCTCATGAAATATAGAGACAGTATTGAGAGGTGATGAACTGTACAAACTTTCTTATAGACAACCTAGGTTTAAAGTCTATCTTTTCTACTTTCCAAGTTTTTGAGTTCTGGCAAGTTTCTTATCAAGTTCTTAGTGACTTAGTTTGTTAAACTATAAAGTTAAAAAAAAGGTTCCTGTATAATTAAAGTTAGTGTCTGTAATGTGGAATCTATAAACAGTAACTATTCTTTATTTATCATTCTACATATCGATATAGAATGGTTTGGATGAGTTCAGTTTTGTTTGTTTGTGAAGAGCCTCTTCTCAGACAACACTTGGATTAAAGAACATTTTCTCCAACAGGAATAGATGTTCTGATTGCTTTCCAAACCCAGGAAGCTGAGAATTCTGAAAATAACTTTCATTATTATGACCATGAAGTGTTCTCATTTTAGTTATCATTATGCTACATATGAAAGATATTGCATGATTCCCCATAATTCCTCAGCACTTACCAGTTTTCTTTGTTAGTTTTGGAGTATATTCAAGATTGAAGCCAGCATGGCTTAAGTTTGAAGGAGATCTTGGAAACCAAATAGAATATACCTGATTTACTTTAATGAAAACCTTCTGACAGATTACATTTTTACTAGCCATACCCAAAATTATTTTTCTAGGCTCTGTTTTCACAGAAATGTATAAAATCTATACCTATAAGAAGTAAGTATAACAGCTATCTGAAATGACTATGCAATTTATTTTGTAAAATTAATATTTATCTCTATATCAACACCAATAACTCATTATTAAATATTCATGTAATAAGCTATACAAAAAATAATATTATTTTGAAAAATAATGGTCTTGGCATAGGTTGCCATAAAATAATTCCTTTTAGGTTAAATATTACTTCTACACAAATATTGATATAATATTTTATTTGTTGTGATTCAGAAATATCTAATAATATTAAACTGTGAACCTCATAAGATCCATTTGTGTTGGTGTTTGAAGAATATTTTGCATTAAGAAGACAAAATTTGAATTTTAAAAAATTAAAAATTCCCTGTCATTGAGATAGTCTTTTGATTAATAAAACTTGTATTACCATTTAAATATTCTAATGGTGTTGTGAAGTTAGTAGTTTTAGATGATCTTCAAAGTGAAAATAAGTTTAAGGAGTATAAACTTCATGATTAATGTAACATATATAGTATGTGGTACTATTCAGATCTCAGCAGATTTAACATGATATCCTTCCATTACCCCATGCTGAATATGAGATAGATTCCTCTGTGGTTGGAGAATCACATTCATTTCTATTTCATCACATTGAATAAATTATTATCTAAAATATACTATGTAGATACAACAGTAAAGTACTTGAGTATGCAGAACACAGGCTCATAGAAATACTTATGGTTGGAGTTATAATTCATTATCTCAACTAAATAAGACACTTCCTCTAATAACTTTTCAGAGGCCAAAATAGACTATTGGATTTTAATTTGAACCTATCAACTTTCAAGACATAAACATGTATATACAGATTTCTAAAAGTAATTTTAAGGAGTTGATTGAGACTTGCTTTATGGTAAAAGTTATTGGGACTCCATAAGTAATATTGCTTTATTGGTCCTTTGTGTATACCAGTGTGGTTTGTTTGACCTCACTCTCTATAATCTCATTTGTATATGACCCTTTCTTGACATGAATATTTGAAATAGTAGTTCAATCAAAGAGCTGAAATTATATCAAATTTAGACACATTTCCCTGTTTCAAATTTTAACGTATTTTCCTTTTTCAAATTTCAACTAGACACTCTTTGGCTATCATTTCTGCTGATACTCCACCCTTGCCAATGTTTGAAGTTGCCTTAACTGAAACCTGAATGATACTTGTGCATACCTAATAATTATTGTTTCGTGGTTGATTAGTCTTCTATATACATCTACTTCTCACAAGAGAGTTTGGGATACAGTAAATGTGGAGAAAACTAGTTGTTAACTAAGAAAATTATAGGACTTTCAATTCAATGCTTAAGGGACTTATTAATTAAAATCAGTGGTTTTTGACATTATTTTTAAAGTTTACTGTTCCCTGAAAAAAATGTTATAAAAAGCCTATCAGTGCGTATGGAAAAGTCAGCCTATCTAAAACATAGTTATTTTTCCAGTGAATATCTCCTGTTCAAAATGTATCCTTAAAGTCACTCCTTCAAGATTTGATGATAGTGAAAAGCATTTTGTCTACCAATGCACCAAAATAAATAAAATGCTACCACTGTTGTTGTTAAATTGTTAAACTAAAAGAGAAAGGAAAGAGAGAAAATACAGTTTCAGTAGTATTAAACATGGGGAATGAGATATAAAGAATTAAGAGATTTGGTGTTAACTACCAAATATATCATTTCTATTAAATGCAACTTGCTAGGAATACTGTCTATTATAAAAGAAGTGATTTTGATGTTTTAATTATGTCATTGAGCAGCAGGTGGGAAACTGCAATGAAAGAGAACACTATGTAAAATACCTAGGTAAAACCAAAGTATAGCAGTTTCTCTCGGTATTTCTTAATGACTTCAAATTTTTGTTTAGGATTGAAGACAAAAATATACAGTTAGTTTGGAAAAGGAGGAGGTAGGGGTCACTTAATGTTGCCTCAGTGGAATTAGCTCTCAATGACAAAAGCACTCTATTAAGAGACTCGAAGACATACAGCACTAAAACTGGCTTTATTTCTTACCATACCCTTACATATATATGGAGAAAGATTGGGTTATATGCCAATACTTTATCGGGTTTTTAAAATATGTTTACATATTGATTCAACAGAGGTGCAGTTATGATTGGCAACTTAAAACCTTGTACTAGTAGGAGAAAATGTTCTTCTGTTCTGATTTCTAGGATGGAGGTGGGAGGAAATGAATGCCATTGAGGTAGATTGTAAAGGCAAGAGTCACTTCTGAGTTGTGATGAGATTTACTATGCATCTTGGCAAAGAGGGAAATAAGTGAAAACAGCTGAGGGTTCAAGCATTACTTTATTCATATTTCTCTTCCCTTTGCTCTCCTGGAAAGGGTTATCACAAAATGACATTTTTTTTTTTTTTGTAGTGTGGAGCAGCATTGGTTTTGAATTCAAAAGTGACAAGAATTACAGACCTCTTTTCCCTATATTTTTGTTCATTTGTAAGAAATGCATAATAGTAGTAATAACCCCCTAAAGTAATTAGGTGAACCTAATGTCTTCAGTAAGTTTTATGGTGTTGGATCAGTCAGTGTTCACTCAGGAAAACAAAACTTCTCTTAAAATATTTAAGATAGAAAGAACTTGTCATCCTGGTAGTAGAAAAGCTGTGAAACTAAACTGGAGATAGTAAAGTATTAACACCAGCAGAAGACATTGCAAACTCTAAGTGTATTATAAAATATGAAGGTGGTAACACTGGCAACTAGAAAATGGGTAAGCCAAAAGCGTATTCCTTTAAGGTAACCACTTAGGGCTTTTTTAGTCAGAGCTGGAGCCAAGAGGGAATATAGGACCTGCCAGAAAAAAGAGGAAAAATACACTGGCTTCCCCCTTAGTTCTACCCTTTAATCGCTCACTACTGCTTCCTATTGCTTTAACCCAGACACTAAGTCTGCTGCCACAGGGACCCGGCAAATATAACCTATTGGATCAACCTTCTGTTAAGTAGAGCCCCACATGGAGGAAGCAAAGAATGGATTCAAGAAAAAACACATAAAGGACTGGTTCATGGCTCACATAATATGTGCTTCGTAAATAGTGCCTCTCTGATATCTTCCATCACTTAATCTAATCTCATTCACTTTTAAAGTATTTATATAATTTTTATATTTGTGGCTTTTATTGATGTCATTGTTGGAGTAGGCCACAAATAAAAATACAGATAGAAAATAGCAGAATCAGAGATTAATTTTAAGCCATGTTTTGATTCCAAATTCTCATTGGCAGCTGTTTGAAAACAATTGACAAACACACATAAATTGTTTCTGGAGTCACCAGGGGCCCCAGATTGTCAGATCCTTGTGTGGGCTTTTTCTACATAGGCAAATTTAAGTAGAAGCTAATTCTGACATCTTATTTTCCCAGCCTCATCTCTTGCCATTTCCTGGTACTTCTCCATACCATTTTTTTTTTTTAAATCTTCTTTGCCATTACCTAAAGATTTCCTCTGACTCAGTGATTTTGCCTGCAGTGATCTCTTTGTTGGAATGCCCTGACTTCCCCTTGCACCTGCCACAAGCCAAATAGTGCTTCAGTTCTCAATTCAAATGTCACATGCTTTGTGCAATCTGTCCAGATGTCCCTCCATGCAAAATTAATTGTTCTTTCCATTTAGTTATGATTGTGCTTGCTATGTGTCTCCTATTATGCCACTTATTACATTGCATCATGGTTGGCTAGATACTTGTCTGTCTCTTCTCATATGACATAAATCCTAAAGTAAGAGATTACTTTTTATGTTGCTTGTATCCTCACTTCTTTGTGTAGTAACTGGACCTTTATATCCACTCAATGAATATTTATTAAAACAAGTTAAAGTTTGGCTGGTAAAAGAATATCAAAATCATAGATAAACATAGTTTGGAAATTACCATTATGCTATATTATCTGGAAAACTACTTGAAATATTTAATTCACATTTTATGTAAAGGCATAACCTTGATCTATACATTCTATTAAAATATTATTCCATAGGCAAATTCATTTAGCCCTCAATCTCCACTAAGCAAATTTATTATGCCCCCAAATACCTCTATTTCGGTATTCATCTAAGTACTTTCCCTCCTGTGTACAAATGGATAACCCTCTATTTTACCTCAAGGCATATTCAAGCTTGAAAAGGGCTGTAGTAATCCAAAAAGAGAAGTGTACACTGTTCATTCCAGCAAACCATGGCTATCAAAGAGAATGCCAAAGGGCGTTATTCATTAAAAAATGAATTAACAACGCTTTCTGCAATGTTGCTGCAGATTTTTCTTTTACAAAAGACTAAAAGAATGCATGATGCGGTGAATTCAAAAGCAAAAAAAAATACATTCTGGCAACCATTCAAATGCAAATTTGGCTCTGCTGAGTGTTCAGGTGACAGCCTGGGTGTTTATATATTGTCTATCATTGTAACAGTGAAGCACTCAGACAATCTAATTAGGTTATTAAAATTATCTGTTTGGGAGAGACTAGATTTCCCTGAAAAGCTTCTATATAAAACTGTTTTTGAATGGCACAGAAAGATGTACCAGGACCTTTTATGTACAAGGAAGATTCATGAAAAAATAAAAACAAACTAAAACAAATTGAAATAGACCAAGCAACCAACAAAACCAAAGACAAAGAGTCTATTAGGTTAAGAATTATTCATGATTTCTGTATAATTAATTGTGAATTGAGGTTGTTTCATTTCAGCTTATGTATAATGTTTCAAATTTATGATTGTCCCTCACGACACATAAGTAGTTTGAACCATTCTTGCATTGTTGATGTGTTTGTTCTGTGTATCTTTTCTGTGTTCGCATCATACCGACTGTAGTCCTCTCTGCTACAAACATCTCTAGAAATTTTAATGTCAGCGGAAAGTAGAATTACAATCTTAAGAGGGGGGTTCACTGTCTGCTGCCTGCATGTAAGAAAATATAAATTATGATGGATCCTCAACAAACTAATACTCTATATAGATTCTGCCTAGAGAAATATCTAATGACTTGACCCTAACATGTTGTTAAAGGAACTTCAAATACAGCTTCACTTCCGGTTAGGCAGACCACTGATACAACCACTCTTAAGGAATGTCTTCTGTCTCTTTCTTATTAATATTGTTCAAACAGTATGAATGACAACAATAATCCACGAATACTTTCTATTTCATTATGATGGTTGAAGTGGGTTCCTTCATGTCCAGCACAGTCAATGTGAATATAAACATTCTTCCACCTAATCAGGCTTAAGGAGTCAGCAACAAGTTGAAAAATATGTTTACATTGGCTTTAATAGAATTTGGGCAGACACTCAATGAATGTTTATTAAAACAACAAATGGCAATTAATATTTTCTGTGTTTCTTTCTTCTCACTCTTTTTGGGAAGGAAGACATACAAGTACATATTTGGGTAAGAAAATTCTATCACCGAAGTTTTATTTTTCTGTATATATTTGGCAATAATATCTTTGTCCAGTTTCATATAGAAGGATAGGAACATTTGAAATTTATCGGTATGAAAATAAGTGAAATAAATCTTTGTCTACTTAATGTATTTTTAGAATAAACTGAACTCAAAGATTACTATACTTATATAAAAATCATAATTTTATTAATTCTTAGAGTGTAAGGCTGACATTTACCTTTGTACAATTCACACAGAAAATATATAAATAAATAAAGCTTAAGCAACACTGATAAATAGAAATATTTTACCCCTTATTAAGAAGAAATAGGCCAGGCAAAGTGGCTCATGCCTGTAATCCCAGCACTTTTGGAGGCTGAGACAGGTGGATGGTTTGAGCCCAAGAGTTCAAAACCTGCTGGGGCACCATGGCCAAAACCCATCTCTCTCTACAGAAGAAATACAAAAATTGGCCAGGCATGGTGGCATGTGCCTGTAGTCCCAGCTACTCAGGAGACTGAGGTGGGAGGATTGCTTGAAGCTTGAGCCCTGGATTGGAGGCTTCGATGAGCTGTGATCGCACCACTGCACTCCAGCCTGGTTGACAGAGTGAGATCCTGTTTTTTGTGGGTGGAGAGGGAAGAAGAATGTTCTTTACCAGTGGCCAACCTCCAGACTGATCATCAAGGCAACACTGTACAATGCCTCCCAATTTGTGTTTGCAAACTTATTACAATTAGAACCTTATACGTGTCTCCTCTGCTGCAGTCAATCCGGAGTACTTGGAATTTCTAGGACACAACATTCATTCGGTTACCTTTGCCATTTTAACATTGCCATTTTCTTTACCCATAATGCCGTCTTTGCTATGCAGTAGACACCACTGGATAGTTTTATTTCAAGGCATTTCAAAATGGTTTGTTTTTATTATAAAAATAAATAAAGCTTCTGTATTTCTTGAAAATGTAAAACTACTGTACACTTGCAGTGACCAATGGAGCTAGAAGGCCAAAATATAAGGGGTTTCCATGTTTCAGAAATCCCAAGAAGATATGAACTTCCTAGATTAATGTTAGGCTTTAGTCCAGATATTTGTATTGTTGACTAATATATCCCATTATAAGCTGAATTTTTTCCCCTCTGAAAATTCATATGTTGAAAACCTAACCCCTGGTGTAATGGTATGGGATTTGGGGTTTTTCACAGATAATTAGATCATGAGGACGAAGCCCTCATTAATAGGATTCGTGCCCTTGTAGAAGGGAACTCACAGAGCTCTCTTGCTCTCTTACTACCGTGTAAGGACACAATGAGAATTTGGCAGCCTGCAACCTGGAAGAGGACCCTCAGCAGAACCCCACCATGCTGGAATACTGGTGTCAAGCTTCTAGCCTCCAGGACAGTAAGAAATAAATATCTGTTGTTTATAAGCCACCAAGCTTATAGTAATTTGTTATAAGAGCTCAGACTAAATAAGACATATCCAAAGTGCTTAAAGTAGTGCCTGAAAATGATAGGCTCCCAAATATTTATGGAACAAATAAAAGAAGGAAGAAATCTTATTACATGAAATCCTATTCCATGATCTCGTGTGTGTGTGTATTTATGTTTTGTTTTATATCACAGGAGGGTTTGTTATTTGTCATGGAATTTTGCCAAAGACCTAGTTCTTTCTTTGCCAAATTATGCCCTTACATATCCTACCTATATATAAAAAGTGGAAGCAATCTCTATGTATCTCAGAATAGAAAATAATGAAATATAATTTCATCATAAAATGAAATTTTATATATACAGATTTATTTTTAATAAGCTAGAATACAGGAACAAAAATGAATAAATCTCAAAATCATAATGTTGCACAAATAAAATGAAGTTATAAGTCTGTATATGCCATAAAATAGCACATTTTTTAAATGCACATAAAACAATAAAATATAGAATTATTACGTATATGAAGACACCAAATTGAAGGATAAATTCAAATTGATGATGAAAAGTTCTGGAAAAGACAGAAGCTGGTTTTCAACTTTATGTGTTGAATTTTACATTAAGTGCTACAGACATACAGAGTGAGAGAAAAGAGGGATCTGAAATAACTATAGAAAATTATTAATATCTATTTAATCTTTGTAGTGGATTTGTAGATATATTATTTCTATTACTCTTGTAGTTCAATACTGATGACAGGGTGAGTGATCTCAGTCCTCAGAAAAAGTCAACAGATGTTCAGTTTTATGTTACTTTTACTATGAAAGAATAATAGCAGTATAAATTTCCCAGGTGATGAGATATTTAGCTATTCAAGAATAGTTCGATGAAGCTCTAATTTTGTATAAAGTTCATTTCTATGCTCCTGAAATACCCAGAGAAAGATAATAACCCACGGAATTGAATACTTGAGTCCTCTGACTTTCTCACTCTCTATTTAGTTGCTCAAGTTGTCCTGGTAGAATAAATAACAAAATCATGAAGAATTAAGTATTGATAAAATTTGTATTTTCTTTCCAAATTATAATAAATTTTATTTTATCTCTATAAAGTTAGTTTAATATTTAAATTTTGAACTTATTTAGCTATAAATACAATTGACAGATTGTCCTTATCAACCATAAATTTGACCCAGACATGATACTTAACCATGTGCTTCTTAATTATGTAATGAGGATAATCATACTATCTATCTCAAAGTTTTTTAATGAATATTTGTAAAGCATTTGAAAATTACTTGGCACCTAGTCAAGCCTAAGTGAGTATTTGCTAAAATGTTTGGGGAGGCAGTCATGATAAGAACACAGAGAGCCACATTGGTAATTTTTAAAAAGTGGGAAAGAAAAATAGGCCAGGTGTGGTGGCTCATGCCTGTAATCCCAACCAACACTTTGGGACCCCAAGCTGGGAGGATCGCTTGAGTCCAGAGGTCTGAGACCAGCCTGGGCAACATAGTGAGACCCATCTCTGCAAAAAAATAAAAATATAAAACTGCCAGGCAGGGTGACTCACACATTTGGCCCCAGCTCCTTAGGAAGCTGAGAAAAGAGGATCACTTGAACCCAGGACACGAGGCTACAGTGAGTCATGACTGAACCATTGCACTCTAGCCTGGGCAACAGAGTGAAATTCTGCCTCCAAAAAACATTTTAATAGAGTAAAAATTAAAACATTAAAAAATTGTGCAAGAAAAGAAATGGAATAATATTATATATTGTATGGTTTGGTTGAGAATAGTGTTTACATATTTATAAGATATACACACTCAACATTAATCTAACTCAAAATTCCAGCTGCACTGACAGAAAGGGGGAGGAGATACCAGTGTTCAGTGTTTGTGTAAGTGGTGGGAGTATTAAAGAACTAAATCAATAGCTGATGCCTAAAACCGAAAAATATAAAAAATGAACTAAAGTTAATGTGTTTGATCATTTGAAAGGTGAGAGGGAATAATGAGTGTGTTATCAACTGTCCCACAAATGAAGGTAGCCATTTTAACTTTTAAGTGGCATACTAGAAAACTAAAACATAGCAACATTTTCAAGGATACAATCAATGATGACTTATGAAAGGTTGGCAATTATTTAGTAATAATAGGAAGCAAAAATAAAACCCTCTGCCCTAGATGACCCTACAGGCAGATTAGCCAGTAGACTTAGGATACTGTCATCTGAAGTTTTATTATTTAGATAGAAAGTTTCTCCCTCTAGGCTTCCTTTGAAATACAAACATACCCAAGATTAGGATTATGAATTACTTGTTCTTATTATGAAAAAGTTTATCTGATTCTTTTATTTCATAAAATATAGAACTCACCATCTCTAAGACACAGATGACAGATAGAATAGAAAAAGAAATGTGCCATATGTAGAGCTTAAATTTGCTGAAATTAAAAAAATTATTATTGTATCACATTTATAAGTTGTATCTTTCAAAAACCCATGCTGACAAATTGACAAGAGTAAGAAACAATATCCCAAAATCTATGATCTATTGTTCAGTTTCCCTGGGAAAAATCCAGGACAAATGTTGTGAGAGAAATGGTTGAGTAGCAGTCAATGCCAAACCCTGCTTCTTACTGCTCACTGGCCAAATTAAGCCATTGGCAGCAATAAGCTAAATAGCTCATTTTTCTTCCTCTTTTTAAAAAAATAAACCTCTAAATTATATTTTCTATATTACACAGCTTCACACTAATTGATTTATGTTGAAGAAGAGGACTGTATACAAAATTGATGTGTTAATTGGTTTTTTAATGATGTATAGAACAAGAATTTCAGCAACGAAATAAATGTGTGGCTTTGAGCACATAGAAATTCTTGTAGACTTGGTTTCTTAATACACAAAATTAAAAGATTGGAATAAAATCTCAGGGTCTGTGTGAGTTTTGAAATTCCTTAATTCTATGAGTCCTCTCCTTGTTCAGCTTTTAAGGAGGGCCCATACTGGTATTAGAAATGGTATAAAGGGTAAGACCTTTCTTTCAAGAACTAGAGGTCGCTACCACTGACATCAGTGGAAACTGCCTGTGTCCTTTAAGCCTGCATTGCTCAAACATCATATTTTCTGCGTTATTCCAAGAACAGAAGGAACAGTTTGAAGTGAACAAGAGGGTAAATGCTAGTGCCATAATTCTCAGATGCCTGTCACAAAAAATTGGAGACAGAGCTCATTGCAATCAGGGATGATTTCTATAAAGGAATAATAAAGAGAAAAGCTGTCAGGGAGAGTGGTTTTGAATAAAGGAGAAATCCAGAAGGAAAGAATTATTATTTTGAAATCTGACATCTTTTTTCCTTCTGAAATTCCAGTGTATATGACTGACTCTCTAGTTTACTTTGTTACATGTAGGCAGAATAATGAAAGCTATAATGTCAAGGACTAAAGAGAAATACACATAAGACTGTCACATCATCATCATCATCAATTATACTGTTGAAAGCCTACAGAGTGTATGACACTATGCTATGAATAATGAGTTATTTTCTCCCTAGCTTAGCTTGCAATGTATTTCCCTGACTGTCTCAGAGGAAAGAAAACTCAATCTATCTCCACTGTTGGTGCTGTATCCCTTCAGATGATAGGGAACATAGCCTGAAAGTGACCTACCATCCTGAGAAAGGTAAATACAGAAGTAAATTTTTTCCTCCTCCTGGGTATCTCTTTATTTGTGATATGTGATTTTCTTCCCTACTATGTATTCTGAATATAAAATTGTGACCTAATAAAAACCTATACATAAAACTTTTGCTCTCTTATATGTGTATAGTCCTAAATTAACGTGGCAATGTTAAAAACCTAATTAAAGTGATAGTTAAGCAGATGATCAGTTTGCAAAATTTGTGAGAGACATGATTTATTATATTGAGGATTTAATGACAGACAGGATAAAAACAACAACAACTAGACATACACTAGTAAAACTGTTGGAAAAAATTAAAGAAAATACATTAAAATAGTCTGAAATAAAATATTGATTACCTATTAAGGATATAGGAAAAAACATTTATTCCAGTATACTCTCACAACACAATCAGTACAGAAAACTTCTGTGACCTTTGGCTACCAAAAATTATGTGAGAATTTCTCCAACACGCCAACAACCAAATCAGTTCTGCCACAGACACCAGCTGGGTGTCCTCTAATTCAATTCAATTTTGACACTATCTGCCTAGAGATAGCATCAGATAGTGTCAGACTGACCCACAGTTTGAGGATCAGCCTCATAAAATTGCCCCATGACTTCAGATGCCAGTTGCAAGTGCAGGTTGTTTAAACTGTGCTTTTAACCTATCTGCTGTAAGTTGGGGTTCCCAAACTATCTCCCAGCTTTGAACAATTTGCCAAACTAGCTCACAGAACTCAGTGAAACACTTACTTATCATTATTGGTTTATTGTAAAAGTTATTAGAAGGGATACAGATGAAGAGATGCATAGGGTGAGGTTATATGGGATGGGAAATGGAGATTCCATGCCCTCTCCAGGCATGCCACTCTCCAGGAATCTCCACATGGTCAGATTTCTGGAAGCTCATTTCAAATCCTGTATTTTGAAGTTTTTATGGAAGCTTCATTATGTAGGCATGATTGATTAAATCATCAGTCATTAGTAATCAGCTTAACATTCAGCCCACCTTCCCTCTCTGGTAAGGCCGAAAGTCTTAACCCTCTAATGATGACTTGGCCTTTCTTCGAGCAGCCTCCATCCTGAAGTTACCTAGGAGCTGCCATTCACCAGTCATCTCATTGGCATATCAAATACACTCTTATTACTCTGGAAGATCCCAAGGAATTTAGGAGCCACCTGTCTGTCAGGAAACAGGGATGAAGACCAAATATATATTTCACAGTATCACGCCTATAAAAAAAAAGTATTTAGACTGATCTCAAACTTCTTGATACAATAATGGAAGCCAGAAATAAGTGAAATCTTTAAAAGTGTTCAAGGAAAATAACTTTAAACCTTCAATTGAATACTACTGAAACTGTATTTTTAAAATAATGGGTAATATTAAATAAAATAAGTTTGAAACAAACATAATCTATATTTACTATCAACAAATTCACGAAAAAGAATACAGTCCTATAAATGAATGTATATTTAGAAAACTCCATCGTCTCAGCCCAAAATCTCTTTAAGCTGATAAGCAACTTCAGCAAAGTCTCAGCATACAAAATCAATGTGCAAAAATCACAAGCATTCCTATACACCAATAATAGACAAACAGAGAGCCAAATCATGAGTGAACTCCCATTCACAATTGCTACAAAGAGAGTTAAATACCTAGGAATACAACTTACAAGGGATGTGAAGGACCTCTTCAAGGAGAACAACAAACCACTACTCAAGAAAATAAGAGAGGACACAAACAAATGGAAAAATATTCCATTCTCATGGATAGGAAGAATCAATATCATAAAAATGGCCATACTGCCCAAAGTAATTTATAGATTCAATGCTATCCCCATCAAGCTACCATTGACTTTTTCACATAATTAGAAAAAACTACTTTAAATTTCATATGGAACCAAAAAAGAGCCCATATAACCAAGACAATCCTAAGCAAGAAGAACAAAGTTGGAGGCATCACACTATCTGCCTTCAAACTACAAGGCTACAGTAACCAAAACAGCATGGTACTGGTACCAAAACAGATATATAGACCAATGGAGCAGAACAGAGGCCTCAGAAACAATACCGAACATCCACAACTGTCTGATCTTTGACAAACCTGACATAAACAAGCAATGGGGAAAGGATTCCCTATTTAATAAATGGTGTCTGGAAAACTGGCTAGCCCTATGCAGAAAACTGAAACTGGACTCCTTCCTTACACCTTATACAAAAATTAATTCAAGATGGATTAAACACTTAAATGTAAGACCAAAACCATAAAAACCCTAGAAGAAAACCTAGGCATTACCATTTAGGACATAGGCATGGGCAAAGACTTCATGACTAAAACACTAAAGGCAATGGCAACAAAAGCCAAAACTGACAGATGGGATCTAATTAAAGAGCTTCTGCAGAGCAAAATGAACTATCAAAAGAGTGAACAGGCAACCTACACAATGAGAGAAAATTTTTGCAGTCTATACATCTGACAAAGGGCTAATATCCAGAATCTACAAAGAATTTAAACAAATTTACAATAAAAAAGCAAACAACCCCATCAAAAAGTGGGTGAAGGGTATAAACAGACACTCTCAAAAGAAGACATTTATGTGGCCAACAAACTTATGAAAAGAAGCTCATCATCACTGGTCATTAGAGAAATGCAAATTAAAACCACAATGAGATACTATCTCACACCATTTAGAATGGCGATCATTAAAAAGTCAGGAAACAACGGATGCTGCAGAGGATACAGAGAAATAGGAACTCTTTTACACTGTTCATGGGAGTGTAAATTAGTTCAACCATTGTGGAAGACAGTGTGGCAAATCCTCAAGGATCTAGAACCAGAAATGCCATTTGACACAGCAATCCCATTACTGGGTATATAATCAAGGGATTATAAATCATTCTACTATAAAGACACATGCACACTCATATTTATTGCAGCACTGATCATAATAGCAAAGACATGGAAGCATCCTAAATGTCCATCAATAATAGACTGGATAAAGAAATTGTGGCATATATGCACCATGAAATACTATGCAGTTGTAAAAACGGATGAGTCCATGTCCCTTGCAGGGACATGGATGAAGCTGGAAACCATCATTCTCAGCAAACTAACACAGGAACAGAAAATCAAACACTGCATGTTCTCACTCGTAAGTGAGAGTTTAACAGTGAGAACACATGGACACAGGGAGGGGAGCATCACACACCTTGGCATGTCGTGGGGAGGAGGGCTAGGGGAGGGAGAGATAGCATTAGGAGAAATACCTAACGTAGATGACAGGTTGATGGGTTCAGCAAACCACCACCGTGCATGTATACCTGTGTAACAAACCTGCACGTTCTGCACATGTATTCCAGAACTTAAAGTATAATTAAAAAAAAAAAAGAAAAGCAAAAAAATGTGCTTTAATAAAACTAAAGAAGGTTTGATGTGTGAGAAAACTTAGGACATAAACCTAGTGGTTAACATTTCTTTTTAGGGTATCTAAATAAACAAATTACCTACAGCAATAATAAAAATATTTTATTTGTGGACTTCAAAAGAGATAGATGTAATAGTACAAAGTAATATCACATAAGCTGGGAAAAGGTTAAAACATTCAGAGGTAAAACACTGTAAGATCTTTGTATTGTTCGTGATAAATAATATATTGATTGAGAGAGCCACCTTTTGCCTAGGATGTAGACTGCCAAAAATTGCATCATTCCAAATCTAACAACAAGAAAAAGCTCTTTGAAGCCATTTGAGAGAAGAGATTATAGGGCAACCAAGTAACCTGACATCTAAGACCCTCCAAGGAGAGACAGCCTGAGCTCTGGCTGACCTGTAGGAGTGCAATTGTAGGAAAATATGATAGAAACCATATAACAGGGTAAAGAAGGATAATCCATCTATGGTTTTTCTCTTTTCTTTTCCTTTTCTTTTCTTTTCTTTTCTTTTCTTTCTCCTTACAAATTTCTAGAGGCTAAGTGTGGGCTAGAATGAGAATAGAGAAACTATGGAGCCAATGACATAAGGGGCTCTTATACCCACTTTGCAGGTTCTTCTCAATTGACATATGTCAAGGTCATGAGAGGGACTGGGTAGAGTGTAAGAGAAAAGAAGCCTTGCTTTGTTGATGTACTCATAAAGGATAAGTGCAGCCACAGATTCATAAAAGGAATGGATACCTGCCCAAAGCCATCACCCCCAAAAAATAAAAGTCTTCAGATGCTGGAAAGGGTTAGCAAAGCATATTTTCCCCAAGGTGTATATGAAGACAGAAGACAACAGATGACATCTTTAAAGTGGTGAAAAATAACTCAAAACTGTCAAGTCAGCAAAAATACCTTTCAAAAATGAAATAAAGATATTTTGAAACAAAGAAACTGATAGAATCAATTTCCTGTAGACTTTCACTATAAAAAAATTTAAACTTCTTCATGAAGGAGGAATATAATACCAGACAGAAACTTGGATTTACAAAAAGACATAAAATCTTTGGAAATGATTAAAACAAAGGAAAAAATATATTTTAAGACATTTATTTTAATTGCCCTAAAATTAATGTATAAAGCAAAAATAGTAAAAGTATACTGTGTTATGTACAGCATATGTAACAGTAAAATGTATGACAACAATAACACAACATATAGGAGGGAGGAATTAGGAGCATAAGGTGGTAAGTTTCCTATATCGCCCATTAGGAGGTATTTAATACTATTCGAAGGTGGGATGTCGATATGGTTAGGCTCTGTGTCCCCACCCAAATCTCATCTTGAACAGTAATCCCCATAACCCTCACAATCCCCACATGTCAAGTAAGAGACCAGGTGGAGGTAATTGAATCCTGGGGGTGATTTCCTCCATGCTGTTCTCATGACAGTGAGTGAGTTCTCATGAGACCTGATGGTTTTATAAGGTCCTCTTTCCCCTTCGTTCAGCACTTCTCCTCCCTGCCACCTTGTGAAGAAGGTGCCTTGCTCTTCCCTCACCTTCCCCCATGATTCCTGAGGCCTCCCTAGCCATGCTGAACTGTGAGTCAATTAAACCTCTTTCCTTTATAAATCACCTAGTCTAAGGCAGTTCTTTTCAGCAGTATGAAAACAGACTAATACAGATGTGATTAAAAATTTATAGTTTAAACCCTATGAAAACTACTAAAAAAAGTTTAAATACAGGCAATAATAATAAGCCAAAGATAAATATAAAGTGAAATAATGCACTGTTAAAATTAATGTAGCTTATTCCAAGTCTTGATATCTAGGAATGTCAGTCCTTCATTGTTGTTCTTCAAGATTTTCTTGGATAGACTTTGACCTCTGCATTTCTATACAAATTTTTAAATAACCTTTAAATTTTCACTAAAATATCTGTTAGGATGTTGATTAGAGTTGCATCACATATTCAGAAAATTTGAGCAGAATTAACATATTCACATAAACTTTTCCAATCCAAAAAACGTGGCATGATCCTCCATTTATTGGGGCTTACTTTGAAATTGTCTCCACAGAGAGTTGTGTTTGTATATATAAATATATACAACTTTTTTTCTTTTATTCTCAGACATTTCAACTTTTGGTGATGTGTTAAGTTGTATATCTTTCATTAGTTTCATTTTCTATTTATTTGTGTGAAGAAAACGATTTATTTCTAGAAAACTTGCCAATTTACTTACTAGTTACAACAGTTAATCTATATTCTCTTTTTTTGTTTTCTACATTAAAAATCATGCCAATTATGAACAATGGCAAATTTATGTAGTTATTTCCAATACCTACACATTTATCTAGTTATCTTACTTTATACTAGTTGGAAATTCTGATCAAATGTTAAATGTATGTGATTACAGAAGAAACACACATTCCGAAGGAAAACCTTATTTCAGAAAAAAGTCCTGCAACTCATGATTTCTTTTGTTTTCCCTTTGTATTTCCTTTTAGTCATACCTTATTAGGTTAAGGAAGTGTTCTTCTATTCCTTGTCTAAGATTTTTGGTTATAAATAGGTAACTGATTAAGTTATATTTCTGCATCTATTAAAATAGTCATATGACTTTTCCCTATTTTCTTAATATCATGAATTACCCTTATTCATTGCCTAGTGCTAAGGCAACTTTGGCAACTTAACATTATTCTTGAGAATATATACATATATTGTATATATATAAAATGTGTAATACACACACCAGACACACACACATACACACACACCCAAACACCCAAACATCCGTGGTTTTGGAGTGGCAATCTTTGTTTAGGAGTTTTGCATCAATGTTTATGCAAATTATTGGCCTGTATTTTACTTTTCTTCTAAAGTCTTTGACAGTTTTGTGAACCAAACATATACAAATCTTCGAAAGCAAGTTCAAAATTACTCATACTATAAAGAATTTGGCCAGAATAAGCAGAAAAAGAAAAATATAAAGAAAAGGAAACATATATTAGTATTTTTGTTATACTTGGGGACTTCATTTTCTGTAAAAGACTAACGTGCCCTCATATTGCTAAAACTTGAAATACGTAGAACAAATTTTGCATTGTTTATATTATTAAAATTGAGTAAGATAGACTAATTTAAGATACACATTATAACATTGGCAAATCTGACTATACCTATGAATAATTTGAGAAGTGAATTAAACCATGTTGTATATCCTTACCTGAATATTTATGTGCTTTAGGCATACTTAATTTTAATAATGTATTGACACATTTCCTATATTTTAGGGTAGCATCTAAAAAACAATCACATACGTTCTTGAGATGCTGAGTTACCCATCCTATTGATCTTATGTCGAATCATAGGAATAATGCCAAGGGCTAGAAATGTGGTTTATTTAAGGTGTGGCGTAATGTTTCTGAGGTTATGATCTCCTCTTCCAGGGAAAATCTATGCATTCAGATATCGAAGCTGAACAGAAGAAATTTCACATATCATAGAAGACTTTGAGTGAAGTATTCTAGCCTTGGATGGGAATACAAGTCTTTTCCTTTCTTCCTGCCCAAAGAGTAATAATTCTCACTTGGATCAACGCCTGATCATTATTCTCTGGGATTAGGCCTGGGAGTTCTGCTTAATGAGAGGAATATTTTTCTGGCTTGGCTTAGGTGTTATTTTCGAATCGGATGGTACTTTGAAATGGCTTGTATTGCTAATCTCTTTCAGACTCATTTTCCGGGGAGGCTGTGTAATAAGATAGCCCGGTGCATCCTTTTAACCTCTTTCAACACTAAACGGCCAAATGAAAACATGACTCACAGGAAAGGTAAATCATATAAAATATTATTTAAGTTTGGCTTTAGATTGATCTTGTTTTCAGAGACAAGAATATTTTTCATGGCTTAATTGCACCTCAGATATGTTTGCCAAAGAATGGAAGTACATAGAGATTTGAGGCTAACACCTTAGGAAATAGCAATCAACAGTTTTAACTGGAGCATCTTCAGTGTAAGAAATATACCTGAGATATATAGAAGGCTGGATGACAGTATCTAGGATATCACTTAAATCTTATTATATTGAGTACATAACTAATAATTTGTATTTACTTAATTATAAGGTATTGTAAGATATATTTAGTGTTATAAGTGAGTTAGAAATAAAATGATTCAATAAATTCAAGGAAGAAGAGAGCACAATAAGTATCAAAAGTTAAAAAAAAGTCTACTAAAGTAATGTGTTTATCAATACTGTGTTAACTGCATTATAAATTCACTCACCATCCTTGTGTGAAGAGAATGTTCATATAAAGGATAACTATATTAAAAATAATATTTCTTTGCCATGTACACATACACACACATACACACTTACAACCATGTAAGCAGCTATACTGTGCTTAACTCCTCTATATGCAAAGAGAAAAATATGAGGAATAAGAGTGATATATGCAAAGTCAATGTTAGTGCTAATGATATAATTTGTGCCAAGTGCTCTTGGAGCTTGGTATGTATTAGGACTGAACTTTTATACTGAGAACATATGTTTATGACTCCCAATTAATTAGCACATTGTTATCCTTGTATCTCTGAAGCTTTGGAAAAGAATAGATCTAGCAGAATGGTACAGAAAAATCATCTCCCTATTCCCTAATGCAAAAAAAAATTCTTTTTTTCTTATAAAACAGAATAATATTACCATTAATATACCCTCTAAAATAGAGCTTCTTCTAAATAGTGTTAATTTCTTATCGGTAATTGCATACCCTATAATACAAAACAGAGTACTTACAAGAATGAGGCACTCATGAAATATTTTTGAATTAGGCATTGGCAAAAGGAAATAGTACAAACTAATAACGTGATAAATGATATATTATCTGTAAAGACAATGCAATTTTTCTCATTTTCAAGTAATCAACAGAGCTTTGCTGTTCTTTTTATTCATTTGTAGTCTCTCTACTCGTTAACTAATTCAATATTCTTTTCACTTTCTTATTAAGAATGTTTATTGCTAGTAAAATGGGTAAAAATAATATATTAAAATGTATTATTGCTTTTAAAAATAAATGTGGGTGTGTGTAGTGGCTCATGCTTATAACTACAGCAATTTTGGAGGCTGAGGCAAGAGGATTGTTTGAGGCCAGAAGTTTGAGTTTGCAGTGAGCCACGATTGCATCACTGTGCAATAGCCTGGGAGACAGAGCGAGACCGTCTCAAAGAAAAAAAAAAAAGGAAATGTGTCAATTTATTTAAATAATTACATTCTTTCTTATAGTTCACATTCATAGATATGGTCACAGAATATTGTATTGATTACATCATTTTTTTAAAAAGATAGTCACCAAAAATGTCAATCAGTTGCCTTCCTGAAGTGATGATTCAATTCACTGAAATGGCTATTCTATTACACAGTTATTCATAGAACTACATTTGTAACAGTAAATAAAATAACTTAAAGCCAAGAAAACATACTAAATGTTAAGAATAAGGGGCTTTTCCTATATGAATGGAATATTTTATTTACAATTGATCTGACAAGAGATCAATTTATTACTAAGCTGGTTGATGCATAATAGAGTAACAATTAAGGGCTCCTATTTCTTGAAAGATAAATCTCAAAGTATAACATTATTCCAGGAAATCTGATTTGAAGACATAAGTAACATATAGAATTGAAGAGATAACATATTAAATTTAAACTAAGATTAAGAAACTTATTGAACATAGACAGTTACACTGACTCAATTAAATAATTAAATCAGTTTTGTAGGCAAGGAAATATGCACTTGTGTAGATTGATGATTCTTTAGAAAAATGACCTAAGATGTCAAGAGAAACGTTAGTGAGTGAAAGCCTTCCAGGAAAATGTTCTTGTGATTACTCCCACATTGAAGTACTGGCTCATCTTTATCATCTGAATCAGCTTGTGACTACTGCTGATAGGAAAAATTAAGCATAATATTTCAGAGAATTTGTTTTAATGGTTACAACCATGAGGAAGGGAAAGTCTATGATAGATTAGGTTAGTAAACACTCTCAGGGAATGTGTAGCATACAGAATTGTTACAATTCTTCTCCAAGAGTTTTATATAAAAATGTATATTTGATTTATAAAAGTAGTTTAGGTCAAAGCTTTGTTTTCTTAGTCAACAAGTATTTACTGAACATACACAATGAACCAGGTATTATCCTAAGTTAGAGAGGTGTTCTGTGTCAAGGAGCTTAATTACCATACAAAAAATGATAAGTAAATACACAATTATAATACAACGTAATAAGGACCATTATTTTATAGTAAAATACTACACAAAGAAAAACTTAAGTAGTTGTATCAAGAAAATAAGAAAAAAATCAATAATAATTTGTAGCATGAATGTACCATAGTTCACAAGAATTCAATGAAATCTTAAAATATAAATGAAAATAAGCTTAAGAAGACTAGAAGCATCTCAGAGAAAAGCAAATATAAGGCAATAGGATAGACAGATGAAAAATATCTAATAAATAGAGATAAATAGAGAGAAAAAGAGAAGCTGCAAAGAGCAAGTTTTGCATGTCCAATGTCATGTCACAGAGTCACCAGGTCACCGCTTATTCTTTTTTCTTTTTTTTCTCCAAATCCCAAGCACTTCTCACCATGGATCCCTATTTTTCAATGTGTTTTTGATGGCAATACAAGAGAAGAGGCTATGATGCTGTGTATAAACGTCCATATCATATAAATGATTTGCATTTGTCTTGTAGAAATTAGGAGCTGTTCATTATTTTTATGCAAGAAAAATGACATAACAGTTTTAAAGT
Source organism: Homo sapiens (assembly GCF_000001405.40). NCBI lineage: Eukaryota > Metazoa > Chordata > Mammalia > Primates > Hominidae > Homo > Homo sapiens. The sequence continues at coordinate 65,828,996 of NC_000004.12, read as the reverse complement.
TGTTGCTCTAAGCATTTAGGATAGAAGAGAATGGAGTAAAACTAAATGTTAGGAAATATAATGACAACTGGAGCAAGGACTTCTGATTCTTATAGAAGGCAGGCAATGAATATAGAGAAGCTTTGAAGGTATTATTTCAACATATTTGGACATCTGTTGGAGTTAGGAAGATCAAGAAACATTACATATTTTTTCGCATCTCTTTGGTTATCCATATATAGTTTAATCCACTTGGGAAACTCTTAACATCTAAGTTGTATCTCCTCTCTGAAGATGTTGATGACCACTTGTCTTTCGATAACAAATAACTGGGCATTTCGTTGAAAACCTTTTTTCTCTAAAGCACTTTTGCTGCTTTTCTGATTACTTTAAGTGCAGGTGTTTTGATATTTTTCAACTCTTTATTACTGTAATTTTGCATGTTGTATAGGAAATAGAATATGCTCTTTTTTTTCATGAGTTAAACTTATTTAACTAAGTGAAAAATGTCAAGAATAAATGACTCCAAAAAATCAAATGAGTGACTATGCTATTACTTAACATTAGTAGAATAAATAAATTGTAAGGGACAGAAGTATTTATTTCTGCATGTAATGAATTTGTTGTAATTAGAGTCAGATATGACAGAAAGAGACAGTTGAAACTTATGGAGATAGACAGTAGAATGATGGTTAATAGAGGCTAGGAAGAATAATGAAGGCAAAGGGGGTGATGGTTAATAGATATAAAACTACAATTAGAAAGAATAAGAGCTAGTGTTTGGTAGCATGAAAGGGCAACTATAGTTAATAATAATTTATTGTATATTTCAAAATAACTAAAAGTGTAGGATTTGAATGTTCAAAACACAAAGGAATGATAAATACTTAAGGTGATGGATGCCGCAGTTACCCTGATTTGATCATTACACACTGTATGCTTGTATCAGAATATCACAGGTACCCCATAAATATGTACAAATAAAATTTTTTAAACAAATTTGTTGTGACATTAAATATTTCAAATAAACAGCTATGAATATCACTTGGGATATCTGAAGAGTTTTGGGAGTGAAGGCATAGATTTAGGAAGCAGCAATTCCAAGATAATTCTTAATGCATGAGGATTCAATGTGGTAGCAAAAGAACACATAAACATAGCAGAAGAGCTTTGGTCAGAACCTGTGTAAAACCAATACAATGAAATAGTTACAAGAGAACATTAGATACTTAAAATGATAGATAGCAGTGACCAAAGACAAAGGAAGAAAATAAAAAAGAATGCTGTCATGAAAGATAAAATATTTTAAAGAGATTGAAAAAACTAAGCCTTAGGGGACAAAAATAAATATATTTACTTATCAAAAAGCAGAGGGAGACACAAAAAAGTAGGGAATAAAGCAAGTAAAAAATAAAGCACAACAAAATTAACTAAATTTTTAAAATAGTTATAGTTAATTAGGAGACAATAATTATTCCAACTAGGTGGGTCATAGAAGGCATGCCCAAAGACGTGTTATCAGGATTATTGTTAAAAAACATTGTGCAGGTAAAGCTGGAGGTTTGAAAGAGTGAGAGCCCCATAAGGAAACATTAGGAGTAAGAAAATCAGAATTCATTTAGGTACCCTTAGGTTGTTCAGAGTAAATGGATCATAGAATCTAGGAAAGGGGGCTGGGTAGAGGTGAGACTAAACAAATTAAAGAGAAGTCATACGATGGTCATCCCTCTATTCTATGCTAAGGAAGTTTGGTTTTGTCCTAACAGTTATAAGGAAACATTGACAGATTTTATGCAGAAAATTTACATGGTCAGATTTTCATTTTATATACTCCACTATGTTGTAAATATGAGAGTTGAAAATATTGCAGGCAGAGAACATCTTTAGGAGGCTGGCCTTTCTTTTAAAGTCGCAAATTAAGAGATACTGCACTAAAATTGTCAGCATGTGGAAACAATGCAAGACTGTGGAGTTACAGAAAAGAAGGCAAATGGAAGATTTTAGGGAGTTGTATAGAGTCTCTAGCAAGTCTCAATATGTCAGAGCTCTAGGATTTTGAGCAAAACTGTGAATTTTATGCAAATAACTATTCTATTTTTAAGAAAAAGCTTTTGGCTTGTCATTGGGCCCGAGCAGGAATCTAAAATTCTGCAAACTGGACTGCTCTTTATGAACTGGGTGTTGTCTGATACAGAAAGTCATAAATAACGTGATGTGCCACAGCATTCCATTGTTAAATGGAAGCAATATGTACAGATTGTCCTCACTTTGTATGGCTTCAATATGCACAAATTTCAGTCACCATGGTTTACTTAAACACCAGTCCCCTAACAACACAGTTCAAATTCCGAGAACCATGGCATACTAACTTTGAGTAATTGTATGACATATAATCTTCACTGCTAGTTCTTCAATTCACAAATAACTATGTAAATAACAGATGGACATTATGATCAGTGACCAGTCATGTTACTTTTTTCAAAGTCTATTGATGTTTGGTCAATGAAACTCTTATGTAGTTCATGTTCAGACAGGAAAGAAAATAGTTACATTGCCTCTTTGCCTCCCAGTGATAAACCTATTTGGATATTGACAACAATTGATAATTAAGAGGGAACTGGCCAGCTTAGATGAAAGTGTAACAAAGGAATAAAAAGTGATATCCCTGGAAAATTGAATAAGACATCAGTACAGTTAAAGAAGAAATACCTGAATATTGACGCTACTGCCATGGGAAAGACCCTGAATATGTGGACAGAGGAATACACAGCAAAGGTGAAGTAACTTATACAAAAAGGAAAGTGATGAAAAGTATGATGATATCCCTGGGGAAGTTCCGTATTAAAAGAACTTTCAGAGATATCCCATGACATTGAAAGTGTAAAATATAAAATTCTGTAAGCTGAGACAAACCCAAAAAGAAGTATGACAATTTACCAAGACATAGATAAGATGACCACTCCATCTCTAAATTATGTAATGAGAGGAAGGCAAGCACTGTTCAAACTGCTCTTGATGAGATTTTACAAAGAAATAAAACACTTTAATTCTCAATGTATCGAATGTTTTAAATTATGATGTATTAAACACGTTATTTTTATTTTTTTCAGTTTTCTATATGTTTATAAGCAAAATTGAGAGTTTTAAAATGTTCTGGCAAAAAATTTTATTGGTTGCAGAATAATCATAACTTTGCAAGCTGGTGAGATCAGCCTTTAGTCACTTTCATAGTCCTCTACAGCAAAAATCAGTAATGACTGAAAGCTTTAGGAATAAAAATTTTGTGACTCCAACAGGTGATTAACACCAAATAGCTGAAATACTGACTGAGGAAAACAGCAACATGGAATAGGCAGTGGAAGAATGAAGCAGCAAACAACTATGGTCCATTCAGAAATGAGCTGAAGCAACATACACATATGTATAAACCATTAAATCCTTTCACCCTCCACTCCCTAATTTTATTTCCATAGAGTCAATGTTGATGTTATCTTTACAAATTTGCATTACAAAATATTCAGGTTGGAATTGTAAGTGAACTCAAAGGGGAATTAACATGGTCAGAGCTAATATAGAGGGTAATGACACTATGCCTATCTGCTTTGGAAGAGGGAGATAGTGTCTTATGCAAACCACAGTTGCATCACTTTAAAGGGAAGCATGATATCTTATTATTGCATACAATCTAGAATATAAAGAGAAACAAGTGTTGTGATTGGAAGAAGAGACATGAATAAGCGATGAGTAATAGTGAGTGATTGATTGTGTGTGTCATATGCCTTTTTGCTCCCAACTCTTTCATCTTGAGCAGTCTATAAAATGATCTGCCTGGGTTAGAAGTGGAGAGTAGTATTTTACCCTGAACGACTTTATATTCCTTTTTTTTTTTTGCCCCCTAAACTTTTCCAAGCAACCTGGGTTCTACGTTCCCTACTTCTCCCAATCACTAGGACCCTTTACTGTTTGTAAGAATCTGGGATCACACAAATTATATTTTTCAAGCTTTTTGCCAACTTACTTCTAGTTGTGAACTGCCAATGGGAGGCACTAGTAGGAGATCTGAATATGTACAAAGTAGAAGAGAAGTGACTCTTTTCTGGGTTTTGGAGGAGACTGTGACCTCTGTAGTCAAGGCTTCAAAGTTTCTATGAAGGCATCCTGGCAGCATCAGAACTGATTTGGAGCACAGACTTCGGCAGAAAAAGCCCAAGTTGCACCAGGTTCCTGGACTCTATAATTGTATTTCTCTTTGTGCTTTTGCATTATTCATCCAAGCAACATCACATCCCTTCTTTTCCCTACACTTTTTTGAATAATTTCTATTTACATTTTTTTACTTGAAAATTTATACTCTGTTATACTTTCTGATCAGGTATGACTAGTGATTGATTGAATATTGGGCTTTGGGAATTGGAAGGAGTCAATGATTACAAAACTCTCCTAGCTTAACAAGTATCTAGATGCTAAATAATAGGTTTATAAGCAGTAATAATGTGTAATTAATATGTCAAGTGCTGTCAATATTTCAAGCAGAATGAAGACTGCAAAGGAAACATTGAATTTGTAATTAGGTGCCCCGTTTCAGTATGTTTACCAAAACACCCTTATGGTTAGTTCAGGGTTCTTATTATCTTAAGAGTGAATTGGACATTGAATTCGGATTTCCTTTATTTATAAAACGAATGCGGGTAATATATTTTTAAAACCTAAACTTAAGTTAGTAGCAAAATAAGTTGTAGACCACTCTTTCAAAATGATACGATGAAGGCAAGAGATTTATAGGGTAGTATCATAAAAGGTGACAGAGTTTTTTTTATGATAGGAGATGTGGGAAAATGTGCCATATTTTAAAGCAGAAGAAAGAGAATATACAAGAGGGAGAGAATTAAAATGCCAGCGAAGAGCAGGGAGATTAATAGCCAGTTTCTAAAGGAGAACTGGATCAACCACAAAGATGGCGCCACTAACCCTGTCAGAGCAGAGAGACTCATTTCCAGGAGACTTTATTAAAGAAGGGAAGCAGAGGTAGTTGCTGCTATGAGAATGGGGATGGACTAAGAAATTCATGCGAGATGAATTTAATATCCACACAGCCAACTTTTTACATACAAAATACATCTAAACCTAATTCTCAGTGAACAGCAAGAACAAAGTAAATTGAGGTTGGCGAAGCAAACAAGAGAATAAAATTGGGAAAAAAAGTAAGTATAATGATGGTAAGAAAATAGAAGTATCTAGACCCATTGAATTAATCAGTTTTTGTAACTAGTCACAGGTAAATCCGGAATCTGTCTTAAATTAATTGGGGGTTGTGCTTATATCTGGACCTATGTACAACATCATGTGTAATCTATAGTATCATTTAACTATTCTACCCTAAGTTAGTAGTGTTTTTAAAAAGACAGGGTGTAAACAGTTAAATATATATTGCTGTGTATATACTTTTTTCCAAGAACATTTTTAATCTGTACTTCTCATATATAAATTATAAGCTATAGAATTCTATCTGTATTAGAGATATTTTGTTATGGTATGACAGCACTAGACTGGTAATCCATAGATTTGAAGTATTGTGTCTGCCTATATTTATAAAGCTTTAGACTAATCATTTATTGAATTAAGTTCCTAATGCTGTTGTAACAAATTACCATAAATTTAATACTTTAAAATGACACAAATTTATTAATAGACATTTGTAGAGTTCAGAAGTCTGAAGTGGATTTGACAATGCTAAAAATCAGCATATTTCCAGGGCTAATCTCCTGGAAGCTCTAGAAGAGAAGCCATTCTCTTTCATTTTCTAGCTTCTCTATGCTGCCTGCATTTTGTGGCCATAACACCTTTTTCCATTTTCAAAGCCAGCATTGGCCAGTTAAATCTTTTTCACGCTACACCACTCCAACATAGACTCCTTTGCTTTTTATTTTCACTTATAAATATCCTTTTGATTATGTTGGGCCCACCTGGGCAATCAAGGATAATTTCTCCATCTTAAGATCCTTTACGTAATCATATCTGCAAAGTCTCCTTTGTCATGTAAGATAAAATTTTCACAGGTTACAGGAATTAGGTTAAGAATAACTTTGGTGGGGATGGGTGAGGGTCAGGGCATTAGCATGTCCACAACATTTGATACTTTCTGTGTATCATTTTTTCTCATCTGCAGAATAATAGAGGCATTTGAAAAGACATTGAGAAAAATGCCACATATACACACACTTGTGTGTTTGTGTGTACAAATGAGAGAGAGAGGGGATAAAATGCAATCAGGTATGCATTTTAACAATTGTTTAAAGCTAAAGCATTCTAAGTCCCTAAGCTCCTATTATATAAATTCTCTTGTCCTTTCTGGACCAAATCACTACTTCCACTAATAATAAGACAAACCTGGGTATAGTTTTTAAGAACATAAGTGTAAGAAAATATGGAAAAAACACAAGGTACAATGATCTCTAGATCATAAGTAATAATGTAACCTTCTCCAAGCTGTATATATTGTCTGAGAACATTTGAGTTTGTGAGTCATATTATTTAATATGAATCTGCTATTCAAAGGAAGTGCAATATAACAAGAAAGAATTTACTATTAGAGGACACAGAGGATTTTACTCTTCCATCTTTATCTCCCCTCTTCTCCTTAAATGCTTCCAGGAAAGGAAAAACTTTTACTGTCTTTAAAGAATCCATTTGAAAACAGTCCCTACCAGAGTACATGAAGAGTTTCCAATATTACTGAAGTGTTTAGAAATTTGAAATGTTTGATGATGACCTCAAAGAAGAAAAAAAATGTTTTTTTCTTCTGAAAATATGATTTCCTCAGCTGACAGCCAAATTTGAAGTTTTCTTCAGCTGCCTAGCTACCAGCTTTGAACTCTTTTCCCATTTAATACTACTCCACTAGTACTACTACTACTGCTAATACTAGAGATCTGTTATCCTCTAAGGACATAGTTTAATTAAATATTTAATTATTTGTCTTAAAAAATAAAAGGAGGAAGGAGATTTTAAAATTTATTTTTCATTTTATATATTTAAGGTGTACAACGTGGTGCTTATATATATATATATATATACACACATACTAAAATAGTTACTACAAATAAGCAAATTAATATATCTATCACTTTCCATAGTTGTGTGTGTATGTATTAAAAGCTCCTAAAATCTAATCTTTTTGCACATTTTCAATATACAATAGAATATTAATTATAGTCCTTCTGATGTGCATAGTTTTTAGGCATATTTATATTTAGGTTTTAAGCATATTCATCATACATAATGTCGAGTTTCCACCCTTTAACTTACATATCATCATTTTTTCCCCTCCCTGCCCCTGGTAACTACCTTTCTACTCTCCCTTACTATGTATTGGACTTTTTCTTGATTCCACATATAGAAGTGAAATAATGCAGTATTTTTCCTACTGTGTCTGGCTTATTTCACTCGGCATAATGTCCTCCACTTTCCTCCATGTTGACGCAAATGGCAGTATTTCCTTCTTTATTAAGGCTGACTAATATTCCATTGTGTTATATATACCACAGTTTCATTATTCATTCACCTGTGGACTGACAATTGTGTTGTTTCCATATTGTGCCTATTGTGAGTAATGCAGCAATGAACGTGGGAGTGCAAATAGCTCTACAAGCTGCTGATTTTATTTCCTTTGGCTATATATCTGCAAGTAAAATTTCTGTATCATGTGGGAGTTCTATTTTTAAGTTTTTAGAAAATTCTATACTGTTTTTAATAATAAATTTACATTTCCACCATGTGAATCAATGGTTCACTGTGGTTTTCATTTGTATATTTTGTCATTGTGATGTTGAGCATGTTTTCATATACCTCCTGGCTAGTTATATGTTGTCTTCAAAAAACCTCTATTCAAGTTCGTTGCACCATTTGTAATCAATTTACTTATATTTTTGCTACAGAGGTGATTTGTGGTTAATATCCTTATATATTTTGGATATTAACACCTATCAGCTGTATGGTTCACAAATATTTTCTCCCAGTTCATAGTGTACGTTTTCATTTTGTTGATTGTTTTGCTATGTAGAAGCTTTTTAGTTAGAGATAGTTCAATTTGTCTAATTTTGCTTTTGTTTCAAGTACCTTCTGTGTAAAATAAAAAAAAAATGCCAAGGCCGGCGTCAAGGAGGTTTAACTTTATGTATTCTCCTAAGAGTTTTATGGTTTCAGGTCTACCTTTAGGTCTTTAAACCATGTTTAGTTGATTTCTGTGTATGGTGTAAAAGAAGAGTCCCATTTCATTCTTTTGCACGTGGTTGCATAGTTTTTCTAACACCATTTATTGGAGAGACCATCCTATCTCCATTGTCTCTTTTTGCTATTTTTTTTTTCAAAAATTCGTTGCCAATATGTGCTTATGTTTATTTCTGTGTGCTCTATTCTGTTCCATCAGCATATGTGGCTGTTTTTATGCCAGTGTCAAGTTGTTTTGGTTATTATAAGTTTATAGTATAATTTGAAATCAGGAACTGTGATGTTTTCAACTTTATTTTTCTTTCTTAAGATTATTTCAGCTATTTGGGGTTCTATGTGGTTACATACAAATTTTAGGATTATTTTTTCTGTTTCTGAGAAAAAATATTGACGTTCTTATAGAGTTCATTGAATCTGTTGACAACATTGGGTAGTGTTGACATTTTAACAATATTAATTCTTTCAATCAATCTATGGACATGGAATATCCTTTTACATATTTGTGTCTTCTTCAATTTATTTTTTCGATGTTTAATACTTTTCAGTCTACAGATTTTTTTTATCTCCTTAGTTAAATTTATTTCTAAGGATTTTTATTTTTGTTGTTATGGGATTGTTTTCTTGGTTTGTTTTTTCAGAGTAATTGTTAGTGTATAGAAACACTACTGAGTATTGTATTTTGATTTTTTACCATCCAATTTTATTGTTTATTAGTTCTAACAGGTTTTTTGGTGGAGTTGTTAGAGTTTTCTACATATTAGATCATGTCACCAGCAAACAGAGAGACTTTAATATCTTCCTTCCTCATCTGGATGCCTTTTATTTCTTTCTCTTGCCTCATTGATCTGGCTAAAACTTCCAGCACTATGCTGAATAGAAACAGCTAGAGAAAATAGAAATAGATAATAAAAAGCAATCAAAATTGTTTTCCAATAAGATCTTAGAGATAAAGCTATTAGTTTTGTTGTTGTTGTTACTATTGATTATATTAGTTGTAAGATTTTCACAAATGGCCTTTATTATATTGAGGAAATTTCTTTCTATACTTGTTTGAGAGTTTTTATCATGAAGTTGAACTTTATTAAATGCTTTTTCTGCATCTATTAAGATTATCATGTGATTTTCATCTTTCAATCTGTTAATGTGGTTTATCATATTATTTTGGCAGGTATATTTAACCAACCTCGCATCCCAGGGGTAAATCCCACTTGGTCATAAAACTCACTCTAGTATTTCTTATAAGGCAGATCTAACAATGATAAACTCCCTCAGCTTTTATCTGAAAAAATCTTTTGCTCCCCTTAATTTTCAAAGAACAGGACTTCTGAGTATAGTCTTCTCTATTGGCATTTCTTTCTCTTTCAGCACTTTGAACATATCATTCCACTCCCTTTGACCTGCAAGGTTTCTGCTAAAAAATCTGCCGACAGTCTAATAGGGGCTTCTTTATCTGTAACAAGTCATTTTTCTCTTGCTACTTTCAAAATACATACTTTGTCTTTAACTTTTGACAATTTGATTATAATGTGTCTCAATGTGGATCTCATTGGATTCAACTTATGTGGTATCCTCTGGGCTTCTTGGATTTTGTTTTATATTTCCTGTCCTGAGATTGAGAGTTGTCAGCCATTATTTTTTAAAACAAGCTTTCTGTCCCTTTTTCCCTTTGTTCTCCTTCTATTACTTTAATAATTCATACACTGTTACCTTGATTGTATACTGTAAATATCCCTTAAGCATCTTTACTATTTTTAATTCTTTTATAAAATTTTGCTCCTCAGATTAGATGATTCCCAATGAATTTCTCATTGAGTTTACTGGTTTTTCCTCTGCTTGATCTAGTTTTCTGTGAACCATTGATTAATTTTGCAGTTCAGTTACTGTAGTCTTCAGCTCTATTATTTTGATTGGTCTATTTTTGTATTTCTTTATGTTTGCTAAAATTATCAGTTTGTTCATGCCTTTTTTTCTGGACCTCAGTGAGTATCTTTATGACTATTTTTTGTATTACCTGTTGGGTAAGTCACATACGTTTATTTCACTAGAGTTGGTTCTTGGGGATTTATCTTGTTCTTTTATTTGGAAAATATTTCACTGTTTCTTCATTTTGGCCGACTCTCCATGTTGGTTTATACATGTTAGATAATCACTTCTCCCAGTTTTGTCAGATTGGCATCATGTAAGAATAGACTTCAGCAATCAGCCTTGCAAGAGATCCTAGGTTACTCTCAAATTTTTGTGCTAGTTCAAATCATTGCAATTTTTATTAGTTGCCCTAGGAGATTAGAATGTGGCAAGTCCTATCAGTGTGTGGAGACAAGCACGATAGAAGCCAGTCCCTTGAGATGCAGCTGGATAGGCTGGAGTGCTTTGTGTGCTCCAGTTCCTTCTATCTTCAGGAAAAAGATAACTGACAGCTAGAGTTTAATTCTAACTCACTCTGCACTAACCCAGGGAGAAAATCTGAAGCAAATCCCTGTGTTTTCATTCATACGGCACACTCTGGACCTGGGGAGAATAGCTATTTGATATGCACCCAAACCATGCCTTTGTCTCTGTGATCTAGGAAAACTCAGGAATATAGAGCTACATCAACTCTCAGAGCTAGCTGATTCACGAGCCAAGCTTTAGGATGGGAGCTGCAAAAGTTGCAAGTCTCAATGTGTGCACACTCTTTCCAAAGAAAATCTGCAGCCCTTGCTTTTTTGCTAGAGCAAACCTGGGAAGAAGGTGAGGGAAGTAGCCACACTCTCATTCAGATGTATGGAGGTCTAGTGTTTATCTGCCCCATTGGCTCTCAGATGTAAGCTAGCCAGAAGTTCAACCCAGGGGCAGCAGCTGGAATAGTGTGCAAGTAAAGGGAAATTGGGATCTGGGCATTCTCTCTGGACTGATCCTGAGGGAAATAGCTGCTAGAAGAGAAGTGTTAATATGCCCATTCAAAATCACCTCCTCGTTCCCTGAGGATCGAGGAAACTCATAATGCCATGTCCATTCCACTTCTAGAGACAGGTGATTTAAGAGTCAGATCCCCTGGTAAAATCCATAAAAGTTGGGGTTCTGTATGTGCGGCCAAAACTCTTTACTCCTCAAGGAGAAACTGGGAGTTGAGGGTTCTTTTCCAATTGCAAGGTGCTGAGTCTGAGGTGGGTTTTGTGTGCAAGGGTTTATCAGATTTTTCTATCTTTTGCTGTGAATATTTTATCAGCTGTACTGCGTGGAGGACTCTCTCAAACTAGTCTGTGGCTTTTTCTCGAAGAGAATTGATCCGTGTGTAGATGTTTATTTACTGAGTCTGTGGGAGGAGAGACAGTCAGTAGCCTCCTATTCTGCCATCCTACTGACATCACACCCCAACCCCTACCCTGAGAGGCACTATTATTTACATTTTAAAGAAGAAGAAATTAAAGCCCAAGAGATTAGGAAATTTGCCCAAAATTGCATACAAGTAAGTGACATAGTCAGAATTGTAACACTTGTAGTCTGGCTTCAGAGCCTTATTCTTAACAGCCTTTTTATTGTTACATGAATAGAGCAAGGTTAACGACGACCACACAGCATCCAATCTTAATTTTAATTTATGATTCTTATCAGAGAACTCCATTAGCCAGTCTTGACAGCTAAGTGAAGAGTGTATAGAATATTAAACATTGCTCTTTTGCATATTAGTAATAGACTAAAGGATGTAATTTGACTGTGAAATCTCTAGTCTTCCTCTATTGTTTAAATGACTTCAGAATAAACCAAGTACATGTTGACTCACTGGAAGAGATCAATAGCAACTGTACAGTGGAGATTACACCATTAAACAGCCCATGTTACATCAATATCTGCAGAAAGAGTTAGACAATGCTGTACACTATCTCAGACTGTTCTTTTCTGATCCTAGAACTGCTCTGTAACTAAATCAGCTGGGAACATGGAGTTAGCAGAGCTGGTAAACAGTGAACACAGAGTATGTCAGCAGAAGACTTCATGTCATGAGTTAATGACACAATACAATTAGGAAAATAAATATCAGTGCTAAAATACAAACCCCATGAAATTGGATTAGAAAATAAAATCCAAATAGATGCTTTGTCTGGGTACATTTGGATAATTGAATACTCATGTGTATTTCTAACAGCTCTTAAAGACTTGCAGAAAGATAATTAACAAAAATTATTTAAACATACAGGTTCAGTGAGAATACAAGATGAGATGACAGGAGATGAATAATATCAATGATATTTAAGGAAGGAAAGCAACAAACCATTAGTACCTGGCTTAGCAGAGCAGAGAAGCTAAAATATAAATGTGAAGGTTGGGAGTGGTGGGAATCTTGCACAAAATTCAAGTTGCATAATCTCAGGAATACTTAACAATTGCAGCCACCAACTTCTTATTGTGGGGCTGAGGGTGTGGAGATAAAGAAGATAAATTAGTTATATATCTTTACAAAAAGCTAAGACACTACCATTTTCTCTCTCTCTCTCATAATGAAGTGGTATTTGCTCCATTTGCAGCCTATAATGTGTAAAGTTTATAGAAAACTTGAGATAGAAAGATTAGAAACATAGTCAGGTATGTTAGAGGACAGAAGTAAAGCACTATAATAAAAAGAGAGATAAAATGAAAATTGCATAATGAAAAGGGAGACCTCTTTATTTCCTTGCCCACTAAGCTCCAAAAGTATTGATAGCTAGACTAATAAACTTCAGGCAGAAGACTGAAAAATTATTTTACTTGGGAAATTGATTAGCCAAAGAAAAAAATCTCTAGAAATAAGGACCCGGAGGCAGGCAGGGTGTGATGAGGGAGGGCTGAGTGCCAATGAAATGGTAGGATGGCTAGACACTAGGTGTGGTGAAGAACGACGAGTAAAAACTTTTGTAGGTCCATGATGTGCTTCCTTAAATTTTGGCAAAATTCTAAGCATTCAGAGATTATTAGGAAAAAGATCTAATGTGGAAGTCAGAGACCAAAGCTTATATTACATAAGTCTTAACAGAATAATACAGTTTTATATGTCTGTGAACATTTAAATATATTCTTAAACAGATCACATATATATTTGTGTATATTTATATTGATGTATAATATATATCATACACAGCAAGAATAACCTCTTTATTAGTCAGGGCTCTCTAGAGGGAGAGAACTAATAGGATATATGTATATATAAAGGGAGTTTATTAAGGAGTATTAACTCACACTATCACAAGATCTCACAATAGGTCATCTGCAAGCTGAGGAGCACGGAAGTCTGTCCATGTCCCAAAACTGAAGAACTTGGAGTCTGATGTTTGAGGGCAAGAAGCACCCAGCAGAGGAGAAAGATGTAGGCTGGGAGGATAAGCCAGTCTCCCCTTTGCACGTTCTTCTGCCTGCTTTATATTCTGGCCACACTGATTAGATTGTGCCCACCCAGGTTAAGGGTGGATCTGCCTTTCCCAGTCCACTGACTCAAATGTTAATCTCCTTTGGCAACACCCTCACAGACACAGCCAGGAACAATACTATGTATCCTTCAATCCAATCAAGTTGACACTCAGTATTAACCATCACCAGTGCAAACCTTGTCAATTTGAAGCCATACACATCTCCTGAAATCATCTATAATCTTCAAAGAAAGATAATAATAAGGTCATAATTATACCTAACATAATACAACTCTCCTTCGTACAAACGGAAACACACCAATTACCAACCCAAATGCTATTACATAAAGTTAACATCACTTAAATGCTGATATGAAGTCAATAAATCTTATGTCACATGATAAAGGAAAAAATGAACATATTTTCTTAGTACAAATGTATACATGCACAAATATGTTTTTAACAAAAGAAGGAGGAAATATTCATGACAATTACAGTCCTCATTTCTGTAGCTGGTCGCGTGGATATAGCTGGTATTGATGACTAGCTTCTTCTACTACCGATTCTGTATTCCCTTTGCCTTTAGCAAGCACCTCAGCAGGTCATGTTTTTGTTGTTGTTGTTGTTGTTGTTGTTGTTGTTGTTGTTGTTGTTTTTTCCTGGTGGAGTGACCCAAACTTTCATTCCTGAAGGGTCTGGGCCATTTGTGGTCTTGCCTAGATTGGGCTGTTGTGGTTTCCCAATGACCTTAATCACAGGGCTTGGTAATACTAAGATACTCCCTAATGAATCTCCTATATTCCATACATACTCTTCCTTACCTCCGATGTCGAATAGCAGACTGATTTCATCTTTTTTTTTTTTTTTTTGAGAAGGAGTCTTGCTCTGTCACCCAGGCTGGAGTGCAATAGCACAATCTCGGCTCACTGCAACCTCTGCTTCCCGGGTTCAAGAGAACTCGTGCCTCAGCCTCCCAAGTAGCTGGGATTATGGGCACCCACCACCACGCCTGGCTAATTTTTTTGTATTTTTAGTAGAGACAGGGTTGCACTATGTTGGCCAGGCTAGCCTCGAACTCCTGACCTCAGGAGATCTGCCCGCCTCAGCCTCCAAAAGTGTTGGGATTACAGGTGTGCACCACTGTGCCAGTCTCTGATTTCATCTTGATAGTCTGTGTCAACCACCCTAGCCAACGCCGTACCTCCTTTCTTAGCCTGTTGGCTTAAAGTTAGGAGGAGTCCAAAGTGTCCAGGTTGCATTCTTAATTTCCAGTTTAATGGAACCGTTGTTGTGTCTCCTGGTGGCAGGGTTCCTACCTCTGTAACTAAGATCTGTAGGCCAGCAGAATGTAATGTTGCAGGAACAGGAAGCAAAAATTTTCCTTGTGGGTCACTGGGGTGATGGCAAGTGTTGCCACTTCCATTTCCACCCCTTGATACCTGGACTCATGAATTCTGGCCATGGGAGAAACAGTACCATATATTGGGTGCTGGTTCAGAGCATACACGGCCTTCTCCAGAACTTTGCCCCAGCCCTGCAAATTGTTGTCACTTAATTTGTGTTGTAATTGTGACTTCAAAAGGCCATTCCACCATTCTATCAATCCAACTCCTTCAGGATGATGGGGAATATGGTAAACCCAGTGAATTCCATGAACATGAGCCCACTGCTCAACTTCTTTAGCCATAAAGTGAGTGGCTTGGTCAGAGGCAATGCTGCATGAAATACCATGACAGCAGATAAGGCATTCCGTGAGTCCACCGATAGTAGTCTTAGCAGAAGCATTGCATGCAGAATAGGTGAATCCATATCCCAAATAAGCGTGCATCAGTGAGGACAAACTGCTGCCCTTTCCATGATGGAGGAGGTCCAATAGAATCAACCTGCCACCAGGTAGCTGGCTGATCACCCTGAGGAATGGTGTCATATCAAGGACTCAGTGTTGGTCTTTGCCACTGGCAAATTGCGCACACTCACCAGTGGCCGTAGCCAGGTAAGCCTTGGTGAGTGGAAGTCCATGTTGCTGAGCCATGCCTAACCTCCATCCCTGCCACCATGGCCACATTGTTCACGGGCCCACTGGACGATGACAAGGGTGGCTGGGGAAAGAGGCTGAGTGGTGTTCACAGAACAGGTCATCCTATCCATTTGATTATTAAAATCCTCCTCTGCTGAGGTCACCCATTGGTGAGCACTCAAATGGGATAAAATATCTTCACATTTTTTGACCACTCAGAGAGGACAATCCACATACCTATTCCCTAAATGTCTTTGTCAACAACTTTTCAATCATGCTTCTTCCAAGTCCCTGACCATCCAGCCAAACCATTAATTGGCTATAGCCCATGAATCAGTATATTATATTATTGCACATCTGACTATTTCTTCTTCCATGCAAAGTGCACAACCAGGTGCACTGCTCCAAGTTCTGCCCAAGGGGAAGATTTCCCTTCACCACTGTCCTTCAGGGATATCCTAGAAAGGGGTTACAGTGCTGCAGCTGTCCACTTTCGGGGTGGGGGAGTGCCTGCATATAGTGCAGAACCATCTGTGAACCAGGCCCTAGTCTTCTCTTCCTCTGTCAACTGATCATAGGAAACTCCCCATGAGGCCATCAGTGCAGGCTTGGGGAGAGAAGGCAGGATGGCAGGAGTGGAGACCATGGGCATTTGGGCCACTTCATCATGTAACTTACTTGTGCCTTCAGGACTTGCTTGAGCCCTATCACGCATATACCACTTCCATTTGATGACGGAATGCTGAGGTGCACACCCTACTTTATGGCTAGATGGGTCAGAAAGCATCCAGTTTGTGATAGGCAGTTCAGGTCTCATGGAGACTGGATGACCATAGTTAAACATTCAGTTTCCACCAAAGCCCAGTAACAGGCCAAGAGCTGTTTATCAAAGGATAGTAGTTATCTGCAGAAGATGGCAAGTCCTTCCTCCAAAATCCTAGAGGCCTCCACTGTATGGTGGCCTGCCAAAGGCTCCAAAAACATCCCTATCTACCGCTGATACTTCAAGCACCATTGTATATGCTGGGTCATATGGCCCAAGTGGCAGATCAGCTTGCACAGCAGCCTGGACCTGTTGCAGAGCCTTCTCTTGTTCTGGACCCTACTCAAAACTGGCAGCCTTTTGGGTCACTTGATAAATGGGCCGGAGTAACACATCCAAATGAGGAATGCATCGTCTCCAAAATCTGCACAGGCCCCCTAGGCATTGGGCATCTTTCTTGGTTGTAGGAGGGGCCAAATACAGCAACATATCTTTTACCTTAAAAGGAATATCTCAACAGGCCCCACACCACTGGAACCCTGGAAATTTACTGAGGTAGAAGGTCCCTGAATTTTAGTCAAATTTATTTCCCATCCTCTGGCATGCAAATGTCTCACCAATAAGTCCAGTGTGTTTGCTACTTCTCACTCATTGGATCCAATCAGCATAATGTCATAAATGTAATGGACTAGTGTGGTATCTTGTGGAAGGGAAAAGTAATCAGGTCTCTATGAAAAAGATTATGACACAAAGCCAGAGAGATAATATATCCCGAGGTAGGACAGTAAAGGTATATTGCTGGCCTTACCAGCTGAAGGCAAATTGCTTCTGTTGAGCCTTATGGACAGGAATGGAGAAAACGGCATTTGCCAAATCAATGGCTGCATAACAGGTACCAGGAGATGTATTAATGTGCTCAAGCAATGAAACTGCATTTGGTACAGCAGCTGTAACTGGAGTCACCACTTGGATAAGCTTAGGATAATCCACTGTCATTCTCCAAGATCCATTTGTCTTCTGCACAGGCCAAATAGGAGAGTTGAATGGGGATGTGGTGGGAATAACCACTCCTGCATCTTTCAATTCCTTTATGGTTGCACTAATCTCCACTATCCCTCCAGGGATGTGATATTGTTTTTGATTTGTTGCAGGAAGTCAGGGACCCTGAAGCCATGGCAGAAGAACATAAATTGTGAACATTTCATGGACATTTATTAGTTCCCCAAATTAATACTTTTATAATTTCTTACGCCTGTCTTTACTGCAATCTCTGAACATAAATTGTGAAGATTTCATGGACATTTATCACTTCCCCAATCAATACTCTTGTGATTTCCTATGCCTGTCTTTACTTTAATCTCTTAATCCCATCATCTTCTTAAGCTGAGGATGAATGTCGCCTCAGGACCCTGTGATGATTGCATTAACTGCACAAACTGTTCGTAAAGCATGTGTGTTTGAACAACATGAAATCTGGGCACCTTAAAAAAAAGAACAGGATAACAGCAATGTTCAGGGAACAAGGGAGATAACCATTAGGTCTGGCTGCCTAAGAGCTGGGCAGAACAGAGCCATATTTCTCTTCTTTCAAAAGCAAATAGGAGAAATATGGAACGGAATTCTTTTTCTCAGCAAGGAATATCCCTGAGAAAGAGAATGTGTTCCCAAGGGGAGGCCTCTGAAATGGCCACTTTGGGGACGTCTGTCTTTTACAGTTGTAGATATGGGATGAAATAAGCCCCAGTCTCCGGTAGGGCTCCCAGGCTTATTAGGACAAGGAAATTCCTGCCTAATAAATTTTGGTCAGGCAGGTTGTCTGCTCTCAAACCCCGTCTCCTCGTAAGATGCTATCAATTACAATGCGTGCCCAAAACTTCATTAGCAATTTTAATTTTGCCCCGGTCCTGTGATCCTGCCCTGCTCATCTGCCTTGTGATCTTTTATTGCTCTTAAAACGTGATCTCTGTGACCCACACCCTATTCGTACACTCCCTCTCCTTTTGAAAATCACTAATAAAAACTTGCTGGTTTTGTGGCTTGGGGGGCATCACGGAACCTGCCAACATGTGATGCCTCCCCAGTACATCCAGCTTTAAAATTTCTCTCTTTTGTTCTCTTTCCCTTTATTTCTCAGACTGGCTGACACTTAGGGAAATAGAAAAGAACCCACGTTGAATATTGGGGGCTGGTTTCCCCTGATATTGATTCACTATTTTTCTAGGTACAGACAACTCTAATGGCTTCCATTTGTCCTTTCCCACCATAGTAGCCCTTGCCTTACCAGTCAGGGAGTCAATTAGGGGTTCTGTCAGCTGCTTAGTATGTCTATGCCAATTATGCATTATGGCACTGGGGAAGTGACCACAGGATGAGTCTGGGAACCCACTGGACCCACTGTAAGTCAGACCTAAGCTAAAACTCCATTAATTACCTGACCACCATAAGCCCCGACTTTAACTGGAGGATCACAATGACATTTTGGGTCCCCTGGAATCAACATCAGCTCAGAGCCAGTGTCCAGCAGTCCCTGAAATGTCTGATCATTTCCCTTTGCCCATTGAAGTTACCCTGGTAGAAGGCCATAGGTCTCCTTGGGGAAGGATGAGAAAAAGAAAAACAGCATAAATTGTTGGTAGTGTAGTGAGGTTCTTTCTCAAGGGGATGCTGACTCCCCTTCATTCAAGGGATTCTGGGTCTGTAAACTGGTTCAAGTCTGGAAATTGATGAGGCGCCATGATTCTCTGTTGTTATAAATCAAATTAGTCTTTTGTGCACTCGACCTGGAAGTTTTCTGCTCATATAAATTAAATAAGAATGCGGTAGGCTCCCTATCAATTTCACTTCTAGGAACACAATGATTAATTAGCCAATGCCAGAGTTCTGCAGAAGTCAGGCTCTTCTGATTGCCGCTTTGCCTCTGCTGTCCATTATGATAGCTATGATCAAATCGCCTTTGAGGGGTGAGTGCCACCACTTGGCCCCTGCCACTTTGGGGCCAAATTATTCCTATTGCATTTAAATTGTGTAGTTGAGTAACTACAGTTTTTACTGTAAGATCTGGCATGCAGAAAAGAGGAATCACAGAGCTCTTCAAGGATGCAGGTGCTGCCTCACAAATCTGGTTTGCAGAGTATTAAACAGGGGTATATCTTCTGGACCCTCCAAGCTGGGATGAGTAGGTCTAAAGTGGCTGATCCACTCCAGCATCCCAATCTCCCTAAGCCTTTGGGTTTCTTCTTCTACATTAAACCAAGGGAGATCTGGCATTTCCAGCTTGCTTACAGTGGGCCATCTTTTAATTAATATTTAAGCTAACCAACCAAATACACTATTAGAACCTTTTTTAACTTCCCAAGCTGAAACATTAAATGGAGTATCCATGTTTGGTGGCCCCAAATCAATAAATTCAGCATGATCCAATTCTATGTTCCTTCAACTATTATCCGACACCCTTAATATCCTTTCTCATGCCTGTTTTCCAGATTTCTGCTTATATAAATTAGAAAACTCAAGCAGTTCTTTTGGAGTGTAGCACACCTCCTTGTGGATCAAACTCTGAACCTCATCTCTAGGGTCTTGCTGGGACTTTACTCTAGTTATAGTTCTAGAAGCAAGCAGCGTTGTTGGGATGGGCCCTGAGGAGAATCAACATTGTCTTGCCTGGCAACTGCCTCAGGGGAAGCCACCACTATTGCCTGAGGCAGCACAGAGTCTATCTCCTCAGACGAAGGTGGAGAGGCTGATGGCAGTGTGGGTCTGGTAGGGGATGTTGCCACTATTGGGGATGTGGAAGCTGTTTCTTCTGGCAAAAAAAGTTTCATCAGAGATTACAAGCTGAGTGTCTCCAGATTCATCAGGGTCCTCCCGCACATCCCCATTCCAAGTTGCAGGGTCCAATTCTTTTCCAATCAATGCCCTCATTTTAACAGCAGACACCTGGTGAGGCTGTGCATGCACCTTTTGTTGCAAGTCAGCCACTCTCATGATAAGAGCTTGTGTCTGTTTTTCCACAATTTCAGCTCTTTCTCTATAGGAGATAAGACTGTCACTCAGGGAAATCTTAGTAGATTAGATTAGAAGATTTCAGGCTCTATTTCTGCTTCTGAAGCAGGGAGTTAGAATCACTGAGTTCATAATTTTCTTTCATCACTTTGTCCAGTGAACTTAGGAGCAACCAACCAGCTTCATTATGGTCCTTGGTTCTCCGCATATTATCAAAGGTATTATGTACAGAGTCACAAAACTCCTTGCTTCTCATGAGTGGTGAATCAAGAGTGTCAAATGCATTTATTTTGCATAACTCTCTCTAAACACTTCACACCAAGGACAATCAGTGCTCTCCATACTATTAGAAGTAGATTCCTTAGCATTTTGGGGTCTAATCATATTAAGCAGCCAACTCCAGAAAACTCAAAACAAATGAAAGGACTTTATCCTTAACATTGTTTTCCTCTAGCACCACTCCTGGTACCAAAATCTGTATTAGTCAGGGTTCTCTAGAGAGACAGAACTAATAAGATAGAGGTATATATAAAGGCAAGTTTATTAAGGAGTATTAACTCACATAATCACAAGGTCCCACAATCAGATGTCTGCAAGCTGAGGAGCAAAGAAACCTGTCCAAGTCCCAAAGCTGAAGAACTTGCAGTCTGATGTACAAGGGCAGGAAGCATCCAGCATGGGAGAAAGATGTAGGCTGGGAGGCTAAACCAGGCTCATCTTTTCACATACTTCACCCTGCTTTTTATTCTGGCCATACTGGCAGCTGATTAGATTGGGCCCACCCAGATTAAAAGTGAGTCTGCCTTTCCCAGCCCACTGACTCAAATGTTAAACTCCGTTGGCAATGCCCTCACAGATACACCCAGGAACAATACTTTGTATCCTCCAATCCAATCAAGTTAACACTTAGTGTTAACCATCATGTCCTCAGAGTAATTAGATAACCTTTTGCACCCAAAGTTCCACAAGTGGACATATATGAAAACAGAATTTAGAAATCAAGTAATTAAAATATGGTGAATTATAAATAAAATAGAATGTTTCTTCAATTACTAAAAGATTAAATTTATGTAATATAATAGAAAATATAACAAAAAGTCAAAATACAAAAAATAGGAAAACAAAAAATTTTTAAAGGAGAGATCAAGCCAAGTATTCAACAGGTGTCTCATAATGTTTCCAAAAGAGAAGAAATAAAATAAAGAAATTTGAAGATCACTTCCTGGTCTTTTGGCTAAGAGCAACTGCAGTATCTGTTCTTGTCAGTTTAATATGTGATATATCCCTTATCTGAGACAACATATTAAATGGACTTTTGGAACTAGGAGATGGACTAGAAAGTTGCCCCACTTGCTCCATGCCTCCACACATTGACTTGATATTGCAGTACTTCCAAAAAAAGAAAAGAAAAGAAAAGAAAGATTGGGGAGAAAAGTACAGTGTAAATATTTCTAGAAAATTCCTGAAAATGAAGATAATTTTATTTATTGATTTTGATGGTATGTTTGATATTCAGATTGACTTGGGCACAGTCCAAACTATTCAATAAAACTCTAATTTAGATATGCTATGACAGTATTTCAGAGATGCAAGTAAAACCCCTAATTGGTTGACATTAAGTAAGAAAGATTACAGTATTTTTGGTTATCTGGGTGGGCCTGATTGAATTAGCAAGAGAGAGAAGTAATTCCTTCAGTAGATGAGCTCATCTTTCCTACGGATTGTGAACTTAACTTATCCAGGCCCTTGAATCATAGAAATTTCTTTATATGTCTATGTAAGCATATAAATATGCATGTGCATACACACGTATCTCTTTCATACAGGTTCTCTTTCCCTTCTTGAACCACAAGTGATATGCCAATTGAATGGGCTGATTTAGAGACTTCATTAACACAATAATGAAGTGAGCATGCCATTCAAAAATTTCAGAATACCTAAGGAATTAAAGAAAAATCAAAAAAAAAAAAAAAAAAGAAAAAAGAAAAGGTGAGGGAAATACGTTACACAGATACAAGTTCCCAGGACCCAAGTAGCATTAAAACATTCAACAATGCTAAAATATAGTCTATGATGCCAAAGTGACTTTAATTACCTGAAGTAAAATAATTTATAAACAAAAACTGTATAGTCCATTTTATGGGTTGAAGTGAATCTTCCCCAAAATGTGTATGTTGAAGTCCTTAGTCCTAACTCCCAGTGCCTCATGACATAATCTTTTTTGGAAATAAGATCAATGTGCACATAATTAGCATTGGAGATCAGAAAACAATACCCCAAAAAGAAGGCATCAGCAACAGCCACAGAAGCAATTCTTTTTCTGTAACCTTCCCTTGTCCTCCTGTCTCTCATTTCCATTCTACCCCAAGAGTAGCCACAGAAACTAGAATCTCTCTCTCCAAGGTGGGTCATAGAAACCACAACCTCTTTTCCCAAAAGCCAGTCATAAAACCTGTAAGTAGTCTGTGTAAAAACTGGCCATAAAGAAATTATCTGACCTACCTGGTTTGACTATGAGAGAGGCCCTGCCCCATACCCAGAAAAAAGAAATGCATGCTCAGACAGGTCAAGAAAAATCTAGACAGACAGGTTTTACTGGGTTTCCCCACTAAATTTATTAATCAATTAACCTATCTATTAACATTAGATTATATCCTTTTTATCTAATCATATTTCTACATGGCTGTCCAAACTTTGTTTAACACAGCATAAAAATGGACAATTTCCTCTGCATCTTCAGGTCTTTATTTTTAAGGCTACTATATATATAATGTTATTTAAATTTGTGTGTCTTTTCTCATATTAATCAATCTGCTTCACGTCAGTGTCTTTCAGTGAACCTCCAGGGACTCAAGAGTCTTGGCCACTAAATTAGTTAGGTGAGAACATAGTGAAATAGGATGGGCCTCTACTCCAATATCATGCACTTATGAAAAAGGGAGACTTGGACATAGACACACATACAGAGAGAACACCATAAAGATATTAAGGCGGAGAGCTAAGAGATGATTCTATAAGCCAAAAAATACCAAAGAAGATCAGCATACCACTGGAAGCTAGGCGAGAGGCATGAAGGAGTTTCTTCCTTACAGCCTCTAAGACACCTCAAGTGGAACCAGCCAGCCCCCCAGACACAATGATCTTGGACTTCTAGCTCCAAAACTGTGTGGCAATCAATTTCTGCTGTTCAAGCTAGTCAGTTTGTGACACTGTGTTAAGAAGTCCTGATGAATTCATAGTCTAATAAATTAACAAACAGAAATAAGAAAGATTGCAAACACTCCCAGAGGTGCGAAATATTTAATTTCCACGTGTCCTTTCCCAGAAAGCTAACGCAGAACACATTTCACATAAAAAAAGAAATAAATTAACAAAGCAAAAAAAGGACTAAATACAAGATAAAGGCTAAATAATTTTCCAGAATGATGTTAAAGGAAAGTGTGAGTGAGGATGCCAGCTCTGCAGCTGGCAGTTTTCTAGCCGTATGTATAGGAGCCAAAGGACAGAGGACTCATAGAGGAATAGCCACGTGATCAAATATGGAATGATAGATTCCACGATGCACTTAACACTGAGAAGAGATTGAGAATTCTGTTGAAAATTTTAGGAAAAAATGGGTACTGAGAAACTTAGGCAAGGCCAGGCATGGTGGCACACGCCTGTAATCCCAGCTACTGAGAGGCTGAGGGAGGAGAATCACTCAAACCCGGGAGGCGAGGGTTGCAGTGAGCTGAGATGGCGACGCTGCACTCCAGCCTGGTGACAAGAGCAAGACTTTGTCTCAGAGAAAAAAAAAAAAAAAAGTAGGCAAATGAAAGCAAGGCAGTCATTAGGTCTGAAAACTATTAAGAAAAGATGGAAATGAAATCATACAAGAGTATGTGGCTTCTGTGAACAATAAGAACATAATCATAATTATATAAAAATGATATAAACTTAACAATACGTGAAGTATAATCACATTTGAGCATGTGGGGGGAAAGAAGGTATGTGTGAGCCTGGGCATAAAGAAATGAAACCTAAAATATCATTATACATCATTGAAAATGGTTCAATAATTTTAATTTATGAAATCAAGAAATGGTAGAAAAATTTCAAAAATATGATAGAAGATACCTGAAGAAATAATTCAATAGTGACTGAGCTGGGAAATATTATCAGCATGGAGGAATATTTTAATTATAAGCTTTAGAATAGTATTTTCTTTATAAATTTTATGCATTCATTAAATGAACACCAGATTTTTTTTCTTAATAAACTGCTTTGGACACTCTTCAAATCAGTCAAAAATGAAAAACTGCGTAATTATAACTTTGTTAATATACTACCTTAAATGTACATTCACTTGTAAATAAAGCAGAAATCAGATATATGAATATAAGTACACTTATTATATAATCTTGCTATCCGGGTAGAATTCTGTAATTCTAGCAAGGAAATGTGATATGGAGTTCTTATGTACAATCTTTAACCCAAGATGAATTAATTGGCTGTTACATAAATATAAAGGGGGTGTTTTGTAGGCAAATTTGACTTTAGGATGATAAACAAAACCTTATGTTTCAATATTTTAATTGAGAAAATATACATAAGTCACTTAAGTCACCATTTTAATGTGTACAATTCAATGGTCTTTAGTGTGTTCACAAAGTTGTCCAGATATTACCACTAATTTCAAAGCTTTTTCATCCCCTCCCCCGAAAAAACCCCATCCCAGTTAGCACTCGCTCCCCAATCCTTCATCTTCCTTATGTCCCACTGGATGCTGGGAGGGAATATTAACATTCTATCTTTAGGGATTTCCTTATCTGAACACTTCATATAAACTGCATCATGCAATATATTAACTTTGTCTCTAGATGCTTTTATTTAGCATAATAGTTTCAAGGTTCATTGATATTGTAGCATGTATCAGTATCATATTCATTTTCATGGCTCAGTGATATTTAATTATATAGATACCTCATTTTGCTTAGCTATTCATTAGTTGATGGACATTTGATTTTTTCCCACTTTTTAGATTTTATGAATAATGTAATGAACATTTGTGTATAAGTTATTGTGTGTATAATACTCATTTAGTTCACTGGAATATAAATCTCATACCACAATTACTGGGTCATATTGCAACTGGGTCAATGATTAAGTTTTTCAGAAATTGTCAAAATGTTTTCTAAATTGACTGTACCATTTTACATTCCCACCATCAATGTATGAGTATCCCAATTTCTCAGCATCTTTGCCAACACTTATTCATGTCTGTTTTTTTATTATATTCACCAAGTGGTTTGTGAAGTTGAATCTTTTGTGGTATGATTTACATTTCTCTAGTTACTAATGCTATTGAACATATTTTTATATGCTTATTGGTCATCTGCATATCTTCTTTGGAGAAATGACTATTTATTCCTTTGACCATTTTTCAAATTGGTTTATTTGTGTTTTTACTGTAGAGTTTTTGTTTTTTTATTCTTGTCAATATGATAATTAAAATCTTTCTTGGCATATGTTGATTTTTATGAAGAACTGAAATGGGACAAAAATATCTTCATAGTCTATAGATACTTGAAGAGGTCTATCCACCTATGTTTTTTTCAGATCTTCTTGTTACCAGTTTTTCAACTGCCTCTTTTAAGTTACCTGATCTTTAAACCAATCTATTAAACACTTGATATTAATCAGTATTATTTTGTACCTCTGACCATCACGCCTTTTGCTATTTGTTTTCTGTATGTAATAAGTTGTTTTTTTCCATCTGTTCTCCCTAACTTCCCACTTTTGTTATAGATATTCTCTAGTGTGCCATTTTAATTCCATTGCCAATTATATTTATCATACACACACACACACACACACACACACACACACACACCCATAATTGACAGTTTCTAGTAGTTTCTCCCAGGATTATAATTTGCGGCTGAATTTATAATGATCTAGTTTGGATTAATAGCAAATTAATTTCAATAGTATTCAAGAAATTTGCCCTTACATATAACATTATTTTCTCTCTCCTCCTTTTTGCTGATATAGTCCTACAAATTACACCTTTATACTTTCCATTCTCTCTTAGTCTATTTTGTGTTGCTAGAAAAAAAATCTGAGACTGGATAAATTTTAAGGAAAAAAAGTTATTTAGCTCACAGTTCTACAGGTCGAGAAGTTCAAGGGCTTCTGGCCAGGGCTTTCATGTTGCAAAAAAACATGGCTGGGAAGGTCAAAGGGGAACTGAAAACATGCAAAGAGGGAAAACCTGAGGGGTGTCCTCAGGCTTTATAACAATCCACTCTCTCAGGAACTAATCCATTCCTGTGAGAACAACTGCAGTCTCATGAGAGCAAGAAGTCACTCACTACCTGGAGAACAGCACATAGCCACTCCTAAGGGATACATACCTATGACCCAAATACCTTCCTGTAGGCCCCACCTGCCAGCACCACCATGTTGGGAATCAAATTTTCAACATGACTTTTGGTCTGGACAAATAAACCATATCCAAGCCATAGCACATGCCCAAGAACACAAACTAATATTTGCTGCTTTATTCAATTGTCTCTTAAATCAAGTAGGATAAATAAGTTGTACCCAAAACATCCATTATGTTGTCTTGTATGTTTATCTGTGTAGTTATCCTTACTGGTGCTCTTCATTTCTTCATATAGATTCAAGTTACTGATCAGTTTCTTGTTATTTCAACATTTTATCCTCAGGAAATTTATTTATTTAGTATTTCTTGTAGGGATGGCTTGCTAGTGACAAAGTTCCTCTTTTATATTGGGATACCATTATTTATCCTTAATTTTTAAAGAAAAATTTTGCAGGGCACATGACTTCTTTAATGTTAGTGTTCTTCTTTTGGAAATTAGAATATATCAACCCACTATTGATGGTCCCTATATTTTCCGAGTCAGGATTTATAGTTTGTAGATTACAATGTTAATATTGCATTTGAATAAAAAGAGCTGGCTAAGTAGTGACTTGTTTATATGGTGAAACTCTTGAGGAATTGAAAACAGGTGAGCAGCTGAAATAATAAAATGTGCTTTGGAGTTTCAAATCAGGAAAATAAGTTTGCTTGCTCTTGTGTTAAGAGGATAAAGGATGTGTGTTTTGAGAGAAATTGGTAGGAAAAGAACGAACTGTTATATAACTATGATCTTTTTAAGTAAGTTAAGCTTGTGTGCTGTAATTGATTATAAAATAAGTCAAGAAGATAAGCCAAAGGGTAACAATGAGAAGAACAGCTTCTTGATTTAAAAAGTATATTTTCCAAGAGGAGGATAGGTTGTATAAATAGCATCTTGAGATTCACTTTGAATGAGTTTGAATAAATAATACATAATGAAAGTACTTATTGAGAACAGATTATACATAACATAACTGTAAAAATGTCCCATGTGGTCCGGAAAAAAAAGAACGTGTAAAAAATTACAAAACACATATATATGTATATATTAATTGTGTCTCTTTCTGTATTTTTGATACTTTAATAACTTGGGGACTCTGTGAGTGTGTTTTTCATATGCAAACCAACCAATCCACAGTGCATGGCCCCAGCTACCACTTTTACTCGGCTCTTACACTCTGGGCTGCTATCTTCCTTCCTTAATCATTCTAGGACCAGGTATTAGACAACTAGGGATGCTCAGTGCCCAATGAAATTATTCAAACTAGCCAATTCTAGGCTTGTTACCTTGCCTAACCCATTTCTTCTCAGAGAAACTAAAATAAAGGCTCTTGCACCTGTTTTCCCTCATTTACTCTGCTACTTGAATGATCCTGATGCTTTTCTATGTGGCCCTATGTGGTATGGAGTGTCTCCTGTCTCTAGGAACCTGTGAGGGAAACCATCTCTCTTTACGACAGTCATTTCTGTGTCTGCATATCTTAAAATTCTGGTTTTTTAAAAAAAATTGCTGGGTACCCTAAAAATAATACAGACACACACACACACACATATATACACACACACACATAATATATACACAGACATATATGTATATGTAAGTGTATGTGTCAACATATATATATATACGTGTGTATTTATATATATATATATACACACATATATATGTATATAAGTTATGCGTGTAATTTGTATATAATACTATGGTCCAATAAATAAGAGGTCAAAATTGAGATCTTTAGCTTGGAGTACATCATCTGTTCACTTTGAGTATCCAGATTGCTGCAACAGCTTTTCTTCTTGTTTGCATTTGAAACATGTTTGTCCTGTGGAAAAAAAAAATATGCACATTCTCCATCAAAATACTATTTAAAATCTGATATTTATTGACACATATTTCTATATGAGAAATCTTTATGGAATATAATGGATAATAGATGACTTTTAATATATCACTCAGTTGTTTATATTTAAAAAAGAAACTATGTTAATTCACCTTGCTAGAAGACCTAAGTAATAAAAAAGGTGACTGTGACAGAATCCCTACCCTTGGGAATCCCAGCAGGATGTCAGGCAAGAATATAAGTTATTAAGCAGGCTATGATAAGTGCACAAAGAGAGGTATAATGTGCTAGGAGGGATCATATGCTGTCCAACTGTGATGAATCCCAAGAGAGAACAAGTAGTAAGTAGTAAGATTTGAAATCAGCTTAGAATAAAGAGTTAAACCTTGACAGGCAGCCCAATAGAAACAATAGCATTCAAACAGAGTCAGGAATGTGACCAAGAATAAAAATAAAGAAAATGTGGGCACAGGCTAGTTATGCTGCTGGCTTACTAGAATATTAGTCAATGCTAAAGGAGAATTGGACGATGATTTTGGGGACAAGTGCCAAGTACAAACTGAAGAGGGCCTTGAAAGTCAGAGCACGTTTTTTGGAATTAAGAAAAATATCCTGGCCGGGCGCGGTGGCTCAAACATGTAAACCCAGCACTTTGGGAGGTCGAGGCAGGCCGATCACTTGAGGTCAGGAGTTCGAGACCAGCCTGGGCAACATGGTGAAACCCGTTCCTATGAAAAATACAAAAATTCGCCAGGCTTGGTGATGGGCAACTGTAATCCCAGTTACTCGGAGGCGAAGGCAGGGAGAATTGCATGAACCCGGGAAGTGGGGGTAACAGTGAGCCGAGGTCACACCACTGCACTACAGCTGGGGCAACAGAGACTCAGACCCTGTCTAAAAAAAATAAAAGAAAAAGAAAGAAAGAAAAATAAAAATATCTTTATGTGGTTACTGTTTTAAGGATGATCAAATCTCACCCTGCTTAATTGTTATGATAAAATATTCTGCTTGATTGATAGTGTTAAGGAGTTCACTACCTTTTTCTTGAGCCACTATGAACTTTGAGGGATTTTGCAGTGTGTTGCAGGTTACATTCTCTGGGAAATTGACATTGGGGTGGAGATTAGAGCAGGAAGTGAATTAACAAACGCTCTTGGGCTCAACACCTGTGGAATGAGATGAAAGGAAGCAGAATCAGACAGAAGGAGATGTTGAGCAGCAATGGAGTCTTCATGGAATTCTCAACTAACCTTACAGGGAGATCTGAAAATTGAATCACTTTTCAGAACTGTTCCCTGTTTGTGGTTAAAGTGTCAGGTTTTAATACTCCTGTGTAAACCAGTCATTAAACACTAGTTGCCCCAAGAAGACATAATCTTTTCGAGGTGGCTCTCTTCTGCTGAGGCAATTATTAAACCAGGCTAACACTTGAGAGCTTCCTGCCAGCAGCACTCAGAGCAACTGGGATAACTTGTCCTTCACTCCTAAAGGAAGAACTAAACAGCACATGATAGCATCTAACACACAGTGTCCTCCACTCCAATTCTAGGCCCAGCCATCTGATATGATTTGGCCAGTGGAAGTTAGTAAATGTGACAACAACACAGGTTTGAAAAGCACTTGCGTGATTGAGCTTTTCCTCTTATTTCTTCTACTCTGCAATTAATTGAGAACAGGTCTGGGCTTGCATTCCAGAGATAAAAAGGTGGCTGATCCAAGTGCTACAAACTGTCTATGCTGAGATCATGCTAAATCAGCAGTCACTCAGCTGACCCCCAAGGGCATGTGTGTGAGGCAAGAGCTACACAGCCACTTACATGACCTGCAGTAGATGACTGCATGTTTGTTGTGTGCCATTGGGATTTTGTGATTATTTGTTATTCAGCATTATTATTGTAGTAAATAATATATTAGCTAAATACAAAATATTATAATAAACTTTATATTTGAAAGGATTTTGATATAAATATTTCTCTATGGATAATTTTATGGCTTATACACCATTTCAGAGAGAGTCTTGTCTGAAGTAATGTAACTCAAAAATTGATCTGTGGATATTTGCTAATGGCAGATGAGAGCAAAAGGTATTACACTTACTCAGCCAGGAGGTGTGCATTGCAGCATATCTGCTCTACATTTCTTCCTTGATAAAGGTCCAAGAATATATAAATCATGATACAGTCAAATGAAAAGAATAGCATGTAGGTAAAAACCAAAAAGTTATTCCTTAAGTGTTCTACATTTTGTCTTGATGAGGAAACAGAAAGTTCATTTGATTAATTCACAAGTCATCACTTTATATTTTACATTAGATATTCCTGAATTTAAAAAAAAATAGACTTCGGGATTTCTAGACAATTAACTCAACTATTAAGTAGCAAAACTTATATTATTCCAGTTATTGTTATTCTTTTTTGTTTTTTTGTTTGTTTTTGAGACAAACTCTCACTCTGTCGCCCAGGCTGGAGTGCAGTGGCGCGATCTCAGCTCACTGCAACCTCCGTCACCCGTGTTCAAGAGATTCTTGTGCCATAGCCTCCCGAGTAGCTAGGATTACAGAGGCCCACCACCACGCCCATCTAATTTTTGTATTTTTAGTAGAGATGGGGTTTCACCATATTGGCCAGGCTGGTCTCAAACTCCTGACTTCAGGTGATCCATCCGCTTTGGCCTCCCAAAGTGTTGGGATTACAGGCATGAGCCACCGTGCACAGCCTGTTATTCTTTTAATCAGAAAGTCAGATTTATTTATTCTAGATTGGGTAAAACACATAACAGAACTTTGAAAAGTGTCATAGTTAGAAAGGCAATCAGAAAGCGAGTTTCAAGGACCATGTTTCTCAATTCAACTTTGTCACTAGATTAAAGAAAAATCAGTCAATGCCAAAGTATCTACCATCCCAATAGAATACTAAATAACTATTGGATATATGTATAATTATATTACACTTTTTTGACTCAATTTCATTAGAAAAAGGATGAGTTTATTTCTCTCCATTCCAATGCAGGATAGTCAGGAAGTAGTGGTCAAATGGTTTCTTTATGAGTTACTTTACAGAAACTAAAATTATATGACAACAGTCTGGTTAAATCTTTAGTTTTCATGATTTGGACTATCTAAAATTAAATTAGCTCACAGCCTTTCATTCAGATGCAAAGTATTATTTAATGTTTGAAGGTATTATTTCTATCATAAAAAGCAGTTTATCCAAATAGGATGCTGAAGATACTTTTCTACAGTCCTAGAGCCTTTTTCCTTTCACCTAAGCCACTCAACCTTATATTAATAGATGCAATTTCTTAAAATAGGCATGTTTATGTAAACCTCAGGCACAAATCTTAAAATAGAAGAGAAAGCCAAATTTATTTAACATAAAGACTCCATTTAGCCTCAATTCTTTTATGTTTAATAGAGTCTAGTACTGTAAACTATTTTTTGGGACCTTTTGATAATAATGATGGTGATAATGACTATGACAATCATGATCTTTTAGCAAATCACTTAATATAATTGACAATTATACAAAATGAGAAGTTATCATTACCCCATATAAAAAATAGAAATAGCCTGTTGTTATAATTTCTTTTTTTTAAAGGCCAGTTGATCAGTCACATAATGGTGTCACAAGCACTTTTTTCTAAAGCATTGGTTTTAAAAGCTGAACAGTCTAATATTTCCTAAGTAGTAATAACTATTATACAGTGTAAAAACAGTCAAAGTACTGGGTTAACATTTACTGATCACATTTAAATTTGATGAGCAATTTTTCTTTCTTTGTAAAATAAAAAAGTTTGCTCCTAATAATTATAGCCATGTAATTACTGTAGTGTATTTTATTAATTATAAAATACAATAAATATACATATAAACATATATGTACATTTGTATGTATTATGTATATATAAAAAACTTTAACTTTCATAATATTATAGGTAATTAAGAAAACAGTTACATTTTTGTAATCTGGAAGCCTTCATGTCAATGTTGGGTATTGACTATATACAACAGTGTTTTAGGGAATTCCTGAAAGAAATAGCCAATAAAAGCTGGGTGCGGTAGCTCATGCCTGTAATCCTAGCACTTTCAGAGGCCAAGGCAGGCAGATCACAAGGTCAGGAGTTTGAGACTAGCCTTACCAACATGATGAAACCATGTCTCTACTAAAAATACAAAAATTAGCCAGGCATGGTGGCACGTGCTTGTAATTACAGCTACTCAGGAGGCTGAGACAGGAGAATTGCTTGAACCCAGGGGGTGGAGGCTGCAGTGAGCTGAGATTGTGCCACTGCACTCCAGCCTGGGTGACAAAGCAAGCCTCCAAAAAAAAAAAAAAAAAGAAAGGAAGGAAGGAAGCAGGGAGGGATGGAGGCAGGGAAGGAAGGAAGGAAAGAAAGAAAGAAAGATCTTTCCAAAGAAAGATCCAAACTTTTTAATACTTTTTAATAAAGCCCTGTGTAATCTTAGTGATATGGTTTGGCTGTGTCCCCACCCAAATCTCATCTTCAATTGTAGCTCCCATAATTTGTACATGTTGTTGGAGGGACCTGGTGGGAGATAACTGAATCATGGGGGCAATTTTCCCCATACTGTTATCCTAGTAATGACTAGGTCTCATAAGATCTGATGGTTTAATAAGGGGTTTCCCCTTTCACTTGGTTCTCATTCTCTTCTCTTGTCTGCCTCCATGTGAGACATGGCTTTCATCTTCCACCATGATTGTGAGGCCTCCCCAGACATGTGGAACTGTAAGTCCACTAAACCTCTTCGTTTTGTAAATTGCCCAGTATTGGGTATGTCTTTATTAGCAGCATGAAAGTGGACTAATGCAGTAAATTGGTATCAGTAGAGTGGGGCACTGCTGAAAAGATACCCGAAAATGTGGAAGCAACTTTGGAACTGGGTAACAGGCAGAGGTTAGAACAGTTTGGAGGGCTCAGAAGATAGGAAAATGTGGGAAAGTTTGGATCTAGAGACTTGTTGAATGGCTTTGACCAAAATGCTGATAATGATATGGACAATGCAATCTAAGCTAAAGTGGTCTCAGATGGAGATGAGGAACTTGTTGGGAACTGGAGTAAAGGTGACTCCTGCTAGGTTTTAGTAAAGAGACTGGAGGCATTTTGCCCCTGCCCTAGAGATTTTCTGGACTTTGAACTTGAGAGAGATGATTTAGGGCATCTGGCAGAAGAAATTTCTAAGGAGCAAAACATTCAAGAGGTTACTTGTGTGTTGTTAAAGGCATTAAGTTTTAAAAGGGAAACAGAGCATGAAAGTTCAGAAAATTTGCAGCCTGACAATGCAACAGAAAATTACATTTTCTGAGAGGAAATTCAAGCCAGCTGCAGAAGTTTGCATTAATAAAGAGGACCTGAATGTTAATCTCCAGGACGATGGAGAATATGTGTCTAGGATGTGTCGAAGAACTTTGCGGCAGCCCCTCCCATCATGGCCTGGAGGCCTAGCAGGAAAAATTGGTTTTCTGGGCCAGGTCCAGGATACCTCTACTGAGTACAGTCCATGCACTTGGTGCCCTACTCCAACCTATTCAGGCCATTATTAAAAGGGGCCAAGGTACAGCTCAGGCTGTGACTTTGAAGGGTGCAAGCCCCAAGCCCTGGTAGCTTTCATGTGGTGTTGAGCCTACAGGTGCACAGATGTCAAGAATTGAGGTTTGGTAACCTCTGCCTAGATTTCAGAGGATGTATGGAAACGCCTGGATGTCCAGGCCGAAGTTTGCTGCAGGGGTGGGACACTCATGGACAACCTTTGCTACAGCAGTGAGGATAGGAAATGTGGGGTGGGTGCCCCCATAGAGTCCCCAATGGGGCACTGCCTAATGGAGATTTGAAAAGAAGGTCAACATCCTCCAGACTCCAGAATGGTAGATCCACTGACAGCTTGCACTGTGCACTTGGGAAAGCCAAAGATATTCAATGCCAGCCTGTGAAAGCAGCCTGGAGGGGCCCTACACCCTGCAAAGCCACAGAGGCAGAGCTGTGCAACACCACGGGAACCCACCTTTTTTATCAGTGTGACCTGGATGTTGGACGTGGAGTCAAAGGAGATGATTTTGGAGTTTCAAGATTTGACGGCCCTGCTGGATTTTGGACTTTCATGGGGCCTGTAACCACTTTGCTTTGGCCAATTTCTCCCATTTGGAATGGCTGTCTTTACCCAATGCCTGTATCTCCATTGCGTCTGGGAAGTAACTGACTTGCTTTTGGTTTACAGGTTACAGGCTCATAGGTGGAAGGGACTTGCCTTATCTTGAATGAGACTTTGGGCTGTGGACTTTTGAGTAATGCTGAAATGAGTTAAGACTTTGCGGGATTTTTGGGAAGGCATGATTGGTTTTGAAATGTGAGGACATGAGATTTGGGACTTGAGACTTTTTCTTCTACTAGAACTATAAATTTAGTGTTGCAATAGCAGTGACAAGTATACTACTTAGTGCATAATAAATGCTCATTAAATGTTTGGAGAATGAAAAATAAGAAAGAAAGGAAGGAAAAGGGGAAGGATTAAATGAAGAAATAAAAAAAAAATGAAGGATAGATATAAAATCTTGCAGTGAAGGCCTGGCACATTGGCTCACGCCTGTAATCCTAGCACTTTGGAAGGCCGAGGCTGGTAGATCACTTGAAGTCAAGAGCTTGAGACAAGACTGGCCAACATGACAAAACCTCAACTACACAAAAAATATGAAAAATTAGCCAGAGGTGGTGACATGCATCTGTAATTCCAGCGACTCCAGAGGCTAAGGCAGGAGAATCGCTTGAACCCAGGAGGCAGAGGTTGCAGTGAATCGAGATCGCATAACTGCACTCCAGCCTGGGTGACAGAGCGAGACTCTGTTTCCAAAAAAAAAAAAAGAAAAAAGAAAATCTCCCAGTCAACACTAAGTGAAACAATTGCAAGTATTTCCAAATCTATTGTTTTCCAGAAAATAATTCATAGAGATTTGAAGTGTAACAGAAAAATGTGTATGACAATACAATAAATTTTTACTTGAGTTAAACAGAAAAGATTTCATGGACAAATTGATCTCTGAACCATGGTACTTCAGCAACCACCTTTTTGGAGAGCCTGTTGTAAACTCTTCTACTGGACTAGGTATTCACCTATTCACCTGGTCCATTTCACCTGTTTGAATGAATCTACTCAATTAATTATTCAATCACATCACAGCCACCAATTCACTCCCAACTATTAACTTTATCATTTTTCTTTCCAGAAATCAATCTACTCATGTCCTTCTATCTCTATTTGATCAGTTTGGATTCATTGATCCATCTTTATGAACAGTGTTTGTCTACTCTACACACCTGGGAAAGGCACACTCTACATAATGCCATCTCTGTTTACTCTGTGCTTGTCCTGTGTAGCTGAATACTGTTGGTGAATAGCCACAACTATGCTGAGAATTCTTGATTTTAATTCATGGAATTTTAATATTAAATAACTTCTTAATACTGGTTAACATTGCTACAACACTTTTCCGTTATATTTGCTTTGTCTCTTTTCCAAAAGATATTTTCCACACCTCTTTTTCTCTCCTAAAAATTCGTTGGCCATCTCCTCCTTCCTTATTCTTAAATGAAAACCTTGCTTCCTATCTTATTAAGAAAAATAATAATAAAAAAATCAAACTCAAACTCCCTTACCTTCCCTGAAATCTATTAACACATCTGAATCTGTGCCTATACTTTCTGCCTTTCCTCTTTTTCCATGGATAACTTTGAATTGATGATTTTCCACACTTCTATTAATGGCTGACCTTTTTACTTATTCTAAAGATCTCATCCCTTTTTACCTTATCTAAGCTTTGCTTTCAGAATTAATTTCTTTTTTCACATAGTCAACATTTTTTTTTCTCTCTCTCTCTTCTGGAAACAGAGAATCAATGACACCCTATTTGTTATAATCATTATTTGACTAAATATTATCTTTAGATATCATCTAATTTCTCTGCTCCCCTTCACTAAAAAAAAAAAAATCATATTGAAAGAGTTTTCCCTGGTCATTGTCTTTACCTTGTGTCTTTCAGGGTTCAAAAAGGGAAGCAGAACTGGTAGAGAGAGAAAGAGAAAAGGACAGTGTGTGTGAGAGAGATGGGTGGGAGAGTGAGAGAGACAGAGAGAGAGCAAGAAAGGGAGAGAGATGATCTGTTACAGTGACTTGACTAACTTAATTATGAAAACCAACTAAGTTGTCTTTCTAAGGCTGCTGTCTCCATACCGGAACATGAAATCCACAGGGGAGTCAGTCAGGAAGAGAAGGTTATAAGCAGGGCGGAACTTAGAAGCATAAGCTAGAAATCCACAAAAACACATTGAATTCTATGTGGTTTCTTGTTGCCTTTGTTTTTAGTGAAAAAGATGAACGGCAGAAACTGGAGCCCTTTGTTACAGAGCTAAACATATACACCTGGTCGCAGAAACTGAAGAAAGATCCAGAGAAAAGTGGAACAATTGCAAGCCCAGCTGCTGCTTCACAGCAAAGAGGTGACTCAGCAGATCTGCAATAAGTCCGTGAACTACAAAATGACCATTGTTTCTCTTCTTCCTTTCAAATCTTCCAAGAATATCCCTTGCTGCTCACTCTAATGAAAACATGCAAAAGAAGATATTCAGGGAAACTAGGTTGACATATTGCAAAGCCATCACAATTCTCTATCTACATTCCACATTCAACTGTAGTACACAGATTAGGCTCCTCACCTAGCTCTAGTTTGAGACTGATTTCTGTTCTTATTTTATAAGATCTCTTAGAAGTTTTTTGTATAGTTATTGTTTTAAGCAATTAATTACAATTGAAATTTTGGAGGATGTGTGGGGATTAAGTTTCTTTCTGATACTAGTAAATTCCTTCCCTATGAAAGGAGAAATGACTGCCAGAGAGAAATTTTCAGACAGTTGTGACAAAGTTACAATTTTCATCTAAGGTAAACTGGAAAGCAGTGTGGGTCCTTTATTATTATCTTCCCAGGAATATACTAGGATGATGCACGAGTACATTCTAGAAAGGCAAAAGAATTGATATGTCATACATCCTTATTGGAATTCAAATACTGGCCAATCCTGACAGCTGTTCCTAATAGACAATGGATTGTGACTAAAGCCAGAGTCATATGCCTCCCTTAAAGTCAATACAAAAATAAGTTGAGGCTAAAATTACTATTCAGATACTGCTAGGAGTGGGTATAAAGTTATTTATCAAAAGTTTCTCAGATAATATTTCAAAATGAGCTAAGGAAAATTATAAATATTGAAAGGAAGGGGATAAATTAAATTTGTACGAGGAGGTGTGCACAGAGAAATTATAGTTACAAAGGAATATTTGTTAAATGAAAGCAATGGAAAGCTAACAACTTATGGATCAAACAATACTTAACTAAGAGTGCATAAAATCTTTCATATTATTTCTCTCCAGTGGAAGTGTCTCTTTATAGTCTTGTATATTACCTGAATTTTGAAAGTATACATTATTTTTCACTTAAAATATTAATTTTATTTCTAGACTATGTATTTCAGAAGAAAATAGATGTTAACAAAACTAGGATAAAACTAAATTGTGTGTGTGTGTGTGTGTGTGTGTGTGTGTGGTGTATTAACACTCATTATGGGTTATAGCATAGCCGATAAAATACAATATATATTATACTAACCAGGAAATATGCTACATCGTATTTATTGCTGGCAAATATGTATAACATTTTCCTATTTTCTTGTAAAAGATTTATACATTATTTGCATGTATACTAAAGTT
Source organism: Homo sapiens (assembly GCF_000001405.40). Classification (NCBI taxonomy): domain Eukaryota; kingdom Metazoa; phylum Chordata; class Mammalia; order Primates; family Hominidae; genus Homo; species Homo sapiens. Next base: position 65,790,630 of record NC_000004.12, on the reverse strand, counting down.
TTAGCTGAAGTGTTAGGAATGTCAGAGAGATTAACTGAAAAGAACTTAAACTGAAGACAAGATTATGAAAGTAAATAACAAATTTCTTACATTAATTTATATAATTTATAATATAAACTTAATATCTTAAAATAACTTGTAATTATAAATTAATAATAAAATAAGCAATTCATTGTCTTCATTTGTGAAAAGCTCGGCATTCTTTGTAAAAGATCTTGGTCTATGTTTTCCAGTTGTGTCAGACTTACATGGACCCGTGGGATTTATTAACGAGCCTCCAAACTAAGCAGGAAGTGCATTGGCTTGGGATTCTGGGAGAAAATCACCATCCTGAAAGAGTTTGGTGGGAGTGAACTGCAGAGCCTGCAAGTCAAATTGGCTGTAGGTGCATTATGTTGCCGACTTGAACTCTCTCTTAGTTACTCCCACCATTCTCACCAACACCACATGTGAGCACCTAAGTGGAGGGGCAAGGAAAAGTACCTCTATGATGTGGAATCCACTGCTGAATAAGCTGTTGATGAATATCAGGTGTGTCTAGTTATCCAGCGGGTACTTGTAGTCAGAAATTTGCTGAGGTCATCTGTAAAATTCACACCACAGCAGCTTACAATAACATACATTTATTATCTTACAGTTTTCTTAGGCTGGATTCCAGGGGCAGCTTAGATGGGTCCTTTGCTCAGAATCTCAGAGGGCTGCAATCAATCAAAATTTGGCCAGGCTCCATTTTTTCTGAATTTCAGGGTCTTCTTCCAAGTTCATGCGGCCATTGGCAAAATTCAATTTCTTTTAGCTGTAGGCTGAGGTCCCTGTTTTCTTGCTGACTGTCATTTCTGGACCACTCTCAACTTCTAAAAAGCCACTTGCAGCTCTTACTAAATGACTCTGTGATATTTCCACAACATGGTAACATAATTTTTTAAAGCCAATAGGAGAATCTCCATCAAGTCTACTAGGATACAGTCTTATATCATGTAATAAAATCATGGGAGTGATTATTCCATCACCTTTGTCATACTCTGTTCACTAGAAATCGGTCACATGTTCTGCAGCATTCAAGGGGAGAAGATTATGCAGGGCATGGCTCACTGGGTATCACCCTAGAGAGTGGCATATGACTGAGATCAACAGTGTTTAACGCAGCATTAGGAGGATTATAGCTAAAGCATATTATGTGTTAATTTTATGTGAGTGACAACATTTTTAGCCCCACACAAACATATCTTTCATTTTTAGACACACACAAACATCTTACAAACTTCACTGGTACTTATAGCAGGAAAATTACTTTCCCTGACACAATGTGGAGAGGTCTACATTATACTCAGGCAACACATAAAAACAATCTTGAGAATTATGAAAATGTTTGAGAGAAAGTGTCCAAAGCAAGACTGGACTTCATTTTATAGACATATCCACACAAACACACACACACACACAAACACACACACACACACAAAGAATGAGATTTTGGAGAGTAGGAGTTTTCTCTCCCTTTTGCTTTATATATGTAAGAATTAAATATTTTCAATGAATATATACTATTTCCTAATAAATTAATCATTTTTCATGTTTATGATACATAAATATTTGTTAAGTCATTTTGTACAAATGTTGGCAGTTCCTTATTCTCTGCATCTAGTGCTTTATCCCCCTGGTTATGATTATTGCATATTTACCTTGCTGCTCCTTTCTTTACTTCACTGTCTTCTGAAATGTATCGTGAATTTTTATACTGTACTCTGATAATTAATTTTATGTATAAACTTGATTGGATCAGGGGATGCCCAAATATCTGGTTAAACACTATTTCTGGGTATATCTGTGAGGGTGTTTCTGGAAGGCATTAGTAATCAACTCAGTAGCCTCCATAGATTGCTCTCCCCAGTGTGGGCAGGAATCATACAACCTGTTGAAGGAATGAATAGAACAAAAGTCAAACAAAGGAGAATTCCCCCCACTTTTTTTTTTCTTTTTCCTTACCAAACATCTCATCTCATCTTTTCCTGCCCTTGGACTAGGATTTAAACCATCAGCTTCCTGGTTCTCAGGCCTTTGGACTCTGACTTACACCACCAGCTGCTGGGTCTCCAGCTTGCAGGCAGCAAATCTTAGAATTTCTCAGCCTCAATAATCACATGAGCTAATTTCTTATAATAAATCTCCTGTTATACACATATAAAGAAGATAATAGATGTGTGTTCATTTTAGTGGTTCCGTTTCTCTGGAGACTCCTGACTAGTAAATACATATACAGAGATCTACGTATCTCTTTTGGCCTCTAACACCACATGTATTGGAAAATGAACTAAGAGAGATTTACTTAGACATTTTATGAACTCTGAAGTTATTGGCTGGTTTCTTTGTTTTTACCTGTGAGAGAGGATGCTCATTAAACATTTTTTTAAAAACACTAGAGTAATGATTGAATCATATTTGACTAAATTATAGCCCCAAATATATGATGTCGCTCAGTGGCTTAGCTGAATTCAGCACAAATGGAAACTGACTTTCATTGTAAGATTTTATGCTAAATAATAAGAATGTATATATTACAATGCTTATGATATTATTTTTTTATTAACAATTATAATTTAGTCACCATTTATTGAGTCTATTCTATAGACAAAGCACTATACTAAGCATGTGTATAACCTATATATCCTTATCCTCACAAAAGCCGAATAAAGTATCCTCACAGTATTTAGTAAAATGTTCTGCATTACTGGCTTAAAAACTGCAGAGCCTACATTTAAACACAGGCTTCTCTTACCTTTGAATCAATTCTGAAATTTTTCCTGACTCACTGTGACCTATTAGTAAATTTATGTGTGTTCTCTGTCTCTGGTTTTGACACAGCTCCTAAAACCCGTTTAATTTCCTAGGTGATATGGGTATAGAAGTGGCAAAGAGCTCCTAAGTACTTTGAAATTTTCTGGGTAATTGGAGCATTTTTTTGTTCTAATGAGGGGGATTGCTTCAAGATGGGGGCTGGCCTCCGGAAAGATCAAGCTATGATTAGAAGCTTCAAATTTTCAGCCCTACCTCAGCATCCTGCATGGGAAAGACAGAGGGGCAAGAGATTGAGTTAAGAATCAGTTATGCCTAAATTGTAGAAACTCCAGTAAGTCCCTAAAATATTGGGATTTGACTTGTAAGTTGGCGAACATATATTTGTGCCAGGAGCGTGCTGCATTTCCACAGGAACAGAACTCCTGTGTTCAGGACCCTTCTGGATCTTGCCTTCTGCATTTCTTCATCTGGAGTTATCTGTACCCCTTGTCATATCCTTAATAATAAATCACTAAATGTAAGCAGGTGTTTTCCTTAATTGTGTGAGCCATCATAGCTCACAAATTGTTGAACCTGAGAAGGGGTGTCATAGGAACTCTCAAGTTGTAGCCAAGTCAGAGAGAAGTGTGGCTAATTTGGGGACGTATTACTTGGCGATTGTCATCTGAAGTGGGGGGCAGTCTTGGGGGACTGAGCCTTTAACCAGCAGGGTCTGCAGAAACTGTAGGTAATTAGTGTCATAACTGAATTGTAGGACACTCAGTTGATGTCTGAAGAGTTGGATAGTTGGCTGGTGTAGTTAAAACCCCATACAATTTTGTGTTGTAAGTGTTGTGTGAGTAAAGACAAAAATAGTATTTTTTTATTTTTACTTACATTAATGTGCATGAGAAAATACTAAAATATTCCTATATTTCATAAACTCTAAAATACTGTTTGATCCATGAATCTCTTAGATACTATAATATCACATTACAACAACTCAGGATATCAATGTAATTAAAGAACAGGCTTCAATGAGGTTCAACCGTGGTATCTATTTCCTTATTAATTAAATAGCTTATTTGCATATGTGATAAATAATCCAGTTAAAAGGCAGTTTAAACTGAAAGAACACATTACCCACCCTGTAACATAATACTTTCTACTGCAGTAAAGGTATTACTGATTTAAACTTTGGAGTTTCCTTCCTAAATATTTCTTCAGAAATCTAGGTTATATCAAGGAGTAATTATTATTTACTGTTTTTGCGTTTCCTATTTTATGTATTTTACCTCCAAATTTTTAGTCATGTTCTTACACTACAATATCACACAAATAATTATAACGTACCTAAATATATCACATCTCCTAAATGGCATAAATCTTAGAAATCACCTCATCTAAATCTTTTATTTCATAGAAGAAAGGGGTTATGGGAATAATAGAGTAATTTGGGAAATCATGACCATAGGGGAAAAGAAACGGGTGATTCACAGTACAAGGAGGCAATATGCCATGGTTAAGAGCACTAACTTTGAAATTGGAATGATGTGAGTTCTAGTCACAGTCCAACACTTGGCATTTGTGCAACCTGGAACAAAGAATATTTTTTCCTCATTTTTCTGCCTCACTGAGTTGTAAAAGGTTTCAAATAATGCTTTGCACATAGCAGGCATTCTGCACTGGTAACTACAGGAACGCATTACTGAAATAGTTACAGGTAATGGAAAATAAATTGTTCTAGGTAATTTCCATTTGCCACATATGTTAAGATATACCCTCAGATATCACCATTCTCCTGGCACTCTGACAGAATATCTTTTAATAGCTTTCAGTAACTTTCCCTCGTTTGATTACATCTTATTTGCAATCATTCACCCACTAACTTTTTTTAATGCTTAGTGAGGAATTATTACGTATCAGGCCTTTTTTCTAGATTCTATGAATATTTATTGGTCAAAACATGGGAACTTCTTGCTATTTAACTCTTTTCTGTCTTTAAGGAGGCAGAATTTTATAGAATAAAGCTACAGGTTCTTTTGCCCTTTGGCTTCTGGTGGAGTTGACCAATGAAAAGTATCAGCCACTTACCAGGGACAGCAGAGGTAAAAATGTAGGGGGGTATTTTGAGAGTTTTCTTTCTGCTAAACAGCAGTTAACTGCATTTAGGCAACTACTCTCTCCAGTTAGCCTTGCAGGCTTATGCATGGTGACAGGTCCCACTGTGTTTTACTACCCCATATTGATTTTCATTAACCATGTCCACATTTTTTATATGGTCTCTTACATAACCTACTTGAGTAGGCCATCTGTTTTCAGCTTAGACCTTGATGTACTCACTTTAATCCTGAAAGTTGAATTCTCTTATATGCCATGAGATCACTCTTGATTAGGGGATTAGGGTCCTCTGAGCATCTAGGACCCAGTGCATCAGAAAAGTGACTAATATAAATCCAGCTATGAGCTGCTAAATGGGAAATACTAGGAACAGGAACATGCTGTATGTACCTTTATATCCCCACAGTGCTTTGTGCTTCTAAAACTTATGTAAAACTGATTTTACAGTTGTGTTAATTGTACCCCTCAAATTTAGCTCGCTATTTTCCTTTCCTAATGAACTTTTTATCACCAATTCTTCAATTTCATTAAAGATTCCCCTAGTAATTCAGACAGGATATGTTATAGTAGCTTTTAGTAACATTCCCTGTTTATTAGAATAATGTATTCACTAATGTAAAGAATAATTAATGAACCATTCCTATGTGCCATGCAATTTTCCAGGTCCTTGGATATAAATAAGGACAAAACATGAGAGCTGTATTTTAGTGGAAAAATAAACAAGTCACCAAATGCATGAACAAGATAGTTTCAGATTGCTACATAACCAAGAAGAAAAAAACAGTGATATGGAAGAGATAATTGTGATAATTGCCATAAAATAATTCTCAATTTGATATGATAGAGAGTAAAACATTGGGTATGTGTGGAGCAGTAGTATAGACCATTCCATAACACCACTCCATATGTATGTATGTATGTATTATGGAGGATTATGTGCACCCCCTCCTCCTCCAAAGTTCATATGTTGAAGTTCTAACCCCATTGTGATGATATTAGGAGGTGGAGCCTTTAAAAAGTGATAAGGTCTAAATTAAATCAGATGAGGAAGAGAGAGAAATTTCTCTGTCTCTCCATATGCACGCAGTGAGGAGAGGCCATGTTGAGCACACAGTAAGAAGGTGGCTACCTAGAAGCCAGGAAGCAGGCTGTCACCAAGAACCAAATCTGCTGACACCTTGAGCTTAGACTTTACAGCATCCAAAACGGAAAGAAATACATGCCTGTTGTTTAAGCCACCCAGTCTACGGTATTTGATATAGCAGCCAGAATTTATTAAGATAGGGGGTAGTTTAGGTAAAATATCAGGGAGAACGACTCTAAACACGTAACACTTAAATTAACAACTAAAGTGTGAGTCAGAGCCTGCCATGCAACAAAGCTAAAAAGGGGCTACATTTCATCCAAAGAGACAAATGCAAAGTCCCAGAAGAGGGGAAAAGCTTGGGATGTGCCAGAATGAAAAAAGCACCCATATAGGTAGAATATAATAAGTGAGCCCATGAAAGGAATTATAGAACCACATGAACCAGATCATGTTGGGCTTTGTACTCCATAGTTAGAAATTCTAATTTTATTGTTAGTATAATGGTACTTCATGGATATACTTACAATGGAGAATTATATAATTTCAGCTAGGTTTTATTTTTAAGCTGGTAAGAATTAGGAGGCTATTGCCATTATCCATGAGAGAGGCCTAGGCGGTACTCTTGAAAATGGAAAGACAGAGAGAAATTAAAAATCTATTTTATGGGATTAATTATGGGAGACAAAGGAAAGGGCAATATCTAAAATGATTCCTATGATTCACCTTCACCAATTGTGAGAGTGTTGGTAGCATTAACTGTGAGTGAGAAAACTGTGTATTACCTTGTTCTGTACATTCTATTTCTGAAATAGTCCTGACACGTACCCACCCGACAAGCCATTTCTTCAGCAGTGCCTTTAATTCAAGTCTGTTCTTTAAGGACTTTGGCAAAGGTATCTTAAATATTCTTACACAAAATATTCAATACTCAGTTAAAGTATTTATGTTGCTGAAGAAGAGTTCTAGAAGCTCCCCCAACCCCCACCCACACTGAGAGAAACACAAAAAGAATTATTCTTGGCCAGAGACACAACTTCTAGGACTGAGGTTCATGGTTTCTGAAACTAACACTTTTCTAGCTTCACAATCTATTAACCTATTTTTCTTCTTCACACACTACAACAAAAACAAAGTTGGTATTCTCCATTTTCACCCAGTATTTTTCTGTATCCATTCTTTTGCACCTCCTTCCTCTAAATAGAATGAATGTCCTGTCATCACCCCATCCCCATGTGCTCAAATTATTCCTATTATCTAGGGCCCAATACAAATTTTACATTTTCTATCAAGATCTCCTGGAAGTGATTTCTCTCTCCTATAAACACCCATAACCCTTTATTTGTCCCTTTTCATGCCTCTGAATTATTTCTGTCTGTATTATCATTCAGTATGATTATGGAATGTTCTATGCTATAAACTATGTCTATCATCAGAAGAATTCTGTTTGATTAAATTCTCTACAACATTTACCCATACTAGCCTCTCACAAAATGGTAAATGCCAAAATTAATGAAACAGTAGAAGATGTTACTAAATCCAAATGTCTGTTAAATTGAAGCAAATTAACAGTGACGGGTTAAATTAATTTATGTTAGACATTGAATCAGTCAATGTGACCCAGCCAATGTTACCATGTTTTTTAAAATTTAAACAAAATCAGATATATCCACCTATCTACTTTCTATTGGAAGTTCAATGAACTCATCAACATTTCCATGAATTCCTAAAGTCCTGTAATTAATACAGATATTTTGACTCTGAGTTCCTGCTTCTGCCAAGGACCCAATTCCTTTTGCTCATCAGCTCTTTCTAAGGCTGTCTTTTTTCTTTTTCTTCTGTTTCACAAGTTTAGATGTGGAACTTCAGTTCTATTTTCATGATTAAAATTAAGCATGACAAGAAGCACAGAATGAAATACTAAAAATAGTCAAGACTGTGTGTCTAAACCATCATTTGGGTAAGTGAGAATTTCTTTATCCAGGTTGTTGGTCTTTTTATCTAGCTCCAGATTCCTTCCCAGCTCTCAGCACCATTTACCTCAGGAAAAGGGTTTTTCAAGGATAGTCTGGCAGACAAGGGGCTAGGGAATAGGAAATGCTGCTTGATTGGGTTGGTGATGAAATCATAGGGGGTTGAAGCTGTCTTATTGCACTGAGTCAGTTCTTGGGTGGGGATCACACGACCCAGAGGAGCCGGTTTCTTAATGTGGGTTCAGGAGGTACCAGTGGTCTATCATAATGCAGAGTCTGGAAAATACCTCACACCAATCTAAGGTTTTACAATGGTGATGTTATCCATAGGAGAAATTGGGAAGGTTGCAAATCTTGTGACTTCTGACTACGTGACTCTTGAACGTTAATTTTAACTCTGTGGCTAATTTGTTAGTTTTACAAAAGCAGTTTGGGTCCCTGAGTGAGGAAGAGGTTAGTTTTGGGAAGCAGCTATTACTACATTTGTTTTAAAGTTAAACTATAAACTAAATTCCTTCCTAGTTAGTTGGCCTATGCCTAGAAATAGATAAGGGAAGTTTGGAGGTTAGAGGCAAGGTGGAGTAAGTTAGGTCAGATTTATTTCACTGTCATAATTTTTCTATGTCAGATTTCTCTCACTCTTATAATTTTTGCAAAGGCAGTTTCACTAGTATACATTTAACTTTACATACCCTAAAAAACCCTCAATGCAAATTTATTATATGTACTCTAATCAAGCAATTGCATTTTGAACAAATTAAGAAATGTGGGGAAAATGTTATATTTCCCTATACATGTACCTCATCCAAACCTCATCATTCAAATATGTCCAAGTGCCTTTATTATAACACTTCTCTTTAGCATGATTAATTTACATTGCCATTTCTTGTAAGACAGGTTTACTGGTGACAATTTTCCTTAGCCTTTTTTTAATCTGAAAATATTTCATTTTACATTCATTTTCATAATATATTTTATTGGGCATATAATTATAGATTATTTCTTCTATTTTAGAACTTTAAAATGTCTCTCATTACCCTCTTCTTTGTATTTTTCTAAACATAATTGTATTATCCAGCTGAATAGAATCTTTTTTTTTTTCTCTAGTGCTTTTGAGTGGTTTTTTTTCCCTATCTTCATTTTGGAAATCTTACTGTGATATGCTTACCCGTGATCATCTTTATGTAATTCTGACTTAGGGTTAATTGTTTTTTGTCGAATCTGTGTGTCAATGTTTTCATCAAAATTGGAGAAGAAAATTTAGGTATTATTTCTTCAAAACTTTTTTCTGTCCCTATCTCTCTTCTCTCCTCTAAATCTCAGATTGCATGTTTGTTGTACTGCTTGATATTGTCCAATAAAACATTGAAGTTCTATTCATGGTTTTTAAAGTCCTTTTGTAAATTTGGAGCCTCAATTTGCATTATTTTTACTCACCTGTCTTCAGGAATTTTGCTGTTTCCTATTTCTAATTATTGAATTTAGTTCTGGAAGACAGTTAAAAAATGGTGGCTCACCCTGATACTGCCAAAGTTTGCTTTTTAACATTTGACTGCATGTGTCTACAGTAGCCCATGCTCCTAGGATGAGATAACCCTATTCCTTAGGAGTAAATGTCCTGAAATTTTAAATGAGTTCTTGATGTTTCCTGTCAGTTGTATGGGATAAAATATTTATTTCCTCACCCATTGCTAGGTTTATGGCAAAGGCACCTATAATAAAAGACAGATTAATAAAAGCCTAATTGTGTATTTAATGTCAATTTTACCTGACAGAGCACTCTAGAAATGAAGATTCAAAGAAATAGGGAAACCTAGGTATCGTTATGCGTAGTTTGATGAAGTGTGAACAGTTGTAGAGAAGCACGATTGCAAGGGAGGAAAATCGAATGGCAATAAATTGGGAGGAAATTAGCAAAGTGTGTTTGTTCAGATTCTATTTGATATCTCTGCTTTAGAGAACAAGATGTTTCTTTCATCTGGGTATACAGAAGGTTACACTGGAATGAAGTTTTTATGACCTGCTTCAGGAGTAATGGCAAGGGAAAGGTGAGAGTGACTGTCCTGCTTCTACTGTTTTTCAAATGCCAAGGTGTCATATTTGGGGATAGAATGTCTTGAACCTCCTAACAGTTCTCTCCATTCTGGCAGCTCAGAAATCTATCTTCCAATATATGTGACCTCTAGACTTTCCATTCATCTCACAGTTCACAGGTATTTGCTTTCTGCCATGATTAGCACAATCTTATGCTGGGCATGTGAAACTTAAATTTGGCTAAAGACCCCAGGGAGACTCAAAAAAACTGTATGTGCTCAATTCTCTGTGCAGCTCTCTCTGCACCACTACTTTTTCCTGTGAATCCCATCCATTTCAGCAGCCATGAACTTCTCTGTTTCCTCCACTCAGCAAGACCATCACATTCTGAGCTCCACTTGCCTCTCCCGTTTCAAATGTGCCCTCATGCAAAAAAACAAGGTAAAGGTAGTGCTCACCTAATATATTCCTGTTTTCTCAAAGACCTATGCTCTCTGTTGCCCAGTACAAGAAAATATGTTTTATTCAATTCCATAGTGTACAGAATGAGGTTAAGTTTTATCTGCATTATGATCAAAACCAGAATCTCAAGCTAATACTTTGGAAACATCTTGGCCAAATTGTAAAGCCACATTTACATGTTAAAAAAGGCACAATTTTGAATGATTAAAAGATGATGCTCAGTATAACAAGCATTTTCACATTTAACATTTTGTCTCCTTTTATATAAATTAAGTTTTTATAAACTGTTAATTTAGTAAAATATGAATAATTTTAGGAAACTTTCCAGGTATATTTTAATGCAGATGTATTTTGCTATTATTCAGTGACATCCTTATTATTTCAACTTGTAACAATTTTGTGCTAATAGGTAATACAATATGAATGTCATGCAGATGAACACTGTCACTGCTCCAGGACACTTATATTTATGCTTTTACATATTTTTATTGATTCTTTAATGGTCAGGGGAAATTTTAAATCAATTATATCTCTTATGATTTGGTACAATCAATATTTTTGTTGTTAAAGAATGCTAACCTCAATTTTGTAAAGTATATTGCTTCACTTTCATTATCCTTCTTAATACGAATTTCAGATAGAAATCCGTAGGAAGATAAAGAACAACAGAAAAGAAAACTATTCTAGAAGACATAAAACAGTCACTTCATAAATATCATATACAAAATTAATTGTAACTGTAATTCTAATAAAATTAAGCATTAGTGTACCACTGTTTGATTTTAAAGTTAAGCTAAAGATCTGAGCACACTAACAAAAAATTTTCACTAATTTTAAAATGTAATTATACATTTACTTTCATTCTGTTTTTCAAATTATAGAAAATTGATTTTTAATTACAGAATTTAAGACATAGCAATGATAAGATTTGGATTGCTAGAAGGGGACTTATTAGCACATAACTAGTATAGCATCACCATCTTTTTAATTTTTTTATTTTTATTTTTTTTGAGTTGGTGTCTCACTCTGTTGCCCAGGCTGGAGTGCAGTGGTATGATCTTGGCTCGCTGCAACCTCCACCTCCTAGGTTCAAGCGATTCTCCTGCCTCAGCCTCCCGAGTAGCTGGGATTACAGAGACACACCACCACACCCAGCTCATTTGTACAGTTTTAGTAGAGATGGGGTTTCACCATGTTGGTCAGGCTGGCCGCAAACTCCTGACCTCGTGATCTGCCCACCTCGGCCTCCCAAAGTGCTGGGATTACAGGTGTGAGCCACAGCACCCAGCTGCATCACCTTCTTTATAAAGTTTAAACCTCAAATCTCTAGAACAAGACTTGAGCAGAGGATTGAGAAGTGCTTCTTAAAAGAATAAAATACTTTTTACAGAGCTTGTACATTTATATACTTATCCTAAGCATTGTGAGGCTGTATTAGTCTGTTTTCATGCTGCTGATAAAGACATACTTGAGACTGAGAAAATCAAAAGGTTTAATGGACTTACAGTTCCACGTGACTGGGGAGGCCTCACAATCATGGCAGAAGGCAAGGAGGAGCAAGTCACATCTTGCAAGGATGACAACAGGCAAAGAGAGAGAGGCCTGGTGTAGGGGAACTCCTCATTTTAAAACCATCAGATCTCATGAGACTTATTCACTATCATGAGAATAGCACAAGACAGACCTGACCCTATTCAATTACCTCCCACTGGGTCCCTCCCACGACATATGGGAATTGTAGGAGTTACAATTCAAGGTGAGATTTGGGTGGAGACAAAGCCAAAGCACATCATTCCATCCTTGGATCCTCCCAAATCTCACGTCCTCACATTTCAAAATGAATCATGCCTTCCCAACAGTCCCACTAAGTCTTAACTCATTTCAGCATTAACCCAAAAGTCCACAGTCCAAAGTCTTACCCGAGACAAGGCAACTCCTTTCCACCTATGAATCTGTAAAATCAAAAAGCAAGTTACTTATTTCCTAGATACCAGGAGAGTATACACATTGGATAAATCCAGCCATTCCAAATGGAAGAAATTGACCAAAATAAAGGAGTTACAGGCCCCATGCAAGTCCAAAATCTAGCAGGGCAATCAAATCTTAAAGCTCCAAAATTATCTCCTTTGAATCCATGTACCACATCTGGTTCACAATGATACAAGAGGTGGCTTCTCATGGTCTTGGGCAGCTCCGCCCTTGTGGCTTTGCAGGGTATAGGCCACCTCCAGGCTGCTTTCATGGGCTGACATTGAGTGTCTGTGGCTTTTCCAAGGGCATGGTGCAAGCTGTTGGTGGATCTACCATTCTGGGGTCTGGAGGATGGTGGCCCGTTTCTCACAGTTCCACTAGGTGGTGCCCTAGTGGGGACTCTGTGTAGGGATTCCAACCCCAAATTTCTCTTCTGCACTGCCCTAGCAGAGGTTCTCCATGAGGGCTCCACCCCTGCAGCAAACTTCTCCCTGGGCATCCAGGCATTTCCGTACGTACTCTGAAATCTAGGCAGAGGTTCCCAAACCTCAATTCTTGACTTCTGTGCACCCATAGGCTCAACACCACATGAAAGCTGCCAAGGCTCAGGGCTTCCACCCTCTGAAGCAACAGCCTGAGCTATACCTTGGCCCATTTTAGACACAGCTGGAGTGGCTGGGACGCAGGGCACCAAGTCCCTAGACTGCACACAGCAAAGGGATCATGTATCTGGCCCAAAAATCCATTTTGTCCTCCTAAACCTCTAGGCCTGTGATGGGAGGGGCTGCTGCAAAGATCTCTTATTCACCATTGTCTTGGTTACTAACATTCAGCTCTTCATTACTTATGCAAACTTCTGTAGCCAGCTTGAATTTCTTCTCAGAAAATGGGATTTTCTTTTCTATCACATTGTCAGCACCCAAGTCACCTCTTGAATGCTTTGTTGCTTAGAAATTTTTTCCAGTAGTTACCTTAAATCATCTTTCTCAAGTTCAAAGTTCCACAAATCTCTAGGGCAGGGAAAAATGCTGCCAGTCTCTGCAAAAATGTAGCAAGAGTGACCTTTACTCTAGTTCCCAACAATTTCCTCATCTCCATCTGAGACCACCTCAACCTGGATTTCATTACCCGTATCATTATCAGAATTTTGGTCAAAGCCATTCAACAAGTCTCTAGGGAGTTCCAAACTTTCCCACATTTTTCTATCTCCTTCTGATCCCTCCAAACTGTTCCAACATCTGCCTGTTACCCAGTTCCAAAGTTGCTTCCACATTTTCCACATTTTTGGGTATCTACAGCAGTGTCCCACTTCCACTACCAATTTGCTGTATTAGTCTGTTCTCATGCTGCTGATAAATACATACTAGAGGCTGAGAAGATAAAGAGGTTTAATGGACTTACAGTTCCACGTGGCAGGGGATGCCTCAAAATCATGGCAGAAGGCAAGGAGGAGCAAGTCACATCTTATATGGGTGGCAGCAGGCAAAGAATGGGGGAGCTTGTGCAGGGGAACCCTTCTTTTTAAAACCATCAGATTTGGTGAGACTTATTCACTATCATGAGAATAGCATGAAAAAGACTTTCCCCAACTCAACTACCTCCCACTGGGGCCCTCCCACAACATGTGGGAATTGTAGGAGTTACAATTCAAGATGAGATTAGGGTGGGGGCAGACCCAAACCATATCAGAAGCTAAGCAATTACTTGTTCTAGATTTGTCTCTATGCACATCAGCCTTGTTTTTCTATGATTATTTATTAATTCAACATATAGTTATTGGACACTAATTTTATGACCTGTGTGTTAGGCAGCAATAATGCAAAGATGGATGATGTGTTGTTCTTGCCCTCAAGGTATTGAGTGCAGTAGAGAACCCAGACATAAATACTCATTTATAACAGAATGCTATATTTACAGAAATAGATGAATAAACAGAGCACTGCTAGTGCACAGAAAAGGAGACCCATATCCATATCTTATGGTTTACCTCAGCAACTCTCATTGAGAACTCACAATATGTCAGGCACTGTACTAAGGATCATATTATAGTAAAAAGAATATTGAACTTGAACCTTAAGACTAAATTTGGTATCCAACTCTACTATTTCCTAGCTAAAAATTATAGGGAAATCACTTAGCCTTTCTGAGAGTGTTTTCATCATCAATACAAGAGGAATAATGCCATCTAATTTTAAGCTGATTATGAAGATAAACATTGATAATAAAAATAATACAATCTATGAAATTTTAGATAATCATAAGTCTACGATGTTTATAATATAACCATTTTGGACCCATTCTATAGTCATACCTTTATTTTCGTTATAACATGTAACACACATAAAAAGAGTACTGTAAAATCGTACAGCTCAATGATTTTTCAGAATGCAAATACCCATGTAACTGCTACCTATGTTAAGATAGGTGATGGACAACATTCCTGAAACTTCTTTCATGCCCCTTATCCTTATCCCTCTAAAGGTAACCACTATTCTAATCTTTATTTTATTTTATTTATTTTTTTTTTTATTTATTTTTTTTTTGGATCACTTTTCGTTTTTTTTTTTTTTTTTTTTTTTATACTCTAAGTTTTAGGGTACATGTGCACATTGTGCAGGTTACATATGTATACATGTGCCATGCTGGTGCACTGCACCCACTAACGTGTCATCTAGCATTAGGTATATCTCCCAATGCTATCCCTCCCCCCTCCCCCGACCCCACCACAGTCCCCAGAGTGTGATATTCCCCTTCCTGTGTCCAAGTGTTCTCATTGTTCAATTCCCACCTATGAGTGAGAATATGCGGTGTTTATTTTAAATATTTTAAAATTAATAACAGATTTTTAAATTTTTTAGCACAAGATATTTGTTTTTAAGAATTTATTTGACAAATATTATATATATTCAAGAAGTAATGTGACAATGTGATGACTTACATATATATTGCATAATGATTACCATAATCAAATAAATTATTTGATTGCCACCCATGCTATACCATAGATATCCAGAACTTGTCCATCTTACAAACTGAAATGTGTGCTCTTTGACCAGCTCCACTTTTTATCTAAGTCACTACCATGTTTTAAAAATGTTTTTGTCACTAGAGAATGTCCCTAAACAATATTTTTGCCTTTTAACTTTAAATAAATAGAATTGCAGTGAGTGTATTCTTTTGTGTCTACCATATTTTGTTAAAAGATATTATTGTGAGATTTATCTATATTGTTGCATGAAGCTGCAAATTGTTATTTTATTGCAATTTATTATTCTATTTTATGAATATAACATTATGTATTTACTCATTGATGGGGATTTGAGTTCTCTCCAGGTAGAAAAATCATGAGCTCACATCAGTATATCCAATTCTAATCTGGTAAAACAATGTTTATTCTAGTTTTCTCCCATTCTATATTTTTAACTCCCTTCCTTGATAGTAGGAAATATTTCTCTCATTATTCTTAATAACCTAGATTTTATTATCAAATCCCTTTTATGTAACTAACCTACCACCACCAACGATAACCTCCACTTATATCCAAATGCCTACAACACCCTATGCAGATCCAACACTCCTCACTGGTACATGCCCACACATGAAAGCCTTTGTACACCATTCGGGCTTCAACACCACATGGCAGTGGACCGCATGTCCCAGGGGATCTCCTTCACTATGCTTGGGCTCTCATACCCTTCTTTAGGCCAGAGTCCCGTCATCTTCAACCTCCTAACTTCTTTGGCCTCATTGGCTTTTGGACAGAAAATTTCAAGAAAAGAAAACAAGAGGATTTGAAATCAAGATAGAGAGAAAAATGGCCAACTAGACGCAGCCAGGTGGAACAGCTGCCACTGAGGGACTGAGAAGATTGGCTCGCTCCTAACAAATGTTCAGAGGGAATACACAAGAGTAAACAGAGGGAAGCTACAGAAGCTGGGCTGAAGGGAATTTGGCTGAGAACTCTGCACAGGGCTACAGTGCACTGGGACTCGTTCCTGGCCCCCAACAACTCTGGAGGAATGGGTGAGTTAAACTGGCAAGGAGTAATGCGCTCTTGCCGTGGGCCACTGGAATCCTGGCAGAAGGAAACCCCCTCGACCACCATAGACACTTGAGTTAGCAGAGAGAGCGGATTAGAGAAGTACTAGGGTCAGCATACCAACTAAAGCACAGAGGGTTTGGTGCCAGAACGTCTGTAGTGGAGCATGTCCAGGGAAGAACATCCCCCAAGCTCAACTTGCTGCCACAGGAGATGCTAGCCCTAGGGGAACTGCTGAATCTGAACTCTACCGAATTGACTTGCCCATCAGAGTAGGTTGGTCCGACATGAGCACCTGTGGTGTTCTGGCTTCTCCAGGTGCCCCGACCTGGCTACGCCTGCTTGTAGGGCAGCCTCAGGTGACCTGGGGGAACACATCATAGCTTGTGCACTGATGGACCCTGCCTGACCAGTGGGGAGCTCCTGTGGAGCAGCCCCTACAGCCATGCACCAGCCCACCCACTTCCTCCCTATACTGAAGCTTTCCCTCAGGCCTATGGGAACCCCCCACATCACTTTACCAGCATGTATGTGCGGGTGGGCTTTGCGTTCCTTGCCAGTACACCTCTAAGTGTGAACTCTCCCGAGCCATTGCTGTGGTGAGAATGCTGTCCACCCCACTCTCCACCACACTGCCTTTGCAGTCAGATCTTTGGCAGGCACAAAGCCAGCCAGCCCCACACCTGCCAGTGCCCCACACTTGTGCCAACACTGCTGTGGGAATGAAACTAGGCACAGAGAAACAGCAGATCCTCCCCAGCCCTGAGTGACCACCCCTGCCTTCCACACAGAGAATGCATACAGACTTACACCCATCGGCATTCCACCACCATACTAACACCACCACCAGTGTGACTGATTGTACAGTTGTTGGCAGGGGCCCCTGCCCTCTTAAGTCATGCTGCCTCTGTCACTGTGGGAAACACCCACATGGAAACAGGCCCACTGGCCCACTTAGCACCCTGCTGCAGCTGACAAGCTTGCACTCTACTGCACTGCTGCTGCTGCTGCTGCTGCTGCTGCATGTACAGAGAAAGACAGATCCCACTGGCAGTGCACTACGAAAAGCTTTGGCTGACACCACCTATTGGAGTGTAGTGACCAGAGGTCCCGGAACACCACGGCCCAATCTAGTGCAGTACATTTCTAACCTCAGGGATCCAGAGAACAAAGTATAGGCCCAATACAAATTTCTCAAAGTTAGAGCAGGCAGTCCAGGAGTTGGGAGCTAAGTGTTTGCCCCCTAAAATCTTCCAGAAATGAAACCAGTCAGCTGAATCCACTTTATAGTGGAATAAACCCTCAAGGTCATTAAATAGGATCAAAGGGAAAACAAAAACCATCCAAAGCTCAGTGACTTCCAAGACTGAACAAAAATCAGACCATAAAGATGAGAAAGAACAAACACAAGAACTCTGACAACCAAGAGCTCTGAACTGGGCTGAAATGGATGAAATGACAGAAATAAAATTCAGAATATGTAGGAATGAAGATAACCGAGCTTCAGGAAAATATTGAAGCCAAATTCAAGGAAGCAAAGAATCACAATAAAATGATACAGGAGATGAAAGACAAAACAGCCAGTATAGAACAGAACATAAATAACAAGATAGAGCTGAAAAACACACTACAAGAATTTCATAATGCAATTAAAAGTATTAATAGCAGAATAGACCAAGCTAAGGAAAGAATGTCAGAGCTTGAAGACAGACTTTCTGAAATAATACAGTCAGGCAAGAATAGAGAAAAAGTATGAAAAGGAACAAATAAAACTTCCAAGAAATATGAAATTATGTAAAGAGACCAAATCTATGACTCGTTGTGCCTGAATGAGATGGAGAGGGTTTAAGAAACTTGGAAAATGTATTTCAGGTTATCATTCATAAGACTGTCCCTGGTGGTTCCAAGATGGCTGAATAGGAACAGCTCCAGTCTACAGCTCCCAGTATGAGCAGAAGATGGGTGATTTCTGCATTTCCAACTGAGGTACTGGATTCATCTCCCTGGGGCTTGTTGGACCGTGGGTGCAGGACAGTGAGTGCAGCTCACTGGGTGTGAGGTGAAGCAGGGTGAGGCCTCACCCATGAAGCACAAAAGGTCAGGGAATTCCCTTTACTAGCCAAGCAAAGCTGTGACAGATGGCACCTGGAAAATTGGGTCACTCCCACCCTAATACTGTGCTTTTCCAATGGCCTTAGCAAACAGCACACCAGGAGATTATATTGTGTGCCTGGCTCAGAGGGTCCCAAGCCCATGGAGCCTCGGTCCTTGCTAGCACAGCAGTCTGAGATCGAACAGTAAGGTAGCAGCGAGGCTGGGGGAGGGGCGCCCGCCATTGCTGAAGCTTGAATAGGTAAACAAAGCGGCCTGGAAGCTCGAACTGGGTGGAGCACACTGCAGCTCAAGGGGGCCTGCCTGCCTCTGTAGACTCCACCTCTGGGGGAAGGGCATGGCTGAACAAAAGGCAGCAGAAACCTCTGCAGACTTAAATGTCCCTGTCTGACAGTTTTGAAGAGAGTAGTGGTTCTCCCAACACAGAGTTTGAGATCTGAGAACGGACAGACTGCCTCCTCAAGTGGGTCCCTGAACCCCGAGTAGCCTAACAGGGAGGCATCCCCCAGTAGTGGCAGACTGACAACTCACACAGCCGGGCACTCCTCTGAGATGAAACTTCCAGAGGAACGATCAGGCAGCAACATTTGCTGTTCAGCAATATTCACTGTTCTGCAGCCTCCGCTGCTGATACCCAGGCAAACAGGGTCTGGAGTGGACCTCCAGTAAACTCCAACAGACCTGCAGCTGAGGGTCCTGACTGTTAGAAGGAAAACTAACAAACAGAAAGGACATCCACAGCAAAACCCCATCTGTACATCACCATCATCAAAGACCAAAGGTAGATAAAACCACAAAGATGGGGAAAAAACAGAGCAGAAAAACTGAAAATTCTAAAAATCAGAGCACCCCTCCTCCTCCAAAGGAACACAGCTCCTCACCAGCAATGGAACAAAGCTGGACGGTGAATGACTTTGACAAGTTGACAGAAGAAGGCTTCAGACAACCAAACTTCTCCAAGCTAAAGGAGGAAGTTCGAACCTATCACAAAGAAGTTAAAAACCTTGAAAAAAGATTAGACAAATGGCAAACTAGAATAACCAGTGTAGAAAAGTCCTTAAAGGACCTGATGGAGCTGAAAACCATGGCACAAGAACTACGTGACACATGCACAAGCTTCAGTAGCCGATTCGATCAACTGGAAGAAAGGGTATCAGTGATTGAAGATCAAATTAATGAAATGAAGTGAGAAGAGAAGTTTAGAGAAAAAAGAATAAAAAGAAATGAACAAAGCCTCCAAGAAATATGGGACTATGTGAAAAGACCAAATCTACGTCTGATTGGTATACCTGAAAGTGACGGGGAGAATGGAACCAAGTTGGAAAACACTCTGCAGGATGTTATCCAGGAGAACTTCCCCAATCTAGCAAGGCAGGCCAACATTCAAATTCAGAAAATACAGAGAATGCCACAAAGATACTCCTCGAGAAGAGCAACTCCAACACACATAATTGTCAGATTCACCAAAGTTGAAATGAAGGAAAAAATGTTAAGGGCAGCCAGAGAGAAAGGTCGGGTTACCCACAAAAGGAAGCCCATCAGACTAACAGCTGATCTCTTGGCAGAAACCCTACAAGCCAGAAGAGAGTGGGGGCCAATATTCAACATTCTTAAAAGAATTTTCAACCCAGAATTTCATATCCAGCCAAACTAAACTTCACAAGTGAAGGAGAAATAAAATCCTTTACAGACAAGCAAATGCTGAGAGATTTTGTCACCACCAGGACTGTCCTACAAGAGCTCCTGAAGGAAGCACCAAACATGGAAAGGAACAACGGGTAACAGCCACTGCAAAAACATGCCAAATTGTAAAGACCATCAAGGCTAGGAAGAAACTGCATTAACTAACGAGCAAAATAACCAGCTAACATCATAATGACAGGATCAAATTTACACATAACAATATTAACCTTAAACGTAAATGGGCTAAATACCCCAATTAAAAGGCACAGACTGGCAAATTGGATAAAGAGTCAAGACCCATCAGTGTGCTGTATTCAGGAAACCCATCTCACATGCAGAGACACACATAGGCTCAAAATAAAGGAATGGAGGAAGATCTACCAAACAAATGGAAAACAAAAAAAGGCAGGGGTTGCAATTCTAGTCTCTGATAAAACAGACTTTAAACCAACAAAGATGAAAAGAGACAAAGAAGGCCATTACATAATGGTAAAGGGATCAATTCAACAAGAAGAACTAACTATCCTAAATATATATGCACCCAATACAGGAGCACCCAGATTCATAAAGCAAGTCCTTAGAGACCTACAAAAAGACTTAGACACCCATACAATAATAATGGGAGACTTTAACACTCCACTGTCAACACTGGATAGATCAACGAGACAGAAAGTTAACAAGGATATCCAGGAATTGAACTCAGCTCTGCACCAAGCAGACCTAATAGACATCTACAGAACTCTCCACCCTAAATCAACAGAATATACATTCTTCTCAGCACCACACCACACCTATTCCAAAATTGACCACATAGTTGGAAGTAAAGCACTCCTGAGCAAATGTAAAATAACAGAAATTATAACAAACTGTCTCTCAGACCACAGTGCAATCAAACTAGAACTCAGGATTAAGAAACTCACTCAAAACCGCTCAACTACATGGAAACTGAACAACCTGCTCCTGAATGACTACTGGGTACATAACGAAATGAAGGCAGAAATGAAGATGTTCTTTGAAACCAACGAGAACAAAGACACTACATAACAGAATCTCTGGGACACATTCAAAGCAATGTGTAGAGGGAAATTTATAGCACTAAATGCCCACAAGAGAAAGCAGGAAAGATCCAAAATTGACACCCTAACATCACAATTAAAAGAACTAGAGAAGCAAGAGCAAACACATTCAAAAGCTAGCAGAAGGCAAGAAATAACTAAGATCACAGCAGAACTGAAGGAGATAGAGAAGCAAAAAACCCTTCAAAAAATCAATGAATCCAGGAGCTGGTTTTTTGAAAAGATCAACAAAATTGATAGACTGCTAGCAAGACTAATAAAGAAGAAAATAGAGAAGAATCAGATAGATGCAATAAAAAATGATAAAGGGGATATCACCACCGATTCCACAGAAATACAAACTACCATCAGTGAATACTATAAACACCTGTATGCAAATAAACTAGAAAATCTAGAAGAAATGGATAAATTCCTGTACACATACACCCTCCCAAGACTAAACCAGGAAGAAGTTGAATCTCTGAATAGACCAATAACCAGCTCTGAAATTGAGGCAATAATTCATAGCTTACCAACCAAAAAAAGTCCAGGACCAGATGGATTCACAGCCGAATTCTACCAGAGGTACAAGGAGGAGCTGGTACCATTCCTTCTGAAACTATTCCAATCAATAGAAAAAGAGGGAATCCTCCCTAACTCATTTTATGAAGCCAGCATCCTCCTGATACCAAAGCCTGGCAGAGACACAACAAAAAAAGATAATTTTAGACCAACATCCCTGATGAACATCAAAGCAACAGTCCTCAGTAAAATACTGGCAAACCGAATCCAGCAGCACATCAAAAAGCTTATCCACCATGATCAAGTGGGCTTCATCCATGGGATGCAAGGCTGGTTCAACATATACAAATCAATAAATGTAATCCAGCATATAAACAGAACCAAAGACAAAAACTACATGATTATCTCAATAGATGCAGAAAAGGCCTTTGACAAAATTCAACAACCCTTCATGCTAAAAACTCTCAATAAATTAGGCATTAATGGGATGTATTTCAAAATAATAAGAGCTACTTATGACAAACCCACAGCCAATATCATACTGAATGGGCAAAAACTAGAAGCATTCCCTTTGAAAACTGGCACAAGACAGGGATGCCCTCTCTCACCACTCCTATTCAACATAGTGTTGGAAGTTCTGGCCAGGGCAATCAGGCAAGAGAAAGAAATAAAGGGTATTCAATTAGGAAAAGAGGAAGTCAAATTTTCCCTGTTTGCAGATGACATGATTGTATATCTAGAAAACTCTATCTTCTCAGCCCAAAATCTCCTTAAGCTGATAAGCAACTTCAGCAAAGTCTCAGGATACAAAATCAATGTGCAAAAATCACAAGCATTCCTATACACCAATAACAGAAAAACAGAGAGCCAAAACATGAGGTAACTGCCATTCACAATTGCTTCAATGGGAATAAAACACCTAGGAATCCAACTTTCAAGGGATGTGAAGGACCTCTTCAAGAACTACAAACCACTGCTCAACGAAATAAAAGAGGATACAAAAAATGGAAGAACATTCCATGCTCATGGGTAGGAAGAATCAATATCATGAAAATGGCCATACTGCCCAAGGTAATTTATAGATTCAATGCCATCCCCATTAAGCTACCAATGACTTTCTTCACAGAATTGGAAAAGACTACTTTAAAGTTCATATGGAACCAAAAAAGAGCCCACATTGCCAAGTCAATCCTAAGCCAAAAGTACAAAGCTAGAGGCATCACACTACCTGACTTCAAACTATACTACAAGGCTATAGTAACCAAAACAGCATGATACTGGTACCATAACAGAGATATAGACCAATGGAACAGAACAGAGCCCTCAGAAATAATACCACACATCTACAACCATCTGATCTTTCACAAACCTGACAAAAACAAGAAAGGGACCACTTTATAAGAGCTACTGAAGGAAGCTCTATATTTGAAAAGGAAAGACTCTTACCAGCCACTACAAAAGCACATGTAAGTACACAGACCAGTGACACTGCAAAGCAGTGGGGTCGTAAACAAGTCTGCATAATATCCAGCTAACATCATGATGACAGGATCAAATCCACACATATCAATGATAACCTGGAATGTAAGTGGCCTAACTACCCCAATTAAAAGGCACAGAGTTGTAAACTGGATAAATAACCAAGACCCACAGGTAAGGGAATGGGACCAATCTCACATGCAATGACACTTATAGGCTCAAAATAAAGAGATAGAGAATAATCTACCAAGCAAATGTAAATCAGAAAAAAGCAGAGGCTGAAATCCTAATTTCAGATAAAACAGACTTTAAATCAACAAACATCAAAAAGACAAAGAAGGGCATTACATAATGGAAAGAGTTTAACAAGAATTTAACAAGAATAACTATCTTAAATATATATGTACCCAACAAAGGAGCACTCAGCTTTGTAAAGCAAGTTCTTGGAGACCTTCAAAAAGACTTAAACTCACACACAATAATAGTGAAAGACTTCAACTCCCCACTGACAGCATTAAACATATCATCAAGGCATAAAATTAACAAAGATATTCAGGACCTGAACTCAGCAATGGATCAAATGGACTTGATAGACATCTACAGGACTCTCCACCCAAAAACTATAGAATATACACTCTTCTCATTGTCACATGGCACATACTCTAAAATCAATCACATAATCAGACACAAAACATTCCTCAGCAAGTGCAAAAGAGATGAAATCATAGCAACCACTCTCTCAGACCACAGCACAATCAAACTAGAAATCCAGACTGAAAAATTCACTCCAACCATATATTACATGGCAATTGAATAACCTGCTCCTGAAGGGCTTTTTGGTAAATAACAAAATTAAGGCAGAAATCAAGAAGTTCTTTGAAACTAATGAGAACAAAGAGACAATGTACCAGAATATCTAGGACACAACTAAGGCAGTGTTAAGAAGGAAATTATAGCACTAAATGCCCACATCAAAGAGCTAGAAAGAACTCAATTTAACAACGTAACATCACAACTAAAGGAACTGGAAAACCAAGAGAAAACCACCCCAAAGCCAGCAGAAATCAGAGCTGAACTGAAAGAGACTGAGGCACAAAAAACCATTCAAAAGATCAATGAATCTAGGAGCTAGGTTTTGAAAAAAAGTTAATAAAATAGATAGGCCACCAGCTAGACTAGCAGGCAGGAGAGCAGATCCAAATAAACACAATTAGAAACGACAAAGGGGATATTATCACTGACACCATAGAAATACAAATAACCACTGGAGAATATTATGAACAACTCTATGCATATAAAGTAGAAAATCTAAAAGAAATGGATAAATTCCTGGAGACATACACCCTCCCAAGACTGAGCCAGGAATAAATTGAATCCCTGAACAGACCAATAACGAGCTCCAAAATTGAATCAGAATCAATAGCCCAGCAGCCTATCAACCAAGAAAAGCCCAGGACACAGAATTGAATCAGTAATAAATAGCCTACCAACCAAAACATGCTGGTATCATTCCTACTGAAATTATTCTCAAAAATTGAGGAGGAGGGACTCCTCTCTGACTCATTCTATGAGGCCAGCATCATCCTGATACCAAAGTCTGGCAGAGACAAAATAAAAAGGGAAAACTAAAGGGCAATATCCTTGATGAACATTGATGCAAAACTCTTCAACAAAGTAATGGCAAACCAAATCCAGAAACACACCAAGTAACTTACCCACCATGATCAAGTAGTTGAAGTATAACACTACCTGACTTCAAACTATACTACAGGATGACAGTAACCAAAATAGCATGGTACTGGTACAGTAACAGACACATAGACTAATGGAACAGAATTGAGAACCCAGAAATAAGGCCATACACCTACAACTATGGTTGTATATGATCTTTGACATACCCGATAAAAACAAGCATTGGAGAAAAGATTCTTTATTAAATAAATGGTGCTGGGATAACTGGTAGCCATATGCAGAAGATTAAAACTGGACCCCCTTCCTTATACCATATACAAAAACTAACAGAAGATGGATTAAAGACCTAAATGTAAAATCCAATATGACAAAAACCGTGGAGGGCAACCTAGGTAATACCATTCAGGACATAGGCACGGGCAAAGATTTCATGACAAAGATGCCAAAAGCATTTGAAATAGAAGCAAATATTGACAAATGGGATCTAAACTAAAGGGCTTCTGCACAGTAAAAGAAACTATCAACAGAGTAAACAGACAACCTAGAGAACGGGATAAAATTTTTGCAATCTATGAATCTGAAAAAGGTCTAACATCCAGCATCTATAGTAAACTTACACAAATTTACAAGAAAAAAAAATCTCCATTAAAAAGTGGGCAAAGGAAGTGAACAGACACTTCTCAAAAGAGAACATACATGCTGCCAACAATTTTATAAAAAAAAGCTCGACATCACTGATTATTAGAGAAATGCAAATCAAAACCACAATGAGATATCATCTAACACAAGTCAGAATGGCTACTATGAAAAAGTCAAAAAATAACAGAACTGGTGAAGGTTGTGAAGAAAAAGGAATGCTTATACACTCTTGGTGGGAATGTAAATTAGTTCAGGCATTGTGAAAGACAGTGTGGTGATTCCTCAAAGACCTAGAGACAGAAATACCATTTGACCCAGCAATCCATTACTGGGTATATACACAAAGGAATATAAATCATTATATTATAAATATAGGAGGCTGGGTTCAGTGGCTCACGCCTGTAATCCCAGTACTTTGGGACACTGAGGAGCGTGGATCACCTGAGGTCAGGAATTCAATACCAGCCTGGACAACATGGTGAAACTCTGCCTTTACTGAAAATACAAAAATTAGCCAAGTAAGGTGGAGGGTGCCTGCAGTCTCAGCTACCCGGGAGGCTGAGGCAGGAGAATTGCCTGAACCCGGGAGGCAGAGGTTGCAGTGAGTTGAGGTCATGCCCTTGCACTCCAGCCTGGGTGACAGAGCAAGACTCCATCTCAAAAAAATAATAAAAAGACACATGCATACGTATGTTCATTGCAGCGCTATTCACAGTAGCAAAGGAATTAACCTAAATTCCAAACAATGATAAACTGAATAAAGAAAATGTGGTATGTATACACCATAGAATACAATGCAGCCATAAAAACAGAATGAGATTATGTCCTTTGCAGGGACATGGAAGGAGCTGGAGACGATTATTCTTAGCAAACTAATGCAGGAACAGAAAACCAAATACCTCATGTTCTCACTTACATGTGAGAACTAAATGGTAAGAACACATGGGCATATAGCGAGAAACAACACACACTGGGGCCTACCAGAGAATGGAGGGTGAAAAGAAAAAGAGGATCAGGAAAATAACTAATGAGTACTAAGCTTAATACCTGGGTGATGAAATAACCTGTACAACAAACCCCATGACACAAGTTTTCCTATGTAACAAACCTGCACTTGTACCCCTGAACTTTAAAACAGTTAAAAACAAAAAAACAATGAGATACTATCTCACACCAGGCAGAATGGCTATTATTAAAAAGTCAAAAAATAACAGGTGCTCACAAGCTTCGGGAGAAAAAGGAATGCTTATACACTGTTGATGGGAGTGTCAATAAGTTCAACCATTGTGCAAGACAGCGTGGTGATTCCTCAAAGATCTAGAAGCAGAAATCCCATTTGAACCCAGCAATCTCATTACTGGGAATATACTCAAGTTTTATAAATCATTCTATCGTAAAGACACATGCACGCGTATGTTCATTGCAGCATTATTCACAATAACAAAGACATGGAATCAACCTAAATGCCCATCAATGGAGGCTGGTTTATAAAATTGTGGTACATATACACCATGGAATCCTATGCAGCCTAAAAAAGAACAAGATCATGTGCTTTCAGGAACATGAATAGAGCTGGAGGCCATTATTCTCAGCAAACTAATGCAAGAACATAAAACAAAATACCACATGTTCTCACTTACAAGTGGGAGCTAAATTATGAGAAGACGTGGACACATAGAGAGGAACAACAGACACTGGGGCCTACCAGAGAGGAGGGAGAGAAAACAACTGATGGATACCAGGCTTAATACCTGGGTGATGAAATAATCTGTACAACAACCCCCTGTGATGTTAGTTTACCTATAAAACAAACCTGTACATGTACCCCTGAACTTAAAATAAAAGTTAAGAAAAAAAAAAGAAGATAAAGGAAGAGAATTGTTTTAAGAAGGAAAAAAAAAGAAAAAAGGAAAGCAAGAAAAAAGGCTAAGCTAGGCATTTTTCTAATTTAATAGATAATTCAAGTTTTTAAAATGATTATACCAATCTTTACTCCAACCAGAAGTTCATATCATTTATCCATATAATTTATAGTACAAAATAGGATACTTCTGAAAATGAAAAAGAGACCCTTTTTAAAAACATATACTGAGACAATTGGCTTTAGCCAAGATTTTCTTGAGCAAATCAGATTGGTTTTGTCAACCTATGCATCAAAGTTTCTATCTCTGTACATTCTCAAAAGGAGTTGATATTGTAATTCATTTCAATGTTGGTCCTTTTAGTTAGTGCAGTAGTGATCCCTTATTGTGATTTTAGTTTGCATTCTCTTATTTAATGAGAATGACCACATATTAATATGCTTACTGGTTATTGGATATCTTCTTTGGGAAAAGAATATATTACTCTCATGTATTTTTGTAATGGGCTGTCTTTTTAGCCTTGATTCTTAAGTGTTATTTTGAGATTCTAGATTGGGAGCCATTCACCTTTATTTTTCAACTCAAAATAAATTCAGTTTCAGTAAATGCATGCAAGAAAAGCGCGAAGTCCATTAACCACTTTCGGGTATGCCACACATCCAGAATTGTTAAACATGCCAGGACTGTGGTGCCAGATATTCATTTAGACATTGTATCCAAGTGGAGAGAATAAGCTACATAGCTCATCAATCCACATTGATATATGATGTTGCTACTGAGAGCTGGCATTCTTCAGTCACAAAAATATCCTTTCCACACTGCTGTGATTCTTCACTGCTCCAACTTCATGCACAGACCACCAAGGTTTTCCCTTTCTATCTTCATTCTCAGATATTGTTGCCCAGAATTCAAAGCCTGGAGCAGGAGAATGGGTTTAGAAGAGCTTTCAGAATTAATTATAAGGTACACTGAAACATTTCTCCTCCATGACCTTTATCTCCTTGTTTCGAGCCTAGGTTGCTACCCTATGCTAGATTCCATTTTGTGTAGGTAATTTGATTATAGATGCTTCATTGACTATCTCTTCCACTGAGATTTGGTTAAGCTCACTCTCTGTCAGTGCAGCTGGTAGCCCCAAAGTAATGGATGCTGGCAGTGGCCAACCACATGCCTATGACCTTTTTAGGTGCTAATGCCTGCATTTCTGAATCTGAGGAAATTTTTTTTCCATAACATTGTAAAGAAGATCTGAGTGTTATCGTAACACACAAGAAGTACCAGTAAATTAACACCACTCTTCTCCCCGTGAGACAGCCCTCAATACATGACCCCAGAAGCTGGTCTATAAATCAATAGCACAGAGACCTCACCCCTTGAGAGAGAAGAAGGAGAAAAATAAAAATCACTTAAATCAAGTGACAATAACATTTGATATGATAGAGTTTTATAATGTCAAAATATTTGATATGGATTAATGATGTAAATATAAAATAATTAAAGTTATAAGGCATGTGTAGCTTTTGCTATGTCATTTGAATATTAAAACTGAAAAATAATTTCTGTTTCTGGTGCCAACCTTACTGTTATATAATCCACTATTGTCCTTCAACTATCATTCATTACAGGATTTTAATTTAATTTTAATAGTGTGTTTTATAGCCTCTCATTCTCTATTTACTTATTAAATACAGCAATTATTTATAATAATACAATTTTAGGTTTAAAAAATAGCTTATTGAATAACATTTAGTTAATCAATGCTAGTGTTTGCTATATGTTATGATTGGGTCTGAGATAGAGGATCTGGATTAGGGGAAGAATTTACAATACTTCAGAAATAACGTTAAAGTTAGCGAAGCATGCTGAGAATATGATTAACTTGCCAACACCTGGCTGAAATGATGTACAACACAAGTTTATAAATGGTGGTGAAGCATAAATTATAATTTGGTAGTTATTTTGCTTTTTGAGAAAAATGAAAGTTTAATTAATATCTGAAATGGGATATAGCAAGTAGTGTAGCTTATATCTCTAACCTGCATACATCTTCTATTTGGGTATGTGTACACGTGTGTATGCATGCAAATGTAACAATATGTAAAGCTGCACCTGGCATTGGGTGAAACAGAACAGAACAGAATTATATATGCTTTTCTCCCAATATAAAATAAAATTTAAAGAATTTAAATAAAAATTATATGTGCCAACATCAAATAAACAATAGAAAAAACATAGCAAAGGAAAAAAATGTACCTATCATTGAAATAAATAAAAAATTCTGGGTCAGCACCTCCAGCCAGACAGAAGTGAGGAAAGTACATGATTGGAATTCATCGTGAGAATTCTTACTTATATATTCCCATCTCAACGTTGATTGGGATATACGTGGATGAGTTATGAGTAAGCTCTGGTGGGAAACGTAGGGCAAAACAGTGAGTACAGGTGGTGCTGCATACTCATGCTACCCTGGAAGACATTAGAATGAAAGGCCCCGATCATGTCATTTTTCAGAACTTTTTAGGAATGAGGAAAGTGAGCAAAAACTCATGATACTGAAATCAGCCTGGACAGAATCATACACCTGTATATACATACATAATAGCTTCTATAAAGAAAAAGGATAGAAAGACTGGCAGGGCCATTGCATTGCATCACCCCGGGAAATAGACAGTTCTGTAGAACACAATGTGAATATCTCCCTAGAATTTTCATAAACTACATTCAGCACAAACCAAGCTCTTCCTTTCTAAATCACATGTGCTTTGGGTACATACGACTTAGGTTAAAGAAAATTGATATGAGAGTAACACTCAGTCCTAACACTACCCTGCTAAAAAAGATGAAATGCTTTCATTTAATAATTATTTTTAAATTATTTTTAATCTGTAATATTATTTTTAAATTTGTCCATTTATTTGTTTTCCATCTGTCCATTTATCTATCCTCCCATCCCATCTATCCACCTGTCCATGTATGCATGCATAAGTATACCCATCTTTCTTTCTGTATAGATTCAACAGAAAAATTTCTGCAACAATATTTACCAAATGGTAAAAATATATTTACCCAGTGACATATTTGAGTTATCTCTTGCTTTATTCTGTGACATTTTTATAATTTTAGAATTTATTTGTTACTATAAAAAAATAATACAGAGACAGCTGGATCAGCTAAGTGTTACTGAGAAATAGAGTCCCTGAAAATAATTTCAAAACAACAGTTTTCAAAACTTTTTAAAAGAGAGCAAGAGAGACTTGAATCTTTACTTCTAGCAGTCAACACAGAAGCAGTAAAAAAGTAGGAATTTGAAAGTGGTATGAACAAAAAAATATACTTTGTTAAGCTACTGATAGTTATCTCTGCATTTTTTATTGTTCTCACCCTCTTCTTAATCTGATTTTTTTCTTCTGGTGGTATGAAGCTGAATTTCTGATACAAAGGCATAAACAAAGGATTTGTGTTGAAATGGATATGTTGGTTGCATCCCTGCTGGTTTGTATGATTCTGTGTGTGTGTGTGTGTGTGTGTGTGGTGTGTGTGTGTGTTTGTGTGTGTGTGTAGAGAGAAGAGAGGGGCAAAGAAGATACAATAAATTAAGAGATCGTTTCAAGGGGTTTGAAAACAATAGAGATTTACATTTATAAATCACCATCTGGCAATACAATTATAGGTCACAAGAAGGAAACCACCTAAGACACATGAATTAACACTTGATTTGCTCAGATTTTTATATTAGCTGTCATTCTGCATCCCTACCTATAGACCCTAACAGCTGACAATGATGTTAACGTTATTAGATTTTATGATTTTATTATTTCCATCTTTCTCTGTGATTAACTAAATAGAAATTTATTTGTTACATCATTCCCAATTTTCTTTCAGTCTTTGAAGCTAGCCTCTAAACCAAAATAAAGCTGGTTATCCCATGTGAGCAAGTATTTTCATTTTAATAAATATGGTTCTGCAAAATGCCTGTGGCCCATTCCCCAAAACAATATCTATAATATTTCCTTCTTTGAATAATAGCCTTTACATAGGTTATAATATCAAAGAAAAATCATTAAATCCTAAACCAACATGCAAAATTTTAATGATTTATTATTATCATGTAGTGCAAGAAATTACTATTTATGTTTTAAAATGTGAAAAACAATTTTTAAAAAATGTCCAAATTATCTATCAAATGACATTAGTAAATAAAGTTGCCATAATACAGGCTAAGATTAAAGTTATTTTTACTATTAAATGCTATAAAAGAGAAATTCAAAATATCATTAAAGACTTCATTTGCTCAACATCTATTTAACTCTTACTGAGCTTACTGTAGACCTTCACATAGTCCTTCAAGTATTCATATCAAGATATTAACCAATTCTGCTTTGGTAAACCCAAATTCTATGCCTTCTTAAGAAAACAACAATGACATTCCCTGGGGTCTTAAATGCTGGTTGTAGCCAGTATTTTTCTTTGAATCTGTAGTAAGAAAAAATACAATTAATTGTTAGTTGTCACTTTTGATGATCTTAACTGTCAAGAAATTTCCAATAAGGAGTAAAAAGCGCCAAAAACAGTTTTGTGAATGTTTAAATGAGTTATATTTCTTGAAACAATGTGCTATAACCCATCAGGCTACTGAAAAATTGTCAATGCCACAAGGTAATTGTGTCAACAAACAGAACTTTTGTACTGAAAAGAAAGCAGTGTTCATCTCCAATCACATTATAAGTGTTAGATATAGGTTAAATAACTGTAAACATATATAGAGTGTAGAAGAGTCCTAATTTTCTCTATCCTTTTCATACTCTACTGTCTTTCAAATTTAAATGTTTATCAAATTGTTAAAATTAACAATAATGTAAATTAACCTTCTATAACTCCACTCTCTTTCAATGTGTCAAACTATTGACAAGAAATAAGTGGCAGAATAAAGTTAGAACTGTGGGCTAATTGCATAGTTTTGTTTTTTAGAAAGAATTCTGATTTTAAACCAAAGGACAGATGAATGAGTAAAATAAAAAGACCACGTAAAATATACAACAAATTATTTATAAATTAAAAAGCGTATCATTTAAGGATTTGTTTGTACAGTCTACGTGACTAAATCATATATGTTCATGGTGTATTTCCAAATAATGTTACTGAATAAATATTAAGACTTGAGGGTACATAAAGCATATTCAATGAGAAAAAAGATTTTTTTAACCACCTCGAAAAATGGTGTTAATTGCTTTGTTAATTGCTTTGTTGCCAATTGGTTTGTGTCAATAGTCTGTAGTTCTCAAAATTGGGAACAATCTATAGAATATTAATTATTTTGCATTATGTTTGTATATATTTTCATTATCCTGTGCTATTGATTAATTTAAAAATCTACTCTTAAAATAAGAATTCACGCATAACTGAAGGAATAAGTTAATTTTATTGATGTCATTCTGCTGTTAGCAAAGCCTAGATGCTTGGATATATGTTACCATTAATTTTATCTTACACTGTGGATAGTTATGCAAGGCAAATAAAAATTATATTACATTGATGTGGACTTGATAGTAGTAATTGAAATTTCAGGGACTTTTTAAATAAATTGTCATGCCTTTCTTTCAAATTAAGATATTTTAAAATTACTACATTTCAGAAATAGCTATTTGGCATTATAATAAAAGTGTATTCTGCATTTAATGATTGCCACAGAACTGGGCTTTTCAAACTAATATACACTACCTTTCAGGAGAGAGTTAACTGGTAGTGTAAAAGGGTATCAATTCTGAAAACAAAGATAATGTTTCTTTCGGTAGTGTCAGATTAAGTTGGTAAGTATTAAAACCACA
Organism: Homo sapiens; assembly: GCF_000001405.40. Classification (NCBI taxonomy): domain Eukaryota; kingdom Metazoa; phylum Chordata; class Mammalia; order Primates; family Hominidae; genus Homo; species Homo sapiens. Next base: position 65,757,302 of record NC_000004.12, on the reverse strand, counting down.
TTGATATGGCATCTATTTGTAACTATTTGGATGCTCTGTCAAATGAAAGTTATTACTTCATAACAAAATGTTTTGCTCATTGAGTCTGCTTAGCATAAGTCCCCAGACAACTGGAGGTAAGCATTCATTCCCTCTTCTCACAAGAACTACTTTAATGAAAGTCTGAGGAGCACTGTATAACAGAATCCAAGTAGCCTTAGGGTATACAGTAAATTTTTATCTCAAAATTGACCATCAGAAAAACCTTGCATAACACGAGAAAATTGAAAGTTGGCATTAGAAATGCTTTTAAACAAAACGGCAATATTTCTCCTAATTTTTACATTTTTGTGGAAGTAAACATGGTATAAAATGGGGATAAAACAACATCTGGGATACAAACTAGGAAAACCTGTTAGACATGCCATAATAACAACAATATTGAAAGAATATATAAAGACCAGAGTTTTTACTTTTCTTATGTACTGGGCATAGGTAGAAAAGAAGGTTGAAAAGTACTGACAGCTAGTTACTTACACAGGGAAGGAAGCTGACTGAGTTTGTAGTCACAGTGCAACTAGGCTGCCCTGTGGTGGGAAAACCCTGCCACAAGGAAGGTCAGATGTCAGCGGGCCATGAAACTTAAGTGAATGGCCATATCGGACAAAGGGAAGGGAGTCTTTATGAACAGAGGTGAAAATTATTATTGTAACCGCCTGAAAATCTGTCGTCCTTCATACTCGATTTTAACCGTTCTGGCATGGAAAATAGTTCATCTCCAAAGCCAAGCACAATGTTGAGAAGAGTGCCCCTGCCACATCTTAGCTCAGGGGGAAGCAAGCATTGACTGCTTCACAATGTTCGCTGTTGGAACAAGGGTGAGAAATTACATAAAGTGATCTTTGTATTTTTTGGCTTTGATCTAAATTATTGGACTTCTAAACTAATTATCTAGATTTAAAATCATTTTTTCTTTTTTCAATCTTCATTTCATTGATATAAGTTATTTAGTTTTCCTTTTGTGGCCTTTTAGGATTTTCTCTTTCTTGGTAATTTTTTGTGTGCTCTACATTGTATTATAGATTTCTTTATTTTCACTATTTTACTTGGCACTCATTAGGGAGAGCTAATTTGAAAACTTCGGTATTATATTTTGAAAAAAATATATCAGCAGTTTTCAACTTGAATCTTGCTGCTTCTATATGACCCCTATGTTTTTCTTTCTAGAGACCTTATTCAATTTTTCTGAGCTTCTCATTCTATACTCCGTGCCTTTTAACTTCTCTTTCATGTTTCTTTTTGTCTTTCTGTGAGGTGCTAGCAGGTTCTCCATGTTCTGCCTTCCACTACTCCAATTCTTTACTTAACAATGGACTTAGGAGTATCTAATAGAGGTGTTGGGAAATTTTATTTCAATGGCAATGTATTTCTATCATTTTAACAATTAAAGATATTGTGCAATGTATACCTTGCCCTGGGAATAAGGTTCTGTTTCTTCGTTCTCTCATTTCTTTATATATAATTCCCTGAAGCCACCACAAGCTCATGATGGAGAAGTCACACACACATGCACGGGCACAGGAGTAATCTGAATGTACAAACTAAGGTAGGTAAATTACATCTTCATGTTGCAATTCCGGAATTCTGGTTTTCACATATTTAATGTGGGAAATGTATTATTACTGGCATTAGGTCATCCTTACTGATTAGGTGGTGAAAAATAACAGCAGATTCTTGAGGAAATTAGTCCTTTCTGATCAATCTTCCATAAACAATGTCTATTTTGATTTTCTTTCTATACCTCTCTCTCCTCTATTTTCTCTACATTCTCTCTTATGTGCCACCTTGTAGAAACTAATAGAATTGGCTTAAGGCATAAGTAATATAATATAATGGGGGGCATAAAATTTGAATACATTCAGATGATGAGATGATGTGAAACAGTCACAGGTTTTATTTATTTGATCAGGCCACCAGGATTGTCTCACACAAGATACTGATTTTTACAAATATTTTATTTAATTTTAGTAAAATTCATTGGCAACTTTTAAAAACTAAAGAAGTTCAAATTTAAACATATTTATTTGAAGCTTTCCTTAAAAATATGGAAAATCTGCCAATCTGGGGTTCATTATTTTGTCAGGCAAAAATGTGAGTATAAAATAGCAGATTTTGATGAGACTCTTGATTTCCAGTTCTTATCACAATGTCTGCCTCACTTATTCACACTATCTACCTGTCCCCTCTAGCGTTTGAATTTGTAACCTCTCACAATAATTCATTGGGGGAGGATCCTGGCTCTCTTTCCTTCTTTCTCTAAGCTTTATCCCTAAGTTGTTTCACCTACTCCCATAATTTTCCGTTGCCATCCACATCGAAACTACTATATTCTCTTACTTCATGTATTAGTTAAGGCAAGCTAAATTATCAAACAACATCCAAAGCTCATTGGCTTAGCAAAACAAAGATGTATTTCTTACTTTCACAAAATTAACTCTAGATTCGGGCAACTCTGACAGCAACTCTACCTCATACCACAAATTCCCAATCCAGGATGTTTCAGTCTTGTGGCTTCACTATCTTAATACTTCGCCTTCTTCCTGGAACCCCATGGTAAGAAAAAGATCAAAACGGTTTTAAACTGTAAATGAAATATATATGCCTAGAATGGATACATGTACCTCCATGAACAACACATTGTCCAGAAATGGCCAACTGTACGAGTCTGAGAATTACAGTGTTTTTTGTATAGGCCCAGGAGAGGGAAAACAGATTAGTGAACAAAAATGATGTGTATGCACCTGGAAAACTGTGGCATATTCTAACTACTCTCCTTTAGCCTCCTTACCCCTTCTATAATCTGTGCTCCTCACAGAAAGCAGAATGATCGTTTTTAAAGTGTCCATTTTATTTCATAATCCCCAGATTAAAAATTATTTGATGATATATCATTGTTCCAGTACTTTAAACAAGATTATAAGACCTGCATGACTGATTTCAGTTTTACAACACTTTTTCCATGGAATGCTATTTTCCAGCTATTTTTACATTCATTTAGTTTCTGAAACATAGCAAGTTCATTCCCACCTAAGAACTGCTGATCTTTTTGTTTGTACATTTTTCTAATACCAGCCTTCATTGAGTATTTTCAACATTTGATTTAATGTTTCCTTTTTACTTTTTAAAATGATTCAACAAACATTCTTGTGTATTCAGCTATTTCTGCATTTCTGCAATTTTCTGAAGTTCAAATTCTAAATTAAAAATATTTTAGGGTCAGGTACAGTGCTCACACCTGTAATCCCAACAACTTTGGGAGGCTGAGGTGGGAGGATTGCTTGAGCCTAGGAGTTCAAGAACAGCAGAAATAGGGAGACCTCATTTCTACAAAAATTTTAAAAATTAGCTGGGCATGAGGATGCATGCCCGTAGTCATAGCTACCTGGGAGGCTGAGGTAGGAGTATTGCTTGGGTCCAGCATGTTGAGGCTGTAATGAGCTCTGATCATGCTACTGTACTCCAGCCTGGGTGACAGAGTAAGACTGTGTTTTGAAATAAATAAATAAATAAAGGTATTTTAGAATCCTGTGTATCTATATGTTAATTACTTTTAATAAGGACCCTAAATTTTACATATTTACCTCTAGGTTACATTCTCATTAAATTAATTCATTCAGTAACTTACTGTGTCAGGCAATAATATTTATCACACTCCCATTATGCACCCTTGTGAAACACATGAGTTTTCACTGAAAATAATTTGTTAATTTTAAAAGTTAAAAAATATTGTTCGTATTTATAATTGACGTTTTTTGACTCTTTGTAGGTCCAAATGTATGTATTCAAATACTTGGCAGACATTTGTTTGTATGCTTTTCATATCTTTGTTACTTCTGTATTGAAACTTTAGAGCTTTCGTTGATTACAGAAGAGCTAGGAACTGATTATTGTCTTTATCAAGGTGATGGTTATTTATGTGTTAATAAGATAAATTTTGGTAGAATATTAGCAGCAAAAATCTAATGGAAAATACCCCCCAGAATTCAAAAAAGAGTACTAGGAGGGGTATTGTGTACACATAGAGATTTCTATTTTATGGTATTGCTCTAAAGAAGCACAGGGAAATAAGATGATGTGTGGAGGGAAGTGGAATCAATTTCCATCCCTCTCTGCCTGTCACTACATAGATATACACACACATGCATATACGTATATATATATATACGTATATGCATGTGTGTGTATATCTATGTAGTGACAGTATATACATATATAACATATTTTATTATACATTATGTATTTCTACATATTTTATGACCATATTGTGTTTACTGATTATTACTTCATGAAGTATACTTGAGACACACACTGAGTTGCAAATTGCCTTTGCCTTATTACAATAAAATAATTATACATATGAAATAGAAGGAGGTGGATAAAGGAGCTAAAGACCAGTGTTAAGTTTGAGCCACTCTTTTTATGGTGGTTCTGAAATTTGTGGTTTCAGATAGTTTCTTCTGGGGTGCATTTCTTAACTAACTGAACTCTAATCCAAACAGTCACTGAATTATATATATATATATATACATGTGCTACACAAGTGAATTAGTCAGGTTTCACCCAGAGGAATAGACCAGTAGGGGATTTTCTATTGAGAGATTTACTTAAGAGAAATGGTTTACACAATTGTGGGACCAATTGGCTGATTCCAAACTCCGTAGGACAGGCCATCAGGAAAGGCAGGCTGGGAATCTTGGATGTGGGCTGAAGCCCTTTTCCACAGGCAGAACTTCTCCATTAGAAGCTCTGAGCTTCAGCTCTGCTCTTAAGGCCTTTCAACTAATTGATTCAGGCTTACCCAGATTGTTTAGGATACTCTCTCTACTTAAAGGCCTCTAATTATGAACTTGAATCACATGTACAAAATACCTTTGCAGCAATACCTAGATTAGTGTTTGATCCAACAACTGAGGGCTGTAATCTAGTCAAGTTGACATATCAAAAGACCATTACAGCAGGTCAGAATATATTTGGCTGATTAAGACGATACTTTCTTTCTAAGAAAATTCTTTTGGGAAACCAAATCAATATCAGAAGTTTATTTCAATGATTAGGAAAGTGTTCAAAATTTGTTTTAAAAATTATCGGAACATTTGTCAGGCAGAACTAGAGCATTCATAAGAGTGACTCAGGAAAGTCTCCTTGAAACCATGGTGAAGCCTCACTGTTCTTTTCTTTGTCATCATTGGCAGTAGTATTATTTATCTTCTTTTTCCTCCCCCTCTTCTTTTCTTTCCCCCTCCCTGTATCTTGCTTTCCTACTCCTTCTTCTTCTTCTTTTTCTTTTTTTCTTTCTTTTTTTTTTGAGACAGACTTTTGCTCTTGTTGCCCAGGCTCGAGTGCAATGGCAACATCTCGACTTGCCACAACCTCCACCTCACAGGTTCAAGCGATTCTCCTGCCTCAGCCTCCTGAGTAGCTGGGATAACAGGCATGTGCTACCATACCTGACTAATGGCTATTTTTTTTTTTTTTTTTTAGTAGAGACAGATTTTCTCCATGTTGGTCAGGCTGGTCTCGAACTCCTGACCTCAGGTGATCTGACCATCTTGGCATCCCAAAATGTTGGGATTACAGGCGCAAGCCACTCCTTCTTTCTATTCATCTTCCTTTCCCTCCTTCTTTATTTTAATTTAATTAGTAAAGCATGAGCTTTCTATTATAACTTGTTATACTTGTTACAACAAATTGCATAAGAAATCCTTTAAAAATATTCTTACAAATTGTCCTTCCTTGATGATGACATGAATCATAATGGGATGCTTAATGATCATTTGGAAGACATCCTAATTACATTACTAACTTATTTATTAGAGTGAATTCTGCAGATGTCTAATCCAATCCAAATTTACCATTTCCAGTGTCTGGGTATACATTTATACAATACCTTGTGCCTTGAAGAAATTTCTTAAACATATAAATATTTTATTAAGTAAATAATTACCTTAGCACAATTTCATGCAAGACACTATAACAAACTAGGGAAATAAATGTCATTAAGAGGCTTCTTGTAAAGAAATCTTAAAGTGTTTGTTACAAAATAGATCTCTCTACTTGCTCAATCTGGCCCTCAGGAACAATGATTAGTAATAGTATTTAATAATTAAAACTATTGAACACTTACAATGGGCCAGGTACTTTGCTAAGGGCTATACATACATCATCTCATGGAATCTTAACATCTGATGTTATCATGTAAGCTAGTAATAAATAATTTCAGATAAAAAAACAAAAGTCCCAACAGTGTGAGGGTCCACAACAAGAAAACTTCATATAATAATATTGACCCCAATGAAGTTTCAGAAACTGAAATGTGTCCTATCATTTTTTTTCCATTCATAGAGAAAGAAACTGAAAACTTTCCCGAGTTTGGTACATGTAGAATATGTTCAAACTGGAATATATTCTAAATATATTAAACAGCAGATTCAAAACTTCCACATTACCCAGAACTAATCTCAACTCAAAGCAATAAATTTTTAAATGGCTTTTGTCCCACTAACCATGGTTCCAGTACGAAGATGACTGCTGTTAATTCAACCTGGAAACCTCGTCCTGATAACTGACTTTTGTAGCCTGGATTCCACTAGCGGTACACTTTGTATCCTTTAATTCAACTTGTTTCAGTGTTCTTATAGTTTTACTTGATCCTCATTAAGCCTGAATTTGCCCAGTTAAATAGATGCATATAAAAATAAAATTCATATTATGTGAAGCAGGTTAGAAAACATGGAGAGGTTTCAGAATTTATAAGAACAAATAAACACATTATTTTGAACAAGGTTATACAGAGTAAGGATAAATATTTGCACCATTTCTTTTCATATCACAAATCATGCATTTATCCTTTTGCCTTTAGTTTCAATGCTCATTAATGCCATCTATAAATGGGAAATTGTTGCTCATTGGTATTAATGGGTAGAAGTGATCATCAAAATTGACTAAAAGGTATTTTTTAAAAACTCTGGTTCATGAATTGCAAATATTTCAAGTAATTCAAAATAGGATAAAGCAGAGTTGTACCATAAATTCATAGAAAATTAAAACAATATAAAATCCTACTTCTTATAATATGAAAATAGTTATAACTTCAAACTCACAGGGAAACACTACAGCCATAACTGAGCAAAGGTTTTAGCCCCAGTTCAGAACGTATCACTGGCTTGATCCACTGGAATCAAACAAATACTCTATAGCTAAACTAACTCCTGGTGTTTGAGATGGGAGTAGATATAACCACTAAAAAAAGAATCTAAAAGTTTCAACAATATCCAGGTAAAATAGAAGTAAATTAGTTAAGAATTTCAGAAAAAATACCAAAAATCCCAGCAGATGCCTATAGCCCAGCATTAAGACACAGAGCAATACTGAGCCCAAACAAGTTTCAGAAACTAGGCATCCTATTAAAAGATACGAGGGTCCAGTTTAACAATTTGGATACAGGAGAAGACTTCATTATTTTAGAGGATGACTCATAAAAGGAAGGTACAGTGGTCACGGTCAAAGAGAGTTGTATACATTAAACTCCAGAACTTATTCATCCCTTATAACTGAAACTTTTTATTCTTTGAGCAGCATCTATCCAGTTCCGTTATCCCCCACCCTCTGGGAGCCACCATTCTACTCTGCCTTTTCACATGTAAGCGAGCTCATGCAGTATTTTTCTGTGTCTGGTTTCTTCCACTTGGAATAATGTCCTCTGGGTTGTTGTATATTGTTGCAAATGACAAGATTTACCTCTTCTGAATGGCTAAATAATATTCCTCTGTGTGTGTGTGTGTGTGTGTGTGTGTGTGTGTGTGTGTGTGTTTGTGACATTTTCTTTTTTTTGAGACAGAATCTCACTCTGTCACTCAGGCTGCAGTACAGTGGCACGATCTCGGCTCACTGCAACCTCCGCCTCCTGGGTTCAAGTGATTCTCGTGTCTCAGCCTCCCAAGTAGCTAAGGTTACAGGCATGCACCACCACACCCAGCCTATTCTTGTATTTTTACTAGTGAGCGGGTTTCACCATGTTGGCCAGGCTGGCCTCAAACTCCTGACTTCAAGTGCTTTGCCCACCTCAGCCTCCCAAACTGCCGAGATTACAGGCATTAGCCATTGCGCCTGGCTGTGTATCACATCTTCTTTCACCCATTACTGGACACTTAAGCTGATTCCATATCTTGGGTATTAAAAATAAAGCTTCAGTGGTATATTTAGTTTTGGTTATAAATCAACATAATACCTCAGAAAATATTTAAAGTGTAATACAGAAAACATAGTTTTCTAAAACATAGCTACAAATAAAATGGAAAAAAGGATTAGTTTCAGATATTGTTTCTCTCTTAAAGGTAGTTTTTATTAGCTAACAATTGTGTTAGTTAATTTGAGACTGCTTCTGTAAAGAGTCTCTTTAATATCTCACAGTTAAGTAGAAAAATTAGAAGCAAAGTCAACAGACAGTAATTACTATTTGTCTGAATTCTCCTTTTTCAACAAGACGATGATCCTCAAGACAACACAATTCCTTGATATGTATGCATATTTATTAAAAGGAGTTTTCTATAATTAAGTACATTTTTAAACTAGAAGATAAAATAATTAAAAGAAATTTGAGAATGCCATTCACTAATATCACCTCTGAGGAACTAAAAAGGATCAGAGTGGTTCTTTCTATAATGAATAATAAAATAAATGACTCTCTGTCATCAGTGACATAGCAGGGTAGCAGTCCCCCAGGGAGGTAGAGAATGTTTGGTGGGAAGTTAACATGGGCAGGTACTTGGGAAGTGTTGAGTTTGTGTTCAGAGAAACAACTCTTCACAACTACACACTGAAAATATTGTTTTGCTCCCAGTGTTTCATTTCTTTCCCTCTTACATTCATAAATTCACCCATTTAGCAAGTATTTATTGATTACTTAACAAGGAGGTATGTCCTGTTGTAGGCATTATGGATACAAGATGTACAACACAAAATCAGAGACAAAAAAAGGAGATAATTTGATAAAACATAATCTATACCTCTTAATCCAACTTTGCATTTAGATATACCTCCTAGTTTCATTACAATATTTAAAATTTATCTTTATTTTATATACTAAGATTTTTATGCACAAGAGAAATATTCTTGAGACATGTTCATAAGTGCTGCAGCTTCTCTGACTGAATAATGTCAAGGATTTTATTTTCCTGGTGCATGTTTCGGAACTTCTTTCTTGGTTTTTCTCTAGAGTGACCTGTTTCATCCCAGTCTGCCACAATAACTTATTTTGAGATGACAAGAGTTAAGTGTCCAAGACAAGGTACATGAGAGCAACTGAGCATTTGCTTTGTCTGAAGCTATGTTTCACCTTATGCAGCTTTTTATATTTCTCCTTCCTTAAAATGTTGGCAAAAATACAGATTCTTCTCTAATTAGATTATTTGCAGTGGGTTGTCCAAGGCTCTTTACGTCTGTTCACACCAAATTACCTAACTTTAATGGCCTACGTAGTAAAACTACTGTTCTTTCTTTTCTTTGAATTTCCAGACTACCTTTATTTAAAAAAATCTTATTTCATATGCTATAATAAGTAATAAGCCTTGGAAAAATCCTACTTTTCGCACAATTTCAAACATAGTTATAGTTAACATTGTGAATGTTGTTTATGTTACCATATCCTGAAGACTCATTTTTAAATAGTTTTCCTATGACCACTTCAATATGGTTGCTTTTAGTAGGATGTGAGAGCAACTATTTATTGTTTTTCTATGTGGGCTGATTGGCATGAAGAACACAGGACGTTTATCTCAGAGATTGTTTTTTATGGACTATGTTTTTTTCATGTGGGCTAGTACTCTTAAGTTATGTGCCTTACTCAAGGGTCACTATAAAATGTTTCATGTAAAATTACAAAAGCACTTTTAGAAGCCTTGAGATTGATCGAACCGTAAATATACAAGGAAATTCAGTTCATAAAACATCACTGGACTGTTGAGTTGAATTTGTATGGATGCAAACTCTTAAGTGTATTTGTACCACTAAGTCTGTCCATGATAACCTCAGTTCCAGAGAACTGAGGATGCTTCTGCACTATAAAAGGAATAACTCAAAAATATAAAATACAAGTGTTTAATTAATAAAATATAGCACAATATTATTACAAATTACCTAAAATTTATTTTCTGTGATTCTATAGAACATATGTTCTATTTTAATTTTCACAAAAATCCTGGAATGTAGACAGGGTAGGTGTTCAGAGATGTTAAAATATTTTCCCTCCAAAATGGAATTAGCATTAAAACCCCATGACTCTTAATATAGGACTGTCTTTAAGATATCAAACTTCTACTAAAATTTGATATGATGAAGTGTTAATTTATAAACAATGTATTATATAACAAATATAATGAAATAATATACAATTAATTATAGTATATAATAACACAAAGTATTTGAAGGTTAGTATTCTCGCAGCTGAGAAAAAAAAAAACTTTCTACCACTCAGAAATGAAGAATACTAGTGATGTGACAGAGACCATCATGAAACCTATAATCTCTTCCTGTAAGCCATCAGAGCTGATGAAACTTTCTGCCTCTGTGGAAAAAAAAGTGGGGGAAATAATAGCTGGATGGTTTGGGGCAGCTTGTGCTCAATTTTTACAACTCTCAGGAGAAAAGATTGCTTGCTTTTTAGGTAGAAAACCTCGTCTCTAATATAGCTCTCGGGTAGTTAAAAAATATTAACGTCATTTTTATCTATCTGGCATTCCCATAACTTGGTATACCCAATGCTCTCACAAGTAACTGAACCCAAAGAGCACAACCTTAATTCTACTATGTGAATTGGATTGGCAAGTCACAAATTGTCTGAAGGCATATCAATGTGCATGCTACTAATATGTCTACTCTATAGAGTATGCCCAATGTCCACTGATTTTATTAAGAATGCTAAATATTTTTGCACCTACAATACAACCTCACAGAGTGGCTTTTGTTGTTATAATTCTATGTCCATCATTTGCTAATTTTAATACTACTATCAGTCACTGGCTAAAAAGAGGGAGCATTCCAGTGATGTTAGCCTTATATTGAAAGGGGCTAAGTGAAATTCATTAAATAGAAAAATCAAATGCATTTACAAAAATCTTCCAAACTGTATATTTATGAACAAAGAAGGGGATATTAGATCAATATATCAAAATATGTGACATATATAGACATCCAAATAAATCAAAGAAATATTTTACATGCTGCTACATAGTATAGATGGGATAAGGAATACGGACTTGCAGTGTTTTCTCAAGATGAAAATAAATAGAGGAATATTAGTCTTGGAATCTGTCTATGCCATCAAAGCAAAAACATAATGTGCTTGCTGGATACACTGAATATTCTACAATGAATAATGATTAATGTCTACCAATGTATTGTTCCCCAGGAAGTATGTTTGGTAGCCTGAAACAATACAACACAGTGTAACACACACACACACACACACACACACACACGGGAAATATGGAAAGTTTGGGGCAGCTTGTTCTCAATTTTATTAGCTTTTAGGAAAAAATAAAAGATTGCTTGTTTTTTAGGTAAGATCTATAGATAGATGAATGGATAGACAGATAGATAGATACATATGTATATCATGGATATGTGTGTATATATGAATATATTCCATATTTCTACTGAGTAAAAATCAAACTAGCAGCATTTTGATGAGAAATGTTACTTCACAAAATATGACTATTTTCATATTGCTGAAGTACATATATATCACGAAATCTATACAGCTTGTATCCAATATATAAATTACAGAATGGTATATTTTGCATTCAAAACTTAAGAAGTACAAATGTTAAAAGAAAAAGAAAACTTATATTTTAGTATGTAGATTCCTTCATCAACTACATATATTTATTAATTAAATACCTTTTTAAATACTTTAAAGTGAAAATAATGGAATGTTTGTAAACCACGATGGAAATTTTTAAGATACCAAAAAAATATGTTTAATGTCTTGTCAGGGTAAGATGCCCATGGATCAATAATTCCCAAGTTTAGCATGATAAAGAAAAACTTAGGAATATTTCTAAATTTCGAGGTCTAATATCTAGAGTTAGTGACTCACAAAATCTGTAACACATCTCAGCCTCCAGAATCTCAAGTTATTCTGGTACAATTGCTCCACAGATCAAATTTTCAGGTAGGAAGGTGGGGAAAAGCTGCCCATGATAATATACTTTCATGGAAAATTTTTATTTAAGTAAGAATAAAGCAGGTATTAACATTCAATTGGATTTTCCTTTCATTTTGAAATAGGAATAGAGTATTTGCGAGTTATCTGCAAGCAAAGATAATTTAAACAAAGTAGTATCCTCATCCTTCTGTAACAAACTAGTTGTTACAATCACTTTAAAGGATAAGGAGCAAAGTCAGAGAAGCAGCACAGAAAAAAATGATGGTTTGTGCCCCCTTCCTACAAAGGAACAAACCAGAAAATGTGTGAGTAAAGAAACAAGAAAAACAAAACAAAATACAAATACAACAAACACACAAATGCAAGATTATCTTTTTTTGAAGTAAAAACAAGTTTATTAAGAAAGCAAAGGAATAATGACTATTCTAAATAACTTATAGTTATTTCTTGATTTATATGCTAAACAAGGTGTGGATTCATGAGTTTTTCAAGAAAGGGGTGGAGAATTGCCGGAACTTAGTGTTTTTCCCCTTTTCAGATCATATAGTGCAACTTCCAGACATTCTCATGGCATTTATAAACTGTCATGGCACTGGTGAGAGTGTCTTTTAGCATGCAAATGTATTAAAATTAACATATAATGAGCAGTGAGGATGGCCAGAGGTCACTTTCATCACCATCTTGGTTTTGGTGAGTTTTGGCTGGCTTCTTTACCACTCCTGTTTCATCAGCAGAGTCTTTGTGACCTGTATCTTGTGCCGACCTCCTATTTCATCCTGTGACTAAATGCTTAACCTTCTGGTAATGCTTCCTAGCAGGTCTCAGCCTCATTTTACATAGCCCCTGTTCAAGATGGAGTCACTGGTTCAAATGCCTCTGACATACATCCCCCATCCCTTTTACAAGGGGACCTTTAATTGTAAGGGTTATAGTGGGATGAAGATCCATCTTCTGTAACTTAAGACTGAATAGGGGTAAGGATATCCCTGCATAACTTGTAAGGTCTCTTGTATTCAGGGTAGAGAGGAGTTTAGTCAGAAATCATCAGTATAGTGGGGTCCATTCATAACTCTGAGTCCTGACAAAAGGTGATATCTAGAAAATAAGTGTTCAATTTAACAAAGCATTGAGTAAGTTTATCTTGCATTTTTACACACAGCACAATAGCAATATATTCCACAACAGTAAAGTAATATAAGTAAAATTATCCCAACTAAACTCAATAAGGTTTTCCGTGACGTGGACAATTGTTAGAACAAAGCTGATATGGGATCACTAACAGGCGTACCACACTTTCTGAAACAATTTTTCTCTCACTAATCCTCATTTTTGTTGAAAACAAATGATGGTAGTTCTGATTTGTTTGCAAAACAAGTGTTATTATTGTTATACTTGGCCTGATTATCTGTATAAAATGCAGTAAGAATAATTATTTGCCACATAGGCTTTTGAAAAAATTGCCTTTGTTGGAACTTTTTTTCCATATGGAATCTTATATTAGACATTTTAAAGCCATAAGCTCACCATAGTTTTGTGCCTGAAAATACCTGTATAAATTGGGTGAATTTGTCTCCTCTTGTGGCACAAGATAACTTGGGCTTCCCAGGCCTGTCAGAAAGTGACATTCTTTACTTACCACAGGTCAGGAATTATGTACAGGGACTATGTAGACAAGGTATGAGGCCAGTTTTCCCAAGGGGCTTTTATTGGCTCTTTAAGAAGTTTGATTCCTTAAAGCCATTTGTTTATATTTGAAATCATGCCATTCCAATCAATGTCTTGGTAAAAATTACCAGTTTTTCCAATTGTGTCCTCTTGCAAAAGAAAACAGATTCTTATTGGACTTATGCAAATAACTATATTGCTATAGGTTAAAAATACTCACAAATAGTTTCCAGTTTTTGGAGAAATTAGTTAGAAAGAAACATATCCGAATTTTGTTTACAGGTGTATACTTTACCCAATTGCTAAAAGCTGTAAATACCTCAAAATAAGAGTTTTCTAGATTCTGAAAAACAAAACAGGTCAGCTGCTGTTTTGTCTACAGGATCACACCTGTAATCCCAGCACTTTCGGAAGCTGAGGTGGGAGGATTGCTTGAGTCCAGGAGTTGGAGAACAGCCTAGGGAACACACCAAAACTCTATATCTACAAATGTTTCTAGCAAAGGTAATAAAAATATTATTTTGGTATTTTATTCGTTCAGTCTATGCAATTAATTCCTGTTTTGCTTGATATTTATGAGCACATTAGTTGTCCAAGAGAGTCCTAAAAGGTTTTTCCTCTTTATTTTAATGGCACACTTTCCAAATTTACTTACATTTAAATATATTCATCAGAGTTCTATAGCTGATTATAAACTGACTTTTGAAGAGAATCAAAACAAGACAATTGTCTTCGATGACAAAATGTCTTAGGATAGCCACAGTCGAAGACAAAATTAACAAGAAAATTTGGTTGTCTCTGTGGCGCACAATACTTTGGCATAATAATTATAATTATTACTGATAATGTGCCCTAAGTCATGTCAGACTTATAGGAGTTTCTCATAATTCTGGAACATGCACTAATAATGCCTTTATACAAATACAGCCCAAAGAAAGCCAAACACCATTTAATACTTGACAATCCTTCCTGTATGATTTTAGTACACAAAATAAACCAAATATATGTCTTTTTTATACTTTGGGAGATATATCTAAAAGGAACTATCAAGTCAGAAAAAGGCTTAATTTTGAATTAGATTTTGGAAAGTTTTTCAAATATGAAGGGTTTAAACAATGTTATAAAATAGAATCTTAGGTCACCATAAGTCATTTACTTAGCAAAAATGGTAACTCAAAATATTTTAAAAAGGCAAAAAGCTTTACTCATTGATACAGGGAGAAATTAGCTTTCCAAACAATTTGTCTCTTTTTTCTTCGCTTCTTTTCCTGTTGTTTATTTACAAGGCAAATTAAAGTCTTTCCTCTTTTAATATTACTAGAAAATCTTGTTCAAGAGAGAAGGCGAAATTTCACCTTTGCATGAGTGTACTATTAATGTCAAACCCAATTCTCAATAAAATGTTGTTGACAAATTTATTCAATCTTAATCAGTTTGACTATAAGTTAAGATTCTCATTAACCTTTTATAACTCTTCTAAATTTTTGGTTAAAGAATAGATCAATGCTCTAAGAAAACCCTGTTGTGCTTTTATTCCAATGTTCAATCTATGAAAAAACTGAATAATACCCCTTTAATTTTGGCAAGTATGTTCACTAACAGAATTTCTTTTACAAGATTAAGCTTTCACAATTTGCTCAAACTTTCAGCTTTATCTTATCTAACTTAAAACAATCCTTTAACTTTCTAAGCAAGGCAAAAGACCAGGTGCCTGGCTCACATCTGTAATCTCAGCACTTTGGAAGGCTGAGGTGGGAGGATTGCTTGAGCCTCAGGAGTTGGAGGCGAATCTGGGGAACACAGAAAAATCCTATCTCTATAAAAAATATAAAAAGTAGCCAGGCATGGTGGTGTATGCCTGTAGTCCTAGCTACTCTGGAGGCTGAAGTGGAAGGATCGCTTGAGCATAGTCTTAGCTACTCTGGAGGCTGAGGTGGGAGGATCAACTGAGCACAGGAGGTTGAGGCTGCGGTGAGCTATGATCACACCACTGCACTCCAGCCTAGTGATAGAATGAGACCTTGTCTCAAATAAATAAATAAATAAATAAATAAATAAATAAATAAATAAAATGAAATAGAAAGAAGCTTTCTCCTCCAGTGGTAAGGAGGAGGAACAATTTGATGCACCTGTCCAGTATACCACTAGTATATAATATACTTTTCTTTACGCCAGTTCTAAGTGAACCAGACTGTCAAGTTACAAGTCCTCTGAAGCAATTTTAAAGGAAAATTTTCAAAAAGAGGTGTAAAAAAATTACAATTAACTTTTTTGGGCCTACCTCAGCTAGATCAAACAGAATCTAACTTAAGCCTAAATTCCATTGGCCCTATGATTGGACATGCCTAGACATGAGTAGAGGGTCTAAATCAGGTCCTATGCTGTGGTATGTGATGCCTTCCATGGAAAGAACTCTTCCAAGAGAAAGGATAGTCAAGGCTCAGAAGATTAAGGCAAAACCTTCCCCAATGCTGGGGAAGAACATGCATTGAATACCTTAAATATATTGTGGAGTCAGATAATATTCCATGGGAGTTCCAATGGAATTCATTCAATGAAGCTCATTCATTTGTTCATGGAATTTTTACTGCATATACTACATGTGTCAGGTACAATTCTTTCTTATTAATTTAGATCCACTTACTTTTGGCATAAAATTATTTGTAATAATACTACTGCTATTATCAATAAAAATAACAGTCAAAATTAGGCCTACCAAAGATTTTACTTATTTGAAATTACATATGTGCTTTACATGAACTTAAAAGCCATGAACATTTAAATATATCTGTGTGCAAATATATGTGCGTGTATATACATATATACATGTAATATACATGTATATGTATATATATGTGTGTCTGTAATATACATGTATATTACTTACTTGTTTGCATTTGCTTTTTGTATACCAATCCTTTCTTCTGTTTTTAATTTTCTTCTTGCTGATGGACATACTTTAAGTTGTTTATTCAGTGATAATCTGTGAGTAATACATACACTAGTCTTTGTAAATCTGAAAATTCACTCTTCCTTTCAAAAAAAGTTTAGTTTATTAAAGAATTCTGAGTTGATGCATTACATCTTCAGATAATTCTGGCCTCCGTTGCTCATGATAAGCCTGCAGTCAATCAGAGACTTTCCTTTTTAGGAACTCCGTGTTTACATACATACATACATATGTGTGAGTGTGTGTGTGTGTGTGTGTCTGTGTGTGTGTGTGTGTGTGTATTTTTAACGTTGATATTCTGAAGATACTCAGCCATGGGCTTTGGTTTTATTTTCCTTGCTTGGGATTAGAGATGATTATTCAATCTGAAGATTCAGTATTTTTTCTATTAGAAAGTAATTTTAGCCATTATATTATTAAATTGTGCCACTTTCTCTTAATGTGTTTTTTCCTTATTTTTTTTATAATTTTTAATCACGAGCTTATCCTCAGCAGCTATTTATTTCATAGGAATACCACAGACCCTGGGTTCTATAGGCCTTTGAGAGAGTGTTTCATGTTTGATTCTACTGGGGTAGAATCAAGCTTTAGAAATGCAACTATGTTCAGCTGACATTTAAGTTTCTTATTCCTTAGAAGTAAAACTACCTCAGCTAAATTATAATATTAACTGAGGTCTACTGTCTTTATTTATTTCCTTCATTATATCATGAACCTTAGTTATACAATGAATTATCTTTCACTTTTATTTTTCTATATGTGTCTTACACATCATAGGTACTAAATATGTATAATTTTCAACTATATTGATTACTTAGCAACTAAACAACCAATCTGCATACAGAAGAAATTAATATTATGAAACTAAAGAAGTTATAAGAACCCACAGTTAGTGTTGTGAATCTTATCAACTAAATAATACTCAAACAAATAAATTTAAAATAGAAGTCCAATTTCTCCAATATTTTTAATCTTTTTTGTTTTCTTTTATACGAGTAGAGAAAATAATATGAAATATGCTTGCATAAAAGCCTGAAAGTTAAGCTATTTGTCAGGTGTAATGATTTTGTTCTCTCAAGCCCTGATGCAAATATTTGTTTCCCAAGAAAGCCATTACAGCATACTACTTCTCTCTAATAACAAAATGATAAGCTTATATAGAGGAAAAAATAAAATTCCTAACGGAGAAAGTGCATTCTAAGTACATTAGTAATGAAAACAGCTTTGAATGTTAATCTATGTACAAAACAATATCCCAAAATGAACCTCCTGTTACATTTGCCCTCCAGTGAAATAATACAAGATGCTAGGAGAAAATCAAGCTGTTGGTAATCAGGCCCTGAATAAAAGATCACATTTCTATAGTTTCCATTACCAAGGAACACCTACCATAAAATAAAGAACACAGATATATCATTAAAATATTTTGTGATTGCCTATAGAAAATGTATACATGCATAAGCAGATTTTCAACCATATCATAAGATCTTTGTGGAAATTCTTTAAAGAAAACCCATAAAGATGAAAATTAAAATAATAGACATTTCTTTCTATCAGAATAAGTTTGGAGAGATTAGATCATAAAATTATATTATATTGGCAACATGGAGTTTTGAAATAAGCTAGCTCTATCTTGAACCCAGTCCAAGAAAGTTTAGTTACAAAGTTACTAGATTTGACTCACAATATAGTGTGTATAACTTGGGCTCCACAGATAATTTAATCCAAGACACCAACATATCTTCTTTAAAAAATAAACATTGTATTATTTGGAATATGATTAGTAGAGTATTTAATTTAGAGTGCAAATCTCTCAAATTCATTCTCTCTCCCTCCCTTCTTCTATCTTCCTTTCCTATTTTTCTCTCTCTCTCATTTCTTTATGTAACTAGAAATTTTAGTTCTTCTAAGTGATAAACAGAATACATCTGCATAAGACCTGGAACCACTTCATAGCTGGGAAAAATAAATACATGTCCGTAATGTCATAGCTCAGGCTCTTTGGACTGTTTGTCATCTTTTAATCCTCTGCTCACCACTCCATGCAGGACAGTTCTTCAAGTGCCCTTGGACAGACCCATTTCTCCCCACTTTCTTGCTTGTAGTTCTGAAGAATAACTGTCGAATGTGCTGAGAATGCCACATCCTGAGACAGGGAGTGGCTGATCAGAACAGCACAGGCTCTGTTCCAGTCTCTTCTAGAAATAATATGTCTTTCAATGGTTTAAGTCAGCTTTTCCTGTTGCCCCATGATATAAAATCCAGAGAAGGCTGCTTTCTGCAATCCCTCACCTGTGGTGCAAATGGGGCATATATAGACAATTCTCCAACCACCCCAGCCAGCATATCTGAGCCTTGAAGTACTGGCTTGTAATAAATTCTATGCTTCTGGTCCTTCGCTACTTATCTGTACATAACAAATTCACTTCCTGTAACTTGTGTGTGGGTGTTCTATCTCACTGGAGTGTCATGTGGATAGCCAGTACACAGTGAACGAAATTGGCACTGAGAGCAGGGTGACCTCTGACAGACCATGACTTTTATTGGCAAAGCAAGAAGGGCTATACCGTCTAGTACACCTGGTCCAGGGAGAAGATGTCAGCCTGACAATGCACAGTGGCACATGAGTCCCTGATGTTGGCCACTTATGTGGTTGCTCATTCCTAGAATCATAGACCTCAGGAAGTCGGTACTCAGATAGACTCTCAGGTGTTTGGGAAGGAGCCAACACAAGTATTGCAGGCCTTCTCAGAGAGCGAGGCTCATTTTTAAAGAACAGAAATGAAGAAAGGCCAGAGAAGCCCTATGCAGCCTGGATGATGTATTTCTTTGATCAAGGGACATTGCAGATCCAAATGATAAATGGAGCAGTTAAGGGCAAAGACAAGGTCTCTGGATGCTCATTGGAGGCCAGTGGTCCTAAACTCTGGTCAAGATAGAAGGGAGAAAGAAGGCAATTCAGACTTCTCTGAGTGCATTATAGGTATTGACATTTTGGCTGCTTGTGGCACAGAATATCATTGCTGCTTGAAGGGGCATGCCCCTCGCAGCTAAGGATTCCAGCCACAATAAAGGGGCATATCCCCTCCTACCTGCAACCTTAGCTATCCAAGTCCCAACAGATTATTCAACACAAGTAGTACTGCATGCTGAGTGGAGAAATGGACACTAATTTGTTAATTTAGGATTTGGTACACATAAAAAGGTTACAATCAACCTTGTTACAGTGTACCAGGCAGTTTGGCTGGTCAAAGGACCTTCAGGGCATGGAGACTAACAATGGACTGAATTCTAGGCTTCTGGAGTGGTAATCCAAAGAAGTATTCCAGATACCATCAAGAAAAAATTATTATTCCTGGTGATACTCATGAATTAAAAAGGAGGCCCAACAGGCTATATGCCTCTTTGGGTACTGGATACAATGTTTATCTTACAGAAGTGTTCTTTAGGCCTCCTTAGCCCAGGTGACCAATAAAGCCACCAATTTTAAGTGGGGCCCTTTGCAACAGCATGCTGGAAAGACATTTGATAAGACATGGCCATGATACTACCTTTCAAACCTTTAATGTCGGCTAGTCTGATGGAATTACAGGTGTCTGCAACCTTCACATATGCTGACTGGAATTTGGGGCAACAGAAAACTGTCAATGGGGTGTACCAATCTCTTGGATTTTGAACTCACAAGTTGCCTAAGGTATCCATCAGATACAACTCCTTTAAATGGCAACTCCTAGAGTGCTTTTGGGAAGTAGTGGAGACTGAGTTCTTTACAGCTGAAGTGCCACATGTGACACTGCAACATGCATTGCCCTTTCTCTCTTGGGTGCTCACAACTCCACCAGTAAAATTAAACATGCTCAACTAAGTTCAGTTATCAAGTGGAAAGGGTACATTCAAGATTGGGTCTGGACAGGATGCCTAGGGACCAGTAGGCTCCATGAACAACTGGCTAGCTTACCAGAAGGGACCAAGCAACTTGTAGGGAGCTCAAGACTTAGAGAGGAGCCTTCTTACAATATGGCATGGAGTACTGATAACTCTGACAAAAAACAAGCAGGTGGGATCCACTGGACTGTGGCTACCATCCAGCCAGGGGATGGCCATCTTCTGACTCAGACTGGACATATTATTTTGCCCAATGGATCAAACCTACATGCAGTGGCAATGGCCATGCAGGCGAGACCTACCACCATATCTTGCCATACTGCTGCTTACTTATGGGCCAGTGCCAACAGCCTAGCCACCTGGTCAGGAGAATAGCGATGAAGTGACTGAACTATTAAATTATTTCCTGTGTGAAGACAAAGACATGGCAGCAGATTGCTGCCTGGAAGGGACAAGTAGATGCCACTCATATGCACACTTGAGCCTACCATAACCATCCCTGAGCGGAGCTTATGTCATGTTTTTGGATAACCCATGGTAGGAAAGCAGTTGGGAACCCTGCCAGTATAAGAAAATGCCAGGAGGAAAGAATAAACCATTAAAGAGGAAACAATTAAAGCCCAGATACAAAATGAATCATTTTACTATCTTGCCAAATGAAAGGAGCATAAATGTCCAGCTTCCTTGAAGTTTTTAGGATTAAGCCCATCATGTCTCCCTTAAATCAGCTTCTACCACCCTGAAGCCAGCCTGCCCCCCACTCAAAAAAATATTGGATCTGTAACATGTTGAAAATGCAAGTAGAATTCATGTTTATACATGTTTAAATAGATAAACATTTTATCTTTACTTTTGCAATCATCTTTTTGTCATATTTTCAGTATTTAGAAATTATTTTAGACCACAGAATCTCAGCAGCTATTTGTTAGAAAGTAATGGTGAAAAAATAGTAAGTTGAACTGATTGAAGTGTTCTAGTACCTACAAAACAAAAACGATAGTAAGTTCACCTTTGCTCAAAAGACATGTGTTGAACCCATATTGTACAAAGCACTCTGACAGCTGAAGAAATGCGAAGGAGGAAAAAAGAAAATAATTTCATTCCAAATGACAAAGTATAAAAGCAGCATAAAAAAGGAGTAGGAAGGTCTAAGGCCTATACCTATATCTTGACAAAAAAAAAATAATATAACTAAAGAAAAATGCCTTTCAGAAAAATATAAACAAAAGAAGAAAAATAATCAACAAAGCAAATTTCATAAGCTGACACTGTCAACCATTGTCTAAGAATGCCACATGTGACACTCAAAGTCTTCTCCAAGGACTTCAGTATTATAGCCACACTGGTAAGATCATCACTCCCTTAGACTGCTATTAATGACACTAAATTAAGAGAGTGCCTCCAAACTCCATGACTCCATTTTAATCAAGCAACTTTTTAACCATAATTTGGCTTATGACATAGATTTGCCACTAAGAACAGAATGTTCTGGTCTTTCAATATAGGTATATCTGTTATGTGATTTTTATATTTCTCATTTATATTTTTCATTAATAAGATGTCATTTTGATTTTTACCAGTTCCTGGGATTGAATCATTTGAATCTATTCTGAAAGACATTTTGATTCTCACATACATCACGATATCTGGCTACGCAATATTGAGATCCATATCAGGAACACAAGTAAATTTGCCCAGGGAGTAGCCCTTTGGGAGTCTTTATAGGTAGCTAGTTGGCCTCTCCAGAAGGCTCTCCACCTCAATGGAATTCTTTCCTTCATCTCTTCTCCAGATTCCCCCCCACCTTCTTGTCTCAGTTTGAAAAATAATTTTCAATGTTTGAATATTAAAATCTTATCAATCATTTCAGACTTTTAAAATCATTTTAAAACTACTCACCTTCTGTAAAACCCTGTTACCTGAAACTTCTGGCAAAAATAATATTTTGTTGCTTGTAGCTCCCATAATACTTTGTATTTGTGTATATGTGTATGTATATATATGTATACACATACGTATAACCATATCTTATTTTCTACTTGTGTTGCATATATCTTCTTTTTCCTAAGTGACTATAAATTACTTTAAAATAACCATGAGATATTATTATATGCAATTTGAGAACTTCTGGAAATCTTTTTTAAAAACCTGGAAAATTTTGTGTCAAATTGAGCATTGCCTATAGGCACATAGAGTTCATTGTCAATAGTTACACAACTTCATTCTGGTACTGTTTCTCAGAGGATAAACAAATATCAGCCTTCATATTCTTTCATGTCGAATAATAGGAAAAGTAATAATACACTGTTCTAAGACAAATTGCTCAGTTAATAAGAATTCTCTATCTGGGAAAGATGATAAATAATCTCTTCCACATAGAAGGCAGAAATCATTTCCCCTCTGGCTGTTGCTGTCTGCCTCTGCCTAACTACAACATTTGCATTGCACAGAAGTACCGATAGTATTATAGGCAAAATAGGTAAAGGAAGTTTCTTCTGGTCCAGCTTGGTCTTGTTTGTTTTAACTCCAGAAAACTACCATTTCATAGAAAAAGTAGATGATATCATTGAGCATGTTTGTTCTTCTGTACTGCGGCTAAACCTGTATAGGAAGTCATTAATCCTCAGAAAGTCCTTTCAGATGTATAAGCCCAGTCTTATATGTAGAGTTTAGCACAAAGAGGAAAGTTGAATGGTCTAAGGCCACATTAAGAGTCTGCACCAGAACTGTCATTAGAACTCATGAGCACCTGTCAACAACCCTGTGCTCAAAACAGAAGCCCATGTCAGCCTTTATCGCTGTGGTGTGACACTATTAACTACAAACAGACCTTTTAACTAAAAGAATTTCTAGGCTACTACTAGCATCTGAGTCAAAAGAAAACCATATTTTCTGGTAAAAAGAAAGGCATAAATGGTATGCAAAGTTAACATTTTAAAATTATTTTAGAATTGCATTTAAGAGAATTTTGTCCAGTTCAAATTTAAAGCAAAAAAAAAAGATAAATATATTTTTCACATCAACAAGTGAGTCAGCATTGTGCATTTTTCATGTTATAATTATAAATTATGAGCAAGACTTCCAGCTTGAGCCTAAGTAGTAAAAGGTATTCTAGTAATGAGTGGGGTAGGCCTAAGAGAAGTGGCTGAAGAACTTTCAGGAGCACTCCCATCCTAAGCAAAGAAAAAAAAAAAAAAAAAAAAAAAGAGTCCCAGCCACAGGAGCTAGACTTACTTCCGTACAGACAGTTTTCTCATTAACAAGCTGGTGATTCTGGAATATTAGCAACTCTGATGTGCCCTCCATTGCAGTGCCTATGATTACTGTGAAGATACAGTTAATAAGTTAAAAAGGCAAAAGCAATTTCACTGCAATTTTTATAGCCTGGCTTCCTCTTTGCTCTGACATGGTGTAACTCAGAGGATAGCACACTATTCTCTCCCAATTCCCTCCAAATGCCTTGTTCATTTGGCACTAAGACTCCTACACAAACAGAGGCACTTGGCAGAGTGACTGTAGCTAATGGTAGGAATACCCAGTACCCAGGAGTAGGTATCCAGTAAAGCAGTAATACATTCATAGAGGCCCAAATAGAGAAGGTAAGAATGAGTAGAGTCGTGCCAATGCCCAGAGGGAGACGTCAGCAGTGGTGGTGACTGTCGATGGGAGCAGACTTGTTTGCAAGAAAATGTGAGACACTCTGAAATACCAGGCAGGGGACTTTGTGGAGTGCTAACGTTTTTCCATCTGCTCTAGGGGTAAGCTGCCAGTGTAATTCTTTTTTTTTTTTTTTTTTTTTTTTTTTTTTTTTTTTTTTGAGACGGAGTTTCACTCTGTTGCCAGGCTGGAGTGCAGTGGCGTGATCTCGGTTCACTGCAACCTCCGCCTCCTGGGTTCAAGCCATTCTCTTGCCTCAGCCTCCCGAGTAGCTGGGACTACAGGCATGCGTCACCACACCCAGCTAATTTTTGTATTTTTAATAGAGAAGGGGTTTCATCACGTTGGCCAGGATGGTCTCGATCTCTTGACCTCATAATCTGCCCACTTCAGCCTGCCAGTGTAATTTTTTATCTACTCCTAGGCTAGTGAAACTTAAGGAAACAAGTTAAAGATAGATTTGGTATACTGCTAATTTGTTTGTATTTACCTACTCCATAATACTTAAAAGTTAACTGATTTTTATGTATGTGATATTCACAACTTATAACTTTAACTTTAACAAGTTCATGCTGTATGATTCCTTAGCATGACTTCAAGGTTGCAATTATAGAGCCAGACAAAGCCATGTCATAAAAAGTATGCAGAATCTAATTAAGATATAATGTAATATATATAATAATTGTGATTCTGACATCTAGGAAAGTTATATATATACACACACACAGAAGCACACACCTATATATATGTGTGTATATATGTATATATATGTATATATGTATATATGTATATATATGTGTATATATGTATATATGTGTATATATGTGTATATGTGTATATATGTATATATGTATATGTGTGTATATGTATATATATATGTGTGTATATATATACACACACACAGACACACACACCAATAAAGTACAGAATTCTGTCAAAAAGATCAAAGAGATAAAACACAATTACTGAGGGATTTAAGGATTCCAATGAAATGATACTAAAGGTTCTCTAGAGGCAGGTGGGAACGCATTTTAAATATCTCAAGAAAGCAAAAATTTCAGGAGAACCTGACTGAACAGTTATGCCAGTAGTATATAAATTTAGAAATGCCTGAAGGGTTTTGCGAGTAAATAATATTGGAAGAACTGGCTGATGGTGTAACTTAAACCCAGGAATGTGGGCGAAGAGCACTGGCTTTTTAAATTTATGACATCCCCTTTTGATGCCAGTAACACATGAGATGACATGTTCCATAGATATCTAGAGCAAAAGCCCCATACTGTGCCCACGTCAGGGGACTCTCTGGTGAATAACCTTAGGACACCAACTGGCTCTGAAAGGCGTAATCACTTAAAATCCACCTTTATTCGTATTTTTGCATGATAGGAAGCTTACCCATTTTATGTGTCAAGAACATTGTTACTCTAGAATGTTAAACGATAGAGTCATGGAGTTTATAATCTAGAGAGATTAGGACTAATCAAATAATCACACATGTTATATATTACATTGTATTTCATCAAACTTGAAATGTCATTAATTTCATCATAATAAGATGTGTTATTTTGTATCATTAAGAAAACCAAAAAAAAGGCCCACTGATATTAGAACTGTGGGGCAATGCTTTCTTTTATCACTCAGATATTTTATGTTTTGAAAACAAAGGTTGTCTGTTTCCAGAGTCTGTCTGTGAATTTTGTGAAAATACCCCTGCTTCCTTCCGGGTGGTCTTTAGCCAAGTTAGTAAACCACTATGTGGCTCAGTTTTCTCACCTAAAATACGGAGACAGAAAAGTCTACCTGTTTCACAGGATTGTTGTAAGGATTACATAATGTGATATTTATACATTTCTTAGAATTGTATATAACGTATATTAAGCATTTGTAAGACTGTTTTCATTACTATTGTATTAAATACATTTCATATTCTTACACTAACAGAAGTTGTTATTACAAGTTAATGATTATTGTTTATAGGTCATTGGCTCAAACTCATGTCAGTGATCTACTGAAATTTGTGGCACGTAATGCTTATCATTATTTAAGCTGAGTTATGCCTTTCTTCACCCTCAACAATCTACTACAGACTTAAAAAACCTAGAAAAACAGTTTAATAAACAGACAGGCAACTTCAGCTAGCCCTCACTTTTGACCTTAACTTCTAAATAATGTGGTTTTACAAAAATGCTATATCCTTTGTGTCTTTATTATTTTTTTTTAATTATACTTTAAGTTCTGGGTTACATGTGCAGAACGTGCAGTTTTGTTACATAGGTATATGTGTGCCATGGAGGTTTGCTGCACCCATAAACCCATCACCAGGTATTTCTCCTAATGTTCTCTCTCCGCTAGCCCCCAACCCCCCATAGGCACTGGTGTGTGATGTTCACCTCCCTGTGTCCATGTGTACTTATTGTTCAACTCCCACTTATGAGTGAGAACATGCAGTGTTTGGTTTTCTGATCTTGTAATAGTTTGCTGAGAATGATGGTTTCCAGCTTCTTCCATGTCCCTGCAAAGGACATGAACTCATCCTTTTTTACGGCTGCATAGTATTCCACAGTGTATATGTGCCACATTTTCTTAATCCAGTCTCTTATTGATGGATATTTGGGTTGGTTCTAAGTCTTTGCTGTTGTGAATAGTGCTTCAGTAAACATACATGTGCATGTGTCTTTATTGTAGAATGATTTATAATCCTTTGGGTATATGCCCAGTAATGGGATTACTGGGTCAAATGGTATTTCTTGTTCTAGATCCTTGAAGAATCACCACACTGTCTTCCACAATGGTTGAACTAATTTACACTCCCACCAACTGTGTAAAAGTGTTCATATTTTTCCACAACCTCTCCAGCATCTGTTGTTTCCTGACTTTATAATGATCACCATTCTAACTGGTGTGAGACGGTATCTCACTGTGGTTTTGACATGCATTTGTCTAATGACCAGTGATGATGAGCATTTTTTCATATGCTTGCTGTCTGCATAAATGTCTTCCTTTAAGAAGTATCTGTTCATATCCTTTGCCTATCTTTTGATGGGGTTGTTTGCTTTTTCTCTGTAAATTTAAGTTCTTTTTAGATTCTGGATATTAGCCCTTTGTCAGATGAATAGATTTCAAAAATTTTCTCCCATTCTGTAGGTTACCTGTTCACTCTGATGATAGTGTATTTTGCTGTGCAGAAGTTCTTTAGTTTAATTAAATCCCATTTGTCAGTTTTGGCTTTTGTTGCCATTGGCTTTGGTGTTTTAGACATGAAGTCCTTGCCCATGCCTATGTCCTGAATGGTATTGCCCGGGTTTTCTTCTAGAATTTTAATGGTCCTAGGTCTTACATTTAAGTCTTTGATCCATATTGAGTTGATTTTTGTATAAGGAAGGGGTCCAGTTTCAGTTTTCTGCATATGCCTAACCAGTTTTCCAAACACCATTTATTAAATAGGGAATCTTTTCTCCATTGCTTGTTTGTGTCAGATTTATCAAAGGTCAGATGGTTGTAGATGTGTGATGTTATTTCTGAGGCCTCTGTTCTGTTCCATTGGTCTATGTATCTGTTTTTGGTACGAGTACCATGATTTTGCTTATTGTAGCCTTCTAGTATACTTTGAAGTCAGGTAGCGTGATGCTTCCAGCTTTGTTCTTCTTGCCCAGGATTGTCTCGGCTATGTGGGCTCTTTTTTGGTTCCATATGAAGTTTAAAGTAGTTTTTTTTCCAATTCTGTGAAGAAAGTCAGTGGTAGCTTGATGGGATAGCATTGAATCCATAAATTACTTTGAGCAGTAAGGCCATTTTCATGATATTGATTCTTCCTATACATGAGCATGGAAAGTTTTTTCCATTTGTTTGTGTCCTCTCTTATTTCCTTGAGCAGTGGTTTGTAGCTTTCCTTGAAGAGGTCCTTCACATCCCTTGTAAGTTGTATTCCCAAGTATTTCATTCTCTTAGCAGCAATTGTAAATGGGAATTCACTCATGATTTGGCTCTGTCTGTTATTGGTGAATAGGAATGCTTGTGGCTTTTGCTCATTGATTTTGTATCCTGAGACTTTGCTGAAGTTGCTGATCAGCTTAAGGAGAGTTGGGGCTGAGACGATGGGGTTATCTAAAATACAATCATATCATCTGCAGAGACAATATGACTTCCCCTCTTCCTATTTGAATACCTTTATTGCTTTCTCTTGCCTGATTGCCCGGGCCAGAATTTCCAATACTATGTTGAATAGCAGTGGTGAGAGAGGGCATCCTTGTCTTGTGCCAGTTTTCAAAAGGAATGCTTCCAGTTTTTGCTCATTCAGTATATTGTCTGTGGGTTTGTCATAAATAGCTCTTATTATTTTGTGGTACGTTCCAATGATACCTAGTTTATTGAGAGTTTTTAGCATGAAGGCTGTTGAATTTTGTCAAAGGACTTTTCTGCATCCATTAAGATAATCATGTGGTTTTGTCATTGGTTCTGTTTATGTGATGAATTACATTTATTGATTTGCGTATGTTGAACCAGCCTTGCATCCCAGGAATGAAGCTGACTTGATCATGGTGGATAAGTTTTTGATGTGTTGCTGGATTCAGTTTGACAGTATTTTATTGAGGATTTTCACATATATGTTCATGAGGGATATCAGCCTAAGATTCTCTTTTTGTTGTTGTTGTTGTGTCTCTGTCAGGCTTTGGTATCAGGATGATGGTGGCCTCATAAAATGAGTTAGGGAGGATTCCCTCGTTTTCTATTGATTGGAATAGTTTCAGAAGGAATGGTACCAGCTCCTCTTCATACCTCTGGTAGAATTCAGCTGTGAATCCATCTGGTCCTAGACTTTTTTTGGTTGGTAGGCTATTAATTATTGCCTCAATTTCAGAACCCGTTATCGGTCTATTCAGAGATTCAACTTCTCCCTGGTTTAGTCTTGGGAGGGTGTATGTGTACAGGAATTTATCCATTTCTTCTAGATTTTCTAGCTTATTTGCTTAGAGATGTTTATAGTATTTTCTGATGGTAGTTTGTATTTCTGTGGGATTGGTGGTGATATCCCCTTTATCATTTTTTATTGCATCTATTTGATTCTTCTCTCTTTTCTTCCTTATTAATCTTGCTAGTGGCCTATCTATTTTGTTCGTCTTTTCAAAAAACTAGCTCCTGGATTCATTGATTTTTGGAAGGGTTTTTTTTTTTTTTCCCTATCTTCTTTAGTTCTGCTCTCTAGTTCTTTTAATTATCATATACGGATGCAGATTTTAGATCTCTCCTTGCTTTCTCTTGTAGTCATTTAGTGGTATAAATTTCCCTTTACACACTGCTTTAAATGTGTACCAGAGATTCTGGTAGGTTGCGTCTTTGTTCTCCTTGGTTTCAAAGAACATCTTTATTTCCGCCTTCATTTGGTTATTTACCCAGTAGTCATTCAGGAGCAGGTTGTTCAGTTTCCATGTAGTTGTGAGGTTTTGAGTGAGATTCTTAATCCTGAGTTCTAATTTGATCACACTGTGGTCTGAGAGACAGTTTGTTGTGATTTCTGTTCTTTTACATTTGCTGAGGAGTGTTTTACTACCAATTATATGGTCAATTTTAGAATAAGTGCAATGTGGTGCTGAGAAGAATGTATATTCTTTTGATTTAGGGTGGAGAGTTCTGTAGATGTCTATTAGATCTGCTTGGTCCAGGGCTGAGTTCAAGTCCTGAATATCCTTGTTAATTTTCTGTCTCCATGATCTGTCTGATATTGACTGTGGTGTTAAAGTCTCCCATTATTATTGTATGGGAATGTAAGTCTCTTTGTAGGTCTCTAAGAACTTCCTTTATGAATCTGGGTGTTCCTGTATTGGTTGCATATATATTTAGGATACTTAGCTCTTCTTGTGAATTGATCCCTTTACCATCATGCAATGGCCTTCTTTGTCTCTTTAGATCTTTGTTGGTTTGACGTCTGTTTTATCAGAGAACAGGATTGCAACCCCTGCTTTTTTTTCTTTCAATTTGCTTGGTAGATCTTCCTCCATCACTTTATTTTGAGCCTATGTATGTCTTTGCACATGAGATGGGTCTCCTGAATACAGCACACCAATTGACTCTTTATCCAATTTGCCAGCCTGTGTCCTTTAATTGAGGCATTTAGCCCATTTACATTTAAGGTAAGTATTGTTATGTGTGAATTTGATCCTCTCATTATGATGCTAGCTGATTATTTCGCCCATTAATTGATGCAGTTTCTTCACAGTGTCAATGGTCTTTACAATTTGGAATATTTTATGCAGTGGCTGATACTGGTTGTTCCTTTCCATGTTTAGTGGTTCCTTCAGGAGCTCTTGTAAGGCAGGCCTGGTGGTGACAAAATCTCTCAGCATTTGCTTGTCTGTAAAGGATCTTATTTCTCCTTCACTTATTAAGCTTAGTTTGGCTGGATATGAGATTCAGGGCTGAAAATTGTTTTAATAATGTCAAATATTTGCCACCACTCTCTTCTGGCTTGTAGAGTTTCTGCAGAGATATCTACTGTTAGTCTGATGGGCTTCCCTTTTTGGGTAACCCAGCCTTTCTCTCTGATTACCCTTAATATTTTTTCCTTCATTTCAACCTTGGTGAATCTGATAATTATGTGTCTTGGGGTTGCTCTTCTCAAGGAGTATCTTTGTGGTGTTCTCTGCATTTCTGGAATTTGAATGTTGGCCTGCTTTGCTAAGTTGGGGAATTTCTCCTGGATAATATCCTGAAGAATGTTTTCTAACTTGATTCCATACTCCCTGTCACTTTCAGGTACACCAGTCAAATGTAGATTTGTCATAGTCCCATATTTCTTGGAGGTTTTCACGCTTTTTTCTCTAATTTTGTCTTCTCACTTTATTTCATTAATCTGATCTTCAATCACTGATATCCTTTCTTCCGTTTGATCGAATCAGCTATTGAAGCTTGTGTATGCTTCACGAACTTCTCAAACTGTGGTTTTCAGCTCTATCAGGTCATTTAAGCTCTTCTCTACACTGATTATTCTAGTTAGCCATTCACCTAACCTTTTTTTCACGGTTTTTAGCTTCCTTGCGATGAGTTAGAACACGCTCCTTTAGCTCGGAGAAGCTTGTTATTACTGACCTTCTAAAGCCTACTTCTGTCAACTTGACAAACTCATTCTCCATCCAGTTTTATTCCCTTTCTGGCAAGGAGTTGTGTTCCTTTGGAAGAGAAGAGGCATTCTGGTTTTTGGAATTTTCATCCTTTCTGCTCTGGTTTCTCCCCATCTTTGTTGCTTTATAAACCTTTGGTCTTTGATATTGGTGACCTACTGATGGGGTTTTGGTGTGGATGTCCTTTTTGTTGATGTTGATGGTATTCCTTTCTGTTTGTTAGTTTTCCTTCTAACAGACAGGCCCCTCGCTGCAGGTCTGTTGGAGTTTGCTGGAGGTCCACCCTAGGCCCTGTTTGCCTTGGTATCACCAGAGGAGGCTGCAGAACAACAAATATTGCTGCCTGATCTTTCCTATGGAAGCTTCATCCCAGGGAGGCATCCACCTGTATGAGGTGTCTTTTGGCCCCTACTGGGAGGTGTCTCCCAGTAAGGCTAAAAGGGGGTCAGGGACCCACTTGAGGAGGCAATCTGTCCGTTATTGGAGCTCAAACACCATGCTGGGAGAACCACTGGTCTCTTCTGAGCTATTAGGCAGGGACGTTTAAGTCTGGAGAAGCTATCTGCTGCCTTTTGTTTAAATATGCCCTGCCCCCCAGAGGTGGAATCTAGAGAGTCAGTAGGCCTTGCTGAGCTATGGTGGGCTCCACCCAGTTCAAACTTCCCTGCCACTTTGTTTACACTGTGAGTATAGAACCACCTACTCTAGCCTCAGCAATAGCAGATGTCCCTCCCCCACCAAGCTCCCACATCCCAGGTTGATCTCACACTGCTCCACCAGCAGTGAGCAAGGCTCCGTGGCCGTGGGATCTGCCGAGCCTGGCACAGGAGTGGATCCCCTGGTCTGCAGGTTATGAAGACAGTGGGAAAAGCACAGTATTTGGGCAGGAGTGTACCACTCCTCCAGGTACAGCCATTCATGGCTTCCCTTGGCCAGGAAAGGAAAAGTCCCTGACCCCTAGTGCTTTCCAGGTGAGGTGACGCCCTGCCCTGCTTAGGCTCACCCTCCATAGGCTGCACCCACTGTCCAACCTGTCCCATTGAGATGAACCAGGTACCTCAGTGGGAAATGCAGATATCACCTGTCTTCTGTGTCTATCTCACTGGGATCTGTAGACTGGAGCTGTTCCTGTTCAGCCATCTTGGAAGTGACCCTCTCCCTTTGTGTTTTTTAAAGATGATTTTCTGGTATTTTTCATATGAAAGGTTAGAAATTATTATGTATTCACCTTTAATTTACTTTGAAGGAAAGTGGAATAGCAGTAGAAGCATGCTTTTGTCATCCAACAGAACTACGTTTAAATGTTACCTGTGTTGACATTGAACAAGTTAATGAAATCTCATAGACTTCATTCTTCACTCACAAAGCTAAAGTAAAAAGTACTGTCTCAGAGATTTTTTTGTGAGCATTATATATGGAAATATATGTAAAGTTTCTCAATAGGAAATCTAGCAAATTGTAAATACACAATAATAATAATTGGGGTTATCAGTTCTTTTATTAATTAATTTGCAATGTTTTATTCATAATGTAGAGTATAACAAGGTGAAGTCTTCATTTTCTATACAGAAAGGAGCCCAATAATATACTACTGGCAAATAATAAGCACATAATACTTATAGAATAAATGAAAGTGGAAATACTTCATGTCACTACATAAAAATATTTCAGTGGTGCTCTGGAATCTAAACCATCAAATATGCTTCAAAAAGAATAAAATTTGGAGGGAAACCATGTTAATGATAACTTCAAAGAAGTTTATGCACTTATTCAAAAGCAATTTGAATAAAATATGGAATAAAATAAAAATCAAAATTTTAAAATACCGTGTACTTGTCTATCTTTTCCTATCTTCAAATACAAAGACAATGTAAAATTTACCATTGTAATATCTTACCCAGTCTAAATATTACCTCTATGTATATATAATCAGCAAAATCCAAATATTAAGATCTTATATTTTGTATTGTCTTAATATAATGTTATTTGAAATTTTATCATATTAACTGATATCTTCAATTCTGAGAGAAAACTTTAAACATAGAAGAATATCTTAAGATATAAAAAATATATGGGCATAAAATAAACCTTGATTCTTCAAACTAAAGATGAACACTTCAAAATATATAATCTCAAAATTTCTTCACAAATTTTAAAGCCTATGATTTTATAATAATATAATAAATAAATAATAAAATAACATTATATGCTATATTTACAATATACCTTTTCCAAAATTTTAATTTTATTGTTTGTTTTTTAAATTTGCAATACCGAATAACCTCAAAACTCAAATTTAAAAATTAATATATTTTACATTTGTTGTAGTGCTAGCCTAAGAGATAAGCTAAGTACCTCTTTAATGGTTTTCTTCTGCTCTGAGGTTTAGGTACATATTTACATACTCTCAGCAGCTTTGATTTTGTCATCTCTGAAATATTTCTCGAATGAATCTCCCTTCTCCAATTTTGCTTACTGTTACCACCCTTGTTTCTTCCATATAATTTCTCAAAACAAGGACAATCACAGTGACAACAAATAAACCAACAAACAAAATGAAATAAAAACCCAATGTATTTATTAAAAAGACACAGGGATATAATGTTTATTCCAAACAAGACAGTGTAGCCAGTCTTTGTACATTTTGAGCTAATAGTAATATCTATCGGCATCCTTAAATATGCCAAAGTATGTGTTGTTGAAATATATTAGGATCTCAGCCTGCCTTCAAATAGATTATATTAGTAATAAATGAATTAAGAATTTAATTTATGAGGTATATTATTCGGGGAGATTTGCAAAACAAAAATTAATTAGATATTTTCAACTTGGATTAAAAAGATCCTGAATGTTTTTCATAGCACTTATTATGATTGTATTTACCAGCCTTTTTATTCTCTTCTTAGTGTAGATGTTTTTATTTATTGTTAATTTGATATTGAAAGATTATCAGTTGAAATATGAAAACAACATAAAAGTTTTACATGTTGTTCCTCCACCAAAATCCTAGATGTGGCTAATACATAATAATTATGTATGTGAATTATTTAAATTTGCAAACTCTTTATTATTTAAATACTTTTGCACAGGGAAATATTTGAATGCTTTATTTTGCATTCCTTGTAAGTTATTTATTTATTTATTTTGAATTCCTTATGAATTCTTTTATTTTATTTTATTATTATTATACTTTAAGTTTTAGGGTACATGTGCACAATGTGCAGGTTAGTTACATATGTATACATGTGCCATGCTGGTGTGCTGCACCCATTAACTCGTCATTTAGCATTAGGTATATCTCCTAATGCTATCCCTCCCCCCTCCCCCACCCCACAACAGTCCCCGGAGTGTGATGTTCCCCTTCCTGTGTCCATGTGTTCTCATTGTTCAATTCCCACCTATGAGTGAGAACATGCAGTGTTTGGTTTTTTTGTCCTTGCGATAGTTTACTGAGAATGATGATTTCCAATTTCATCCATGTCCCTACAAAGGACATGAACTCATCATTTTTTATGGCTGCATAGTATTCCATGGTGTATATGTGCCACATTTTCTTAATCTAGTCTGTCATTGTTGAACATTTGGGTTGGTTCCAAGTCTTTGCTATTGTGAATAATGCCACAATAAACATACGTGTGCATGTGTCTGGTACCAAAACAGAGATATAGATCAATGGAACAGAACAGAGCCCTCAGAAATAATGCAGCATATCTACAACTATCTGATCTTTGACAAACCTGAGAAAAACAAGCAATGGGGAAAGGATTCCCTATTTAATAAATGGTGCTGGGAAACCTGGCTAGCCATATGTAGAAAGCTGAAACTGGATCTCTTCCTCACACCTTATACAAAAATTAATTCAAGATGGATTAAAGACTTAAACGTTAGACCTGAATTCCTTATTATTTAAAGAATTTTGGAGAGGTAAATACTTGTATGCTTTACATTGCATTCCTTGATGGCTAAATGTCATTTTTCTGCCCTCCTTTTAAAATAATAGCTTACACATATTACTCTAATAACATGTGATAAAGATATTCATTAAGCTACAGATAAATGCCTAAAATGGATAATGATAAAATTTATAGCTACATTTTAAAATCAAGTGTGTCAGAATATAAGTTTTTTTAACTTATAGAGATACGTAATATGGGATATAAAAATTGAAATTCTTTCTGAAAGTTTTTGCTTTATATATAAGAAATTAATTTGGTTTTCAGTTTGAATCAGCTTATTGACATATTGTCAGTGAAAGAGGCAAATAAATTTGACCATAATTACAGAGAATTTTAGTGTTTACAATAATTAACAAATTAACACCTTTCTGCCTACAGTATCTGAGCATGAGAACTTGAGCTTCTGTTTTCCCAATATTATATGAAATTTAAATTCCTGCATTTTTAATCCTCTCATGATCTGAACAGGACATTCAAATAGCGTGAATTAAAAAAGTAAACTAATTTTATTACTTTTCTTAAATATTTTAACAGCTTTATTAAGGTAAATTGATATACTATAAATTTGACTGGATATAAGTATACAATTCAATGATTATTAGAAACCTCAGTACAATTTTGAAAAAAGGTAACAAGTGTAGACATCTTTTTTTCCTAGTCTTAGAGGTAAAACAGTCTTTTACCATTAAGACTAATATTCGCTGCAGAGGTTTCATAGATATCCTTTATGAGGTTAATTAACTCTCTTTTTATTTCTAATTTGTTGGGGATTCATGAATGGTTATTGAATTTTGCTCAGTGTTCTTTCTAAGTCTATTGAAGATGTCTTGAGCATATTACAATAATTGATTTCCAGAAATGAAACCAAACTTGCATTTTTAGAATAAGCCTCAATTGGTCAGATTGATAATTTTTTTGTATCACTAAACTTTATTTGTGATTACTTTGTTGAGGACTTCTGCATCTATATTCAGGAAAGGTACTGATCTGGTTGTTATTTTATGTTGCTTTTTAATTTTATTTAGTTATGCTTCGGTCTAGCTTTTGCATTAGGGTGAAACAGTCCTTATAGAATGAGTTAGAAAGTATTCCCTCTTTCTCAATACTTTGTGAAGGATTAGTCTTATTTACTTCATAATTGTTTCATAAAATTCACCGGTCAAGGTATTAGGGCCTGGGTTTTTTTGTTTTTTTTTTTTTTTTGGTCTGGGGAATACATATCTCTCTCTATCTTTTTATATATATTTGTATATATTTGATGTATATGGATATATATATGTATTTGGTGGGGAAATTTTTAATTAGTTGTCATAAATTGTGAGCGATTTGAGATTACAAACCATATCTTCAAATTAAAATCCCCTGATAAATGAGGATTGCTTGAGTCCAGGAATTTGAGACCAGTCTGAGCAACATAAAGACTGTTTCAAAAAAATAAATAAATAAAATACATCCCGTGATAATGTGTCTTTAATAAATAAACGTTAGCAAAAAAGTCAGAGCCTTGAAAAAGTAGTTTGAGGTATTTTTAGGATTGTGAATAAACTAGTTACTTTGAATCTAACAGAAAGTAACAAATGAGCATTTAAAAATTCATTCGAGACAATTACGAAAATGCTTATTTTTAATTTAATTAAAACTTACAGAAAATAGCTACGATTTTATCTTCTTTTCTAATTCTAATTTTGATAGTGTCCAACATAGAAAAGAAATTGCATTGGTTTTGTTTTAATATTTCATACATCGTTCCTCATATTTTGTGGTGTGTGGTGTGTGTGTGTGTGTGTGCATGCTTTAAAAACATGATTATTGGCAAATTTTGCTATTCTGGGAGCCATTCTGACAATATAAGTTTATATGTTGATTTCACAGCTTTATCTTCTGATTTTATTTTTCTAATTTCTAATTTTGGGTGTGCACCTCACTTTTGCTCTCCTATACTGCCCATGTGAGAAAATGGTATCTGTTTCCTCGTATTGCTATGAGGAATATATCGTGTAATGTAAACAAAGTACATGACATGTAGTAGGCTTTAAAAAAATATTTGTCTAAAAGGATGGTAAAAAAATATGAGTCACATTGCCTCTCTTTCTTATGACCATAAAGATAAGGAAAACTTACTTAAAGAGTTCCTCTTCTACCCTGCAAGATACTTCATGTTCTGTTTCTCAACTGTGTTATACCTGTATTTGGTAATTGTTTAAATGATTTATTTAAATAATGCAACATTATGCTTTTTGGAGTCCCATTTTGAGGAGAGTAAGGAATTGAATGGTTATGAATGTTGTGGGAATCCTAACATCCAAGTTGATGGTATTGGGAGGGAAGAGCCCTCATAAATAGTATTAGTGTCCTTATGAAAGAGAACTCAGTGGAATCCTTTGCCCCTTTCATCATGTGACATTATAGTGAGAAGATGGCCCTCTGTGAGGAAATGATCCCTCACCAGACATCGCATCTGCTGGCATCTTAATCTTGGACTTCCCAGCTCCTCGAGCTGTGAGAAATAAATGTCCATTTTTCATAAGCCACCACTGTATCATATCTTGTTATGACAGCCTAAATAGACTAAGGCAACTGGATATTGATGCCTCCAAAGAAATTTAGGTTCAGGTTACTCAAATCATTATAATTTTATGTTAAGATACCTATTTTTCATGTTGCAAAAAGTGACAAGTAATATATTTTTAAGTATGGATAAGCCAAAAATGTTCCAGATAGTAGAGTTTCTGTTCAAAAAAGTATGAAAAAAGTATGGGTAAATAATGAATCTAGTATTGCTGTATATTTATTATAAAAGATAAAAATAAATTCTATTATTTAAGATTTTGCAAGTTGTATCAACATATGACAAAATGTTATTCTTCTCACAAATTTAAGTCTTCTTCCCAGCTTAATCCTAAATGATAGTTCAGAAGCTATCTTCCTTATGTGCTGCTTTGATAACATTACTCAGCTATTCAGAATTGCAGCCTTCAAGATCAGAACAAATTTCTTCACACTTGGACTCCAGTTTTGCTAAATAAACTCGATCATATAAATCTCCTTAGATTACAGGTAGCTTTGCTGCTTCTGCCGTAGTTAAACTGTGTGAGCCACTATGCTTGCAAAATTATTTATCCTGACTCCTCAGATTTAGTGCCCTAAGAACTGACAGAAAGAATAATCCTCCCTACATATTGGTGAAGGAAAGTTTCGTCTATTCAAAATCACAAATACATATCCTTGGTTCTCACAGAATTGTAGGATTCAATTTCTCAACTGAAAACTCTTTACACAGATTAGTCTTTGATATTTCATTTTCACTCTAGATTTTTGCTAGATTACAAATACGAAAGCAGCAAAGTAAGCCCTTCTGTTGTGTTTATGTTAACAAAGAACTAGCTTGCTTTTTTAGTGCCAAATATATACAAAACGTTCAAGGAATTTTATATGCAATATTTCATCTAATTTTGCAATTTAGTTATTATATTCCTTTCATAGAGGAGGAAATAAGTTTTACCCAAAGCTGCAGAGTGATAAGTAAGTAAGACAGCTCCAGTCTGATTATAAATGCAATTTTCTTTCCACCATGTTAATCTTATCTAACTTCAATCTTTGCTTTCCAAGACTAGAAGCATATGTGGACAAATTCACATAATTTAATGCAAATCCTAATTTCTTATGGCTTCTTTAAGAAAACTGAGGACACGATTGAAGGGTAATCTAGGGAATAACTACAACAACACTTCCTTTGATATGTCCTAAATTTTATACAGTATACCAACTGGTTGCAATAAGTTAAAGTTGTCAAATTTTTATTGCCACCCTTTCAGGTAGAGATCATTAAACTTAGAGTTGAATATACTGAAATTCAGAAAAATAATTGGCACAAACTAACAAAGTTAATAAAAAAAGAAAAAAAAATTGAACCTGGGTATCCCAAATATATAAATCTATGTGCTTCCTTTCTCAAACTCTGATACTCCTCTTCGTTAGTATGATGTACTAAATAATAGCTAAAAATCTTGTACAATCTTTTTTATCTAAGGTTTTCAGTTTTGTTGTCCATATTCAAACAAAAGAGTATAAGGAATCCTCATACCTCCGTCACTCAGCTCCAAAAACAATCAACATTCGTGATCATCATCCTTGTTTAATTTATGCTTCTGCCCATTCCTCACTCTCTCACTCAAATTTTCAAATAAAATTTGCATAAATAAAATACACAGATATTAAATGTATAGTTTTGGTAAATGGGCAACATATAGCCAACATTTCCTATAAAGATATAGACTGCTTTCATCACCTCAAATACTTTCTCATGTCCCTTGACAGTCACTTGCTCTTGAGCCCAGAGAAAACCATAATTCTGTTTCTTTTTTTTTTCGAAGAGACAGTTTTACATATTATAAAACTTCATGTACATGGCATCATAAAGTGTGTACTTTTTTATTTCCAGCTTAATTGCCTCGAGATAATCTCTACAACTTTCACCCATGTTGTTGTATGAATAGGTAATCTATTGTGCTTTGATTTTAGGAAGGGGAGTTCTGCATAATATTGATTAATTATATCAATAAATCACACATCAATTATTCATTCTCCTGATGATTGAAATATGAGTTATTTATAGTTTTTGGCTGTTATGAATGAAGCTATTCTGAACATTTGCACACGCATCATTCTGTTGACAAAGATATTAAATTTTCTTGGTTAAATACCTGGAAGTGACATTGGAGGATCAAATATTTATCTTTGTAAGAACTTCCAATCCTTAATTTCCAAAGTGATTGTACTGTTTACAATCCTATCAGCAGTGAACGAGAGTTTTGGTGTCTTCACATCATCACTGATATTCGAGT
The DNA here is from genome assembly GCF_000001405.40 of Homo sapiens. Lineage (NCBI taxonomy): Eukaryota > Metazoa > Chordata > Mammalia > Primates > Hominidae > Homo > Homo sapiens. Next base: position 65,717,028 of record NC_000004.12, on the reverse strand, counting down.
GTTGTCAGCTTTCTAATTGCAACCTTTCTGGTGGGGGTCTAATAGTCTCTCATTGTGGTTTTTTTTTTTTTAAATTACACTTTAAGTTTTAAGGTACATGTGCACAATGTGCAGGTTTGTTACATATGTATACATGTGCCATGTTGGTGTACTGCACCCATTATCTCGTCATTTAACATTAGGTATATCTCCTAATGCTATCCCTAACTCCTCTCCCCACCCCACAACAGGCCCTGGTGTGTGATGTTCCCCTTCCTGTGTCCATGTGTTCTCATTGTTCATTTCCCACCTATGAGTGAGAACATGCGGTGTTTGGTTTTTTGACCTTGCGATAGTTTGCTGAGAATGATGATTTCCAGCTTCATCCATGTCCCTACAAAGGACGTGAACTCATCCTTTTTTATGGCTGCATAGTATTCCATGGTGTATATGTGCCACATTTTCTTAATCTAGTCTATCATTGTTGGACATTTGGGTTGGTTCCAAGTCTTTGCTATTGTGAATAGTGCCACAATAAACATACATGTGCATGTGTCTTTATAGCAGCATGTTTTATAATCCTTTGGGTATATACCCAGTAATGGGATGGCTGGGTCAAATGGTATTTCTAGTTCTAGATCCCTGAGGAATAGCCACACTGACTTCCACAATGGTTGAACTAGTTTACAGTCCCACCAACAGTGTAAAACTGTCCCTATTTCTCCACATCCTCTCCAGCACCTGTTGTTTCCTGACTTTTTAATGATCACCATTCTAATTGGTGTGAGATGGTATCTCATTGTGGTTTTGATTTGCATTTCTCTGGTGGCCAGTGATGATGAGCATTTTTTCATGTGTTTTTTGGCTGCATAAATGTCTTCTTTTGAGAAGTGTCTGTTCATATCCTTCGCCCACTTGTTGATGGGGTTGTTTGTTTTTTTCTTGTAAATTTGTTTTAGTTCATTGCAGATTCTGGATATTAGCCCTTCTGATAAGTAGACTGCAAAAATTTTCTCCCATTCTGTAGGTTGCCTGTTCACTCTGATGGTAGTTTCTTTCACTGTGCAGAAGCTCTTTAGTTTCATTAGATCCCATTTGTCAATTCTGGCTTTTGTTGCCATTGCTTTTGGTGTTTTAGACATGAAGTCCTTGCCCATGCCTATGTCCTGAATGGTATTGCCTAGGTTTTCTTCTAGGGTTTTTATGGTTTTAGGTCTAACATGTAAGTCTTTAATCCATCTTGAATTAATTTTTGTATAAGGTGTAAGGAAGGGATCCAGTTTCAGCTTTCTGAATAAGGCTGGCCAGTTTTCCCAGCACCATTTATTAAATAGGGAATCCTTTCCCCATTGCTTGTTTTTGTCAGGTTTGTCAAAGATAAGATGGTTGTAGATATGCGACATTATTTCTGAGGGCTCTGTTCTGTTCCATTGGTCTATATATCTGTTTGGGTACCAGTACCATGCTGTTTTGGTTACTGTAGCCTTGTGGTATAGTTTGAAGTCAGGTAGCATGATGCCTCCAGCTTTGTTCTTTTGGCTTAGGATTGACTTGGCAATGTGGGCTCTTTTTGGTTCCATATGAACTTTAAGTTAGTTTTTTCCAATTCTATGAAGAAAATCATTGGTAGCTTAATGGGGATGGCATTTAATCTATAAATTACCTTGGGCAGTATGGCCATTTTCACAATATTGATTCTTCCTATCCATGAGCATGGAATGTTCTTCCATTTGTTTGTAACCTCTTTTATTTCAATGAGCAGTGGTTTGTAGTTCTCCTTGAAGAAGTCCTTCACATCCCTTGTAAGTTGGATTCCTAGGTATTTCATTCTCTTTGAAGCAATTGTGAATGGGAGTTCACTCATGATTTGGCTCTCTGTTATTGGTGTGTAATAATGCTTGTGATTTTTGCACACTGATTTTGTATACTAAGACTTTGCTGAAGTTGCCTATCAGCTTAAGGAGATTTTGGGCTGAGATGATGGGGTTTTCTAGATATGCAGTCATGTCATCTGCAATTCAACAAGAAGAGCTAACTATCCTAAATATATATGCACCCAGTACAGGAGCACCCAGATTCATAAAGCAAATCCTTAGAGACCTACAAAGAGACTTAGACTCCCACACAATAATAACGTGAGACTTTAACACCCCACTGTCAACATTAGATAGATCGAGACAGAAAGTTAACAAGGATATCCAGGAATTGAACTCAGCTCTGCATCAAGCAGACCTAATAGACATTTACAGAACTCTCCACCCCAAATCAACAGAATATACATTCTTTTCAGCACCACACCACACCTATTCCAAAATTGACCACATCTTTGGAAATAAAGCACTCCTCAGCAATTTTTTTTTTTCCTTTGAGACCTGGTCTCACTCCTATTGCCCAGCCTAGAGTGCAGTGGCAAGATCTTGGCTTACTGAAGCCTCAGCTTCTGGTGCTAAGGTGATTCTCCCACCTTAGCTTTCGGAGTAGATTAGTTGAGGCTACAGGCACACCAACACACCCAGCTAATTTTTGTGTTCTTAGTAGAGAGGGGGTTTCCCCATGTTGTCCAGGCTTGTTTCGACTTACTTTGGCTTCCCAAAGTGCTGGGATTATGGGCATAAGCCACATTGCCTAGCCAGAAGCTTTTTGTGTAGGGTCCATAAAATTATCTCTGGAGATGATTATGTCATCTACAAATATAGATTTACTTCTTTTCTAATATGAATGTGTTTTTTTTTTCTTATCATATTGTGCTAACTAAAATCTCTAGTACAATGGTCAGTAGAAGTGCTAACAGTGGATACACTTGGATTCTTTTTTATCTTATTGGGAAATATTCAGTCTTTTACTATGAGATATAAGGTTAACTTTGGTTATTGGTAATTACCCCTTATCAGGCTGAGGAAGATTCCTTCTACTCTTACCTTGCCGAGAGTTTTTTTTTTTTCTTTTTCAAAAATAGGTGTTGAATTGTATCAGACATTTTTTCCATCTATTGAAAAGATTATATGACATTGTTGCTAGTGTTTGCCTGTTAGTGTGGTAAATTATAGTGATTGATTTCCAATCGTTGAATTAACCTTACTTTCTGTGGATAAATCTTACTTACGCATTATGTATTAGCCTTTTTATATTTGCTGTATTATGTTGCTAAAATCATGTTTAAAACTTTAGCATCTGTGTTCCAAGTAATATTGATTCATGGTTTTCTTTCCTTGTGCAACTTTTTTCTGATTTTTGCATCAGAGAAATGCTATTATAGTTTTACAGAACAACATAGAGTATATCATTTCTCTTAAATTTTCTGGAAGATTTTATTTTAAAAAATGATATTATTTATTGCTTAATGTTTAGTAGAATTCTCCAAGTGAAAACATTGTGTATTCTTCTGCAAAGTTTTTAATTAAAAACTCAATGTCTTTCAGAGATACAAGGTTTTTCTTGGGAAAACGTTTTTTAGTTTATGTATTTAAAAGACATAAACTAAGTGGTCGAATTCACTTACCTAAAGTTGTTTACGTTGCCTTTTCTCTTTATAATGTCTAGAATTTCAAGTGATAGCATTTCGCTCACATCTGATACTGGTAATTTGTAATTTCTTCATTTTGGAGGCTGATCAGCCTAGCTAGATAATTATTATTTTTATTTATCTTTCATATAATCAGTTTTTGGCTTCATTTACTTATTTTTTCTAAGTTTAAATTATTTGATTTCTGCTCTGACCTTATTTTTTTCTGCATACTTTGGCTTTAAATTGATCTCCTTTTGTTAGTTTCTTAAAGTAGAAGCCGAAGTCTCTGATTTGAAAATTATTTATTTTCTAATTTGAGAATTCCCCCTTATTATTTCCCTCTTTTTTTCTTTAACAGCCTCCCATATGTTTTGACATATTTCATTTACATTTTCATTCAGCTCAAACTACTTTCTAATATGCATTTACATTTCTTCTTTGGCCCATAGATAACATGTACATGTGTCATTTGGTTTCAAAATATTTGGAGATTTTCCATATATCTCTTTTGTAATTCTTTAGTATTTAGTTCCATCATTGGAAGACATTTGCTTTGTATGGCCTGAATCATTTTTACATGTATTGAGGTATGTTTGCTGAGAGATTACGTTTTGTCTTTGTAAATGTCCTATAAACACTTGAAAAGAATGTGTATTCTGTTGTAATAGGGTGGACTGTTGTACAAATGTCCATTGGGTCAAGTTGGTTGATAGTGTTCTGTCAACCAGAACACTGATATTATAAATGTTTTATAATATCATATTTACTGATGTTATAAATGTTTTATAAACTATTGAGACAGAGTGTTAAGAGCTCTAACTGTATTTGTGGATTCCTTTATTTCTCCTGGAAGTTTTCCCTTCATTAATTTTTAAGTTGGATTAGAAGTGAAAAAAAAAATAAGACTGTCATATCCTTCTGAGAAACTGGCCCTTTATCAATATAAAAACATGTTATTTATTCCAGGAAATTTTTATATCTCACTAGAAATTTTATCACCCACATTGATAATTCCCTGATTTTTTCCTGTCTTTTTTATTCTGTATTTCATTTGTGATATTTTCTCTTGCTATGTATTAAATGTCTAACTCTATCATCTGCATTATTTCTAGGACTATTTTGATAGATTTTTTTTTTCTTTTAGTTACAGGCAGAATGTTCTGCTTCTTGAGTGCATGGTAATTTTCTATTGGGTGATAGACCCATTTTGGATTTGTCGTTGCTTGGTCTAGATATTTTTTGTGTTCCTATGAATATTTTTTAGCATTCTCCCAGGGCACAATTAACTTACCTGGAAATGATTTGACCATTGTGGATACTGAGTTCTAACTTTACTAGGTGGGAGGGAGTGGAGCTGTTTTTCATATTAATTTTACAAACTACTGAGGAAAACTTTCTTAGTACTCCACCTGCAACTTCATAAATTCAGAAGTACTCCACTTTGTCTTTTGAGAACAGGCAATATTCCTCACTCTGAGCTTTGAGGATTGTTATTTCTAGTCATTTTTTGGTGACTAGAAATAGATATTTTTCATACACGTATTCATTAATTAGTATTTTGCTAATCTTTTGCAGAACCCTGGAGCCCTGTGTGGGGTGTGTGTTTGGGGGCTGGGATGTGTGTGTGTGCATGTGTATGCCTTTCTCTTCTGTCATACTCTGTACTGTGAACCTTAGCTGCCTTGGATTATCTGAGTTCTCAGATCTATCTCCTCAACGAGATAGCTGAGTTCTGCCTGAATTACATTCTCAGACAGCAAGCAGAGGCAATTGTATAGTTCATTTTATTTCTTTACCATGTCTAAGGGATCACTTCTGCATTGCTGGATGTGATTCGTTGTTTCATTTATTTAGTTTCAATTTTTGGTTGTTTCAAATGAGATTATACATCTAGTCCTTTTTACTTTATTTTACTTGAAGAAATATTAGTCTTTTATACTATTAACATTTTGCAACTGTACCCCTTTATGTATAATCAAGCTATAATCTAGTGTAATTTCCTTCATCCTGAGTTACTTCCTTTAGCATTTTCTGTACATAAGTCTCAATGCAATGAATGGTCTTGATTTTGGTTTACCTAAATTGTCTTTTATTGTCCTTCTGTTTTCTCCCAGCACATTAGGGTTATGGTTCTATTGTAGTCTAACCATCATATTTTTCCTAATGAGAAGTCAGCTATTATTTGAATAGCTGTGTTTGTAATATGTCATTTATGTCTGGACCCTTTTAGGTGTTCTTTATGTTTTGATATCTACAGTTTACAATGACATGGTTTGTTGAGGTGTTCGTATGTACAGTTTGATGCTTTTCCTCCAAATTTTTGCTTTTTTCTTTTTGTTTAATATATTCAAATATTTTTCTGCCCCATTGTCTCTATCCTCTCCTATCGAACTCCAATTATACATATGTTAGAGCACTTAATATTTCTCTTTATTCACATTCAATATTTTAATTGATCTGCATTCAAGTTCACTAATGCTTTTTATTTTGCTACCTCCTATCTTTTATCAATTTCATGAAGTGAAATTTTCATTTCAGTTGTACTTTTAGTTTCATTGCTTTGATTTTTTTTTTAGTTCTAATCCGTTGATATTCCTCATTTGTTTATTAATCATATTTTGTGTTAAGTCATGAAGTATATTTTAATAAAAACTTTGATACTGCTGATTATAATGTCTTGAAAATTTTAGGAAAGTTTTTTATTGATTGCATTTTTTTCTCTGTGAAAATGGCATATTTTAATTTTTTTCATTCTAGTGATATTTGATTCAACATTACAAATTGTACATTATACAAACACTGGATTTTGTTATAATAAACTGTGTTTCCCCTTTGTGGGAAGCAACTAAAATCTTCACTCAGATTTTTCAGTTTTGAGCATCTAGGATTTTGTCAGGACCCCATGCTCTTTTTCATTCATTATTAAAATTAAATGTTTTATCAAGATTTGTGCGCTTTTTATACATTTTGGGGGGCTTTCATCTCTTATACAACTCCTTCTTTTCCAGATATTTTTCTCTACATTTCTGACTGCTTTCCCAGTACCAAACTCTTAAGTTAATAAGGCCATAGTCTTCTACTGCAGTAACAGTACTCCATTGGAGGGTAACTTCCAACAAAAATCTGTTAATTCACATATCACACTTATTTTAATTTCTATTTAAGAGCAGACTCCTCTTCAGCTTCTGCTAGCTTTCATCACTCTACATGGCACTCAAACTTTTTTTTATTTTCTACTTTATCATTTCTCTCTGTAAGAGGGTTATTTGAGCTAAACAACAGCTTAAACTCCATTGACCTTTTAAAGTATTTATTTCTATGTAAAATATATTACATAATTTTGGGAAGTTAACAGAGTAAATTAAAAAAATAAGTCACAATCCTCATTTGTCAGTAATATCTCAAAATTATTTCCTTATCTCCCACATCTGTTGAGTGCTCCTCATTTCAAAAATCTTGTGAAAGACATAACACCACAGGTTAATACTGGTGGTGCTAACCATCTGTCTTTTTTAAAAAAACCTACATGCTACATGTATGATTTTGTAGATCTATATATGTCTGCATTTAGTTGGGAAACGTTTTTTGGTATGGACTAGAATATTTCTGCCTAACCTGTTTGCTTGAATTAATGTCATTTACTCTTTAATACTTTATTCAGTTGATTTTCTTTAGAAAATTTTCCCAAACTTTTTCACTACTACCATAAGCTGACTTTGGGCCACCACTTTTCTGGATTTTTAGGATATTTTATTCTTTTCTTTAGGAAATTGATCACACTTTATTGAAATAGTTGGTTTAACTTGTCTATCTTCATAATATATTGTGAATTCCTTGAAGTCAGGCATTTTAAAATTTATTTTTATATACCCAAAACTTAACACAATATCTTTCAGAAGTGCTTAAATGAATTTATTCAATTAAATTGAACATTTATCAGGTAAACTATGTTGTCTATTTTGTAATTTTTTCTTACATTTTGCAAATTAGCGTGATAACTCATAAATGTATATTGGGACACTCTAAAGGTTGCTCTTGTAAATATTTTTTCTGACTATTTCTCATTTCAAAAATACGAAAGCACTATCATGTAATTTTTTACATTGTTAGCCATTCAAGTCTCTACTTCATTTTAGTGAAATTGGTGTAAAATAACAAAGCCCACCTACACAGTTTTATTTTTAAAATTGTAAGTGAATAACATCCTACTCAGCCTAATCTGTCATCACATTTCTTTCTTATAAATGGATATTAATGTTTAGTTCTTCTGAACTGTTTAATCATTAATTTTATTGATTTTCTTACTACTATAGGAAGCAATTTAAAATATTTTATATTTTGATTAAACATTTCCTTTTCCTCTCTCTTTTTTTTTTTTTTAATTATACTTTAAGTTTTAGGGTACATGTGCACATTGTGCAGGTTAGTTACATATGTATACATGTGCCATGCTGGTGCGCTGCACCCACTAACTCGTCATCTAGCATTAGGTATATCTCCCAATGCTATCCCTCCCCCCTCTCCCCTCCCCACCACAGTCCCCACCAGCCAATATCATACTGAATGGGCAAAAACTGGAAGCATTCCCTTTGAAAACTGGCACAAGACAGGGATGCCCTCTCTCACCGCTCCTATTCAACATAGTGTTGGAAGTTCTGGCCAGGGCAATCAGGCAGGAGAAGGAAATAAAGGGTATTCAATTAGGAAAAGAGGAAGTCAAATTGTCCCTGTTTGCAGACGACATGATTGTTTATCTAGAAAACCCCATCATCTCAGCCCAAAATCTCCTTAAGCTGATAAGCAACTTCAGCAAAGTCTCAGGATACAAAATCAATGTACAAAAATCACAAGCATTCCTATACACCAACAACAGACAAACAGAGAGCCAAATCATGAGTGAACTCCCATTCACAATTGCTTCAAAGAGAATAAAATACCTAGGAATCCAACTTACAAGGGATGTGAAGGACCTCTTCAAGGAGAACTACAAACCACTGCTCAAGGAAATAAAAGCGGATACAAACAAATGGAAGAACATTCCATGCTCATGGGTAGGAAGAATCAATATCGTGAAAATGGCCATACTGCCCAAGGTAATTTACAGATTCCTCTCTCTTAATTGTATTTAAAGTTTAATGTTCCTTTAAGATACAAAATGTACAATACCTATAAAAATCAACCATTGAAAAATTCATGAAGACATTTTCTACCAATAAGACATTCTAAATATATTGTTTAAACAGGGTCATTCAATATTCTAAATATGTTGTTTAAACAAAATTATTATTCAATATTTTTTGCTTTTATTTCTTCAGAATTTTTACATATCAACAAAATGTCATAATTGAAACAAGGTTTTGGTTAAAGAAAAGAACATAATTATTGAGGATCACCTTCTAACTGGAAAGAAAGACCATTTGTTCACTAAAGGATAAAATACTTAGAAAGTAGTCACCATAAAATAATCCAAGAAAATGAGAATTAATTTCCGGATGGCAGATAACTGCTTCTACAAATATATATATTTAAAAATAAACTGAAAGAAAAGGTAGAGTGAGAAATTTAATTCAGCTCTTAAAATTTACTCTCTTATGTGTACAACAATATACCCCAAATAATATTTTCAATCATCCATTTCAACTCAGTGTTTAAAGATTAAAGAATAAAGGAAGAACTGTTTTTAAAAAAGAAATAAAAACCATTTATCATAGTCTTAAAGGTTTTGTTTTATTGTGAATCTTTGGGATTGCTACCATTTTGGAGGAGGCTATACTGTCTGGTGAGAACACTGCTGTTTTGTTGCCTGAAACACTGCTAGCAGGTGGTAAAGATGAGGAAAATACAGAAAATGAACATGTGCCACTTAAGAAAGAATAGTTGCTCTAGCTAGTTCTACGAAATATTAAATGACAATTCTACAATATGTTGTGTTAGAGAAGATAGCCAACTCTGCAATGTCTTTAAAAAGTTAAAATACATTTTACCAAGAGTCTATAAATACTGCTGTTTATATTCTCTACAACACTGAGCTACTAACATTTAATAATAATCAATGTCATTACTAAGAGTCTTTCACTCTCAAAAGCTGTATAAGCTGGCAAGGTGGATTAGTGACACATTTCATTTCTGTTATATTGAGACTCTTTAAAATGACATATTCAATTTCTTTTGCCTGAGTTGACTCAGCTCTCCTTTTTAAAAAATATAGGTAAAGTTGCTTACTCTAATGCTTACTGAAGGTTCTTCTTTGAATGACTCTTTAAATACTCAATTGCTCTCTAATGTCCTAGAAAGATATTTTTTTCTGCTCAGGAATTCCCTCAACAGAGCTGACTGATTTCTACTCTGAGGCAGGATTTAAAGTAGAAGCTAATGAATCTGCTACCTCATGGAGGGTGACCCTAAAATGTCTTAAGAGGGAGTGACAGGAGGAGATGAAAAATTAAATTTCTGTATTCACCACTATACTATAATGTCTGTCATTAGGCAATAGCTCCATATCTTTGATCACCTGGGATATTTTTATAACTGTAATTCTTACTCTTAGAATTAAATTTTTAATATAAAATATAATTTAATATGCTTTTGAATTAAAGTGGCAAAGGATAGTATAAAGAACTGGAAGACATTGTCTATCAGTAAAATTTTATATATAATATTATAAAAGAATAAATGCTAAAAATCCTGTAGTATTAATTTACAAACTTCTACTAGAAAAATATTTAATAGGTATCAAGTTCTAGGTACACAAGGAATGATCACTAAATGTCTATTGTGTTCCAGGCACTATTGTATATATATATTGAGGACACAACAGCAACATTACTTTTGTCCTTAAAGTAGTTACAAAGACTCTTCTGACTAGTTCTCAACCAATTATTTTTTCCATGGGACAGCAAATTGAGCAAGCATGTTAGAGTAATATATGGTGCTAGCAACAGGTAAGATCTGAAATAAACCTTGTTGCTATGAGCAGCTGTACTTAGTATGTTCTAGTAAGTTCACGGTCTTTATCTATCCTTGTCATGAACTTTTTATTTGTATCATTTTGTCTCAGTGAGGTAGAATCTAACCCTAAATTCCAACCTACCCCTTTAATCTAAGACTTAGAAAACCTGCCTGAATAAATTGATAGCTCACTCAAAATTATGATGTCTAGATGTCTAAATTGCCCCTGCCTAGGCAACTTGACCATCTTACTATAATGGTTTGCCCACCTTTGGGGCTCTCACTTCTATTTGAAATATAGTTCACACTCATCTTAGTTGTGTAAAGCAAGGACTAGCACACCAAGATCTGAAGAAGTCTAACACTTCCCTTGTTTTTGTAAATAAGGCTTTTGGAACACAGCCACACCATTCATTCACATATGGTCTATGGCTGTTTGCGTGCTACAATGGCAGACTCTAGTAGTTGCAGTGTCGACCATATGGACCACAAAGCCGGAGATATTTGTTGTCTGGCTCTACAGAAAAGTGTGCTGAGCCTCGCTTTAAAGCTTCTATTTGAACAGTTGTTGACTGTAGACATGACCTTTCTGACAAGTAGATTAGCATTTTTACTTCCAATCCAAATATTTTTATTGTTCTTCCTGCCCAATGTCTTCCTATGGTTCCAGCATATATTCCTAGAGGTTACCTAATGTGTAACATTAAATTATTTCTTTATCATTTACTTTATAATGTTCCCTCACAGGTAATTTCAGGCATTTTGATGATAATAATAGTGAGACCCACAAGAGATAACTCTTGTGCATATAAGTGGTCTCTTATATTCCATAAAAGGATGCAAATATTGAAAAGGAAATTAAAAAACCATGGATTTTTAAAAAGAAAGAAACAAAAAAAGCAAAGACAATGAAAATGTTCAAGTCAAATTGCAAACATCTGTCATGCTACTTGGTATAATAAATAAAGCAAAAATGGTGAAAGATTGCAGAGCCTTACCCAGAGCCCATAAGATGGTTCTAATCTTATTTCTTCAACTTCTCTGTGAAACATAGGAACCATCATAAATAATTAATTGCTCATATTAGATTGATAAATTCTCTAAAAAAAAATCTTGTGTCTTTTAGTACTCTCTCCACTTGGGTTTATATTTTGTCCTCTTTTTCCTGAAGAATTGATTTGAAACAGAAGATTCTGGGATTTACAGCTAAGAAGTCACTGTTCAAGGTCTCAGTTGTTGGAAACCAATGGGAGTAGGTTATGTTCTCAGCACCACAGCTATGATCTGTAAATAAATTAACATATGACATTATAAAATCATAAACTAGTAAAATCAATTCAAAATAAATAAATTAGATGTTGTCTGTATGACCAAAACATCAACTGCAGTAGAGGCTGTTCAGCTTTTTATTTTGCATTTTCCAAAGTTTACTTGAAAAATGTGACTTTGTATTTTAAATACACACTTATAGATTTCATGTGGATATGAGTATATATGACATTTCAAAGGCTGTAAGTCATCAGTATGCACTTGCCACAATGGCATCACCATTAATATTGAGCACCCCTACAGGGCCTGGCACATAATAAAGTGCTACATGGATGAATCAGATAACTGGGGAGTTCTGTCTCCATGCTGGTAACCATGCTATTTTTACTGTCAGTAGTGCTTGAATAGAGCATGTAAGAGTCCTTTTGAAATGTTGATCACATTCTATTTTGTTTTTTGCTAGCAAAAAACTATGCCTTATTTTTACAGATTATCTCCAGAGTGACCAAGTATAGCCTATTAAATATATCTGAAACTTCATGCACACATTATGTAGCCTCTGTGGGAAAATATGTATCTTATACAAGACGATTTTATAGAAAAATAGTTTCATTTGCAGATAATAATGATTCTGTTGTTAGATATTCACTAGGATGCTAAAATTTAAAAATGTAATAATGCAAATATTCAAAAGAAAATTCAAAAACCGAGAATTTAAAAAAAGAAAGAAAAACAATAAAAAAACAAGCACAGCAAAGACAGTAAAAATGGTCAAGTCAGATTGCAAACATTTGTCATGTTCCTTGGTATAATAAATAAAGCAATAATGGTGAAAGATTGCAGACCCTCAATCATAGCACATGTATCTTCTAGAATCTACATTCATATATAAATCATATAAATATAATCTTTATATTATAAATAAATATATAATATGATATATAGCATACATATTTACTTTAATATATAATATATAACACACAAATGAAATACAGTACTTACCTAAAAAACTCCTTAAGATTAAAGAGGATATGGAGCAATTATGCATGCGTGTGTGTGTGTGTGTGTCTGTGTGTATTAGTGTTGCTTACTCAGAGAAATATTGGAAAGAATAGTTCTCAAATTGGTAACAGTGGTGTAGCTGAGTTGTATATTTGAGATAACTTTTAACTTTTTCCTTATACTCTTATATAGGTGAAAATATTATACTGAGAATCTTATTTTTATTGATAATGTATTATTTTTATCATCACAAAAGCTATTATTTATAAAAATAAAAGCAATAACCACACATTAATTAAAAGTATAAAGTTCAATTCCTTAGGATGACATACATTCCTACATGGTATGACTCTGCCTAACTGCCTAGCCTCATTTTCAGAATCATCCACCATTATAATATATAGTCCGCAATACTAAAATAGATAATGGTCCAAAGAGGCCATTTCTTTCATGCTTCCATGTGTTTGTTGAGGCTTTTCTTTGTTTCCTTCTCCACTTTCTCACTTGTCAGGCCAGTGCTCAAGCAATATTGTCTTGTCTAGCCCACTCAACCTATGTGAGGATCCATCCATAACCTACAGAATGTAATCAATACAAATACTGGAAGGAATTTTGACTCTTCAATGTCTGCATAAACCCACATGTACATTTCTGCATCTCTCTCCATTCTCAAATCTAAATTCTATCAAATACAGATATAAATATTGTACTTTCTCCTGTTTGTTCTGGTATCTCTGTGAAGTAATAGCTAAGATGACAAAATGAAAAAACAAACAGGTAAACAAAAGCAACCTCTTTTGATCATGGTCTGATAACTTCTAATCCTTTGAGTAGAACTAGCCAATTTTCTTTCTGTTAAGCCTTACTAATCCCCTTATTTCAATTAATGTGGTCAACCCACTGTGTTAAAACAGTGATATGCACTATATTGAAACAAAGCATTTTGTCTATATCAGGACACATTAAATCCCCCAATATGGTATTACTGGACTTAGAGATGCATTTTTAAATGGATGTATTTAAATGGATGTATGGTATTACTGAACTTTGAGATGCATTTTTAAATTATGCATAATTTGATAATTCTTATTTTCACTGTATTATATAAAATAACCATATGTGTTACAATCAGTAGCACCTTAGAATTTAGTACGTGTGTGTGTGTGTGTGTGTGTGCAGTTGTCCCATGGCTTTTGGTCAAGTACTATAGAATACAAATTTCTTAATGAGAATAAATACTATATCTCTGGTATACTTGACTCTTTCTACCCATTCAATAATCATTAGTAAAATGGTTAAATAACATGCTGTCCACAATGACATATGTGGATGAATGTGGTCTCATTGGAATGTCTGTGCCAATATTTGAATAGTCTAGTAAAACCTGGAACATGTTCCAATGGCTGCATCTCAGTAGTGTAGATAAGTCTCCAAAACTGAGCATGAGCAAAGGAAACTGGGTCAGCCTATAAATTTTAGTTAAAAATCTACTTAATTCAAGTCTACTAAGAATTCTGCAATGAAGCATAATCAGTATTATCAGTAAGCATATGTATAAGGTGTAATGGAAGGTGTGTAGAAACTGCTCTGTTGAAGTTACCACCTTTGGTTAACATGGCCACAGTGTCTCTGTTTTTGTTCCCCTACTTCCCCTGCTATGATCATGCCACTCACTGTATTTCGTGTCTATATGATAGTATAATTTAAGGCAGATTCAAGGATGTTTCACACACTCCTTCAGAAATCACATTTAATCAGTCACCAAATCTAAGGTCCCACAACGTAATGGCTCCTAATGTAGACTTAATTTAGGCCCTGCACTTCTCTCAGACACAGCACTACTGCCAAACAAATATATCACTTTTCCAAATTGCTGTAAGAATGACATTTCTGAAAAAGCACATTAGTTTTCTTCTCCAAATTATTGAATAATTCTACTATTAATAATATAAAATTTTATCTATTTGGTAAGCTACTTACATTCCTTTATTCTTTCATAGTCTTTTTCTGATATGAAATAGTCTGCTCATTTTTTCAAATGACATTGATTATTCCACCCTGGTTATCTTGGAGAATGTCCAACATTTTGAATATGTGTGATTGTTTCCTCATTGTGATGTTGGCCTTGTTCTTTTATCTTCTTATTTCCTGTAAGTGAACGTTAGGGCTTGAGGCTGGAATAGATGCAGACTAAACATTTTGTGAATTAATATTTTATAGGTAATCTTTACTATTTTATATTGCACCGCATTGGAAAAACCATGATGTAAGGATATAATTCTGTGAGTATTCCTGAGTTTGGCCACTTTTTTAATGTGCATTTTTTAAAATTTACAATGAATAATTAATGTGTGGATAGATACATGAACACCCTGTTCATATCTTGTTCTCTAAAATATTTCATGTAATGATTTTACAATTCACTGATTATATGTTTGAATAGGTTATAACATGGAGTGTTAAAAAATGGGAATTTTCAAACTTTATCATTTATTAGTTCTCATTATTTTGTAAAGAGATTCCTTTCAATTTTTTATCTTCACCTTCACTATCAAATCATTGGTGTTTATTTATTCAATTTGCCACAATCAAAATGATATAATAGTTTACTGCTTAACTGAATTTCTACTACTTACCACTGAAATTACTGACTGTTGCTAATAATTTAAGAACACCTTTAGAATACTAAAAAGTTTTGATCTCCTGAGATATACTACAATCAATGATTTTAACAAGATAATTTGTGTTTGTGTTTTCTCCCTATCATAAAGGAAAGAGATGGCATCTAAACACTTACTATGTAAAATCACTATCCTAGGAACTCTCATGTAATTTTTTACCAGTCTGTCCTTGAAACATGACTCGGAGCACTTATTCCCAACTTCTTACCTCCCATTTCATTTTATGGATAAAGTAATCAATACTCTGAAGGCTAATTAAATGCTCAAAGACATACAAGTAGTAAAATACAAGCAGAATTTATACTGTGGTCTATTGACTCTTTCCCCATGCCACAGTGCCTCTCTGAAGTTCTAGCTCCAATTATTTTACTGTCATGACACATAATGGTGATCCTATTAGTCAGGATTCTCCAGAGAAACAGAATTAATGGGATATATATATATATAATATATATATCTGATATATATAATATATATATCCCATATATATATATATGAGACAGCAAAATAAAGACAGAATTTATTTTAAAGATTTGGCTCACACAGCTGTGATTACTGGTAAGTACGAAATCTACAGGTCAGGCTGTCAGGCTACAGATCCAGAGAAGAGTCGATGCTGCGGCTCACCTCTGAAGGCAGTATGGAGACAGAATTCCATTTTTCCTTGGGGCACCTCAGTCTTTTCTTCTTAGGCCTTCAACAGATTAGATAAGGCCCATCCACATTATGGAGAGTGATCTGTTTATTCAAAGTCTTCCTATTGAAATGCTAATTCCATTAAAAATGCCTTCATAGGAACTTTAAGACTGGTGTTTGACCAGACATATGTGCACTGTAGCCTACTGACACATGAAATTAACCATTACAATGATATGTAGTGGATGTGCTAAATTTCTATTTTATTGGTATATATTTACAGTTTCAAACTTGACACATTTGATTTCTCCAATAAGTCTATTTTTTCTCATTAAAATCGATCTCCATATTTAAATTTATTTAAAATGTTGTTTGTTATTATTGTGTCATTTATGGATTATTAAACCATTTCTATTAGTCCATAGGTTTAGTATTTATTAAGACATTTGCCAGACGCGGTGGCTCACACCTGTAATCCCAGCACTTTGGGAGGCTGAGGGAGGTGGATCACCTGAGGTCCGGAGTTCAAGACCAGCCTGATCAACATGGAGAAACCACGTCTCTACTAAAAATACAAAATTAGCCGGGCTTGTTGGCACATGCCTGTAATCTCAGCTACTCGGGAGGCTGAGGCAGGAGAATTGCTTGAACCCAGGAGGCGGAGGTTGTTGTGAGCCGAGATCGCGCCATTGCACTCCAGCCTGGGCAACAAGAGTGAAACTCTGTCTCAAAAAAAAGACATTTTATTTGCTATGTTTTACACTATAGAAACTATAACAACCTTAAGTTACAGCTTCAAATTTTAATCCAAATATGATCTTTATCGATGTAGACACTTTGCAGCTCTTGGACACTCACTCTTAGAGCTTAAGAACAATTTTACAATAAAAGCTACGAGCAGAGATTGTGTTCTTCTGTGAGAGCAACACTGTACTGCAGAAAAATGTTTGACTGAATCTCATCATCTAAGGAAGAACACTGGGCTCTGGAACTGTGAATACCAGAAAGGCACAAACTCTGCTCAGTCTTCCTTTCAGGTCAATATCTTTAAGAGATATGTTCAGGAAGGCAAATGTAGGCTACAAAAAGGAAAAAAGCATAGTCTCCCTGAGATAGAAACTCCATGACTATGAGTAAAATTGTTGTGTCAATTTATTCATTGGATTTCAAAATGATATCAAATTCCTAAAATTCTCACATTTTTTCATGAATTATTTGAATCTCTCAAATTTGCCACCTCTGTTTCTCCTGCTGCCTTAAACTAAGGTGATAAGTCGGCATGTTAGGTAACTGAAAAAAGTAAGTGATACATCCTATAAATCCTTTCTTGGCGATGGCCCAGGTACCACTTTAACTTAATACTGGCATATTCTGATTATTTTGTAATTTTAGCCTTTTTAGACCTGCTACTTCCTGGGGAATTTGTATTTGTACTTTAATTCTATAACTTTGACACTCAGGACGATAGCTCAGACTTAGTTCTTTCACGGCTGCTCATTGTAGGTAGAATGTCTAGCTCTTCAAAATTTAATTTCTAGTCCCAATTATTTGGCTGGCAGTATAATAAGATTTCTTCCAATTCCTTGCATATAAACTTTGGGCACAAGACTTGCTCTAAATATAATATAGCAAGACGTGGGGACTGGCAATGATAGAAAAGGGATCATCGGGACATACACACTAAATCTGTAACAGCTACTCATACCTCTAATGTGTTTTTGGGAACCATTGGTGATTTTCAAAAATTCTATAAACATTGATTATTTGATTGGAAGCTTTTAATTGCTTAGAAAAGGTGATTATCCTATTGATTTTGAGGAGCATAGAAAGAATATCGTTACTTTTTCTTTATACTAATGATATTAAAAAGAAAGAAAAAATATATGAGAAAATCCCAATGCCAATAGTAAGTTTGTATTTATTATTGCAAAAGACCCAGTGGCATCACCTGTTTAGCTCTGCCTCTGACCTTCAATATATCTTAAGAGTTTCAGAAAATATTCTTTTACTGAAAATGAATGAAACTGAAGCAGAGAATTTCAAGGAAGAGCTTGATGCCTCAAGGGATAGGCTGTACACAGATTAGTATGACTAGAAGTTGAACAAAGCGGCAGCCACCAGTTTCCCCTGACCTTTTCCTTTCACTCAGTGGCATTTATATGAGCTTAGACTGCAAGTATTCTAGAGATGGCAGAAAGCAGATCTGGACACAGCTCAAGCTATACTCATTCTTTTTTTTTGTTCCAAATCAATGTAGCAAGTTATTTTTTTCTCTTTTTCCCCTGATCTTTGACAAGAATAATGAGAAGAAGGAGGAGGAGGAATAGGAGGAGAGGAAGGAAGGAAGGAAGGAAGGAAGGAAGGAAGGAAGGAAGGAAGGAAGGAAAGGAACTGCCTCACAATAAATAAAAGACCCTAAAAAGAAATTCTAAATTTTATATTGGTAGATTAAAATCTAGTTTTTAATGCTAAACTATAAGGAAATTAACTTAATATGAACTTAATCATATTCATCCTAATGGAGAGAAAATTCTCCAGAGTAGTATAGAAAGATTTAGGAGGCACCAGAACAAAAACAGTTATGAGGAAAACTACATTTATGTTCAGTTATGATATTTCCAATAACTCTAGTTTGAAGTTTTCCTACAATATTGTACTTCTACAATAAGAAGAAAATGTTAATTGTCACAAAATTAACACATCAATAGCTATTCTCATATACCACCATTTGTGTTGAACTCATTAATTTCTCAAAACTTTACTAGCAGTGAAATACATGTTTTCAAGAAATGTTTATATTAAGGCAAAATTAAAGTATACACACAAGCATGCAGAATATATACCACACACATATGTACACACACACATTCCTGGAGTCACTTTGATGCATATCACAAAAACACAAAAGTCACTGGAGCAGAGGATGCTGATGCCCCATCCCCAAATGAATTCATGAGCAATTTCATTTGACACTTACCAGCATACTCTCAGCTGTAGCCATTCATCTCAAACCCTTATTCCTTCTTGTCTGCCTGAGGACTATTGTCACCTTGAGACTTGCTTGAATTCAAAAAAGGACAAATTACAGGTTTTGGAGAGTTAATGTCCTTCCCTCAGGCAACGCTGAAACCATGGAAAATGAAGTGGTCAATGAATAAGAGCAAGACCTCCATTCCTTCGGAGGGATAGTTCTGAAGACTTTTCTACCTAGTTTCCCAAAGGGGCCACAGAGGGTTAAGCAACAATAGCCTACAGCAGTAATTTCATTAACACAAACTTTTCTGCTTCACTTTCCCTACTTTCATATTTGTACCTTCTAGATTACCACTTCCATATATTACTTGTACCCAAGTTCTCATCTCTGAGTCTGTGTTTAGGCCCACTCAAACTTGGCATAGAATAAGGCAAATATACTTTGTTCATTTCAGTTACCTCTATTGTGAAATAATCAGTGCTAGAGATAGGAAACCTGGTCAAACTGAACATTGACAGACTGTAAAATGACCTTCACATACTTACTGATTTTTTCTCTGAGGTTTAACAAGGAATAACCTACAAATAAAATTTAAAAATATTTACAGTGTATAATAACATATGTGGATGTATGTAGACATTGTGAAATGATTAAATCAAGCTAATCAATATATTCATTACTTCACATACTTCTCCCTTATTTGTGATGAGAACACTTAAGATCTGCTTTTCTTTTTTAGGAATTTTCATGTATAAAATCCATTATTATTAACTATTGTACAACATAGTGATTATAGATAATAATGTATTGATTGATGTTCAATTTGATTATTTCACATATATAAATCAAAGTCCTCTCATAATAAATAACCTTTTATTACAACTAAAAATATTTAAGAAAATTATACATTTATTTTTAGTAATATAGGATAGAACATAATTCTATAATAATAAAATACAGTAAATTTGCTTATCAATATTATAACTTTTATTTTCTCTTCTGAAGTATTTCTGCTTGTCTCATATTTCAGTTACTTAACCATTGTCGATGAATTCTGTTCCAAGTAAGTTTTATTTGTCTTTAGTTTCTCTCTTCTTGTCATAAAGAATAAAGTGCTTCCCTAAGAGGAAACCTAACAGAAGTGATTCACGCTACCTGCCTTAAAATAACTTTGTCTTTATACCTCTTTAAATTAGCTTGAAATATTTATTCCACCCATAATACATGATCACTTACAGAACATGAGAGTGAGACTGTGCATTCGGGGTTGCCCACAGCCCAGCTCATTTTGAGTAATTGTAAATAGTAATACCCATAATTTTTTTTTAATTGGCTAATGCTGTAATGTGGCATCTGTCATCAGCATCCTCATATAAACTCACCATTGCCACAGCATCTGTTCCATCACAAAATGTTCTATTTCTGTGTCTCGCACATTTAACTAGCAAGGAACAAATAGACTACTTTAAAATAAGTTGCCAGTGTTTCTAAATGAGAACGCAAAGCACATTTGCCAGAAAGGTACGTGACAGGGCAGGAATAAACTATGACTTTTGACTTGAAGGAATATAAAAACTGAATTAGTTATTTCATTTATATTTAAATAGTAAGATTGGACAATTAAATAATTGGAGAACAGTTGTCGGATTAAAAGTACTCTACTTTTGAACTCACTTTTTCTAATATATGAACACAGTTTTTATTTTGTATTTAAAATCTATTAATATATAGCAAAAAAGTGTGATAAATGTATTTGAAAGTGGGTAAATTTAGTCTAGTTAATGTTCTGTGCCAAAAACTTCTCCTGGGATATAATGAATTAGAATTAAAATATGAATTCAGCCATCCATCCATTCACTCATTCAATAAATATTGATTAATCACACTATGTGCCAGGATATAGGGACATAATAATTTCAAAAGCTGTGATAAAAGTACCTGGTTTCATGAAGCTTATGACAGAGGAGGAAGGCAGAGAGTAAGCAAATGCATAAAACACTTAAATAGGTGACTTCAGAGCTGTGAAGAGAAATAAAAAAGGCAATGGCAGAGGATGCTAGCAAAAGAGTGTGCTTCCTTAGAAAAGTGATTTAGGAATGGCTTCTGATTAAGTTGAAAATACCTCGTGAAGTTAATAATTAAAATCAAAGATTAAGAAAAATATATAAATAGTCACTTTTTTCCTTTTAAAGGAGCTGATTGGAAAATATCTTGAATGGATAAAATATAGTAAGTAATACACTAGGCAAAATCCAGTTAAAGAAGCCATCCCAAAGAAAGAGTCAGAAAGAACAAGATCTACACACACATTTTTCAGCTTCGTCTGCAATCCAAAGGCAAAATGTAAAAGTATGCAAGAAACCTCAAACAGGCCAGTCCCTAAGAGGGCTTACAATTGTGTATCAGTGCAAACATTATATTTTGATGCAAATCCTATACATAGCTTATATGGCAGTGGAGAAAAGATTGCTTTTTCTTTGTTTTAGAAAAAATGCAGCATAAATTATTACCATGATGTTAAATTATTCTTCTTTCTGCTTTACAACTATTTGAGAACATTTTGCATGAGCAAAAAATATGTCCAAATATAAAGGACACCCAATGTGTGAAAGGTAGCAGCATTTTGTGGCACATGGTGTGTCACTTGAAAGAAATGACATGATAAAATTCATTTTAGTCATTTATTTATTCAATTAATTTATCAAAACAGTATTCACTTCAGACTAAGGAGAATTGCCAAGAAAAGAGATTTATGGTTGTTATTGCTGTCCACCAAGCATAAGACATTACTATTATTTCATTATGTGTTTATTATTTTTAAAAGCCTAGAAAATAGTACTTTATTTGTAGAACATATATTCTATATAAGCAGGAAGCCATGTTACATTTAAAGTAAGACTTTAAATGATACTACATTAAACTAGAATTTATTTTCTGAACAAAAATCAATAGGTAAGTAAATCAATGGAACTATTTGAGCAAATGCAACCTCTTACTATAATGCTAATCTATGATCTTTTCTTTTAAAATATTTATAATCTAGTTATAACAATATCAAATATTAAAATATTGGTGAAACACTAAGAGG
The DNA here is from genome assembly GCF_000001405.40 of Homo sapiens. Lineage (NCBI taxonomy): Eukaryota > Metazoa > Chordata > Mammalia > Primates > Hominidae > Homo > Homo sapiens. Next base: position 65,694,946 of record NC_000004.12, on the reverse strand, counting down.
TAATGACTAGGTATTATATTTAAGACTGAATCTACAAACTGGTGTTGTGTGCATATTGTCGTGGTATCATACTCAGGAGTAAAAATGTATGGATTCTTCCTTTGCCACTGCAATGTTCTAACAGGGTAGGGTAATTTTAAGCCTCACTATCTACATGTTTAAAGAATGTAATATGTGAAGGAGAAATAGGGAAGGAGGGAGAGAGAGAAACAGACTCAAATGAGGTAACAAATAGGAAAAATATCTGAAACTCTTGATTTTGGTTTTCATCATCATTAACATAGTTTTTCAGAAGGGTACACTTATTGATTCATCTGTTTATTAAACAGATTTTTACTGAGCCCCAATTATAGGGCAGAAACTGCTTTGGACAGTGAACACATAGTGCAGAACAGACCAATCCCCTTCTCTGAGCGAATTTACATTCTACGGAAGGGAACATAAAATTAAATAAACAGACATACCAATATCAGATAGTTGTAAGCACTAGAAAAAAGCAAAGCACGATAAAGAGATGCAGCATAACAGCCTGTGGGAATACTATTTAAAATAGGGCTATTGAAATTCCAAGAAATGGCAATAAGAAATTTGAATGACATGAGAGTGCAAACTATAAGGGGTTTTAGGTTAAGAGCGTCTTGAGAAAATGGGTAAATAAGTGCTGGCATCCTAAGGGAAACAACTTGGTGTGTTGGAAACAGAGCATGAAGGACAATGTGAAGGGGACAACATGGTAGGAGATGAGATGGGGGCTTCATGTAGAGGGCCGGAAATGTAAAGAGGATGGAGATAGCCAGTAAAGGCTTAGAGAGAATGTGAACTTTACTATGATCTGGAAGGAATGTTGAGATTTGTGTGTGTATGGGGAGGGGGGGGGCAGGGGGGAGGCTGAGAGAGAGAGAGAGAGAGAGAAGCAGTGGCTCAATGATGAGATAAACATGAAAAATAAAATAAATAAAACAAACTTATTAAAATATCAAGGGTGGCTGGGTGAGGTATCTCATGCCTCTAATCCCAGTACTTTAGGAGGCCGAGGCAGGCAGAGCACTTGGGCCCAGGAGTTCGAGACCAGCCTGGGAAACATAGCGAACCCTGTCTCTACAAAAATACAAAAATTAACCAGGCATGATGGTAGGTGCCTGTATTCCCAGCTACTTAGGAGGCTGAGGCAGGAGAATCACTTAAACTCAGGAGGCCAAGGATGCAGTGAGCCGAGATCACACCATTGCACTCCAGCCTGGATGATAGAGTGAGACTGTCTCAAAAATAGATAGATAAATAATAAATAAATAATAAAAATAAAAATAAAATATCAATGGAGTTAGGGTCATAATGTGAACTATATTAAGACTGTGAAAGATAGGAATAATTTAGAAATAAGCTGCCATTAAATGGCTGTTTGACGTAAAAATTATCTTGGCAATATTAAGAAGGACGGTTTGAAATGATGAACACCTTAGATAACCTCATCTTAACCAAGCTATGAGTCAAAAGCAGCCAGAAGATGATGTATGAGCCAGAGTAGCTAACTGATTTAACACAGAGATGACTAAATCTCACTGGATTTGCACAATTCATTTATTTCTTGCTTATATCACAGAAGAAAGAGACCCTCATGGGGATGCTGCTTCACAGGGTAATCTGTGCTTCCAGGATTCTTCCAAATTGTAGCTTCCCCACTCTAAGGCCTTGAATTCCTCCCCTTTCAGCCAAATGATGGGAAGAGCATGGCTGGGGACGTTGGAGGGTGTTTATTGTGTAGTCCAGAAAGAGGAGCAAATCACTTCAGATTCAATAAACTGGATTTAAGTGGTGAGGCCACACATCACTAAAAATGCCTGGCAACCGTAGTCCATTTGTGTGACCAGGAACAAACAAACAAAAAAGAGAGAAAATACAGTCAGAGATATGCACACACATTAGATATAAGTAGCACAAAGAAAATATAGTCAAAATATTATAAATATTAAAAAGAACAGCATATACAAAATAAGTGGCACAAAGAAAACATAAAATATACAATATAGACACTATTTCTCTTATTTTAATATTTCTGTTATAATATAACCAAAAAAGTCATCATTATTATAAATAACATTTTGAACATCATTGGGGCAAAGTATAATAAAATGATCTTACTTTTATTAATGTATTAACTTTTGAATTGATTTTTAAATTTTCTGATTTTCTATCCTTTCATAGAGTAAATCAGTGTAGATCATGACATTTGGATAATAGGATTATTTTAATCACTTATTTTTTCTATGTTCCCTAAGTGAATAATGCTGTTACATTATGTCTTCATTCTAAAATGCAATATGTGTATTCATCTGTGTAATTTTTGTTTATTGAAAAACTTTGTTTCTTACCAACTAGAAGCAAAGAGAACTTAAGTTGAGAAGTCTTTTTTTTCAATTTAAAGCAGAGATGTTATGAAAACAGCAATTTGGTATCTGAAACTATTTAGAAGCATCAATGAAAGCAGAATTTTTAAATATATAATAATATTCTTTCCAGATAATGTAATAGTTTTAAGTCCAGAAAGGATGTTAAAATCACATATGGCCTTACAAATGTGACCAATGGACAGTGCTGTATAATGACCCATGAAAAATTAGTTAAATTTCCTGTGCCCTAACATAATTCATCATAGTAATAGCAGCAGTAATAGTAATTATAATAAAGCAATTATACTTTAAAAAATTTACTTTGACATAGAAGTCTATTCTCAAACACATGATGCATTAGATAGCAGCAATTCTTCTAATCTAGAAAACACAACACAGAATTACTGTTGATTGCATTCAAGAATACCAGTAATTAAACCTATTCCAGTAAAATAACTATTGGTTTTAAATCTTCTGTCATTCTCTCATATTCATACACGCTATCTTTCTCTCTCTCTCTCTCTCCATTACAATATACAAGTACACTTACGTAATGGTTAAAATATGATTTTTTTTTTTTTTTTTTTGAGACGGAGTCTCGCTCTGTCATCCAGGCTGGAGTGCAGTGGCACCATCTCGGCTCACTGCAAGCTCTGCCTCCTGGGTTCACGCCATTCTCCTGCCTCAACCTCCTGTAGCTGGGACTACAGGCGCCTGCCACCACGCCCGGCTAATTTTTTTGTATTTTTAGTAGAGATGGGGTTTCACCATGTTAGCCAGAATGGTCTCGATCTCCTGACCTCGTGATCCGCCTGCCTCGGCCTCCCAAAGTGCTGGGATTACAGGCATGAGCCACCAAGCCCCGCCTGATTTGATCTTATCATTAGTAAGTTCTAATATAGATTGATGTTTTAATGATGTTAATCTAAAGCAGTGATTTTTACAAGCATGCATTTTCCTTATATACTACCATAAGAATTCAGAATAAAATAAGTGGTCTCAAAAAGTTTCCAGGTTGATGATTAAATTGTAACAGTTTAAAGTGGCTAAGACATTGAAATTTTGCTTCTTTTAAATACTCGTATTTAAAAGTGGACATATTATGTCAGTCCTTTAATCACATCCAATGGGATCTAACTATCAATGACACTCAACACACAGCACCACAGATTTAAAATACATGAGTTGCACATGTTTGTTTTTGTCTTTAGATCAAAATTAAATCCCAATTCCTCCATAGGATTTTCAAATGACTGTATATAATACACTTAAATATTTTGTTTAAACTCTTTCATTGCTTCTCTATGATATAAAATATATGTTTAAATTTAAAATCATTTTTTAAAATTTCCTAGGAGCATAAGATAGTAAAAAGTAAAGAGTTTTTAAAAAGTTATTCTAGCTTGACATGTCTTTCCTATTACACATAAAAGTAACATACAGTTGATCAAAGATCTTCTATCATGTATCCATAGATGAATTTTATTTATCATGAGAACAATGCAGAGTGCAACATCCATTCCATTTCTTTATGAAAAAATAGGTCTGAGCATGAAGAATCTATATTCATATAAGTAAATAGATAGAACAAAAGTATTTGTGATAAGCATGTAACCGAATCCTTAAACCCTGAGTTTTGTACCAAAAATCGTTGCTGATTTCCCATTAAAATACATTTAATGAACTGTCTCTGATAAAATTATTAAATCACTAAATTTGGTTCTCCTTCAATTTTGTTGAAAAGTGTGATTTAAAAAACACCTGAAAAAGCATTTGTTTTCTAGTCATCAGAATTATTCATTTTCCCAATTCTGACATCAATATCTGGTTTATCCTGTGTGCATCTGTGTATGATTGTGTGTGTGTGTGTGTGTGTAAAACACTGGAAAAATTTACAGCTTGGCACAATACAAAGTAATTAGCCATTGAATAGATGAGAAGTATTCCTTTTTGGTATAAAGTGGGAATAATCTTAATTGAGAAAGAGAAAGGAAAGGAGTTGCCTGATTCAGAAGCCTTATCAGTCTTATAATATATACAGAAGTGAGGATTGGAAAATTAATTTCCTTAAAACCATCTGTGCTTTTATCTTATAACCCCAGGGTATGTATACTCCAGTTAGAAGACAACTGGTCTAAGGAGGCTATTTGTAAATTCTTTGGAGTGTTTGAATATACAGACATAGGTTCCCTGCTTCATCCCTTTTTGAGTGGTCAGCATGTCACAGATGGCATGCAATGTGTCTTGTGTAAAGTGTAGAAGCTCCACATCCTGGAGAAACTGACAGTGTCACACTTAATCTTTTATTTTCCTAAGCATTTGGTGACTTCTTGAAGTTTGCATGTGCATAGTTGAGTGGACTTACACACTATGATTTATAGTTTTAATTAAGCAAACTCACAAACTATACGAGTTGCTTACAAATATTTCTGCCAAATAAACATGTATTAAAAATAATATAAGATTTAATAATTCACATAAAATCAACCATCAAAAATTTGTAGCACTGATATTTATAAACCAAATTCATTATTTTTATAGGCCACACTATAAGACAAAAGCGATGACAGTCTAAATTGAAAGGATAAGAGGTCAGCAAGATTTTTTCTAAGTCATCAAAATGATCATTTGAAGTATAATTGCACATATTAATTAAAATAATTCTCAATAATCATTAACTCATCTGTATTTTGTGATGGTTTACAAAGTATATAATCCATAAGTAAAGAAGCAGAATTACACATTTCATAAATAAATAAACGTGTTGAAATATTTGTCCAAAATATTTCAATGATTGATAGAGTGTGTTATCAAAAAAAACTGTGGGGCAATAGGTCTATAGAAAAAGGTTGTGTTAACTTTTCCATATGATAGAAAGAACAGTAGGTCACTAATTGCCTGTCTGGAAATTTATCACATTATATCCTCTCTTTATAAGACACTAAATGAGAAAAGAGAAGAATCAGTGAGGTTTGGGAACAGTGTACTATTAATGATGCTTGTAACAATATAATCATGCTGCCCTACATCTATCAATAGTATAGGTGATATTATAAATTTCATAATAATTTATTTGTAAATAATTAAGGAAGTGACTTGTAAAACAACATAACATAAATGTTGGGAAAAAGTATGTAATTAGACACAATTTTCTTTTAGAATGAGTGGTTTCCCAGCAACATTCCTAGTCAATGTAAATTCCAACAGAACTTCCGAAGTATTTGAGTTGTGAACTGAACACATTTTTGTTTCAAGCAGGCATTCTTACCGCAGAGAAGCAGAGGACTGCAGAAACAAACAAATCTTTCCCAGTTTCACAAGCTGGCCACAGATATCTTCATCAATTCATTCACAAATACAGATTTTGCATTAAAGATTTTATGTGTGTGTCCTATAGAGCTAGGTAGGCATTCTGTTTAGCAATAATATTGCCATTAATTTATATGCTTTAGGTCAATGAACATTGAACAATGAATATTTTCCTTCCACTGCAAACCAAATTATAGACACTTAATTCCTAAAAGATCCATGACTTGAAATATTATTGTGTTCCAATGTAATCAGTGGGCACCTAAAATGTCTTTCAATAGAGTTCCTTATTTCAGATCTGAGAACTGCACACAGACAGAAAGGATACAAAGAAAGTGCAATACAACTCAAAGCAAAATTCACACAACTTAGAACACCTAAACACCTGAAAAGAACTGCAATAAACAGATAGATTTGTCTTCACTAATTAGCAGTTTCCAAGTTAGGGAAGATGTAAGCACGCCGGACTATAAGGTGGAAGCTGAAACTAACTAGAAAACAGTAAGACAATTCAGTTCTATAAAAAGCTATAGGAAAGAATTGTAAAAAATCGTGAAAATGGCTCTTCCTCAGGCATTGAGCTTTCTCAGCCACACTTGCAAACACAATTATAGCAATTTTAGCAGTAGTTGTGTGCAAATTTGAATACCAATTATACATATGTAAAATAGGTATACAGTTTTATTAGAAATTTAATGTATGTCTCTCCAAAATATGTTAACTAAAAGCTGCTTTTTACTTAAGTAAAATAGTGAAACCGATTTAAATGACTTATAACTAAAACAAGGTTTGTTTTTTGTTTTTTAATTTAGACTTCTAAATGAAATTGACACCTAGGATACCATCAAAACTTTTTCATTAAGCTGGAAGAAAAAAACTATTCCACTCAAGAGAAAAAAACTCAACATAAACCTAGATCCAAATTTAATTCTTGATATTATAGCGACTTCCATGATTTCCTTAAAGTAATGCTAGAAATATGAAGCAGTTTGTCTCAAATTATGTCTTCTTTCCCAATTTTGCTACTGTTCTAAAATAGAACATGTAAAAGAATGTTTAGTAAGAATGTGGAAAAGAGCAGAAAATGGGGGAAAATGCATTAATGTATGTATTTATATAAATAAATAATTTTGATATATTTTTGTGTTGCTAGACTAAAAATATGTATGTCTTCTAAATGCAAAAATACTTTAAAAATCACCATTTTATTTTCAGTGTTTTGCAAGTTAATATACCATGATCTTAGACTTTGAAAATATTCCTAACACATTCAAGGGTGTATGAGTTAGTCATAATTCTAATATAGAGTGGTTATAACAAAATTACAAAGTGTGATAATTTATGAAAAGTTACCTGCTTATGAATTGTGAGACAGATAATATTAAAATCATTTCAGGTCAATTCATAAATATGATTTGAATACATAACACATTTCAGATTATTCTAGAAATGACACTGTCAACAAATATGACTAGCACAAATTTTCTGCCACTAAAGACTTCATGAAGTAAAGGAAGATCATTGGAACCACCAAGTCCAACTGTTCCCTTGGAAGTAATAAAAATACACAAGAGTAGAGAGTCATTCATTCATTTTTTATTAAGATATAATTGACAAAAATTGTATATATTCATGGTGTTCAATAGGATGTTTTGATATGTATGCATTGTGCAATGGTTAAATAAAGCTAATTAACATAATCCTCAGCACATATTTCTTATTTTTTTGTGGGGAGAACATTTAAGACCTACTCTCTTAGCAATTTCCAAGTACATAATACATTATTATTAACTATACTCACAGTGCCAAACTTATTTATCCTGTGTAACTGAAACCTTGTACCCTTTGACGAACATCTCCCCTGCCCCTGACAATTCAGTCTTTAAGATTGTGGCCTATTGGTAAATACTTAAATAAGAAGTTATATTTGAGCAGATCATTGAAAAATGAGAAGAAACTCCACAGACAGAGAAGTCAAAGGATATTTCATTTTATCTCATTGTTGACACATTCATGTATTTTTCTCTCTATCCCTTCAAATATTATCTAAATAATTAAAAAATTTTCTATCCATCAGGTTTTGTTTGAAAGGTCATTTTCTGGGTGAGATCATGCATGAACCAACAATACTAAATAGCTTTTCCCTGTTACTCAGCTTGAGTATCTTAACTTTTTTTTTTTTTTTTAAGTTCTGGGATACATGTGCAGAATGCGCAGGTTTGTTACGTAGATACACATGTGCCATGGTGGTTTGCTGCACCTGTCAACCCGTCATCTAGTTTTTAAGCCCTGCATGCATTAGGTCTTTGTCCTCATGCTGTCTCTCCCCTTGCCCCCAATCCTGCGACATGCCCTGGTGTGTGATGTTCCCCTCCCTGTGTCCGTGTGTTCTCACTCTTCAACTCCCACTTATGAGTGAGAACATGCAGTGTTTGGTTTTCTGTTCTTGTGTTCATTTGCTGAGAATGATGACTTCCAGCTTCATCCATGTCGCTACAAAGGACATGAGTATCTTAACTTTTAATCAAGGAATTTAATCGTTTATATTTATTTCCATAACATTGTATTTGGTCCAATGTATAGTTTAATTTTATGTTTTTTTTGATTCGTTTTTGTTACATCTTTTGTTTTGCTGACTTATTTTCTTCTGTAATTTTTAAAATAGGGTCCTGATTTCAATTCAAGTACTTAAATATTTTGACATGTTCATTTAAAAAAGATGGGTTACATTAATATTAAAATTAAACTATTTTTACACTCTTTTACTCGTTTTCCTTATATTACTTTCCCAGCATTTTTCTTAGTTCATATTTAATATATCTTCAGGTTATAAATTTCATAAAGAAATAAATTTGTCTGTCCAGATTGTTTAGACTTAAACATTCTATTTTGGAGTTATAATTACAACAGTTATTTATATCCACTAACATCCTATCCCTCCCCACATAAGTTAGAGCTTTCATACATTTATATTAGTTTTTACCTGTTGAATAGCCTTCCTTAGTTGATATTTCATTCATCTCTTTGTGGTACAAAACAATTCTTCCAGAAATTTTTAAAGGAAAATATATTAGGGTTTTGTACTTTTGAAGTTATGCATGGCTCTGGATGTTTTCTACACATATGAACCATATGTTTGCTAAGAATAACATTTTTGAATTACAATTATTTTTCTACAAAATCTATTGACTTTGCTTCACTGTCCTCCTGCATTAATTGTTGCATAGAAAAAACATGAAACCCCATATACTCCTTAGAGAAAAGACACTATCAAAATTTAACAATAAAGTAAATGAAAAGTTTACTGAGAAACATTTGTCAAAGCTGAACTACTTCCTGCTTTGGGAAGGGAAGGGCAACAATATTTATCTTTTGCCAAACTTGAAATATTTCCACTGAAAGGTTTATAAGCATTTTAGGAAACAACTTGGCAATATTTAGTTAAGATTAAAATGTCCCTATTTACAATCCTTCAATTCAACAGTAAAAAAAAAATGGATCACTAAATTGTGCATCAATCTGTATGATCAGAATAGTGTAAAACTACACAAATAACCAAAAGATATACACATTTATTCACATGTATAGAAGCTGGAAATATAATGCTGAGATATAAAAACCAAATTGAAGAATGTTACATATAATATGTTAAGCATTTGCAAAATATTAAAAAAACACACAAACCATATTATTTTTGTTTTAGTTTTAATTTTATCAATGTTATACATGCATATAAGAATCACACAATTCTATATGGTTTTTGAGACAGTGATTCATTGTTCCTAACTTTGAAAGAAATATCCAAAATCAACAATTTCAAACATTTTAGCTGATTATCTGTGCATATAACACTATCTCTAAATACTATATACATATGTTAGCATCTCTATTTCTTACAATTTTATATATTATCTGTTGAATTTGCAATAATAAAAATAAGAACTTGATTTTCTTTCATTTCCCTCTACAACCATTCATTCCCGTCTTTCCATCACTCCTACTTATCAAAAGTTTTATTGCATCTACATTAACTATTCACATTATTACCATGTGAATGCTATTGATAGGTGAGTCAAGATCTAACTTATGATTGCTTGTCATTTCCTTAAAATATTGTTTTTCCTGAATAATTGTCTGGTTCTTTCCACTTATCACTAAAATAACCCCAAATTATCTGCCAATGATCTTAGATGTTTCTCCTCGCATTAATATGTACCAGGCATTCCATCAATTTTATCCTTTTATAGAAATATCTCCAATAGCCTCTGATCTGTTCAATTAGGACTGGTTGGTTGCATTCCATGCGTGAGGTACATATCTCATCTTGGGATCATCCTTGACAATATTCTAAGAATTCTGTTCTCTTTTATCTCAGTGCTGCATATACATTTTCTGAATCCAATGTGTTGTTACTTCTTGATTTACACTCATGTTTTGATACAGCATATCAACCAGTACCTTCCTAAAAAAGGCTGAATGAGCAATACTAAGAATATAAATGAATTCAATCTCCATACGTGTTGATAATTCATCTGGATGAAAGAGTCAAGGTTTAAACTATTTTTTTTTTCTGCATTTTGAAGACATTGCTCCATTGTGGTCTATTTTCCAGTCTTGCTGTAAAGTGTTACTGATTCTGACTCTTTCCACATTTCTTTCTTTATTTTGTTATGTTTGTCTCTCTCTTTCTGGAAACTAATAGCGTCTTCTCTTTTTCATTATTGTTCTGAAATATCATGTCCATGTGCCTTTGGGTAAGTTTATTTTTACCAATTTTCCTGATCACTTGGTATGGGGTATTGGCTTTCTTTATGCAAGCTTGAGCCCTTCATTTTTAGATGTTTTATTTCAATTATTTGACAGTTTTATTTCTTGCATTTCTGGAATTATTTTAGAATAATAATACTTCTAATATTTTGGCCATTTTACCAGTCCTCTGAATTTCTTACATTCCTTTGTTCTCAGGTTTTTGCCTCATTGTTTAATTTTCTAAAAGTACAGTTAAGTGTTTTATTTTTTCACTTCAATCATATATATTTAATTTTCAAAGGCCCTTTTCTTGTACTCTTCCATTTTTATGGCCATCTCATGACTTCAAAGCTGAGTAGGGATTTTCTTTTTTCCTGTTCTCTTGCCCTTTGTAATGTTGAATGTGTTTGTTTTAAAAATATTCTTGGCAATTCTGTAGTTCAGTGAACAAAGGCCATGCGTGGTAGAGACACACTTTCTAAGATGTCCACCATAATCTCACCTTCTGATATTATTATATTCTGGCTGACCCAAGGCCTTGCTTCTAATGAATTGAAGTTGGGCCTTGAGATGACTACAGTTCCATCCAACAACTTGATTTCAGCCTGTGAGAAACCATGAGCCACAGAACTCATCCATGCTGAGCCCAGTTTCTACATCTACAGAAATTGTGAATAATAAATGTTGTTTTTAGCAAATAAGTGTTGGGATAATTTGTTTTACAGCAACAGGCAATTAATATAGCATATGATATTTATGAAGCTATTCTTATCTTCATTCTGCCTGATATAAACTAGAACAGAGCTTTCTGTATTACTTTTCTTAGTGAATAAAACTGCAGTTTTGAATGGGGTAAGGCAGTAGGCAATCTAGTTAGTTAAGTGACCAGATTAGTGACCAGAATCTGGAAACAGGATACTTTTGAAACACACTTTCAACGAAACTCTGTTTTCATCCCATTATTCCACTATCAGGGTTACCTAATACCACACATTTCAGAGGTTTCTTGTGGAAAAAGTCAGGTTGCTATTTAGTCTTCCTACCTGTTGATTTAAGATTTAACTTTCTTGGTCTATTAGATTATTTACCACTCATTCATTTGCTGTTCAGCTTCCAAAATATTTTTCTGTCTTCTCTTTTCCTGTTCTTTTGCCGTTTGTAGTGCTGAATGTGTTTGTTTTAAAAATATTCTTGTTAATAACTTTAGTAAATTTTCAGGGGCCATCTAAAATGGATTCAATCCACTATATATAAAGCAAAAAGTAATCAGTACATTTTAATGATTTTAAACAAATATAAATTTAGTATTTATTCATGTGGGATTAAGAATACACTGATGTTTTCATATTAATCTTTGGAAGTGTTTTGTTTTTAATATTTTATTGTCAAATTTAGGTTTCAAAAACCTGATTAAAATATTTTATCTAGGTAATAAGGTTCTTGGGTTTTCATAGTATAATAATATTACTTCATGATAATAAACTAAAAGCCATGAACACATCTAAAAGGGGAAGATATAAGAGGACTTCAAGTAAAACTCATAATATGAAATAATTAAGATGGCTGATTTTTATTTTGCAAGTGCTTTTTCTTTTTTTCCATAAAATAAACACTTTGCACACAAATAAATATATTTCCCCACAGTATGCTTGTACAAACCAAGTCACAATCCTATGCCCACATGTGTGATGATCTTTAAAAAGCGATCTGTTTCCATTTTCTTTAGACCAGCTACCTGACATTTCAAAAGATAAGAAGTACTGCTCGGCTTGAATGAACTCAAAAATATCTCTGCAAATGTATTTGAACACATCTTTTGAAATGTCAATTTGGGACCAAGTGATATGAGTTACTCATTCAAATACTGGAATATAAGTGTTAGGAGTGTGGAACAATTTTTAAAGAGATAGAATAAGATTGAAGAACATATTTTGAATAAATCAATTAAGTAAAAGTTGTGTGGTTACTACTTCATTAAGATAATTATTTCTCTACTCTTAGGATGCTTAAAGTTTAAATATAGAAATATGTTACATCATTTATATATGAGGATATTCATTTGATATTTGAATTTTCCTCTTTTATTTATTTAATATTCTATTGGCTATTTCATTTCACTGTTTTTTTGTATATATTGAATATTTTTGTGTGTTCTAATATTTTCTTTTGAAGGAAATTTATTATATTATTGGATCCAATTCATCTTGTTCTTGTTTGATAAGTTGAGGGTGCAATGGGCATGGCTATAACCACATATCATCAAAAATTGATGGTGAAAATGACTTACCATACAGCCTAACAGTTGCACTCTTGGGCATTTATGTCACAGATATGAAGACTTATTTTCACAAAGAAACTTGTACACAAATGTTCATAGCAGTTTTATTTGTAACAGCCCAAAGCTGGAAACTACCCAAATGTCCTTAAATGAGTGAATGGTTAAATATGCTGTGGTACATTCATTCTATGGAATACTAATTAGCAATAAAAAAGAATGAGCTATTATTGACTTACAAATAACTTGGATGAACCTCACACAAACTATACTGAATGAAAAAGCCAATTTCAAAAGGATACAAACTACATCATTCCATTTATGTAACATTTGTGAAACAGCATAACAATAGAAATGGAAATTGGTTAGTGATCTCTAGGTGCTAGGGATAGTGGGCAGTGGATGTGTGGGTATAAAGAGATAACATGAGGGAATATTGTAGTAATGGTACAGTTGGGTATCCTGAGTTTCCTGATGGTTACACAAGGGTACCCATGAAATAAAATTACATAGATTCAGGTACACACACACACACACACACACATTCACACTTACACATGAGCACTTTATAATATGTGAAATCTGAATAGGCTCTGTAAAATGTGCCAATGTCAATTTCTTGGTTTTGATTTTTAATTATAAATGTGTATTATGATAACATTGAGGGAAATTTGAGAAAGTGTACATGGGACTTCTTTATACATTTCTTTGCAACATCCAGCTAATCTATAATTATCTCAAAACAAAATGTTTACAAAAAAAATCACTTGATGTAAAATAATTCTGATAGGCAAAACATTAAGAGAAAATGCAATATTGCAAACGTTTACTTTGTGGAATCTAATTGTTTTGAGGTTACTAATGTTTACTTCTTCTCACCTTCTATTGGGGGCCAACGAAAGCTATTGTCCTTAGACTTGTTCACTGTGGATGTCTGCAGGAAGGCTTCCTGTACATGCCTATGAAAAAGGATTCAAAAGTGTTTTTTTTTCCTTTTTTTAAATATTGAAGGGAGTATTTCCATTCTGCCCTTTGCTCTCTTTGATTATTTTTCATAAACATAAAATGAAATTTGAAATTACAATGCAAATAATACTAGGAATATGTTTTGTAAAGGTAAAAAAGGAAGATTTTTTTCCTAGGTTTTTGTTTTGTGGAAAATTTAGTTAATTTTTAAATATGTTTTTATAAAATAACTCATACACCATCATTTTCATAATTTAGTAATTGTCATCTAATAACCAAGTTCAGAATTAACAATAAGAACTATTGATGGATTTCAAACCATGACTTTGGTTTGTGATTTATGATTCACGTTTAAGCCCTTTATTAAGTCATGTACTTCCCCCACAGTGGTCATCAGCACTGATGATTAAATACATTTTTAATTATCAAACATAAAGAACTGATAGTATCTTTGATGGAATCAACCAGTTTTACTACAAACCATCACTTACATTTTTATATTTGCCTCACATCCTTTTATCACTTTACGAAAATTATGTATTTCTTCTATCCACATAGCTTTCTGTGTTTGTATATAATTTTATAAATTTAACAAGTAGGAAAGGAAGGGAAAAAGTATTATTTCAGGGGCCAGTTTCATTTTTGGGTCAGTATGAATAAAGAAAGTTTCTTATGGATTTTTTTGAATTATGATTGTTGAGGATCTGTGGGCAGAGTCTCCATGAGAGAGATTGGGCAATATATTAGTCTATTTTCATGCTGCTGATAAAGACATATCCAATACTGGGAAGAAAAAGAGGTTTAATGGACTTACAGTTCCACATGGCTGGGGAGGCCTCACAATCATGGCAGAAGGCAAGGAGGAGCAAGTCACATCTTACATGAATGGCGGCAGGCAAAGAGAAGAGTGAGCTTGGGTAGGGGAACTCTTGTTTATAAAATCATCAGATCTCATGGGACTTAATCAGGCAGAGAAGGGTTTAACCAAAGACAATGCTTTGGGAAATAAATATTCTTCTCAGTTGAGAAGATAAGAGTTTAGGTGCTTGAGGAAGAGGAAGATAGAAAATGGTTTTCAAAGACGAAAAAAGCCAGGAAAATGGACATTAGAAAACCATTTGATGAAAAAAAAATTCTCTGTGACATTTTCTTAGTCTGTTCTCATGCTGCTAATACATACCTGAGACTGGGTAATTCATAGAGGAAAGAGGTTTAATTTTCTCACAGTTCCACATGACTGGGGAAGCCTCACAATATTGGTGGAAGTTGAATGAGGAGTAAAGTGAGTTCTTACATGGTGACAGGAAGTCAAGAGAGCTTTTGCAAGGAAACTCCCATTTATAAAACCATCAGATCTCATGAGACTTATTCACTACCACAAGAACAGTATAAGGGAAACCACCCCCATGATTCAATTATCTCCACCTGGCCCCACCATTGACAGGTGGAGATTATTACAATTGAAGGTGAGATTTGGGTGGGGACACAGACAAATCACATCATTCCACCCCTGGCTCCTCCCAAATCTCATGTCCTCACATTTCAAAACCAATCATGTTTTCCCAACAGTCCCCAAAAGTGTTAACTAATTTCAGCATTAAGTCAAAAGTGCACATTCCAAAGTCTCATCTGAGACAAGGAAAGTCCCTTTCACTTATGAGCTTGTAAAGTGAAAAGCAAGTTAGTTGTTTCCTAGATACAATGGGGGTACAGGCATTGGGTAAATATAACTCTTCCAAATGGGAGAAATTGGACAGAACAAAGGGGCATCAGGCCCCATGCAAGTTCAAAATCCAGTGGGGCAGTCAAATCATAAAAGCTCCAAAATGATCTCCTTTGACTTCATGTCTCATATCCAGATCACACTGATGCAAGAGGTGAGTTCCCAGGGTCTTGGGTTACTCTACCCCTGTGGCTTTGCAGGGTACAGCCCCCCTCCTGGATGCTTTAACAGGTTGGCATTGAGTGTCTGCAGCTTTTCCAGGAACACAGTGCAAGCTGTCAATGTATCTACCATTCTGGGATCTGGAGGATGGAGGCCCCCTTCTTTCAGTTCAACTAGGCAGTGCCCCAGTGGGGGTTTTGTATGGGGATTCATACCCACATTTCCCTTCTGCACTGCCCTAGCAGAGGTTCTCCATGAGGGCTTCCCCCGTGTAGCACACCTCTTCCTAGACATCCAAGTGTTTCCATACATCCTCTGAAATCTTGTCAGAGGTTCCCAAACCTCAACTCTTGACCTCTCTGCACCTGCAGGCCCAACACCACATGTAAGCTGCCAAGGCTTGGGGCTTGCATCATCTGAAGCAGGGACCTGAGCTCTAGGTTGGCCTCTTTTAGCCATGGCTGGGATGCAGGGACCAACTCCAGAGACTGCAGAAAACAGCAAGCCCTTGGGTCCAGCACACAAAATTATTTTTTCCTCCTTGGCCTCCCAGCTTGTGATATGAGGGGCTTCCATGAAGACCTCTAACATGCCCTGTTAGAGGCGAATGTCTTGGTGATTAACATTTGACTCCTCATTACTTACGTAAATTTCTGCAGCTGGCTTGAATTTCTCTCAGAAAATGGGTTTTTCTTTTCTATCACATCAACAGACTGCAAATATTCTGAACTTTTATGTTCTG
Source organism: Homo sapiens (assembly GCF_000001405.40). Classification (NCBI taxonomy): domain Eukaryota; kingdom Metazoa; phylum Chordata; class Mammalia; order Primates; family Hominidae; genus Homo; species Homo sapiens. The sequence goes on along the minus strand of NC_000004.12, from coordinate 65,678,633 downwards.
CTTCCCTTTTAAACATAAGTTCCAATTCCAAATCATATATTTGTGAATACATAAAACTGAATGCTTTTAACAGTACCCAAGTCACCTCTGGACTGCTTTGCTGCTTAGAAATTTCTTCCACTAGATGCTCTAAATCATCTCACAAGTTCAAAGTTCCACAAATCTCTAGGGCAGGGGCAAAATGCTGCCAGTCTCTTTGCTTAAACTTAGCAAGAGTCATGTTTGCTCCAGTTCCCAACAAGTTCCCCTTCTCCATCTGAGACCACCTCATCCCGGACTTTATTGTCAATATCACTATCAGCATTTTTGTCAAAGCCATTCAACAAGTCTCTAGGAAGTTATAAACATTCCATCTTCCTGTCTTCTTCTGAGCCCTCCAACTGTTCCAACCTCTCTGCCTGTTACCCAGTTCCAGAGGCGCTTCAACATTTTTGGGTATCTTTACAGAAGCACCACACCCCTGGTACCAATTTACTATATTAGTCAGTTTTTACCCCACTAATAAAAACATAAAGGAATTTATAAAGGAAAGAGGTTTAATTGACTTACACTTCCACATGGTTTGGGAGGCCTCACAATCATGGCTGAAGACAAATGAGGAGCAAAGTCAAATCTCACATGGCAGCAAGCAAGAGAGCTTGTGCAGGTGAACTCCCATTTATAGATCTATCAGATCTCGTGAGACTTATTCACTACAATGAGAATAGTATGGGGGAAACCACCTCCATGATTCAATTATCTCCACCTGGCCCTATCCTTGAGACACGGAGATTACTACAATTCAAGGTGAGATTTGGGTGGGGACATAGCCAAACCACACCAATCTCACACCATAAAACTTTAGGAAGTGAAATTTCAATTTTTACTAATTCTGTGATATAGTCTTCTCCTCTTTTCACATATTTCAAGAAAATTAACTATTCATAACCTACACATATGATAGCGAAGAAGAGGAATGTTACCAATTATGAGGTAAACCAGTGTGGAAAGAAAATGGAATTAGAACTACAGTCAATAAAGTTAGTGTGCTGGAAAATTTAGTGGGAAAATGCATTGAAACATGAGGTACACAACAGAAATCATGCATCCTAGGAATTTTGGAAGACTTGTAAATGTTGTGGATACATTTTCTGTGGACAGAAAATGATTAAGTCAAATAAGTATTGTACCTAACTCTTTTTATAATAGGGGCAAGAGGGTAATTAAAGTAATTTTTAGGCCGGGCGCAGTGGCTCACGCCTGTAATCCCAGCATTTTGGGAGGCCGAGGCGGGAGGATCACGAGGTCAGGAGATCGAGACCATCCTGGCTAACACGGTGAAACCCCGTCTCTACTAAAAATACAAAAAATTAGCCGGGTGTGGTAGCGGGCGCCTGTAGTCCCAGCTACTCGGGAGGCTGAGGCAGGAGAATGGCGTGAACCTGGGAGGCGGAGCTTGCAGTGAGCCGAGATCGCGCCACTGCACTCCAGCCTGGGCGACAGAGCGAGACTCCGTCTCAAAAAAAAAAAAAAAAAAAAAAAAAGTAATTTTTCTTTACTATTTTTTGGTAATATAAAGTTACTAATTATTACCATCTTTGTACTCTCTTCTGTCTCTCCTTCTCTTCCACCTTTTTATTTTTTTCTTCCCTGTTCTCTCTCTCTCTCTTGTGTGTGTGTGTGTGTTTGTGTGTGTGTATTGATGACTGCATATACATTTTCATCTAAGATTTGTTTTTGTTTTTGTTTTTCAAGACAGAGTCTTGCTCTGTCACCCAGGCTGGAATGCAGTGGCAAAATCTTATTTCACTGTGACCTCTGCCTCCTGGGTTCAAGCGATTCTCCTGACTCAGCCTCCTGAGGAGCCAGGATTACAGGTGTCTACAACCACACCCAGCTAGTTTTTGTATTTTTGGTAGAGATGAGGTTTTACCAAGTTGGCCAGGCTAGTCTTGAACTCCTGACCTCAGGTGATCCACCTGCCTCAGCCTCCCAAAGTGCTGTGATTACAGGCATGGGCCACTGAGCCTGGCTTAGGATGTTTTTATTTTTACTCATGTTTTTCTATTGTTATATGTTATAAATGCTAATTATTGAAAATGCAAAAATTAAAAATATAAAAATAAATTCAATTTATCCCACCAGTCATATACAAATGTGAATAATGGGATATAGCTCTTCAAACTTAAAAAAGTTTGCTTTTATTAGCCAGGCTTTATATATATATATGTGTGTGTGTATATATATATACACACACACACACACACACACACACACATATATATATTTATATACATATGTTTATTTATAAATTTATATATAAATATATATATAAAATATATATATTTGTATATATTTATATATATCTCTCTTTATATATCTTTATATATATGTAAAGATAGCTTTAAATATCAAAGTGAAAGTATTATATATATATATATTCTCATATTTAAATGGTCCTCCTGGGCTTTGTGGCTCACGCCTGTAATCTCAGTCTTTTGGGAGGCTGAGGTGGGAGGATGGTTTGAGGCCAGGAGTTCAAGACCTGCCTGGACAAAGTGAGATACCCATCTCTATAAAAAATTTAAAAAAATTAGCCAGGTATAGTACTGCAAGCCTGTAGTGCCAGCCCAGGAGTTCAAGGTTACAGTGAGCTCTGATTGCACTACTGCACTCCAGCCTGGTGACAGAGTGTCTGTCTCAATAAATAAATAAATAAATAAATAAAATTTTTAAAATGATCCCATAATATTCTATTATATAAATATACTATAATATATTAACCATTTCGTATTAAAGATTAGAACACTTCTGGTTTTTATCAGTTAAAAATACCACTATGTTTAATCTTTTGGCCCATTTTAATTTACTCACAATATAAAAAATGTAATTGCTAGATCTGAAACTATGCATACCTTAAAAGCACTTGATGTTATTTTAAAACAACGATAATAAAGATGTTTCAGATTAACATCCCACGAACAGCATATCAGAGTACATGAGTTTATCACTGCTAACTTTTAGCTGGAAGCTTGTTCAATAGACAATGAACAGTGGTATCAAAAGCCTGGGCTGGACTCCCGGCTACTAGGGAGGCTGTATTCCTGGCTACGTGGGAGGCTGACATAGGAGTATCACTGCAGGCCAGGAGTTCCAGGCTGCAGTGAGCTATGATCCAGCCATTGCACTCTATACACTCTAGCCTGGGCAACAGAGGGAGACTCTGTCTCAAAAAAATAAATAAATAAAAAAATCCTAGTTGCATATGTACCCCTTTATTATTTATGCTATTGAAAAAAATTGATCAGTTTTCCCCTAGCAAATTATAGCAATTATTTTATAAAATATGTTTTTGTAGGAGTAGATTAGCTATCAATTTCAAGTCACATATCAACTGAGATTAATAAACAGTTCTCTGAATGTGAAAAATATTACAGCTTATTTTTCACATATTTGCAAATACTTTTGGAGTCCAGAAAACAGGTTAGAATAGGTAGAATTTTAACTCTAACAGTAGTGTTATTTCAATTTTCTGACTCTTATGTCCACACATTTCCTACTTTTTCAGTCCCAAAAGTCCGTATTATCCCAGCATTCACAACTTCATCTGATGCCAGTTATCCAAGATGCTGGATGCAAACAATAACCAAAGAATTTCCTGGCAAGTCAATTTGGCTCATCATAAACTCTAGTAGCCTTGGCCTCATGCTATGCTGCAACATCTGCAATCCTAGCACATTGATGAAAGAATGATTAAAGAAGAAACCACCACCATCAACAATCACCATGTCTCTTCGGCTCACTGTAATTCATCTGAACATCTTATTCTTTCTTCTTTGCTACATAACTTCCTATTAATAATCACGAACAGTGTGACAACTTTATTCTGTTCTCAATATTGATAGAAAAGAGATAAAAAGAGTGCTGATTGTGATATGGACATCTTTAATAAGTGAAATTTCTGATAAGTAAGCATTTCATGTATTGTTAAGTTATAAAATACTTTCTATATTTATATCCTCATTAATTTATTAAAATGGTATTAATGCATTTTTTAATTGAACACGCATCTGATAACTTGTTAAATTTAAAAATAATTTAACTTCACATTAATAGGTAGAAATGTGAGTCATTAGCAAAAAGAAGAGATTCTAGGACTTCAGGAAAAAAATGCTTAAGAAATAACACTAAACAAAAAATATTTGATGTTTTATGTTCATTAACTTAAGACATAATACACACAATTATGGATACATTACAATATTATCTATGTTGTGAACTTCAAGAGTTATTGATTGCTTAAATATATTTTAGTCAATATTTACCTTTGAGATCAAAATAATTAATATCACTGTACATCTATCCTCTTTATAAAATTATGAATCTGAAAACTTAACTTCTTTAGGGTATCTTATCGTTTCATTAGGGTATCATATAATTTCTCATCTAAAATCTACCATGGGTTAAAATTTTGCTTTGCTTGTATTTTTCACCAAATTCCCCCAAAGAAAGAATCTAGCTAAGTGACAAAAATATTTAAAACTGATTTGTAAAAAATTGCTACAATTATATGAGGAAAAATGTTCTTGAGTTTATGGAGTTTTATTTAAATTGTTTTAGTAAAGACTGTTGCTTATATTTTTTACCATGGTTTAAAGGGGCTGTGTGCCATGTGTTGAGCTACTATTATCTGACCACAGACGTCAATCTTGTTATTTCCTTGATTTGGTCCATTGTCTTCATTGTACACAAACAAATCGTGTGCATGTTTTTATGTACACGAAACAGTATTTTTCTTTAAGTAATGCTTGCTTATGATCCTTCATTTCTTGTTTTCTCCTATTCATTTATCTGACCTATACTACCTATTTGGAAAATCGCTTTTAGACTTAAACCTGAAAATTAAAATATTTTCATGTATTCATTGCTCCCATTCATGCAGAATTTTGGGGTAGTTCTCTTTTTCTGATCAACCTGGCTATCAAATTTATTCTTTACTTCTGTTATGTAGGACTTTTCTCCAATAGACTCAATCCCATGGGTGAAAGTTTCCGTGTCTTACCAGCTGTGAGACTACTTGGATCACCTAATCTCATTTCCTCAGTTTTCTCATCATTAACATGGGGATAATAATTACACCAACATCAGGGTTGAAGTGTCAGCATTAAGTAAAATAGTTAAGGTAAAAACGTCACATAATGCTTTACACATAGCAAATCTTCAGGAAAAACTAGCAAGGCTTTCTGTCAAAATTGCTTTTCTTGAATCTTTGAATGCAGGGAAGATACATTTGGGCTTATTGATACACTGAACCTAACTATAATATTAAAACTTTTTATGAGGTTAGTAAACTTTCAAGGCACCTTATCAAGGTTACTTTGAATATCCTTCCTTCAGGAATACTTAGTACTGAAGTCACACAAAAGCACAGATCTTGGGAGACACTAACCACTTGCATCTTTTAAGGTCATAGTAGCTATTCCAAGAAATGAGAAATGCAAACAATAGGGCACCAAAACCAATATTGATGGCATGGCCTTTTGTTGTGCAAAACAATAAGTATAAAAGAAAAATATAAACCAAATCTAGTTTTCATGCAATGCCATGGTTCAATGTAATTGTGTTAAAATAAAAAGTATTAATATGCCAAGACATCAACACGTGGCCAAATGTGAATCTCCTTTGAGCTTGAAGTCCAAGTCAAACCACCATCATTACCTTTTCTGATTAACCCTCCTTAGATCAAAAAATGATTTTCATTGTTGTCATCAGAACTTCATGAACTTTACAGCTTCAATGAACTTTACAGCTGTTCATTCTTTCAGAGATGTGTAATCAATATTATTAAAGAACTATGAGAAAGATGGCTGCAATTTAAGGTGGAGAATACAAAGAATTTTGCTTTCTGTATTCTCAATCATGTAACTTAGCTATGTTGGGAGAAGATAACACAATTATGCCCATGCTGACCAGCGTCCCAGGTTTTCTTTGACAAACCAGATTTAAATTCTGTCTTTCTTCTCTTTAGATATAGTTAGACAATTTTATTCCACCTTTGATTCAGAAAATATTGGCATTGTGTTGATTTATGTAAAGCTATGAGTACTTTGAGGAGGAGAACGAAGTAACTTTTTTGTTGAGAAAAGAAGAATTTAATCTTGAGTGCCTGGCTCTCCTAGGACACTGGGTATGATTTAGATGACAGTAGTGTGTGTGTGTGTGTGTGTGTGTGTGTGTGTGTGTGTTGTGGTGGGGTGAGGTGGGGGGCGGATAAATATTTCCAGAGGTGGGATTTCTTTAGAATGGAATGACAGGTAGAAAAATCAGAGAGGCATGAGGTAATTTAGGGGAAAAATGAGTTTAACATTGTAGTATAGAATAAAAAATATATTTAAACCATTTGTAGTAGAAGGCTTTAAATTCTAGGCTGAAAAATTTGGTTATTTTGTGGCCAATAGTAAATAATTGGAGATAGATGAACAGGGTAGTCACATAGACATGCAACCAACGGAAGGGAAGAAGGCTTGAAGATTGTCTTCTCCAAATTCCTCATTTTACTGATGAGGATACTGAAGCCTGTAGAAGTAAAGGAACGAGCTCAAAGCCCCATTAAACTCATATTAGTTTTACTACATATTTCTGGGCTTTAGATATCGTAGTTGGTATTCTGCTTAAATATTTTTAAGTAACTCAATTATAATTGTAGGGGAGAGGGGAGCTTACATTTTGAATGGTCCTCAAATAGAAACATAAATTTTAACTTTCCATCTCACCCGTGAGGCTTTTTGCCAAACTGAGAAACTGATTCACTGCTCTTCCTCTAAATTTGCTTCATCCATTCGGAGCACATTATAATAAAAAGAACCTGCTTTCAGACTTCTGGTGCCAAAACATTTCAGGAAAAAAAGAAATCAAAGATGAGCTTTCACCTCTTTACAAAATTGCATCACTGCTGCTTTATTCTTTCATCTTTATTGCAAATATTTAAACAAAAAACAAATGTCACCAGCTAAAGATAGTGAGGAATTTATTGTGGAGACAAACAAGGCTCTAGATATGTCAAAACTGGTGAGCTGACTCACCTTTATTAGGTGTGAACGGAAGCCCAAGCTTTACAGTGGTTACTATACATGAAATTAAATGAGATATCTTTCTTCTATAATCAGACCTTTCTGTAAGTGCTTTCTCTGCAGCCTTTTGTTTTTAAATGCCTGTGTACTAAAATTGTCCTTCAAATGTATCTCTTTGAAAGAATGAATAAATCGAGGGAATATACTAAAGCAAGAAAAGACATAATAGAGGTGAAGCATAGAAAGTTGATTGTTTTAACTGTTTTTTTTTTCACTGTTTGTAAATCTCCCAATGCTATAGGGCACAATCAATTAAAATAATTAATTTTTCAAAACCCTGAATTTATTTGACCGAGGCTAATTTCACTGGAATGTATGTCGTGTATCTGCATATCGTCCAATTTCTAAAATACTAAAACATTTTATCAATGAAATAAATGAATTAAATCGCCACCTATGAAAGTACCTGGCACACTACAAATCTCAATAGTCAAATTCTTTGACTCCTTGAAATCTCAAACAGAGCTACCGCCTCTTTATTTACTCTACAATTTACTTCTGAAGAAAACATTGAGTAATTATCCTATTCCAGCCATCAAAGTATGGGAAGAACAGAAAGAGTCAGCAGCGGTAAGCGGTATGGGTGTTTAAGAAACTAGCCACGGACCAGCAGAGCCTGCGAATGCGCGGCGATGTGACGACAAGGTTGTTGATGCCACAGCCTGTGAGGGACAGCAGGCAAGATGCCAAACGGAGGGACCCGCGTCTCTAAGGGCCGCCGGCTGAGCTGGGGCTGATCTCCCTTCCGCCTCCCGGGAACCCCAGTCCTCGCCAGCGTCGTCAGGATTCCTTGCCCTAATTATCCCGGGAGGAAGACGCGCCTTTCCCGGAGACCGCTAGGCAACACTCACCAAGGCAGCCTCCAGATTACTTCCCTCCGTGGGTGTGTGACTTCGTCGAAGCAACTCACACTTACAGTAGATTCTCACTGGCGAGGCTGCGAGCAGCAGAGGGCGGGGGAGCTGGGAAGAGGAGGAGGGAAGGAGGGTGGGAGGCGCTGAGCTGGGAGGCAGAGGAGACGCCGGAGCTCCAGACACAGCAGGAGCGCGCCTTGGCGGTGCAGTTTCAACCTCGACTTCGCAGCCGCGCACACACCGCCTGCTCCCCGAGCAGCGGGAACCGCAGCAGCTCCTGGGCCGCCGCAGCGCAGCTCCGCGCTCCTACCGGCCGGCAGCCGTCAGTCCCTCCCCTCTTCAGCACTCAGCCCGCAGCTATTTCCTTCTGCCAGTCTCTTTGAACTCTGGATCTTTGCTTTTGCTCGCTGCTCTCCTGTTTTTCATTCTCCACATTTTCTCAAGTCCTCTTTCTTTATCCTTAGCCACCCTGCTTTTTTCCTCCTTTTTTAAAAAATCGGAGATTTCGTCTTAAAATGATTTGCCTTCCTTACCTTCGTCCATTTCAACACTGAAGGCTGCAAAGAACCTTCACCTTTCCCCTAGTGGTATTTAAAAATTCTCAATCCGTAAAAAGTCTTTTTGAAAGGCAAAGGAACAGGACCCAGGACCCTCTCGACACCCTTGATCCGAGTCCAGATCTGCACTAGCAACCAGAACTAATATTTCATTTAACCCCACCAAAGGGGGAGGCGAGAGGAGCCAGAAGCAAACTTCAGCTGTCTCAGCCGGATCCGTGGTTCCTACATTTGGAGGAGCCGCGTGCCAGAAGGCGTAGGACCCCAAGGGGGGACAAGGAGGACTCCCGAGTCTCCCTTCGCCGCTCTGCGAGGCCGAAGCGGTGGACTGAGCCGCTCGGGACAGCGGCACCGGAGGAGGCTCGGAGAAGATGCGGGGCTCGGGGCCCCGGGGTGCGGGACGCCGGCGGCCCCCAAGCGGCGGCGGCGACACCCCCATCACCCCAGCGTCCCTGGCCGGCTGCTACTCTGCACCTCGACGGGCTCCCCTCTGGACGTGCCTTCTCCTGTGCGCCGCACTCCGGACCCTCCTGGCCAGCCCCAGCAACGAAGGTAGGGAGATGGGGGTGGGGACCGTGGCGACCTGGGGCGGAGGGGCTAGGCGGGGCCTGGGAGTTCAGGTCTCAGCGCGCTGGACGCTGCTGCTGCAGACTAAATCGCAGTCTCATCTCAAATTGGTATTTGTCGTCCCCTTCCACTGGCCTTTTCGCTCCCCTCTGCGGTTTTTGGTTGCATTGTTTGACGTTAGCTGCGGAGTGCTGGGCAAGGAACATGCGTGTGGACAGAGGCTGGTTGGGGGGCTGGGAAGGTGGAAAACCTTGGGGGAAAGGAGGTCGAGGCCTCCTTTGGGGAATGGAGGCCCGTTCCAGGGGGATGGGTGCGGCTGGGCCTCACTTAAGGCGCGTGGGGAAGTGACATTTCGGGCTTGAAGGAGTGGGAACTGTTGGAAGCTCAGTGACAAGGATCTCTGGAGCAGTGGGGCTTTTAGAAACCGTTATTTGAGGCCAGTGATGGGAAACGTTGTGGGGGTGGCTGGATGCTTTTATTTTTGGGGAAAGTGCCTGCTGGGAGCTGTTATTTAGGGCATCACCAGCTGCTATTCTGGGGTGGGTGGCAGGAGCTTTTATTTCTCGTGGGAGGGGTATAGCGAAGGACAGAAGGCGCCCCACACAGTTGGGTGCCCTTCTTCTTGGGGGAGTTCATTGTCACACTCAAGCCAAGGTGGAAGAAGGCGAGAAGGTGGGATGCCGCGGCAGGAGGGGTGAGGGGGAGTGTCGCTGCTAGGAAGTTGCCGCTAAAACCCACCTGGGCATGTCTTAAAGACGGAAAAGACCTGCTCTGGCCAGCACCTGATCCAGGAGTACCCAGTCCCCCTCCCTACCCCCAATCCTGTGCTCCAGACCCAGAATACTGTCCCTGCCTTTTTCTGGGAGAGTAGAGCTGGCGCGGGAGCAACACCTGTGTCGCTCTTCGTGCTCCCGGAACAGTGCTCAGCCCCTCTGTCCGCCTGCCTCTTGGACCTGAGACCTCTGCCTTTGGGTCCCCTCCAGCAGCGCTTGCTCCTCTCCCACACCCGGACTGAGCTCGGGTCTCAGCCCAAGGGCGCATTACTCGCGGAGGGGCGGGAACAGTATCTCAGATCCAGATCTGTCAGCTCCACCATGAAAACATAGAAAAACCTACCCACTTTGGCTAGAATGGTGAGGTTTCGGTTTGGGGCTGTGGATGCGACGCGTGAGGCTCAAAACCTTGCAGAAATTCCTTCCACTCCTGGGCACGGGACACTAGACCGGAAAGATGAAGCAGCAGTGGTGGAGTCGTGTGTGTCCTCGTGACTTGCATGGGTTCAGTCTCCGCTGTAGGAGAAGGCGCTGAGCTGATATCCCAGCAATGCCAGCTCTAAAGGAAGGGTGTGAAAGCAGGGCAGATAGAGGCTCCCCTGCCCTCATCCCATGAACTTTCTCTTTAACCTCTAAGTTTATTTTTTAAACGCTAATTAAAGGCTTATGTGTATTTATCTGCATTTATCTATATACATATATATAGCTATCTCTCATGCTTAAGCCAAACAATTGGGTATTTTCCCTTTCTGATAAAGTTGAAAAAATGTTTTTGAGAGTCGTAGACCTTTTATTAACACCTTATGTTAAATTCATTCTGTTAGACGTCTGGAGGATTATAACAGCTTTGGAGGAGGCTCTTTTATTAACTGTCTTATTCCACCGAAAGGGGCATCCTCGTTTGAATTTGAAGAGGTTTAACAGTAATATCATTCATCCTTTCGTGTTTCCGTTAGATTTCAAGTCCTCTCTCCAGGTGTGATGGAAGGGGAGAACTTAGGTGGAGATGAAAGGGAGTCGCTCTTGGTTAGAAAATTGGAAGAATTCAATTCTCAGGGAGAGTGACACTGAATGGGAACAAGAGCCAAGACTGTGCAGGGAGGAAGAGGCAGAAGGAAAGAGAAGGAAGGAGAAATAGCGCCGGTCTCCTAAGGTGTTGAAGGCAGAGCTGGAATCTTGTGGAACACAGCCTGGCTGTTGTTACAGATTTAACACCCACAGATTGTATTGTCTTACCTCATCTAGTCCGTCACACAGCAAAACTTGGACTACACGGAGATGGGGCTTGGGGATCTAATCAAAAATGAGATGTACCTTACCACCTGGTGCTCTGAAAAAAGCCTGCTGTTTGGGGCACATTTTGTAATATGTCACTATTATACTTAATTGGAAATAAAATTGTGTAAATATCTATGTCATTATCTAATTCATCCTATCTCAGCTGAGCAGTTTTCCATCTTTCCACCTAGTATCCTAGATCTTTATTTCTGCTCTGTGAAATATAGATTCTTCTCTTCTTGTTTCTCCATGCTATTGCTATAAATTGAGCAGCAGAGTGTATTAAAATATTTATTTATGCTAAAATATTCATAAAATGTTTGGGCTTTTTTAGAGATTCAGATTAGAGTTTTCCAATTTGTTTGTTTGCTTCTGGAGGGACTTTGGAAGGTCAGGGGGCAGAAAGATTTCATGTATATGCTGAACTCATTAATCACTTTTTCTCATATAATTTGACTTCTGCAATCTATAGATGCTTAGTGATTTCCCAAAGACTGTGTGTGTATGTGTGTGTGTGCGTATTATGAATGCTCCCATTATGTGAAAAAAAGTTTTAAAACATACAGAATAAATGTAAGTGTATATTCATAGCTGCTATTCTAGTCATTTCTTAAATTTAACTTTGTTAGATATAACCAAGCAGAATTGAATAGAAAAAGCCAAACATATATCTGGAATTTTGGACTGATATGAAATGTGTTTATTTGGCATGTTTGAATATGTTGGATAGCAGACAATAAGAGGAAAATTTACCCTTTAGTCTAAATTCTAAGCAATTTATAAGATAAATATATCCTTAGTAGTTTTAGTATATTAGTCATAAACTACATGTGAAAGGAATATTTGATCTACAGTATAATATTCAAAACTTTTTTATTATAAAAGATTTCAGAGGTATATTTAGAAACAGACTTGTCTCTGATCAAGCAGGACAAATATTAGCAAGTGTATCTGCAAGTGAAAATTTAAATAAATTTAGTAAGTAAAGGGTTCATGTCCACTGCTATGAATTTTGGAGGTGGCCCTGAACTTATTCAGTAGCTGCCACTTTTTGCTGTCTGGAGATATATTTGTAAACAAGCATTATTTGACAAGTGCTTTTCACAGCAGGGATTCTTGGCCAATTACTGCTGAACAGCCCTGCATTGAAAATGATTCACCCGCAGTGAATCAAGCTTAATTCATTGAAGCTACAGTCAGTAATGTCCCAGTAAAGTGCTTCTGACAGTTGTCAGCAGTTTGGATTTAAAAAGTCCAGTTTCTTGTCTCTGAATGTTTTGTATGTTTAAGAAAGTGGGGTAGAAACACATAAGGTGGGAAGAAAAGGCTAAACTGCCTGAAAAACTATCATAAACTTGTAAATGTTTTCCTTGGAAAGATAAAAAAGGAAAAAAAAAGTTTGTTTTAGGGTTTTTCTTGGCTTATAATAGAACCAGGCCCATAAAATAGATTGGAGGACATAATAGATTTGTAAAACTAAATGGCTTTATTCTGTGGCCTTGTCATCCTGTTGTAATTCATTTCCTTTTAGATAAATCCGCAGGACCCCACAGAAAAAAGGACAGTAAAATCATTTCCTCACCAGGACATTACTGAACAAGAAAAGAGAGCTATTACCCCTATTTGAATCATAGATTGTTGAAACTACAAGGGACCGTGAATAGTTTTGGCTTTTTGCTTAATAAACCATGAAAAGGGGACCTAGGTCTTGACATTTTAAGCTCCTTTTGAGGTAGACAAAGATCTTCTTGGGTGTTAGGGTGACAGGTAAGAGGATTTCATTTACTCATATAAGACAGAGAGGACAGTGAACAATTTCTGCATTTAAAACAAAGATTTTTCTTTGATTGGAAATATTCTTCTTGTAATATTGTCATCTGGAAATACTGTTGGCTCTTTATTCCAATTCACATAAAATATAGTTGGTATGGAAAAAAAGGTGCACTTTTTACACCTATAAGAACATTATTTACTATAACATATTGATATTATTATGCTCTATAAAATGTGACCACTTAGAGTATGTGTTTTTGTATCTTTACATGCAAAATCAAAATGAAATGATATAGCTGTTTATAGCAAACATTTCCAAACTTTTTAATTAAATATTTTATTCAGAATTGATTGCTACCATTGAGAAAATAACTATGCTTTAGTTATTTCCACCACACTTTTGTTGATTGACTCTACCACTTGAATCTCCTTTGTCTGGAGTGCTTTTTTAAATGTATTTGCTTGAATGGCAATTAGTTTCTTTTTCATTTGGTAGAAACCTTTCTACCTTTGACTGTAAAAATAGAGTATAATGTACATAATTATATTAGCTAACTATAGCTGTTATCCTTTTTATGAGTCAAATTTAATGTTCTTTTTTCAAAAGAAAAATATCGTGTTCATACTTCAAAGAAATAATTGCTGAACAAATTATTGATAACTCTTTAGACATTATTTTTTCAATTTAAATTAGCATATATTTAATATATTCTATTTTACTAATGAATAGTTCCAATTTAAGTTAGCAGGGGTACCTACTTAAAGATTATGACATCATTTTAAGCAATCTTAAAATAGCTCACAATGGTTTTTATAAAGCATCAGAATTAACTGAGGTTTGAATTTCATGTCTTGCTTATTAATCAGTAAAAATTGATCGTAGTATTTGCATTTTTCTTTTCAGAAAGAGTGAATTGTGATTATAAAAGCAACATTAGAGCTAAAAATGTCAACTCTTACTTAGAAGCTCAGAATGATTCTTACTGTTATAATATCTGTAGTGAGTATATTTCAGGTGGAGAATGGCTCCTACTGCTGTGCCCTTCTGAGTAAATACATATTTATTTTATCAAAAGTTATGTAATTCATAGGATAGATAAGGGTTTCTTCAAAAGAGTTATTATAGTCCGTTGTATACTTATATACCTAATGGGATAGTTAACTGATTTTAAAAATTTATCATATGTTCTATCCTTGTGTAATTGGTACAGATATTCCTATGGGTGTACATAAAGGTAGATAAAAAGCAAAATGAGTTCTGAAGGCTTTGTAAACACAGATTAAAATGGGTTCATTTTTTAAGAAAAAATTATTAGTACCTATCTTTAAAGTAATCAACAAACATTTATTGAGTGAGATGCATTAGAGATAGAAAATACATAAATAACAAGAGATTTTCTGATGTACTAATAACAATTTTTGAAGGCATGATATGACAGTTAGAAAACTAACAATTATTAGATGTTGAAAATCTAGTCTAAATAATTGGTGCCATTGAAAATGTTTATTTCAAAATATGAATGATCTATTTTTTAAGTATTTGATTTTGAACTTCCAAAACAATTAGCATGAATTCTTAGGACAGTTTTTCTCTATTTAATATTTACTTTTAGTTTCTGACTTTCCAGACATTTGTTTGTATTCAGTTCATGAGATAGATTTTAAAGTGTTTGAGCAAGGTAAAAATGGAAGCAGTGTAGCAATTTTAAATATAAATTTTGAACATCTTATTTTTGACAATTCATTTATTAACATATGCAAAATGTTCTTGTAATAAAGAAGCTTTTACAAAAATAGAATCTGATGTCATATAAATTGTACTGTGAAATGGGTATTTCCACATGAAGCTCCAAATAAATAGTGGTGCAGTTATTTTTGAATATTAAGACTTTATTGGAATTTGCATTTTTCTTTTGACCCTATAGAATTCCCATACAGAAGTTTTATTCATTGCAATTATTCTTATCACATAAAAGAAAGATATGGCTCTATTTTTTAAATTCCTATTATAATAACAATAAGAAATATTTGAGTGGTTTAAAATGTAATTCTGATCAATTAATTTCAAGAATCAGATTTTAAAAATCGCATTTAAACTATTTCATTACCATCTTAAACAATTGTTACATGATATAATCTGTTAGTGCAAAGAAAAATAAACAGAAGGAAAAAGTGCTATAAGATACATAAGAATTTGAATTGTGTCTGGTGAAATTTGTAGTAATTGAAGGTCTTGTTTTTTGTTTTTTATTTTTTTTTCCCTAAAAGCTCAAATTTTCATCCAGTATCCCTAATGAGAATCTCAGATGTTACAAAGTCATAAAAGAAAACTGTAATTTAGTAGGTGTCCCACTTGGAGTTCTTAAAAACTCTGTGGTTTGGTATGATGACATTTATTGTCATTTTAATGTTAGTCTAACTTTGTGAAATGATTTTAAATTTATAGTGATTTAAAGAAACCATAAGCAGTCATTTCTATATTTAAAAATTGCCTGAAAACCTCTTTTAAAAAAGTGTCTATGTTTTGCCTTTAGAGTGCCATTTAATTGTATCCCAGTTTAAAAAGTCCTAGTAGATTCTATTCATAATTAAACTTTTCTGTAGCTCTTCTTTTCCTGTAGGGTTTGCAGTCTTTAGTCTCTGATCAGCTTATGTGTTACTTTATTAATAATGCTTAAATTATTAGTTATACTATAGGTGAGCATAACAAAACTTTGTCAAACAAAAGTAGAACCTAGGGCATGCCTTCTTTCCTCTGTGTCTCTCAGTGATAAAATGTTCATGCCTTTAATTGTTGTGTGTTTATTAAGCAGAGTGCAATAACTTGCCTGGAATTTTGGTGTATGTGCCCATGGGTGTGTGCTGAGTGTGTGGAAAGGTTGTTGGAAGGCTGGAAGAAAGGGTAGGGAGAGGGATGTCAATGTGGTATCACCACAAAATTGATATTAATAACAGTTTTGAGTATTGTTTTCAATCTTATTTTTAAAAAATATCACCCCTGCCCACATACACACTCTCACACACTCACATATTCTAATTTTACATTTGTTTTACTATGACCCTGAAGATAAAACCCCAGCCTAAAGAAAAAAGAATAAATAAATCCCTAGTTCATTTTGTTTCATACATTTGTTGTTGTTGTTGTTTTTTCCTTCTATTTCTCTGTAAGATCTGTTTTGTTGAGTTATGCCAAACACTTGTTGTGTTGGACACCCCACAGATTAAATAATTGGGATTAAAGTGTCTGTGATAATTCTAATTATGTTTTAGTTGCTGGACTATTGCCCAGGCCATCTTCTGCATTCATCGAGCTTGTCTTCAGTTCTAAATAAACTAGCCACACAACTCTGTTAAGTAAATGATTCTGGTAAAAAATAAAAAAAATTAAAGAGCCAAAACCTGAGGGTTGAAATATTTTACATATGCTTTGCAAGAACATGTTCCTACTTGGAAACATGTTTCAGGCTAAGTATTGGAAGATTTAGAGAAAATACAGTCTGTTCTTTTACTCAGAGATGGGTAATGTCTTTTTTCTCTTATATTAATTTTACACTCTTATTTTCATTTGTCATGTCTCTTCCCATCCTCTCTTCCTCTTTCCCTCTTTCTCTTCCTCCCTCCTTCCATCCTCCACTAAGTCAAAATGATTTAAGAGGGTAAGAGCCCCTGCCTGTTTTGTTCCAACACCCTCAAGGAAGTCAAGATTTTGGACTGTGTGTTTGTTAAGAAGATAATATATAGTCTTCTTGTAAATAAATTGTGGGACTCTGCCTGCAGAATAGATTGTGTCAAACCCAGTTATATATTTTTTCACTTAATTCATACATCAGAAGTTTGTAAGACATCTCTGTCAGTTTTGCCTTTCTTATAAGACAGCTAACTTATTTGCTTTGCAATGACAGCACCTTCCCTTTCCAGGATGCTTGTTAATGTCTTTTCTATGGAAAGGCAAACTCAGTAGGCAGATCCGGCTGGCACCAGTTCAGCCCATCAGTCCACAGCAGGAGCTTGCTTAGAGAGCCAAGTTCTAACTTGGCTTTCACCCAAAGCTTTCACCCAAAGCTTCACCCAAAGCTTTCACCATGTGTACTAGCAGAAAAGGTGAGGCTGACTGCCCAGTCTCATGGAAGATGACAATGCACTGTCATCTCACTTAAGAGTTTTTCTCTAGTCAGTGTAGTAATGCCATACTGGGTGTCCTAAGAAGGGGGATACAGCCAGACTTCTGAGGTAGAAGATACTTGAAAACTGCTGTGTTTGAAGGATTTTAACCACACCTAGTTTCGAACCATGGTATTTGATGTCTCTAGAAAGAGGGAAGGCAACAATAACAACAACAAAATTACCTTAATCATGCAGATTTGAAGTCATTGTTTTTGATTTAAACTTGTGAAACAAAGTAGGGAAAGAATTAGTCACAGTGGAAGTACAGACAGATCAACAACAACAACAACAAAAGCATACAAACAAAAACAGTTAAGAAAATCTGTTTTGAATTAAAAAACAAACATGGTTTTAGTTTTTGTTTGTGCTAGTCTCTAACACTTACTAACTCTAAATTATTTGGCCCTTATATATTTATTTTAAACTTCAACTCAATTATCTGTATTACGGCAATAATGGTACTGCCTACTTCATATAATTGCTATGGAAAACAAATGAAATAAAACCATTTTCTAATTATTAGAGCAATACACAAATATAGGTTGTAGAGGAGCAGAGGAAGCCTGGGAATATAACTGAATAAATGCCCTACATGGTCTCTGTGTGTTACTCTTTGTTTGCTGGGTAAGGGTAAGAATAAAAGATTATGTTATGTGAGGGAATTCCATTAAGAAACGGAGTAGAAAAATATTCTACTTTGCAAGTTTAACAGAAATATGGATTTTATGAACACTTTGCTCATGCCTCAAGTGGCCCATGTCCTTGAGGGTCCTGTATCTTAATTTTTATTAACTTCATGATAATTATGCCTGCTGTGGGGTAGCTCAGAATGGGGAGATGTAGAGACCAGGAACCCAGCTCAACCATGGTCTTAGACAGTGGTATGGTCTTGAACCATCCACCTCAGATTCCACACAGTTAAAATGAAGATGTAAAGGTACATCCAAAAGGTTGCTGTGAAAATAAAATAATAATGTACCTATGTAGCCTAGTAGGTTTCCTAAAGCCAAGTGGGTACACCAAAATGTTAGTCCCTATCTTTCCTCCCTTTCTCCTATTACTACATATAGAATATTTGAGGTATGATTTCACACTCACAGATCGTCATCTTCCTGACACTGTACGATTAAAAGGAATCTAGGCTTGGAAAACAATCTGAGAAAAGGAATTCATATACACATTTTCTATAGAGCTATCCAAGGTGAAAACCAACCACATGACATTATCTTGATTTTCTGTTGGTTTTCCCCATTATTTAATATCGAATATTGGAATTTGATTAGGAAATAAATGGAAACCATCAGTACAAGGTCATGGGTTGTAAATGTTGTATTTTACCTCATTTGCCCTCAGGTAGACTGGTAGAGGGCAGAATTTTTTTAAAAAATTTTGCCACAAATCATATCAAGAAATATGTTCAAATATTTTGAATATTTAGTCCTATAATAATAGTATGTTATCAGTTTCACTTTTAAATACACACACACGTATAT
The DNA here is from genome assembly GCF_000001405.40 of Homo sapiens. NCBI lineage: Eukaryota > Metazoa > Chordata > Mammalia > Primates > Hominidae > Homo > Homo sapiens. The sequence continues at coordinate 65,660,065 of NC_000004.12, read as the reverse complement.
GTATAAAATGTCATATATATGTAGAGTCTGTATAGAAATTCATTAAAAGGGCATGAGAAATGCTGCTGAAAGTGGACAGTTGGAAGAATTAGATTCTTAGAAATTACTAATATTGTAAGTCGACACCTCTACCTTTAGTTTGAAATATGTAGATGTCTCATCTGTTCTATTATTTGCACAGTTAAAAATATTACCTGGAAATATAATTGAATTTTTATATTTTCAAAAGGTATTAATGTAATTTTATAAGGCTTAGCTTTTTTACTTAGGTGAGCATAAACAGGTAAAATAAATTTGGAATGTATTATATTTAGATCCACTTTTAAAATGTATGCGTGTGCTTGCAGGCTCACAAATGCACACATGTGTATAAAGTAATCATAACTAACATTTATTATTGACTTACTGGGTGGGGGACATTGTTCTAAGTGGTTTACGTATGTATTAATTTATTTTCCTCAAAACAAGTCTTAAAAAATGTATGTGAGGTCTTGGAGATATTTCCTCTCATACTTAGTCATAGCTATAATTTTTTCCCTCTCATTAAACGCTTGATCAGCTGCTGGTCATCATACTCTTACACACTAATTTAACTCGTATTAACATCTTCTCTCTTCATTGTCCAGATCCCCACTGGCACAAGGGGAGAACTGTTCCCACATATTTTCCTCTTTCCAATTCACGGCATCTATGCTTTACCTTTCCTGTTTTTTTTTTTTTTTTTTTTTTTTTTTTTTTTTTTTTTTCTGTTACTCTAGTATATAAACAATCCAGTTCCCAGTCTCTAGCCCAGACCAGACACTCTATATCTCGGCATGCATACCCAAAATCCTATTAATAAATTGTTTAAGAAGTGCTATCTATTGCTGATCACTACCTCTTGCTCTGTTAAAAATAGAGGAGAGTTTTTAAAATAGTTTTATTCTAACTCATGATAGATTATATTATTTTGGGCAGCACTACTTTTTATAACAAGAGAGAAGACAGAAAGGTTTCCTGGAAAATGTACTCACCTTTCATCTCCTGTCCAAGCCAACCCTTTGGATGCTTTTTTCCTCCTTTACATACAAGGTTATATTAAATATTTTATAATCAATATTTTGTAGCATATATTATGAAAAATGGTATTCCACATGAATCTCATAATAGAGCCTGTAGAATAGATTAGAGAAGCTCAATGTTATAAATTAGGGAGCTGAAACGAGAGTTTGATCTATTAAAAAATTAGAACTAGTATCAAAGCCAATTTCTTATTACTGAAGAATCAGTGCAACATTTTAGCTGAGGTATAGCAAAATTGTAAAAACACGGGCTCAGGAACCTGGCTCAACTACTTAGAGCTGTGTGACTTGGGCAAGCTAGTAAACCTCTCTGTGCCTCTGTTTTCTTGTCTGTGAAATGGGATTATTATAACAATATGGCTTAGAATTGAAAAGATTGAATTATTATTAATAATGTGCTCCATAAAAGTTCTAGCATATAGTAAATAATATATATGTTAAGTATTACATGTATTAAAACAGTGTGGGTTGGCACTCTGACATTGAGCAAGGTCTACTTTTTTACATTAGTCAGTGAGTACTGTCTAATATTCATTGCAAGTGGAAATGCCAGAAGAAAAACACTTGACTTCAGCTCAATAGCTCAAGCAGCCCTTATTTACTCCCAGGTTAAAACCTTTCAATAGTCCTCCAGTGCCCTCAGGATAAAACCTAACTACTTGAGCCTGAGTACAAAGTTCTCAGTATTTTGTTTCTGGCCCACCTCTCCTGCCTGTTCCCCTTCCCTGCACTCCAAGCTCCTGCGGTGAAGAACTGCTCTTAGTGCAATAGGATCCTATGAGCTCAGTCAGAAACACTCACCTCTTTTCTTCACTAAATAATTTGATATTTATGCCTAGGTCTGTACAAGATTTTCCCAGGATTGTGTGCCCATTTTTATTCTAGGTGTTGCCTATCATACTGAGATGGAATTGTGTTTTTGCTTGTCTGTACATTTCTGATCTTTGCTGGAAATAGAGATCCCTGTAAAAAGTAAAGGTTGACTAGAAAAAAAAGCTCTCTTCTGAACTGAGAATGGCCACTGAAATAGTATGATTTTCTAAAGAAAGCAAGTTAGTTCCACAAAAACTGGCAGTAAAATATCTTTTTTTTTTTTTTTTTTTTTTGCATATACCAAATGTATCAATATGAAGAAAGCTTGCCTGTCTGTAAACTCATTGAGTGCCACCTCCAGTGCTCGCTATTCCATATGGAATATCAGTGAAGTATGTTATAATCTATACATTTGTGTTTAGTGAACGAATATTATTAAGTAACTTATTTGTTTCTTTAAAGTCACTGCTGTTAAGTACACCAAGTCTTACCTCATTACTGTATTGCTGGTGAAGCCAACATAGCTCTTTTCATAAATCCATAACCAATAGAGTTCAGAATCTCTGGTATTGCAGTCTTTCTTAAACTGAAAAGTTACCAACTAAAAGATTCTATGATTTGCCAACCAAAGCGAGTTAATTCCAAGAAATTTGTTAGTAGAATACTGTATTTTAGATTTGCTAGACGTATAATGAGAAGAAAGTTCTACTGAGATTAGCAAGCTGCTAGAAAACAATTCATAGACATCCTGTGGTCACTACCTCTTTGTAATTTAATCAACTACAGCTTTCCCAAGACCTCTGCTTTCTTATGATAAATTCTCAGAATTCATATCACTTGAACAGCTATCAGCCAACATAACATAAATTTTTTTTGCCTTAAGCATGTCTTAATTTTACCTCCAGAAAAACAATTAATATAAAACATGTGTTTCTAAATGGTTTAAATTTCTTGGGGGGCAGAAGGATTTACTCTTTCATTTGTTATAGATTTCTTGGATTATTTTGACTGTCACTTATTTTATGAAGTACTTTAGATTTACAAGCTGGCAAGAATTCTTAATATTGGAGAGAAAACAGCAGAAACATTGTTGTTATTAATTATGTGAACAGAATAGCATTTTAAGATAGATTTACGTGGAAGAAAGTTTAAAATGTGTGATAAAGACTTTTTAAATACAGTTTGGTCAGCATCTGGTTAGCGTTTTAAATGAACTATTTCTCCAGAAAAAAAAAAAACACACACACGTTTTCATTTACTCTAAAATAATATCAAATATATCCAAAATATCACAGGGTTAATATTAGATTCTCCTAATCTATAAAAGTTCTTTGAATTAAATTTTCCTCTAGATGGGAGGGTTAAAATTATAAATGCTATGGAGACTATTACCACACAATATACAAAAAATTAGCCGGACATGGTGGCGTGCACCTGTAGTCCCAGCTACCTAGGTGACTGAGGTGGTAAAATAACCTGAGCCCTGGGAGGTTGAGGCTTCAGTGAGCCCTGATCACTCCTCTTCACTTCAGCTTGGGCAACAGAGGGAGACCCTTTCTCAAAAATAAACAATCACATTATTATATATATATTATATATATATAATATATATATAAAATGCTACATGTAAATGTAGTATACTACATATAAATAGTATGCTTCATGAGAAAATAAATGAAGATATAAAAATAATATAAATATATGCACAAGAAAACATGCATATGGAATGTGGAAATATGCATATGGAAAACTCGTATCAAGAAAATCTCACTATCATCAATGCTAAAGCAATTATATAGAAAAGTTAAGCATAAGCTTTCAGTTACACAGTTCTCACTTCCTGGTAGAAAACCTGTCAGTTCATCAGGTAACTGACATTTTTTTTTTCCAACTCTGGGGTTTGAGAGAACCCCAGTGGTGTTTTTGTTTGAAGGATGCCATGAATAATATTTTTAATTTTCACTGATTATCTGATGGATTCTTGTATGAGTCATTGTAGAAAGCCATAGACATAAAGCTAGCAGTGGTTTTAGGGACTTTTTTTTTTTTTTTTTTTTTTTAAGCAGCAGCAGCAGCAAGTTCAAAAGAAATCACTGTGGAAACCTAATACCTAAATCAGGTAACAAAAGAATTATTGGGCTTCCTGGCTGTTTTCTTGTCTCCCTTTTCCCTCCATATGCTTGTACTTCTGAGACATCTTTTTAGGATCTCCAGGCCATTCTGAGCTCAGTTTAAAAACTACTGTGTTAAAATATAAAAGGAATGTTGTATGGAAGATCAATGTGATATAATCCTGACTTGTAACTTTCTATAAATCTGCCTAAAACAGAAATTATAATATCTGGTGAAGTTTACTTTAAACCAATGGTCCCTAATGCAGAGGTGCTCATTAGAGCCAACCTCAGAATATTGTTAATTATGCTGTGTCTGGACCCACCTAAACTTATGGAATCAAAATTGATGAAAGCAAATTCTTTGGAAATCTATACTTCTGCAACTTGGAAATCTGTAGTTTTAGAACCCCCATAGATAATTCTGATCTTTATCCTTGTTAAAGAACCCTTGCTTAGAACGGAAGTACTTAAAGTGAGATGTGTACTGACACTGGAACTAGTTTGCAATTATATCAATATAAAGATTGAGAGTTAGATTTAGAGACTATTATTGCAATTTGACATTGCTACAAAATACAGCTGTGTAATAGGTAGATTCACCTCATTGAGCCAAGGCATAGCTGGCTCACTTCTAACTCTAGTTAAGTGAACATAAGAATTACTTGGGTTGGTAGTTGTGCGGGAACTTCTAAAATGCAGTTGCTTGCATTTTCGTCTCTACCTAATGTCCTGATTTTGTACTTTTAGAAAGAGCCAATGGATTTATAGTTTAAAAAAAAGTACTTCTGGTGATTTGAATGTGGGTGATAGAAATACCACACTTCAAAAAAACAGTGTATATTTACTCACATGTATATATCACTTAACATATGACTCATGCTTAGAAAATGCTATATAAATGGTTTCTATTGTTAATAAAAGAGAATATGAAAGTGTTCTAAGGATAAAGGGGATATAGATGATTATCAGGTAACACTATGTACATTAAGGAAATACAAGGTGTTAGAGAATTATAAAAGCAAGTAACACTGTGCAAAAGAAAAATGAATTCTAAGTATGATTTGATGCATATTCAATGACATAACCACTGATTTGAAAAAACTGATCCTCAAGGTATATGCTTTGATATATATACATATATCAAAGCTTATATACATACATATAAAAATAAATGTATATTTATATATATTTAATATATATAAATAAATATATATTAAAATACATATATATCCATAATGGTAAATGTTAGTTTAGATAGTTATATCCTATCTAATTTAGGATTTATAACAGAATGAAACTATCTAAATTAGACATTATAATTTAGATAGATAACTATAATTTAGATAGTTATATATAAAAATATATTTATACATTTATATATTTATGTATAAATAAATATATATTAAAAATAAATAAATATATATGTATCTGTAAATGCTAAATGTTAACTTAGATAGTTACATCCTGAGAGTCTGATTTAGGAGATTCAGATGGATGACTTCACAGGTAATATAAATTCAAAGGAGTTTCTATTCTCAGGGCCATGCTATTAGAAGACTGAATGATAATCAAGATACTTCCTGTTTTATTTACTGATGTATCTATCCCCAAGGCTTAGAACAATTCTTGGCAGTTAAGTAGATACTCAATAAATATTTGTTTAATGAATGAACCCTCATTGTAGGTGTTATATTCTATGGAACTTGAACAAAAGTTAAGGCAGTAAGTTGGACTTTCTCGTCCGTTGTGTATATATTATCTGTAGAACTATATTGGGTTACAAATAGAAAAAACTATCCAACAGCGGCTTAAAAATAGTTTTGTTTTTTTTTTTTTCAAGAAAGAAGTTGGAGGGTAGATGTCTGGTGGCTTGGGTTCTATGAAGACAGAAGTCTGTGTTTTTCTTGGCCTTACTCTCATGTTCATGGTGTTATGGTTGCAAGAATGCTAATGCATCTGCCAGTATCACAACCAATTCAGAATAAGAAAAAGGGAAAGAGAAGCACCGATAGCCATGTCAGCAGCATTATTCCTTTAGTTTAAACAACAAAACTTTCCCAGAAATTGGCAAGCAGATTGCTGTCCATATCTCATTGCCAGACCTATGTAACAAGGCTACCAGATTCAAGGGAGCCTAAGATAACAGCAGCACGATTATCATTGTTTGCTAAGACCCCTCTGATCCATGGTCTGATATGAAGCATATCACTGATATTATGATACTAAGGAAAGAAAAAGGATATGAGTAATTAATAAGCATAAAACAACGTCTGCCACAATATCACAGAAAAATGAAAGTACTTTTATTTTAATTATTTCTTTTATTTTACATTATTTCTTTTATTTTTTATTTTCTTTGTAACCTTTGAGAAAGGACAAATAGCCAACTACTGCAGTCATTTTGTGACCAAAAATCGATTATATGTACTAGGCTAACTAGACAAAAGTGATTAATACTACAACAATTTTATACAGTTAAGATATATAAACCATTGTATTTTAATAGACTAATTTTAAAATATTTTCCTGCTATCATGAATCCAGTTATTTTGAGATGGATAATTAGTTCTGAGTACTAAAATGTTTGTGATCAGCCACCTAAAATCATTTGGCACAATATTTGTACTTTGTTAGTATTTTTGTCTGTGTTACTTTATATTTTGACTAGTTTTTAATGATAAAACATTAACCAAAGATTTAAAAATTTTAGATAAAAATCATTATGTAGGGTTTACATTAATATTAAATTTTGACTAAACTGCAAGGCTGACATGAATGTCAGCAAAAATTTGGGTCACTTCTCCTTTTACATCAGGAGTACTAGGTCATCAAGTTGTTTGTTTATTTTTGGTATGTGCCATCACTTTAAAATAGAGACTATGAGTTTGTGTGACTTTCTGTCTCCTGTAATCCTCATTTATCCTCCCCTGAAGTCTGGAAAGCTAATGATTATATAGGTTGTTTTTAAGTTTGGTATAATTCACTTAAGCATTAGGGGTAATTAAGAACTAAGGTAAGCATCCCTTCAAAACAAAGAATCAGCTTTGCTTACATTTTTTTAAATTCTATTTTAATATAGTAGTTTTTAGTGTACCTTTTGCCTGTTTAGGACAAATGCTATCCTATTTTGCCCCCATTAACATGCTTAAAGCAAAGTGAGTAACAAAATAAAAAAATAAGAAAAGAGGGTTCATTATTACTTTGTTGCTTTCTCATTTGCTTTCTGGAATCTTGTAACTTATTTTTGAAAATTTGATTAGAAAATGTGATTTTTCCAGGAAAACCTAATGTCTGTTCTATTTAGATTGATATGCCTGAAGATTTTCATCTGATATACAATAAAATTGAAGCATTATGGTGATGCTGGCTTCTGTAACATAAGATTTTCAGTAATTGATCTCATAAAATTCATTGATATGTAGGATTAAGTGGTTCAAAAGAGTGAACCTTTGTATTTCACCAGTCAAACGTTGGGGCGAGTATGATATAGATACAAGAGAAAGAGCTTTGGAGTTAGATATACTTGGATTTAGATTTCAGCTATATGCTTATTAGCTCTGGGACCTTGGGCTCTTGCCCTATTAGTGTTTTTCAACTTCCATTTCCTCATCTGTAAAATGGGCAAAATAATATACTAAAAGACAATTGTTAGGATTAAGTGATATAATGTATATTAAGTACAGAAACATATAATTTTAGTTTCAGTCACTGATGTTACAGACCTGAGGACTGAGGCCCTCAAAGTAAAATTATTTCCTCAAGGTCACACAGTAGCAGAACTGGAACCATAGAACTAATGAGTATTCTCTATGCAATGAAGCATTCCCAAAGTGAATTGTGAATATGCACATTTATTTCCAGTAGTGAGGACTTGACAATGTTTTGTTTTTGAAAGAAACAGCCTCATATTATCTATATACATAGTAGGGTGGAATTAAGCTGCTTTATGTGAAGTATTTTGTGATGTAAAGATTTTCAAGCTTCTTATATCATCTAATGTTGGCTTTTCTTTTTAGAATAAAAACAATATGTAAGATTATACAAGTTTGGTTAGCATACCTGACAAGGTAGCCACCGAAAACCATATGGTGTTGCTCTTTTCATGCAATATGTTCTGTGAATATAGCAGACTGCTCATTAGTCATAATTTAGCTGTCAGTAGACTACTGTATGAGCTCTGCCTTAACACTTTGTACAGACGAACCAGTGGATACTGTTTCTGAATTCTTTTCTGCCATCTCCCTGGGTTTACACTTTTTTAGGCTATTAACAATTCAAAACACTTGGTATACATTTCGGATTGATTTTTGCTTCCATCATAGTCATATGCTTTATGGTATGAATATTCTACTGCTTAACTTTTGAAGAGCAATGTCTATAACATCTTTGTGGTGATGAAAAATACTTTGGGGTAAAATAAATAAAGATGAAAATATTTTGAAATAAAAAAGGCACTCATTATTTGCAGTAAACAATTAAGCATAATATTAAGCTAAAGGAAAAATAAAAGTCATCTCTTTTAGGAATCATTTCAAAGATAATGTGAAAATTTAAGTGACTAGTTTTTAAATGTCATTAGAATTCTGTGAATACAATTTTTGGAAGTATTAACATCATGGAAGGAGAATAGACACTGGAACGGAGACATAGGTTTGCCTTCAAGCTCTGCCACTTACAAGTTGTATCAGTTAGTATGTCTTCCTCTTCAAATAACAGCAAATAACTTCCCTACTGGATTAAGCAACAACATTGATTTTTCCCACATAAAAGCAATTCCTGAGAGAGGCAAGTTTCAAGTTTAGATGGATTAACAACTCTATGATATAATTTGGAACCAGATACTTCCCATCCCTTCACTCTGCCAACCTTAATCTGAAAGCTTTGCTCCCCTGCTGATTCTACTTATTTTCTCTCGATGACTGTATCAGTTCCAGGAAATACATCCATTCCCAGCAACATCAAAGGCAGTCAGGAGTTTTCTTTACTAATATTTTCTACCTAAATTCCCTTCCTTTGCAGATCCCCTTCACAGATCACTGGAGAGAACTGAATCAATAGTGGGACCACATAATTGGAATTGAAATAAGTTCATTTTTGCTGAAATGGGAAAATAGAGAGACAAACAAACTTGAATAAAACTGGAAAAGAAAAACCCTGGAAGGACTTGTGTCAAAATAATAAGAATATTACAAGATTGAAGTAAGAGAGGGACATGATTATATTGGTGGTTTACAAAGATCTTTCTGGAAGCAGTATTTTGAAGAAAGTGTTAAGCATCATATCTTTTTCTGCAGAGAGAGCAGTTAGGAGATTTTTCAAGTGAAAAATTATGGCAAGGATTTAACTGGACTGGTTATACTGTGGAATGAAACAGAGCAGGTGATTTAGAGTTATCATTGTGTTAGAATCAGTAGGATTTGGTCAATGATTCAATGTGGGGCTAAAGGTGAGGAAAGGGTGACTCAGTGACTCAGATATTTGGATAGAACAACTAACAACTAGCTCTTTTTTTTTTTTTGAGACTGAGTCTCACTCTGTTGCCCAGGCTGAAGTGCAGTGGCGCGATCTCGGCTCACTGCAAGCTCCGCCTCCTAAGTTCACGCCATTCTCCTGCCTCAGCCTCCCGAATAGCTGGGACTACGGGCGCCCGCCACCAAGCCCTGGTTAATTTTTTTTTTTTTTTTTTGTATGTTTAGTACACACCGGGTTTCACTGTGTTAGCCAGGATGGTCTCCATCTCCTGACCTCGTGATCTGCCCGCCTCGGCCTCCCAAAGTGCTGGGATCACAGGCGTGAGCCACCGCGCCCAGCCAGAGCAACTAGTTATATGGCATTGCACTCGTTGAACTAGGGAACATGGGAGCACAATTTTTATTTTTACTTCTGTATAGAGAAGATACTTTGTTCATTTGGGGGCAGGCTGAATTTGGGGATGATTATATACCATAAATATGTTAAGAACCAGCAGTCAGTTTTACAAATTTACAGGAGTTTTAGGAGAGACAGATGGACAAACTAAATGGATTTATGTGATTATTTGTTAATATCAATATCATTTGTTAATATCATTTGTTAATCAAGAATTTTTGGTGTAGTGTGAGAAGTGAAGGAAATCTACAAAAATGAGGCATTGATCAAAATCGAGATTTGAAGGGATGGTACAGTAAGAATAGCTTATAAAGGAAAGAGAAAGAAGTAGCTAGAGAGGTAAGAAAACCACAGAAATCTGTTGTCACTGAAGATGAAAAGTGAGATTGTTTGTCTATCGTGATCATGACCAAATGCTGCCAAAAGATAAGGCAAATTAGGAGCTCAGAGCTACGCAATTATCACTAGTGAATTTAGTAACAGAAGTTTTAATAGAATAATGGGGATTGAAGCCAGATTATAATGGATTAGGTAAGGAATGAGGAAGATATGAGGAAATAATAGATAGGGGTGTTGACAATTCATTCAATAATTTGAGTTATGAAAAGGACAGAGATAGGACATTTACTGGATGGGAATGTGAGGTTTATTTTTGAATATATTTTAATGAAAATTTTTAGAAAATACTTTGTGGTTAATATACAAAAGGACTAGTTACCCAAATATAGGTTTGTCAGGTAATGTTGATGGCTCATTTGAGGTCATTTACTTAGAATGAAATCAGTCTCTGGTTGTGCAGTTTTTCTCAAGCTATGTTCAGCTGCCTTGGTTCATGTACAAACAAGGTAGATTCATTCCTGATTAGAGTCTTTGGATGTCCAGGGAAATAGGTGGTTGTAATAAAGTGATCTGATGTTTAGGTCTTAAGTAGAGGACTGACTTGGCTGCAGGAAACAATAAGCAGTGCTCATGGTCTGTTACTAAGGTCTCAGTTACTGCTTTATACATAAATTGCCTTGTAGAGCACCTGACATATAGTAAGCATTCACCAAGTTATTTCCCCATATTCATTCTTCTTTTCTCTAAAAAAGACTATGCATATGGATTGCTCAGAATTGTAAAATAAATACTCTTCCATTCATTGTCTGTGAAAATACAGTTGGCTATGGCTTCCTGCCTTCCAGTCAAGGGATGCCAGAAATCTACATAACACTTCTAAACCTATAACATAATTTTCCCCAAATTTACAAATCTAGTTTTCCAGTGGGAAACACATGTCCTCTTTCTCTGCACTCATTTTGTAAACTGTTCTTTGTTCCCTGCAGCAGTTGTCAAACTACAAAATTTAGCCTGAAAGCAAGAAATTACATCTGTGCTGAATGGGACCATGGAGAGAGGCTGGACAGCTGTATATCTGGGGTTTGTTCCCACAGATTAGTTAAATGTGTGTTATAATTGAATCCAGTAGCTTTTCTGATATTGTTAAATGAAAGTCAATAAGCAAGCATCCATCAAAAGCCTCTTGTATGCAATGTGACTTTGACTCAATGCCTTTAGAGAAAGAGAAGGCCATATAATCTGCTACTAACCCAAATTGTTCTCTTTTCATACTGTAGCGGAGGTTTAACTGACATTATAATTGTGTTTGTTAATGTGAAGATAATGGCAAAAACAGAAACAATATAAGTAAGAATATGACTTCTAATTGTCTATCTTCATGTCATCAAGGATCACACATTCTCTTAAGCCTTTGCCCACTGATGGTATATGGTGGGATCACATGTCCTTGATCTATCTTTTGACTCTTCAAAGTCTGAAAACACTTTCATTCCAATGTGTCTATTTCCTGGAGAATCTAATACATTTTCCTGCTCATAGTGACTTAAGTTGGCAAGATGTTAAGGATAAAGTAGTGGAGTCAAAGTGATACAGAACAAGTTAGAATGTTTGAAAGTTATAATCATTGAAGAACATATTTGTATTATTAACCTAAGCTAAACTTTAATTATTAGAATGTGTGAAGTTGAGGATTTAGGAATCTTCTTATTCATATTCCATTTTATTTATTTGCTCTTTGCTCTCCTTGAATCTCAACAAATATAATGAGTTAGCAATCTGCTTTTTCTGAAAGTGAATTTTCTAAAAGCTTTTCTCTGTTCAATAAAGCATTGAAATTGTTAATGTGTAGTAATACAATTAAAGCATACTAAAGACTATTTTGAATTAGTTTCTTTCATAATCTGTTATTTGGTTGGGCATTCAGTTAAGTGACTTTTCCTTATTAAAAAGTTCCTGTATTAGTATTTTTCCCTATACGTTAACTTTAGGAATTTGCAATTTAGTACATATTCATTAACCCCTTTAAAGTTATTTCTCCTGGATAATCAGCCTTCTTAATTACTGATTAAAATACCAATATCAACCAACATGTCCATCTTAATCATAATTATACAATGGCTCAGGGAAAAGTCACCTTGAAATCTGTCTCTCAGTTGAATGGTATGACTGTATTTTAAAATATAAATAATAGAATGAAAAAAATTTTCATAAAATTTCTGATATCTAATGTCTTCTAGAGTAACTGTGGCATCAAACATTTCCTCTAATTATATTCATTAGTGGGTTCTCCCAGACAAGTTTTAATTAAGTTGTACAATAAGATCAATACTCATGTATTCATTGCAATTTACGACAAGCATATATACTGTTCAGAACAATTTAATTACTGTAATTATAGCACAGAAGATACTTAGTGACTATGCTCTATTACTGCCAATCCCCTCTTTTTAATAAATTTGGTAATTGGGAAATTAACTTCTGAAAATTCACATTTATATATACCCTATGTCTAAACTTCTTTTTTTTTTTTTTTTTTTTTTTTGAGACAGAGTCTTGCTCTGTCGCCCAGGCTGGAGTGCAGTGGCACAATCTCAGCTCACTGCAAGCTCCGCCTCCCAGGTTCACACCATTCTCCTGCCTCAGCCTCATGAGTAGCTGGGACAACAGGCACCCACCACCACACCCGGCTAATTTTTTTGTATTTTTAGTAGAGATGGGGTTTCACCGTGTTAGCCAGGATGGTCTCAATCTCCTAACCTCATGATCCACCCGCCTCAGCCTCCCAAAGTGCTGGGATTACAGGCGTGAGCCACCATGCCTGGCAAACTTCTGTTTTTTATATAGCTATCTTTGATTTTTTGTTTTACTAGTAGGGAAAATGGAGGCATTGATTACAGTAGTGGCAAAGTGCTTTTTCATGCATATTGTCATGAATACTGAGAAATTATGGAAGCGTATATAAGAACACCTGTAATAATTATATCGGTTATGTGAAAGATAATTTAGTGGTGTTATATAGTCAGATATTCTGTTTTTATTTTTATAAATAAGACTAAAATATTTTATTACTTTAATTTTCTTAAATTGAAGTATTATTTTGGTTCAAAAAGAAGGCCCCCAAATATGCTAACTTCTGTTAAATTTCTACTTTCACAATTCTTTATCTGGTACATTGATAGATGAACAGATCATTCTACTGATATACCATATAAATAATTGTGAAAGTAGAAAATTTCTAGTGGCATCAATAGGTATATAACAGGGTTTCTTAACTTTGGTACCAGTGAAATTTTGGCCAGATAATTCTTTCCTGGGGAGGTTGACAGTACATTGTAGGATGTTTCACCACATACCTGACTTCTTCCCATTAAATGCCAGAAGCAAGTATTCATCCACTAATGAACTCAGAAAATAGATAAATGCCCCTAAATGTGTCCAGACATTATTATATCTCCATGTTGAGAACCACTGGTGTATGCTGATTAGCCACACCCTCCTGATCTTTCCACTGACCAGATTATTCATTCATAAGATAAACAGCTATTCAGCTCTTCTGAACTGAGGCTAGGTTCATAGGCGTGAGTCAAACATGGTGTTCTTATAAGAGAATTCTGTGCATTCAGTGTTTTAGAGATAGGAATTGAGTAGTCATAGAATATTAAGTAATAATACCTAACTCAGATTTAGGAAAGGGAAGATCAGAATAGTGTCCTGAAGAAGGAAGTTCCTGAAATACGTTTTGAAGGACAAAGGAAACGTTAGCAATTCAGAAGGTAAAAGAAAGATATGTATTTTAAAATTTGCACATACATTTTAGTTATTTTCTCTGAGAATCAAATCCTAATTTATTCTCCATTATATAAACAAAATCATAATATAATAATATGCAAATAATTGCTAAAATGCCTAATTTTACTCTTTTTCTCAATTTCCATTCTAGAAATGGGATGTGTAATTACCTTTTTAAGATTGTGAATTTTATGAAATCATTTGTTTCCAGAAGGACCACAATTTTAGGCAGTAGTGGGAAGATACATACATGTATTTCTTGTGAATTTCCTAGTCTATATACGAATAAAACTATTTGACCATATCACTGTAAGATTATAGAGATTCCTAATGTAGTTATTCTCATGTATTCTGCAGTGTATTCCGACATTGAGAACACTCAATAAATTATATTAACAGCCAAGCTAGTTTTTTGAGGTAATTCGTTTTGTCCAACACATACATATTTTCCAGGAAAAAAAAAAAAAGGTAAAAATGGTAATTTAGTTTAAACCTAATTCAAGTGCAGTTAACTGAATCTTGAAAAACCATCTGAAATTCTGTTGATAATACTTCATATTTCATATTAGTAAGAGGTCTACAAGGAATGCTGTGTTTCTCATGGTAGGCTGGTTATGAATTCCTGGAATTCCTATGCACATCAGTTTGCTGCCAAAGGATTAAGTTCAATTTGATTGCCGTCATTAGCACCCTTAGTTTGCTGATTTGCTCTACTTTGTCTCATCTACACAGATATGCTGCTGCTCAATATAAAAGGTGAATCAAATGAATCATTAAGATGAATAAACATAAAATTTAGGTTCTGCAACCCCTTGGTATTTAGTCATGTCTAGACACAGCCCTAGTGTCCCAGAAAAACTAAAATGAGGACAAGGGCATTTAAGTTTAATGTAGCCTTATTCCCATGGAAATCAGGAAAGCCAACCATAAAGTAAAAAGAAGAGTATGGATCTGTCTGAAAAATTAGATGTAGTGAGTGGCAGGATTTGCAAGGTCAGTGGGTATTAGAACAGTTTTTGTTTGTTTTTTAAAGAATAGTTTTTCAGTTAGATCACCATTCCTTTAAGAAATTAACAGTTCCACAAATTAATTATTATTCCTTAAAACCAGTATGATTTGAGTAGGTTAAAAATGATACAAACATTATATTGCATGCATTTGTATAGTTAATGAGCTCAGAAAATAGATGAATAAAGTATATTTAGCAACAACCTATATATGTGTATATATAGGTAATATTTAACATATTTGTTTTTCTACAGATTTTAAGTTATTGATTTATTTTAATGTTACTAACATTATTATATACTTTCAATGTGGTTTATAAGATATGCATGTTCCCAAACGTGCTTTTGTCTCATTAATTTTTGCTACTGTGAAATAAATGATGCATAATAATAGTTAAATGTACATAATTTCTCTAAGATGTAGAAAATTTCCTCAGTCATAATAATGTTATATTATCTTATAAAGTATTAAAACACATCCCAGCCTATCAACTGTTATTCCTTTAGTACTTTAGGCTTACACTTACACAAAGAATCATCCTTTTAGAAATGGTAGCATTTCAAGATACTGGCTTTTGAATACAGCTTAAGGAAGCCTCAATACCTCTACATAGGAATAACTCACGTGTTTCCCTTTCAGGTTCATATTCCAGGCTCATTCAAAGTTGTTCTGTTGCACAGGAGGCCAGGTAGAACCATGTGGGATAGGTATAATAGGTTGGAAAAATAATGATCTGTGATCCAGGGCTAAAGTATTTTGACTAGACAGTACCCTATAAGCTAGTTTGATTTCTCAGAGACAGTATGTAACACCATATGTATGATATGTATGAGTGTGTATGTGTGTGCATGGGGGTGTGTGTGTGTGTAGATACTCATAAATGGCTTCCTTTTGTAATGACGGTACTCAAACTTCCGTCCTGGAGTTTCTAAATATCTTGGGATTCCCATATATAATATATCTGACAGTTCTACATGAAACATCCTTTTTAGACTATGGTCATATCTAAGAAGAAGATATCTTTGGGAATGCCATGGATTCTTAAGTATATCAACTATCTCAAGAACTGCTACAATTTCCTTGTCTTGGTTAAGGGTGTGTAGATTTATTTCTTAATTAAACTTGCAATTTGGATTACAGATTTCTGTTAATATCACAAAAAATGTTACAATCTTGGGAATAGTTTATTGCTGTTTAATGTAAATTATTTGTTAATTGCTGCATAACAGCTTTCCAGAAGAAAATAAAATACATTTAGCTCCAATTTTATGGCTGCAGCTTAATCCCAAAACCTCGAGCTTTGTACAAGGCCACATGAAAGTTTCATTTTTGTGGGCTTACTTTTTGTCTTTTTTTTTCCTTATTAGCTTTTTTTTTAAATTTATTATTGTTTTGCAAGAAAAAAATTAGGGTAATGATTTGCTTTCAGAGAATTTTGCTGTGATTGTTCTTCAAATGTTTATTTAAAATCATTTGTTCTCCTGCATCAATATATTTTCTTTAAATTATACCCATTGTATTCATCATAATGAACACTTAATTTCAGTTATGTAAACAACATGCAATTTTAATAACACTATTAAAATAGAGATACAATATTCATGATAATATACATTTCACTGAGTTTTTTGTTCTTTTCTTTTCAGTGAATTTATTGGATTCACGCACTGTCATGGGGGACCTGGGATGGATTGCTTTTCCAAAAAATGGGGTAAGTTTTATGAAAGTTTTTCTAAAACTTAAGCTATGTGCGTAAGCATCTTGATACTTGTAACACAGGAATGAATATGTACTGGATGTATATGTTGTTAAGACAGGAGGTGCTATGTGTGTGTTGGATGGGGTGAGGGGACTTCAAATAACTCTAATCAAAAAAAGGAACACTAGGGAAGGGCTTTCAGTGACTGAAGAGTCAATATATTATTTCCTCTCTGAGTATTGTTCCACAAAGAGATGTGAAGTTTCCTTCAGCATTTAGGAAAAGTTCACATTAAAACAACAAAGAAACTTTCAGAATTAGTTTATATTAAAGATAAAAGTATTTTATTTGCTATTAATTTGCCATCATCCTGGCATATTGCACAGGAAATAAAATTTAACAGGTCTATGATCAGTGTTGATTCAACGCTGGGACCAATTTAATTTTTACTTCATTTACAGAATCAGGGAATAAAAAATATTATAAGAAATTCCTTTAAATGACATTGAGATAAAAAAAGATTCCAAGAAACTATTATAATATCATGTACACATGCAATTCATCTAGAAAATTGTGCACACTTATATTTTTAGATGATATCAAAGGTTAATTTTAGAGTAATCAAATATTATAACAAATTTGATTATAACAACCTAAAGAGGCAAAATTTTCATTTTCAAATTAATGAGTAAACCAGATGTGTGAATCAGTCCTTTACTAAGAAAGTTATTATGGAAATAACACATTGTATTAATTATTCTAATTCATAATAATTTGTATATTAACATCCTCATCTCAGTGGGCTTTTATGTTTTTCATCAATTTGGTATTTCTTTTTAGTTGTTAAAAGTTACAGATGTACTTAAAGACATAATATTAAGAAGGAATACTACTAGATTTTTAAGATAATAGAACATAAAGGTAAGGCAAAATAACAAAAAACAAACAAAAACATTGCATAACCCAGGTAGAGCCAGGCTCAAGATGATAACATGTATACTTTCAATGTGTTCCTCTTTTATCTTTCTTACACTCTTCCTTCTTCCCTGCACCATCACACTCTTTCTCTCATCTATCATCGCTCCATACAGATAAATGCCTGGCTAACATCTGTCTATGAGAACCTATACAGATATTTTGTATTCTCCCTTTTTTCATGTACCAAAAATAATCTATTGAATAAATATTTTAATTTTTTTTTCTTTCTGAGAGGATGGCTGATGTGCTGTGTTGAAATTAATTTTTTAGAATCCAGAGAAAATATATGAGATATTCTCTTTGAATTTAGTTTTGTGTTTTTCTCCTGTTTCCACTCAGACATTATTAAAATAGAGCCTTGGAAGAGCATATCTATGAGAGTATACGTATGGTGTTGTAGTTGCTGTTGCAACTATACATTTGAAGACAATTACTCAATTTTATACATGATTTCTATATGAAACAATTAATTGCTTTATAAAAACATAATCCTTCTGTATTGGGAGTGGGATTTTTTAAATTATTCTAACAACTTCATGCTGTCTTTTTTTTCTATTATTATTGTTAATATAGTGGTGTATTTGTTCTGTTTTTTAAACAATAAGGATCCTTTTCAAAATTCTTGTAATTATGTTGAGTAATGTTTCCTTCAACATAGTGTACCAGATGTTAATATTGAAGACAGGGAAGTTAATTTAGAGGGGCTTAATGAATGTATATTTGAGGGTGAAAAATGTGTATGGGATTCAGGTGTTATGTTTTGTATTGTATCACTCGAATGCAAAATGAAGGAAAAAATGTATTATATTTAAGGAAAATGAATGTTCAAGGTATATACAATGATAGTAAAAACATATAGACTTAAAATGTTTTTAGTTGGCTGTGCCATTTGTGATTAGATAAGCAACATAATCGTAGGTGAAATATAGATTATCAGAATGATGTACATAAAAACTGTGGAGTAATGAACTCCAATTTTTTTTTCAATAAATGCCACAAGAAAACTGGAAAAAAAATGTTCGAGTCAATTGTTTTGGAACTCTGGATTCAAACAACATCTTGGAGCAATATAGGGCATGCTTATTTAAGAAAAATGACTGAATCTTTTAAAGATAGCAAGGTTTGTGGCATTTTACTTGCTCCGTGTCCTTTCTGCCTCTCTAGCTCTGAGGTAGTCTTGAAAAGCCAAAATTCAGTCATCATGGTGAAAACCAGTAGCCTCGTAAGAACAGAAAGGAAGTAGGAGACTCTTCCCAGCCTCAATTTCAGAGAATTGTCTTTATTTGACATGTTTGAGAACTCTCTAGAAGACTACATTGTAAGACACTCTTGATTTCACCTGACTTAGAGCTCTTGAAGTATCTTTTTCTCAGCTGGGAATTTGTCAAAAAGAGAGGCAATTGTCTGATTTTTCTTCTGTGTGAGGGGCTAGATAAAATTTGGGACAAACAATAGGCTTGCCAACCAGAAAACTTAGGGAAAGCTGGAAACTGAGATGTCCACATTGATTTTAAAATGTCTCAATGAATTATTTGGAATTTATAAGGCCATGCACATGTGTAGGACTGTGTACATGCCCAAGGATGTAAGTATGCTCAGGAAAGACCTGAGAAAGACCTAAGGTTTTACTTGTGCACAAGCAGGAAGTGAAGGTTAAGGTAGGTCTTTAATTGCTTAGCTGAATATTGAAGGAATGTCCCAACATGCACACACAGACCCTCAGCGAAGTTGAGAACACTTACTGGTTTGAGATTAACAAAATATTCTGTCTAAGCAATACCTGGTATGTAAGCTAATAGAGAAATGACTTTGGCCGGGCGCAGTGGCTCACGCCTGTAATCCCAGCACTTTGGGAGGCCGAGGCGGGTGGATCACGAGGTCAGGAGATCGAGACCATCCTGGCTAACACGGGGACACCCTGTCTCTACTAAAAATACATAAAAATTAGCTGGGCGTGGTGGTGGGCGCCTGTAGTCCCAGCTACTCGGGAGGCTGAGGCAGGAGAATGGCTTGAACCCGGGAGGTGGAGCTTGCAGTGAGCCAAGATTGCGCCACTGCACTCCAGCCTGGGCGACAGAGCGAGACTCCGTCTCAAAAAAAAAAAAAAAAAAAAAGAAAAAACTGAGCAATGACTTCAATGTCTACACATGGCCATTGAAAAATACAGAGTTTACAGAATTATTTCAGAGAAGTCATTAAAGAAACAAACATTAACACACCCTGCAGAGTGGGGGAGAATCTAATTTTCAGAGTTGTCACATTACTTTATTTAATATGCCAGGTTTGCAATAACAAAAAACTATGAGAAATGCAAAGGCAAAAAGAACAAACACAATTATTAGACTTTGTACTGAAGATGCCCAGCTGTTAAAATATGTTGAAAGAAGTAAGGGAAAATATGTGTAAAGAACTAAAAGAAAATGTAAGAGCAATGTATAATTGAATTCAAAGTATCAATAAAGAGATAGAACCTCTTATAAATGAAAAATAAATTGGAGTTGAAAAGTATAAAAACAAATGAATTTGCAATACAGCCTTAACAGCAGATTTGAGCACAGAGAAGAAAGGATAAGCCCACTTGAAGATAGGACAACTGAGATAATCAAATCTGAGGAACAGAAAGAAAAATTAATGAACAGAAATAAACAGAAACTTAGAGATCGGTGGAAAGAACACAGATATAATGGGAGTCTCAGAAGAAGAGAGGCCAAATGGGTCAGAACAAATATTTGAAGTATTAATGGAAATAAAGTTCCCAAATTTGATGAGGAAACATTAATGCACACATTCAGGAAACTCAGCAAACATAAGCAGGATAAAGCTAGAGAGATTCACAGCTAGACACATCATAGTTAAACTGTCAAAAGCCAAAGAGGGAGAATTTCAAAAGTAGCAAGAGTCAAACATCTCACCTTGTATAAAAGATCCTCAGTACTTTGCACAGCTAATTTCTCACTAGAAATAATGGGGTCCAGAAGGCAAAGCGATGACCTCTTCAAAATGCAAGAAGAGAAAGACTGTGGAGCTAGAATTCAATATCCAGGAAAACTGCCTTTCAAAAATGAAGAAACTAACACATTCTCAAATAAGTAAAATCTGTGCAACTATAAATGATCAAAATAAATATTTTTACTACTGGAAATATAACTTTAGAAATAGGTTTTACACATATGCAACCTACATATTTTTTCTGAGAAAACTGCATCTTTATTTTCCTTTTATTCTGTCTACTTCATTTCCATAGGGAAACATAAACTGATTATTTGATTTCCCTCAAGTTTGAAAAATGTGTTTTAAGTAACAACAGTTAATTTTACAAGAGTTTGTTTATGGTATTGTTTTATGATTTGATGTCATGTTTTAATAATAAACACACAGTGCTGCTGTTTGCATTTATGCTTTCATAGATATGGCTTAAAATCATTTTATTTCAAATTCAAGTATGATTTGCATATTAACATTGTTTTAAAGAAATCAAGTATAATTTGAATCAGTAAGTGGCCTTAAATATTTGTTGTATACAATGTCTTACACCAGAGTCTGATTTATATAAAACTTGGGTAAGAGGAGGGTCCCTGTCCTTGAGTGAGTCTCATATAACTTAACCCTATTGCTCCATTCATTCAGGAAATATTTACCTGAATATTTCTTGTTTTTGAGACGGAGTTTCACTCTTGTTGCCCAGGCTGGAATGCAATGGCACGATCTCAACTCACCGCAACCTCCGCCTCCTGGGTTAAAGCAATTCTCCTGCCTCAGCCTTCCGAGTAGCTGGGATTACAGGCATGTGCCACCACACCCGGCTAATTTTGTATTTTATTAGTAGAGACGGGGTTTTTCCATGGTGGTCAGGCTGGTCTCGAACTCCCGACTTCAGGTGATACGCCTGCCTCGGTCTCCCAAAGTGCTAGGATTACAGGCATGAGCCACCGTGCCCAGTCTGCCTATTTACATATATCATGTAAATTATGAATTCTGTTCTAGAGATTGTTTTTTCTCTTATGCTACCAGAAAACTTACTTTGTTTTGTATTATTTACATATAGTTTCTTCCTCTAAATAGAATTCCTGATTTAAAGTGAATCAATCTTACTCAGATTTTTATCCCCAGTTGTGGAGATATTGCCTGGCATATTGCCTAATACAGATGATATAGTTAATAAATATATATTAAGTTGTATTGGTCCCTTGGGAATTCAAAATGCCTTATAAATAATAAAAAAGCAATTGTATGAATATTCAATTAAAAGTACTACACTTTCTTCACTTTTTTCAGAATATTCTTCTTAACTTTAGGCCTTAAGAATGGATATGTTTATTTCTTATACTGGTAAAAATGTCTACCTCAAATCTGGGCTTAAGAATTTGGCAAGAATTTAAGGGAAACACTATTATTCATTCCTCATAATCAGATACATGTACCATACATTTGTTAAAAACAATCATTGCACCTGCAATACTTTTCTGTATGTGTCCTCTTTATTACATTGTAAACTCAGACTTACTGTAATTATTTCATATTTGCCACTTTACAATGTTTCTAAAACTTGACTCAATTTCTGGCTTGTAATAGAACTTCAATAAATATTTATTGGAAGGATAACTTATTTTTTATTTATAAAATGGGGCATAAATTACTTACAGTTTTCTGATAAACACGGAATAAGTAAAACCTAGCAAAGAACTTGACACAGTGTTGGCAGTCAGTAAATATCCTTTCCTTGACCTTCTATTGCATTTCTATGTTAATGCTAAGAGAACCACCACTCCATAAGGTTTTGTTTGTTTTAGCATATACGTATATATATATATATATATATATATATATGCAAAACTCATATTTGTGTATATATATGAGTTCATTTTTAACAGACAAAATTTGAAGATTTCATATAAAATCTGAATTTCAAGTTTCTGTTAATTGGATATTTCAGGAAGCCAGAGGCAGGAGCCTTTCATAGCTTGAATAGTCCAAAGCTGAGTAAAACTGCCATATAGGAGAGTATGCAAATTCTCCTCTTTGACTTATTTACTACCCGACACTCCTCATTCATTTAAGTTACCAATCTGTGACAATGACAGCAATGAATAGTCATTTTTTTGATATTGCAGAAGCATCCACATTTTTTTTTGTTTGTTTCTGGAGGGACCTAACTGAAAAAAAAAAAAAAACTTTTCTGTGCATGCTGGCATGGTTTCTTTTTAGTCTTTGAGTACTTCCCCTTAATTAGGAAATGCCATTTGAATTTTGGCATCCATATGTATTTTTCAACTGTTACATATGTGACAGACAGTATTTATTTGTGTGTGTTTGTGTGTGTATATTTGTGTGCCTGTTGGTCTGCCTCATGATAGTAACTTTAACTCTCCTCTTTTTTCTTCTGGACATATCTAGCAGTACTATGTTACAGCAAATTTTATGCAAATTTGCTGCATTTATTCATTCAACAAATATTTATCAGGCTCCTAGTGTATTTCCCTCAGTCTTCTAGGCACTGGGGCTACAGCAGTGAAGTAAAACACCCCAAATTCCTCACATCCTAGAACTTAAGGGAGCATTATGGTCCTGAGAATGAAGAATCAAGGAGAAAAAGGCGGTAGATAATACATTTTCTTGTATTGTTCTTTCTTTTTATAGATGTGCAAAAGTGTCAGAGAGATGATGGTATTTGACCAAGGTCACTTAAGTAGTTAGCGACACACCTGGGAAGAGCACGTATTCTGTATTTGGCACATGCAGTGTCATATAGCTCTTTCTAATTCTATCTTGCTATGAAAAAATACACTTTCAGTATATAAATATACACCAACATTTAGTACTAATAATGACAATGCACAAAGGGACACTTAATATTCTGTTTGTAGATGAAAAAAAAAATGAGATTCAGTATGGGTAAGTGACTTTCCCAAGGCTTTGCATTTACTTGGAGACTGAGTCCATTTCAATCCCAGGTCATCCAACGTCCTGATTATTTAAAACCAGACATGAGCTACTCTAAATGGTTAGGTTTTCAGAGTAACGACCAGGTTCTGGCGGGTACCCAGATTTTACTTTATACCTACAAGAGTCCATGCTAAAGAGGGAATTCACCTCAAAGAGAAGTTTTAAAATGTCCAGAGTGGGTTGCATTCTATCCACTGTTAGACCATAAATGTTGAAACAACATATAGAACATAGCTACTCAAATTTCTGCAAGGTTTCACTTTCTCATTGAGTGTCAAACCTATGTTAGCAAATTCCAAACCTGAACATTAGAAAAAGATAAACAAAACCTTTAAGAACTAAATATCTTTCTTAAAAGGTAAAAGTCTTGTTTTATATAAATCTCATTTTAATTAAAATTATGAAAGCATTTAGAATCAATTTTAAAACTTCATAGAAATACACTAATCTCAGTTTTCTGATCAAATTACTTGGCGGAATAATAGTAAACCCAATAGACTCTGTAAAATAAATATTTCCTCACTTAAAGCTTTCCTCCCTCTTTATCTTTCTGCCCTTAAGCTATCAATCTCATTATTCATAGCTTCACTAGCCTATATGTACACAACCTAAAAATGTATTTTGTTTTTGCTTCCTTCTAATTACATTAGAGTTGTTTCAGTCAGCGTCTGGAACATTTTGTATTGATTAATTTATATAGTCTAAGCCTTTATGTGAACATAATCTTTCCCTGGAAATTTTTATCAAGTGTTTTCAAGGCTTATTCTTGTGAGAATAAAATTAATGGTTTGGTGTTTGCTTAGAACAGTTTGTGATCTCATGTCTTAGAAATTCCACTATTGCTCTTTTTTTTTCTGTAAGCTGTTGTTATGTAAGATCACAAGATACACCTGCCTCCTTTGCTTTGGTGGAACCAGTCTTCTCCCCACTGAGTTGTCTGTGCTTCCTCTAGCACACAATGGGGAAACCACTACATTCCCCTGAGCATCGGTTGTATTGCTAATTCTGCTTTGATTTTTGCTCTATTTTCTTCCTCCAGTCAAATAAAGAATATAAACATCATTTTAAATTTTTTTCTAATGCTGATCTTAAGAACTTTTAGGATCATTCATAATCATTTTTTCATTTGAAGACTTCAGATTATTGACTTAAGTGGTATTTGTACTAAAATGGAGACAAAGTAAGTTGCTCTGTGCCTGGAGGAGAAAGAAAAAGTAACCCTACATTGTAGATACTTCAAAACAGGAGTTTATGGCTTTTCTTGTTTTATTGTCGCTTTGTTCTGTTATTTCTTTGAGACTGAGAACCTTTGTGCTTACTTTTGAAGCTGGAAATAACTCAGGTTTTTACTCAAAATGGACTGTGAATACATTGTTAGTGTTTTATGTGTTTTCTCCTGAATCAAGAAGAACTTAAGCTGGATTTTCCATTCTGGTACTCAGATTTTGACAATAGTGTGCATGTTTGTGTTTGTGTGCGTGTTTTGTGTATAATTTCTTGTACCTCAAATTAAAGGCAAGAATAAGGAGAAGCATTTGAACTCTGCTGATCTCGTATTTTGTTGAGGATCACAGTGAGTTTTGCCAGAACCTTATTTTGGCTTTGCTTCCTACTGAAAGAAAGGAAAAATAATGACTAGCACAGAAGCCCACACTGAGCATGAAGGGGCTAATAAAGATTAAAGTAATGCTGAAGTGGGTAAAAAAAAGAGCACATTAGTGGATATAGAAAAGCTCTTTATTTGAACAGTGATAGACAATAATTCTAAAGGGAATGGATATTATAATATATAATGCAAATGCCAATATAATGAAGAACAAGCCTGATCCAAAGTAGCTTTGTATTCATTATTTTTTAGAAAAATAAAAAGCATACCCCATCTGTAAAATAATTAAGATAAATAATTTATGGAATTCAAGCTAGACATTAAGCATACACTGAAGTATAGAAGACAAAATATTTTGCATTTAGATTTCTCACATGGAAACAGCAATTATGAATAAGGTTCTTTAAAATGTTCTTCTCTGCTTCTGTATATAAGACAAGTATTGTATTTAGTCTTTGATATATACAAACACTTAAAATGAATTGATAATAGTCATAGCATATTCCTGCATAGTACGATTGAGATATACATGCATTATTTGTTCATTAGCTTCATTAGGTATCACTGTGTTTACCCTGGTTATATATGTAAAATCAATATAAATTAATGCCAATATTTTATTCTTTAGAAGTTCTCAAAACACTTTTCCTAATTAATAGAGAAACTCATAAATTGGAAAATGGCCTTTATCCATAATATCATCTTATTAATCTCTTTTTAACCCAACTGCAATTGGCTAGCTAAATGTCCTACCCTTTAGATTTAAGTATTACTTCCTCAAGAAAGTATGACATCCAGACAAACTCTGTTCCTCCTCGTTAGCAGTTCATGCAGTGAAATCCATCTCTTCTCCCCTCCATCCTAACCTCTATCTAATGTTTTTGCTCCAGATTACAACGTGTACAGGTGTGTTATCCACACTTATCACTTTGTCTAGTTTTGCATCCAATTGTTTATTATTCTGATTTTTTCTTCTTTAGATTGCTTTTTTCACTTGTTTGTAAAACAGGCGGGAAGCAAACATGTGAACAAAGAGTTTCGGGGCATTTATAGAGTCATATACAAGTTATTGTTACCTACTCCTGTGACATGAGGTACCTGTTAACAGACTTGTACCAGATGCATATTTCCCAGTATAATTTCCACAATCTCATATTGAGTCCAAATATTTTCCTTTTCCCCATTATGTATAGAGGGATATATAGGTCTCTGTCTAAGTGGTTCTCTGCCAAATGATATAGTCCATGCAAAACCCAGGCCTAAAGTTATTTTTCTTTTGAAAAAAAAATCTCCTGACATTGATATTTGCACCAGTTTCCGTATGTGAGTATAATTATTTTTGTTTTGTTTTTTCCTTCCATCTTCCCATTTATTAATGAAAATGTTAAATAAAACTAGGCCTTGCAGAGTTCCCTGGGGACAAATCACCAGGTATTTTTTCCAAGTGGTTTGATTGGTGTTTATCATGATCTTTTTTTTCCTATCATCCTTCAGCTGTTTTCAATTCCTGTGACAGTGCTCCCATGCAAGTCAATTTGAATTAATTTTGAAAGCAAATGCTTTATGGTTCTGAGTACATAATCTCCCTCTCCCACAGAGAAAAAATATACTGTAATCATCCCGCATTCCTGTTGATTATTTCCATTAAAGGCAGCAGGGGAAGAGAGACTCCTCTTGCTTTTGAAGTTTTTTGAGGCTTTTGCTATTCATTGCCTTATTCTCTCTCTCTTTTTTGTGTTGTTCAGTGCTTGCACTAATGGAGAAAATGACGTCCCAAACTGCTCAACCTGAAATTTTGGTCCTTTGGAGCCTAGCCATTGTTGTCTTTGTGATCCTATATCCCCCAATACTTTCCCTCTAATGAGCTCATTTCTTTCATCTTAACTCTACAAATGATTCATATAAATTTCTACTTCTGGTGTTTTCCACAAATTACTTGAAATACTTCTTACTCTCCATAAAATCCATCTTAATGATAATCATTTTTTCAAGGTACAGCTCAAGTTATACAACATGAAACCTCTCATTACCACCCAGAAGTGTGGATACTTCTTTGGATGAATCAATATAGCAATTATTGTATATTGAACACATTGAAAATTAGATATTTATAGTGTTATCGATTGTGTGAATACTGTAAACTGTTCTACTGTAAAGACCTTTTTGTCTTCACCTCTAGCAGATCACTCTATGCCTCAAATATAAATTTGCATTACCTATATCAGTTACTGATTGATAATCAGGTATTTAAATCTTTAGGAAGAAGGGATTGTTTGGAACCAAAAGGCTGCAGATTTTTTTTTTTTTTTTTTGCTGAAAATTGAACAGTGAAACAAAGATAGCAACCTTTGGATTTAGGAGTTTCTATTTATTTTGTATTGTACTAAGCTGAGCCAATAATACTTTACAACTTATTTTTACCAACAGTGCTTATGCCAAGCACAGAGATTATGGTGGTAAACAGGACTCAGTTTCTGTCCTCAAGTATTAAAAAACATCGGTTTGAATGATGTCTCCTAGAGTTGTGAAATATACAACCTGCACAAACATAAACACAACAATGGGGCTACTCCTCCATTGAGTTTGATCCAATTTACTAATGTATATAAATATTTGCATCCTTAATGGCAGTATAGTTAATATAGAGGTCTTGACATCAGCTAATCTAGATTCCAGATATGATCCAATTCTTTACTACCTCATGTGTAACAAATTAGTTAATCTTTCTGTTTCTTCATCTATACATTATGTATAATACTACCTACTGTACAAGGTTGTTATAAGGATTACAATGAGTCAGTGATGCAGTGTTTAGCACAATACCTGACCCATATTGAGGACTCAGTGTGATGTTGGCATTATTCTTGTTCTTGTTCTTGGTTTCTGTTTGGTTTTTGAGATATACATGCATTATTTGTTCTTTAGGTTCATTAAGTATCACTGTGTTTACCCTGGTTATATATTTAAAATCAATATAAATTAATGCCAATATTTTCTTCTTTAGAAGTTCTCAAAACACTTTTCCTGATTAATAGAGAAACTCATAAATTGGAAAATGACCTTTATCCATAATATAGTCTTATTAATCTCTTTTATTATTATTATTATTATTATACTTTAAGTTTTAGGGTACATGTCCAACTGCAGTTGGCTAGCTTAATGTCCTACCCTTTAGATTTGACTTAAGTATTACTTCCTCAAGAAAGTATGATGCAGTGTTCAGCACAATACCTGACCCATATTGAGGACTCAGTGTGTGATGTTGCCAAGGAGAGTCTGAGGCAAATGTTACAGCAGGAGTGGAAAGTTACTAAAAAGCTTTTTTATTCTTACCAAATGATAGGTAGTGGTTGTGATAGACTTATAAGTTCATTATGTTTTGATCATTCTCTTTGGTATGTTTGAACTATATTTTAGTTAAAACTTAAAGATGGAAAAGATATTCACTTGTTAAATAAAGCATGTAGATAATTTATTAATAAACCCTTGAATGGTTTTACCAAAAGTCACTCTGGCACTTTTCTTGGTATTATGTATATAAACTTTCCTAAAACAATTAATTGTTTTTCACTGATATGAACAATTCAGTTTCACAAATCAAAACAGGAATGCATACTAATTACAGCAAGAAGGGAAAATGCACAGTGAAGGCAGGGAATGTTTATCAAAAGCAGACTAAAGGATTGTAATTTTGTAGATTTTTTGATGATAGGCTTACATAAATCTATGACAACACTCTTTGAAAACCTTTTTGTATGCATCACTTTACCCTCACCAAGAGCAGGGGTACAATGATGGGCATGTGCTCAATAATAAAATTGATCTTCAAAACAACTTAAGTGTTGTTCCGCTTTTTCTCTTAAGCAGTCAGGATATAGAGGAAGTATTTCATCCAAAAATTATTAATAAGATAAAATATTATCCTTACAGGGACAGTTTCCAGGAAATATTCTAACCTTATGAGTTATCCATACAAATAAAGCTGATTTAATTATTTATTATTCTGTTAGTCAAAAGTCAATTGGTTTCATTTAATGTAAAATGACTTCAGCTAGGCAGGGGTTGCTTTCTCTCTCTGGTTCCTGCTTCTGACTGTTACCAGCGGCGAATCTGTACAGGTCTGCAGCAACCTCAATTCTTGCCTCCTTAGAAGAAATAATTTGAGGCAACCTAAGGCAGAAGAAGAGTCTGAGGCAAGTGTTAGAGCAGGAGTGGAAATTTATTAAAAAGCTTTAGAGCAGGAATGAAAGGAAATAAAGTACACGTGGAAGAGGGCCAAGCAGGCAACTTGAGAGATCACTGAGAGAATGCACTGATGACCTTTGACTTGGCATTTTATATGTTGGCATACTTCTGGGTCTTGAATCCCTTCTCCCCTGAGGCTTCCCTTGAAGTTGGCTGTCCACATGCACTGGCCTGCTACCACTTGAGAGGGGCCTCATGCACAGTGTATTTACTGGAGTTGTGCTCATGCTGACTTCAGGCATTCTTGCCTTGCCAGTGGAATGTCCCTCCAAGGTCATATACCAGTTAAACTCCATCACTTCTCATAATGAACATGCTTGAGCCCACCCGCCCAACTCTTGAGATCTCATAGGGAAGCTGCTGATCACCAGTTTCACGTCTTTTCTCTCCATGGAGAGACTAGCTTTCCCTGGCACTAGCTGTGACCAATGATTATTTTAGAGAGATAGTTACTAACCACCTGACCATTACCTGATGGTTGCCTGACATTCCTGGTGTGTGTGTGTGTGTGTGTGTGTGTGAGAGAGAGAGAGAGTGTGTGTGTGTGTAGAGGGAGGCTTCTTCTGCTATGCTTATGTCTGACAAGCTACCTACAGTAACTGACGAGTTATTTTTTCATTCTTCTCTGCAGACCAGATTTCTTTGCTTCACTTAGCACATGCCCTTTCTGCAATTCCAAATTTGCCCTCCTATATTAAAGTGACTAGCTCACATTGACTGGAAATATTCCAAATTCCACAATGAAATATTGTAATGGGCTCCACTTGGTTCACCTGTGCATCACTGATGCAAACAGCTCTAGCTGGGTAGGGGGAAGAGGATGGAATCATGCGTTAAACACATTGCTGTAGATGTTGGCAGCCATCACTACAGTTAAGGAGAGCAGCTTTAGAAAAAAAAGTATCAAAAAACTATCTGGGACACATCTCAATTAGTGTCTCTTAGGAATTCTGATGAGGAAGTATTTCCATAAATATAAAATTGACTTAGTTATAAAAATAGTTACCAATGTGAAATATTTTATTCCCCAAAATTGGAGAAAAATGCGTTGTTACAGCATATAATGTCCACTATATTTCTAAAGTCTGATCATACAATACATATGAATTTTATCCCACTATTTGTATATTTGGGACTTTATTGCACCTATTGATTGTATGTCTTTATTTATCATCATTCTTTTCCATAACAGAAATACTTCTGTTCCTCTATGATGCTTTGACTGTATAATAATCTTATACTCCTGCCTCTATCCAGTTATTATGAGTAGGCAAAAAACTAATAACATCCTATTAGCTCATTGTTTCCTTAGAGCCTAAGAAAGTCACCCTTGTGATTGCTGACCTGGTTCTGAAAGTCCTTGTGCTGCATCTAACATTGGCTCTAGCTTAGAAGCATGTTGTAGATATGAAAGTATAGAAACAAAAGAGGAAGACAACCTTTACTGTCTGTTTACATTGCTTTTCCTATGTGGAATTTATTTATGTTATTTTAACACTTCCAAATGTTATTATAAATATTTGATGACATATTTTATCAATGTGAACTCCTTGAGCAAATATATTCCAATTCATCTTATTTCTTAGCATTTTATCTAGAACACAGATAATGGAAATGGTGTGCATATACTTTATGAACATCGAACTTAATCCTTCATATGTTCTACTCTACAGTATATATATCAGGACAGGACAGCTGCCAAGGCTGTTAGAAAAAAAAATTTAAGAGAGTTTTGTATATTGGGCATGCATGGACTTTGGTTGATTATAACATGCGAATGTGCGATAAGCCAATGAATCACACAGGCTCTGCTGTGCTTATAAATTATTCAAATAATTCAAGATTATTCACAAATACTTCCAATCTGCACAGTTAAAGACATAACCATGAGTATAATCCTGAAATATAGTCACTTCATTAAACAAACTTCTCTAGTTTGCTGTTTGCTTTATTATGATGCCAGATTGAATAATGAAATTTTTAAAGGTAACTAATAGTGGTGGCTGTATGCTGCATTTATCTCATCTTATAACGTTTATTTTTTACATCCTTAAAATATATAGATTAAGGTTATTATGATCAAAATAACATATATAATCTCAAGGCTAATATCAGGAAACTTAATGTTGTTGCAAAAGTGGTATCAGTATGCCATTATCCTGGAAGGTTAAAGGTAGCTGTCATGTCATCAGATATTGAAAGTTCTTTCTGACTAACCAATCATCAGTAATTTTCTTGGTAGCATTATTCATACATTGAAGTTCATTCCTGACACTTACATGTATTGTGCTGTCCTTTGAAAGAAGAAATGGGGATGAGGATACAGTATCATATAAGCAGTCAATAAAATGTTAAAATGAAGACTCCCCACATTTTCAGATGGAAGATTTATGACATAGCTGTGAAAAATAATAAACTACAGGATTTTATAGTTGGGATTCTTCATATTATTAGCCAAGTATCGTCAGTGTGTTTCAATATACTTAAAGATGTCCATTTTTTTCAATGAATTCAGGTGGTATAAAATTATGAAAACCACATCATAAAAACAGCAACAGTAACAGGAGCAAATAATACTGACAACTTGAGTCCATACTGAGTTAAATTTGTGATTTATTTCAAACTTTAGCTCAGTTTACTCAACTATTAAAAAAGGACAGTTAATAAAAAGATTATTTTTAATACACATAGTTTATGCTTTTATTTTTTTGACTGATTTGAAATATGACATGATGGTCAATTATAACATGCACAAAGATATTAACACTAGAATTATTTCATAGTTAGACTTTGTGTAAATCTACTGAAGAAATTACTTCTGTGGTCCTAGTTGGGGTGATAAAGATGAATAATTGAAGTGTGGGTTTGGTGAAGTTTGAGAATGTAGGTGGCATTTTGCTAATTTTTATTTTTCTAAAAGAGTAACAAGGCATAATATGGTTAGACATAGAAATGGCAATGCTATCATGAGATATCTTTCTGTCTTTATCTTTCTCTCTCCTGCTCAAACTACACATTCCATCAAGTGCATATGCTTTTACAAAACAGGACAAACATTACAGTTGTGAATAACTAGAGGACTGAAGTTGCTGAATTGATACTCACTATTTCCCAAAGTGATACTTTACTAAAAATTATCTGAAACAGAAAATAAATGTGTTAAGCCAAAAGGGTTCTATACTCAAGTTGAGTCTAGAAAATATCAAGTTAAATGGTATTAAACAGATTTCTCTACTTGCAGCATTATACTAAACTTTTAATATATTAATGGGCATTCAGGTTTTTCCAAATTATTTGATCAGGAAACATTTTACCCAGTATACTTAGGAACATCTTCTTGAAAAATGTTTAGCAGAATGCAGTTTAGGAAACATTTTAATTCAAATGAGCTGGTTCTACATTTAAAACCTTTCTGAATGCAGTGATAGAAATAAGTGTAGAAAGAGTTTTTCTCTTTATCATAATGAAGTATGGAGAACTGCCTAAGAATTGCTTTTCTATACATGTGTGGAAATTTTGTCTAAGGCACAATAATAACAACTAGCTAGCCTGCACTGGATATTATAACCTATATATAGTGTTGGGTATGTTGGATGGCCAGATCAGGCATGTTCCACATTCATATCACAGAGACACAGTGACCTAGACTTGCAAGCTGTGGCTAGAGAGGATTTCAAGTCTACCTTTTTCCAGGGGGTAAATGAAATCAATTCCCTTTTAATTTACATAAGTGAGAAACTAAATAATTTATTTAGCTGATATTTTAACTATACATCTATATAATCTCATCTATTGATCCATAGTAGAAAAGAGAAGGCAGCTGTGTAAAACCCCACAGAAAGTTATATTGAACAAATGTCTTCTAAAAAAATGTGTTTCCTCTAAATCTACTGTATTACATGTGAGCATGTAGATCGTCCACATACAACTTTGATTTGAAACTATACGTAATGGCCATAATGGCATATAACCTTGAAATCATGATTTTGAACTTAATTTCTTGATATAGTTGTAGATGCACTCATTCAGCAAATATTTATTTGTTCAAAAAATATTTATCCAAGTTCTGCAACTGGAGATTATATTATTGTAGAATTAAATACGTGAAGCAGTATAATTCTCATAAAGGTTTACAACAAAATGAAATTTGAACTCTGAATTTAAATTAGTAACACCTAATTATTTGATCACAATAATGAAAATAGCTATTAGCAATATTTTTTATAGACTCTGAAAAACATAAGTAAGCAATTCTTGTGTTCTACAATGTGTTAAGCTTCTATTACAGTACTTATAACAACTAAAAAGTTCAAAAGTATTTTTTGTGATTTCATTAAATTATTACATTTTGTTCTTTCATTGTTTGTGATAAATTTAAATATCAAGCCATGTTTTACATAATCCATTTTTTTCTAAATATAAAATTGTTACTCAAAGTGTGACTTAGCTATATGTGATATTCAATTAACATTTTTTAAAAGTGCATTTTTTTTTTTTTTTTTGAGACGGAGTGTCGCTCTGTCACCCAGGCTGGAGTGCAGTGGCGCGATCTCGGCTCACTGCAAGCTCCGCCTCCCGGGTTCATGTCATTCTCCTGCCTCAGCCTCTCCGAGTAGCTGGGACTAGAGGCGCCCGCCACCAAACGCGGATAATTTTTTTGTATTTTTAGTAGAGACGGGGTTTCACCGTGGTCTCGATCTCCTGACCTCATGATCCTCCCGCCTCGGCCTCCTAAAGTGCTGGGATTACAAGCGTGAGTCACCGCGCCCGGCCGCGCATTCTTTAAATAAATGTTAAAATTACTGCAAAAGCACCTGCTTACTGGGATCTGGAAGTTGGTTGTGTTAGTTGAATGATGCCAAAATTTATTTTATTTATTTTAAATTGTAAATTGAATCAATTAGTATTATGTTGTGGACTATTTCTTATCATAACTACAACCACAGTGACAAGGAGATTTTTTAGTTCATTTTTTCCATGTTCTTTTGCAAATTAGGTCAAGTAGGTCAATTACTACAACTTACTAAAGATTATAATATTGACTTCATAGGAGAAATGAGAGAGAAATATTAAACAGTGTTTAAATGTTTGATATCTTATTCTTGAATGTGATAGCTGGCATCAGTTGATGACTGGAGAAGGTGAGAATTTTTCTCTGGTATTACATACTGTATGATTGTATCTGCCTGTGAAAAGAGGTGCATATGTAAGATGCAAAAACCTTTTTTAGACGTGTATTACTGTATACCTATGTAAAAAGAACAAGTAATTATTTCATTTTTTTTGGTATGACAAACTAGCAGTTTAAAAAAAACTAGATCTATGAGGCACAGTAATTCTTTTCACTTGGCGTTCTCTTCTATTATCTCAGTCTATTATTCCATTCAATAGATTTGTTCTACAACATAGCTCTCTATATTTTTATATTAAATAATTTATGTTCTACAAAGTTTAATATGTTATATCATATGAGATAACTTAAACTGTCTAGTGTTTCCTTTATTATCTAAATCTTAAACATCATTAGTGCTATATTTAATAATTGTGTAGTAAACACTGAAATCTGAGGTGTTCATTTTATCTATGCCAATGACAATTTTTTCTAAAGTGGTTGTTGTTTTATTTTTAATACATTTATCTTTTTAACACTAGCACTCACTTTTATTTTGCTATGTGACATAAGCTGTTCTAAGCACACTCATCTCTTAAATATTTCAAGAGTTAGGCACAATGATTATTTCCACTTTATTGGTAAGAAATCTGAGCAGTAGAAAAATGACTTGTACACAGTCATAGAGCTGGAAAGTGAAGCTGAGAATAGAATCCTAACAGTTTGGTTCCTGGGTCAACATCAAGACTCCTTTGCTTTCATTATGAAATTCATCCTTGCTAGTAACCAGGTAGAATCTGGGATAAATCCAATAGAGAGTTTTGTAACATTCAGTCAGAGAATTGAGGGGGATGAAGTAAAGCAATTTTTATTTAAATGACCATTGTGTTTATTGAATTTTAATGTTCCTTATGAATGATTTTCAATAGTTGGTACCCTAAAAAGCCTCAAATTTATTAAAATATTTTGAGAGTTATAACAATAGGATTTATTTTGTGATAATTTCCGAAGAAAACTCACCCTTTAGTAACAGTAAATAAAAGTTCTTGCCCCTGTCTGTAGGCAGCATGTCGCACATCCATCAACGTGTGGCAACCACAGTCTGCAGTGAATTTGTGAATGGCTAATATGAAAGATACTGAATAATGACAAGTATGCCTGAAAGTGTTAAATTTTAAATTTTCAAGATTCATGGAAATTGTTTTTGTATTTAAAATAATTCATAAAATTTTTATTAAATCTCATGATTTTCTTATCCTCTCTAACATTCTCTGAAGCATAATAATTCTTTCATTTTACTATTACCTTTATTATCATAAATCTCTAAATATAAATAAGTATTGGTTTTTCCATCAAGATTTTATTTACCTATTCTCTGATCTGTATCATAATTGGTAATAGTGGAATGTGAAGTTAGCTATTAGATCATGAATTTTATATTAGTTTTTTGTCCATTATTCATTTGTTTCTGATTGTACAAATATATACATTTTTAGCATTTTCTAAAGTTTTGCTTGGCATATAGTCATTTTGTCAGATAAAACCTTAAATTTTCATTGTTAAATTTATTGTTAATGTTTGCCATAGTGTTGTTAAAACACATGGTTTATTGTTAAAGCATTTAATTCCTTTATTTGCATAAATGAGACACATATCCTGTATAACTTATAATCTTTCATGTGAATTCCTCAATAATTTTTGTTTTATGACAGAAGTTTGATGATACTCATATTAGTAGATACAATCTGTTACCATTATGTCATGAGGCAAAAATGTTTCCATCAGGCAGTCATTATGAAG
Organism: Homo sapiens; assembly: GCF_000001405.40. Classification (NCBI taxonomy): domain Eukaryota; kingdom Metazoa; phylum Chordata; class Mammalia; order Primates; family Hominidae; genus Homo; species Homo sapiens. Next base: position 65,623,692 of record NC_000004.12, on the reverse strand, counting down.
TCACTGACTCCAGCGTTTTTAATGACTCAGTCTTTGTGCAGTGGCTTTTCTGAATATGACTAGAATTCTAAAACTCTGAAGCTTCCTGCTTCATATACCCATCTTGCAAAGCTGTAAGAGAAACACTGTATCTCCTCATAGCACTTATCACAAACCTGATGCTATTATATTATATGTTATATTATATTCTCACATATTGTATACTTCTTATGATAGTGTATTAGGTATAATATGTGAAGAGAACTATTTTCTTTCTTTTTCAATGTTGTGTCTCCACAGCATAGTGAGTAATCAATATAATTGTTGAATGAAAGAACAAATAAATGGATTTGAAGTTGAGATTGAAAGAAAGATTTTCCCTCACTTAAAGGAATTTGGTTTCAGGACTCTGGGACTGTTACAAAAGAATTACAGGCATCAGACATCCCCAATTATAATTTTTAATGTGATCCCCGTAGTAACAATATTAGATATATAAATTATATATTGTATATGTTGACAGCCTTTTGTGAGATTTATAGTGTACTAACCCATCTTTTCTTAATAAAAGTGGGATTTTTTTGGTGGTGATATGATTTTCAAGTTTCAAATAATCGTTATTTAACAAGGTTATTAAGAAGTAATATGGGACTGCTAACTTTTCATAAACTTAAACTACCTAAACCCATGTTATCCAAATCAGTTGATAAAAATTGTTATATAATGAATATATGCTCTTAAACTTTAATGTTAATACACTGGCTTAACAGTTCTCAGCCTTGCTGAGTCTCTTTATGACGTGCCAGACACTCAGTTCTTATTAAAAATTAAAGTTAAGTGAGCTTGAGGTTTAAATATTACACACACTTTATCTTGGAAGCCAGACCAAGTCCCTTCTAAGAGACAGGATTTATTTCTTTTTTTTTCCACAGGTAAAGCCCAACAAGATCACCTAGAATTTATACAGGAGTTATGTTCCTCATCAACCATTGATTTAAAAACAAAATTCAAAGGTTACCTTAAGTCAGAGTCAATAAACCATCCTCTGTTATCACTACCACATCATTAAAAATAGAATTATAATACCAAAAATTGGCATATATTCCCTAAATAAAGAGTAAGCCATTAAATTGAACAAATTTGGTTTTGTGAAATAGTACTACATTTATTTTCAGTTTTTAAAGAATTAGTGAATACTTTGTCATGGTCCATTGGCTAACATTTGGGAATTACAAAACATTTTATCTTCATTTAAAGGCAAGAACGCTTGAATAGTTTTCTAATTTTTTTTTCAAATCTGCCATGTTGCCTATGCCTTGAACATACTTTGGTGAACTCACCTAGTGTCATATATGAAATAAGCTGAAGTGTAACTGTTTTTCAAGAAAAGCTCTTATGGTGCAATGAATTTACCGTTATTTCTAACTCAGTTTATCTATCCAGACACTAGTTGGAAGATTTAATCAAAAACTATAATAAGTTTACAGTTCACTGTGGAAGAGAACACCAAACCAAATACTGTTTAGAGTTGATTCTAAACAACAAAAAAGTTACTTTTCTAGAAAATAAAATAAGCTGAACAGAATATAGTTACACGGGAGTAATGTAAGTATTCCCAGAGCAAGTTGGGCCTGACTAAATAATTTTAAACTTAAAATACTCTTCGAAGTTTTAATCATACTACTTAAACTTCAGCCAAATAGAATCTAAGTGAAAATGTACTCAGATTAATTTAATGGACTGTAGCCTTTCCTTTGAACTCAGAGTGCTGATCTTAATGTTCATGACGAATGCAGCTTTCCTTTGTTTTCAGAAATCTCTTAACATACTCAGAAATATATTCACATACAGACACACAGACATACGTAGGGATGCAGATGTATACAGCCTAGTAGTAGACACCCAGAATATTCCCAGGATTAAATCCAAAAACATGCCTGAACCCCTAATACAAACAGCACTTGCTAGAACCCAGTGGAACAGTTTTCTGAAAATAACCCAACATTTGGACTCGTGTCTTTGTCCCTGGGCACCTGACTATATTTCTGATTCTGTATATTAATGTTTCTCCTGGTTTGTTATTTCTGAACACACCTTACTTTGATGTTGGTACCTTCATTTATTTGTTCTACAAAACATTTATTATAAGCAAGTTTTGTACAAAGTACTATATACATTGTAAATGGAGAGATGAGAGAAACTTTCTGCTGCTCATAATTTGATGAGAAATCAGGCTTTAATATTAATTCATAAAAATTATTATGTACTTACTATGTGCTAATGACTATTTACCATTAGAGAATCAAATATGGGTATCTTATTATCTCCATATTCAAAAGGATTGTAGTCTAGTGAAAGTCACTTTGCCAGTACATTTTTGGCTCCATCCCACTTCTGGCCACAGTGACATATGCTGCTTCTGGTCTAGGTATCCTCCAGCTGGTGCATATTGTCAAAACAGGCATATGTAAAGAATGAGGCAATTTGTGTAAACAAGTGATGCTTCTCAATGTTTTTATTTCATCTTATTCTGTTTAACCTTGCTAAGTATCCCTGCAGTGTTCATTATTCAAACTAGGTTTTATCCTTATTAAGGGGAGAATCACTTTCCCAAGACCATATCTGAGGTTAGCAATTACTCAATTTATTTTTTCTAATGAATTTCAGTGTATCATGGAAAAAAATGGTAACTTGGTCCATAGAGATACATATAAATGTCTGATTATATACCTGGAAGTATTGAAGCATGCAACTCTGAATGTTCAGTCCTCACTTTCTTTTCCTCCTATCTCTGAGAAGGAAAGGCCATACCACTTGCAGTTTTCCACTTTTTCTCACATATGGAAAAAGCATATGGGAAATTTACGCAAATCCATTATCTGATTCTTTAAGTTACCGGATGTTTTCTGAATACATTTCTTTCCATTTTCTTTGTTCCAGAAAAATCTTAATGTCTTTTCTGTTTTAGCATAAGCTTAGCCAAACAAAACTTCAACCAAGACCATGATCTGCCTTTATTTCACAACAATAAATATATAACCTTTCAAGAACTGAAATATCATTTTGAACTTCTATAATGTTTTCTTAGTGCAGATAGTCTTTTAGTAAATTTCTGTTTAAAGAATGTGAAAAGAAGAATCAACTCAACAAATATTCACTGACGACTCAATTATTTTGCTGAAAATGTGAATATGTATATGTATATTTCCCCCTTCTCTCAAATACATTTTCATTTAATTTTAAAATTGCCACAGTTCAAATATCTTAAATTGAGTGTACTATGTCATCACATTTATTGGATTGGTGTTAAGACATTTTTTATAGGAATCTGGCTAGATGTTAGACTCATCAAATAGAAACAGTGTGCATCGCAAGAAGTCAAGAGCCAGGATTCTGAAGTGAAGCTGGCAGATCATAGCTCCAAAACTTATTAACTTGCCTAGTTTTCCCAGATATAATAATAGCTTCTTCTTTGGATTGTTTTGGTGATAACTTGTGTTAAAATATTTACAATGTTTAGGAAAGTTCTAGGCACATACTTCATTCTTGATAAATTTTAAACAGTTATTACTATCATATATTTAATATATATATATATATATATACCTGAGTCCAAATATTCTGTAGATCTGGTGTAGTTTGGTGTAGATTCCAAAGAATTTGCTCTTTAACACACACCAGAGATGGTTGTGATACTATTGATGATTAAACTAGTGTTTAAAACTCTGTTCTGGGTCATTCAAATTGAGCATAGGGATGAAAAAAGGAGAAACTTTATAATATTATTATCAATTAAAACAAAATATTGAAGATATACTGTTATGAATGAGTGTTTTAGAAAGAAATATAAGGAAAAAGAGAAAAACAGTAGATTTTACATGTAAAAATTCTAAGCTAATTTTTCTGGACATGTATGTATTTTTATGTAAGTATAACTTCATTAAATTGAATGGAAATTCTGTGCACATAGATACTTAGGAAAATATGGCATATATATATAATAATTAATGAGACTCAGTATTTCTCTGGCTGAATGTTTAATTCTGTCAGCCTGAAGTTATTTTAGCTGAAGAAGAAAATGAGTTAAGATGGTTTAAAGAGAAAAAAAGTACACCAGTCCTTACTCATTTTTCATTTAGTGATACTTTTTTAAAACCATGCTGCATAAATCAAATTTAATTGTTTAATGTCAATATACAGGTTTTGTAGTTATATATTCCTTATGGTTACTGATTCTAAGTTGAATAAAGCTTTATATCCATTATTAAATATCCCAAGGTCCTCATTTAATGTCTTTCTTCAAAAAAAGTCCATATTTTTAAAAATGCCTAAATGTATGTGTATGCCTATATATACATATCTAATACTAGTTTTTGAAAATCTGAAAAATCTTAACTTCTCAAATATAAATCATTGTCTGTTAGAGATAGTTTTTCAATTATGTAGGGAATATTAAATTGTTTATTATAGATTAGTGCAAATGTCTATGAAGTAATGTGTTATCAATAAGTGTACAAATGTAAACATCCAGCTGATTGTAAATGTAATTTGTTTATTCTTTTTTTTTGGACGGAGTCTCACTCTGTCTTCCAGGCTGGAGTGCAGTGCCGCGATCTCTGCTCACTGCAACCTCTGTGCTCAAGTGGTTCTCCTGCCTCAGCCTCCTGAGTAGCTGGGATTACAGGCACCCGCCACCATGCCCGGCTAATTTTTGTGTTTTCTATAGAGACGGGGTTTCACCATTTTGGCCAGGCTGGTCTCAAACTCCTGACCTCAAATCATCTACCCGCCTAGGCCTCCCAAAGTGCTGGGATTACAGGCGTGAGCCACCGCGCCCAACCAATTAGTTTATTCTTTTATGGCCTTTTCTGTAACTGACTTCTCTGATGAGGACAAGGATGTATTTTACTCATTTATTGGCTCTCTATAGTTATGAATGGAATGTCTCCAATGGGAACTTAACAGAATTATAAATACAATTATCTTCTAAAAAATTCAGGTTTATACTTTGTCACCAGATATAAGAAAAACACAAACCAGCATATTTGGGGCATGTTAGTATTACTGTAAAATTCGTAGCAGAAATGAACTCTGTCAGCAATAAGGTTGTATAAAGCAATAAAGTAACTACTTAGGGGAAGATTGTCAAAAAAAGTGTTTGTACCTTGATCATCCTGTAGAGTGATCAGATCTAAAACATGGCTCTAAATTCTTGTGAAAACTAATTAATTAAAGAGACACTGATATTTTCAATTAAAGCAGAAATTTAACTATGAATATAGAGACTTGTAAAATTTTTTTCTTTTCTTTTAAAAATTTTTCAATAATTATATGCTTTGTTACATTTTATAGTAATTAAATTTCTAGTAATTGTCTTTTGATACCATTTACATGTTAAAAGGGTGGTAATTATAATCAAAGAATTAATGAAATTCTACAGCTTATCAGGTATATATCAAAGAAACTTTAGTATTTAGTTTTCTAATTTACTGTATTCATTTGGACCAAGTGAATTGGCATGTGTTAACTGAGGTCATTGGGGCTCTTGTTCTCCTTCTCTGGTGGTAAGTGGAAGACAATCTGTGTCCCAGTGTTTGAACTTTACATTTAGCCCAACTAATTAGGTCTTGTTCCCTGGCAAGATAGGAATTTCAGATACCATCAAATAATTTTAACATTCTATTTTATATGAGGAGAAGAAAAATACTGGTTAGATCAAGCCTCAATCTCACATGATAATAAACCCTACTTTTATTTATATGAAGAGCTGAAGCTTTTAAATGTTATATTGAAACATTTGTGATGATTTAATAGAATTTTATAATCTTCTGAGACCTCTATGGGCTTGCCAACTGTCACTTCCTAGTGATAATTAGGAATAGAGATACGCAGATAAATGAAATTCACAGTGATTCAAGTAGTACCCTTTTCCAACTAGATTCAATTCTCTTCACTATAAAACCTTCCCTGGAGCTATCAACTCTTAAAAACATGTGACAGAATTGAGTTTAACTTTCCTTCTTTCTTTACTATTCTTCTAGTGGCAGTTATTATTGAGAAGAAAAAAATAGTGGCCAGACCAAAAGGCTGGCAACATTTCAGAGTTGACATGCCAAGTGTTCTTTGACCAAATTACTTCTAGGAAAAGGAGGGATAAGTAATTGTTATTCAAAAGGTCTTTCTGTTTCCCTGCTGTAGATCCCAGTACACTACCAGTAAAGCAATAAAAGTAAAGAAAATCGCTGTTGGCATTTTCATTAATTCATCTATTCATTCATTCTTTCATTTTTACATGCATAAATTCAGCCAACAGGTATTAAATATATCCAGTTCCCTAGACATAATACTGGTGATGGAGAGGGCGATACACCAACAATTGATCACAGGTTTGCCCCAATGACAAAATTGGGGCAAGAGAATGAATCCATTGGGGGATACAAATGTGTACACTGACAATGTAGCATAAATCAGGTGCAATGAAAAATGCGTGTAAGAGGAGTAAACAGGATTTAAGATAATATGATATGGTATTTCACTAAATGACCACACTTAGTAGAATAAGTGTGGTCTCTTAGCAGCTGTCAGCCACTGTCATAACTTAGAATTTCTCCAAATATGGAGATGTACAGAAAAATGTAAATGTGTGTTATTAACAAAAGAGTTATCCCACAATACAAGTTTGGGAAATATTATATAAAACCAAATAGTATAATTTACTGTATCGCTTTTCTATACATATTGCATACTATGCAGATTTACTTTACAGATATTCACAGAGTTCACAAAGATTTCAACTTAATATCTTGCAAATAGATAAACCAGGAAGAGCTTCATTGTTGTTTCCCTAAAGAACATTTGTTTTCTATGAAATATTTAGTGAGATTATAGTTGTATAGTAAATAATTTAAGCAATATTACTTTAATAAGTACTTAAGTTTTAATTCAAAGTATAGAGAAATAAATGCAGAGTAGAATTTGGGGAATAAAAAAATGAATGTGCCTTTGAAAGAATATCAAAGAGGCTTCATTTACTCCATTCATTAGTCTGCCTCGGAATGACTGTTTTCCCATACTCTTTATCTTATTTTGTGAAGCATCATGGTGTAGTGAGTTGAAATATGAGCTTTGAAGTCAGGTAAATCTGAATTATAATTTTTGTTTTTATTGATCATTAATTATGTAACAACTTCTCCTGACCTTTCATCCTGTATATCTCAATTCTCCCTTCTCTTAATGCTCTTCTCTCTCTCTCTCTCTCTGTGTGTGTGTGTGTGTGTGTGTGTGTATGCATTAAGTCTGTACAATTCATCATCTGTGTAAGTTTGTGTAGTCACCACCTGTATGATACCAAACAGAGACAATGCCACAAGATCTTTCATGTCATCCTTTTATGACCACTCTCATATATTTCTTGTTTACTTCTTCCCTCATCCGCAGATCTAACTTTTGGTAACTACTCAGCTCTTCTCCACTTCTAAAATTTTATTTTAAAAATATTATAAAAATTGAGTCATAAAGTATTAACGTTTTGTGTATGATTTTTCTCACTCAGCATAATTCCCTGGAGATTCATCAGTTCCTTCTTTTATCAATAGTTTGTTTCTTTTTATTGTTGAGTCGTATTCCATGATATATAATGTACTACAGTTTGTTTAACCATTTGCTCACTGAAGGTCACATAGGCTGATTCCAGTTTTCGGCTACCATAAACAAAACTGCTATGAACATTCATGTACAGGTATTTCTGTGGACGTAAGTTGTTATTTACCAGGTATAGATGTTGAAGAGTGAAATTGCTCCTTTTAATGGCAATTTCAGATTTAATTTAATATGAAATTTCCTGTTATCCATGTGCCTGTACCATTTTATGTTTCCACCAGCAATATATAGGTATTCCAGTTTCTTCACTTTCTCATCAGCATTGGTTGTTGTCACTATTAAAAATGATTTTTTATTCATTTCAAATAGGGGTATGGTGACATCTCATTGGAGCTTTAATTTGAGTTTCCCTGATGGCTAATGACATTTAGCATCATTTCATAAGCATATTTCCCATATTTATACACTTTTCAGTATTGTCTTTTCATGTATTTTCTGTACTTTCTCAGCGATTTGTGTTTTATATGTTTTACTGTGAGTTTTGAGTGATCTTTCATTTGGAAGGTAGGTTTGCTAGATATAGAATTATTGGTTGATAGTATTGTTTTTCTAGCACTTTGACTATGTCATTCTATTTTCTTCTGGCCTTCATTGTTTCATCTGTGGTGTCAGCTTATTGTCATATTCTTGTTCCTCTCTACTGAGTTGATTTCCTCTTGCTGCTTTCAAAATTTTCAAAAATGTTTTAGCTTTTATCATGTTCAAGTATCTAGGCATGAACTTTTGTATGTACCCCAATTGGTTTCAGCAGGCATTTTGTATTTCTACCTAAGTTTTTAAATCAAATTTGTAAAATACTTGCTATTTAATCAACTATTGTACCTGCCATTTTTTTCTCTTACTCCTTCTTTTGAGACTTTCATTACATATATGTTAATATGATATATTTTATTTTTCCTAGAGATCTATAAGCTTCTGATAATGAATTTAGTGTATTTTTCCAGTTCATTTTATACTTTATCACTTTGTTATGAATGTAACAAAACACAATTTAGCATAATTGCATTCTTTGTAAAGTATATTTTGCTGTTTTATAAATTTTACATTTTTCTTTATTATATACTTGTAAACTCCATATAACAATTACTATTAACTCTTGTATGATGATTTATAGCATGAATATAACACATTTATTTATTTCTATTGTTGATGACATTAGTACTTTCTTTTTGATCATTACAGTGTTTCAGACTTACTTTGGCATATGTATCTTTAGAATCATGTAAAGATCCCAGGTTTAAAACACTTTTAAATGCACCATATATTTCCAAACACTTCCCAAAGCTGGCTACTAATATATACTCCCAGCAGGAGCATAGAAGAGTACTTCTTCCCTATTGCCTTTATATCACTTGATTCAATTTCTGCCAGGTTTTCTCCTAATAAACAGTCAGTTAAATGTATGAAGCATTAGCCTATATTTAGCATAAATAGCCAAAGTAGGGTGAAGAAATATTATTAAGAGCTTGTGATATCCAGGAGCCCTCTAATCCATCTTTGCTAAAGGATGGACTTACATAGCTGACAAACTATCAGATACAGCAAACAGAATAATAAAGGGAGGTCAGGGACATTTACCTTCTATGCATAGCTTCCTTATCATATCAAGAGTTCAGTTTGCTCATATACAAATAGATGTAAAAGTATGAAATAATATCTAAGATATTATGTTAAAACATTCTGTTTCTTTACTATAACTAGATTTACTGGTTATCTGCATTTGCTCTATGTATGTTTTCTGTTATGAGAATACATTGGCAAAAGGGATTGTGTTGATAAGCAGAGAAAAAGGCAGTTAACAGCTTGTTTTAATATTAAGGCTAAAATCACACTGAAAAATTAATTTTACTATTCCCATCTGTGATTGATAACCTAAGCAACAGGCCTCAAAATAATTAAGGGACAATATAGTGAGACAAGGAACAAGTTGACAGAAGACGCCAGTAGGAATAATAAATGTGAAGACTTAATTTTTTTAATGTTTCAACTTCACTAAATCTGTAAATATATCATATTTTTCTAGAATTCTTGGCATTCGTAGAAACATCTGTTTTTATAGTAATTCTCAAGTAAAATATTAAAGTGCAACAAAATATATCGATTGTTGATAGATAAAAAATTCTGTAAATGTTGATCAATCACTGTCTTCAGATAGTCAATCCCTATTGTAAACTTCTATGGTCTAATGTTGGTCAGAATTAAATTTGCATTCAATTAATGATCAAAAAACATAAACACTAAATATTTAGAATTGTCATTGGAGAGCTATCACTAAACATTTTAAACTTCCATAAGTGAGGTATACATTTATTCAAAAGTATGCTTTTGGTTGATATTAACTTTTTGGCCAGACACAAGCTTAACAAAATCCAGGAGGAGGAATTTGCAATAGACATATGGCTGTTCATTTACTTCTATCTCAAATAGAGAAGCACTGGAATTCTTAATATATTTAACTAAGTGGCTAAAAAAATCTCTACAGGGAAAACTACAGAACACTGATGAAATAAACCATAGATGACACAAACAAATTGAAGATCATCCCATTCTTATGGATTGGAAGAATCAATACAGTTAAAATGACCATACTGCCCAAAGCAATCTGCAGATTCAATGCAATTCCTATAAAAAATATCAACACTATTTTTCACAGAATTAGACAAAAAATTATATAGTTTATATGACCTCTCAAAAGAGCCCAAATTGTCAAAGGAATTCTAAGCAAAAAGAATAAAGCTGGAGGCATCACATTACCTAACTTCAAATTATACTACAAGTATGTAATAACCAAAACAGCATGATACAGGCATAAAAATAGACAGATAGATCAGTGGAACAGAATAGAGTCCCAGAAATAAAGTCACAGACCTACAGCCAACCGATCTTTGACATTGTTGATGAAAACATATACCGAGATTAGGACACCCTATTCAATAAATGGTACTGGGAAAATTGGATTGCTATACGCAGAAAAATGAAATTGGACCCCTATTTTCTACTGTCTATTAAAATGGACCCAAGATGGATTATAGATTTAAATGTATGACCTGAAACTATAAAATCCTAAGCAAAACCATGGAAAGCTCTTCTGGACATTGGCCTAGTTGAAGTATGCATGATTAAGACCTCAAAAACAAATGCAACAAAAACAAAAATGATAAATGGAACTTATTTAAACTAAAAAGCTTCAGCACAGCAAAATAAATAAATAATCATCAGACTGAATAGACAACTTGAAGAATGGAAAAAAATTTGCAAATTATGTATCTGACAAAGGACTAATATCCAGAATCTACAAGGAACAGAAACAATAACAACCCCGAAACAACACAAATAACCTTATTAAAAAGTGAACAGATATTTTGCAAAAGAAAGCACACAAGGAAAATAAATCATTGCATCAAGAATATTCTTGTACCTCTATGTTTCTCACCGCACTATTCCCAATAGCAGAGATATAGAATTAACCTAAGTGTTCATCAAAGGATGATTGGATAAAGAAAATGTGGCATATGTATTCAGTGAAATATTACTCAATAATAAAGAAGAATGAAGTAATGTCTTTTGCAGAAACATGAATGGGACTAGAGGCCATTATCATAAGTGAAACAGTTCAGAAACAGTCAAATTCCAGATGTTCCCACTTATAAGTGGTAGCTAAATAATGTGTACTCACGGATATAGAGAGTGGAATAATAAGTTTTGGAAACTCGGCAAGGTGAGAGGGTGGGAGGGGGATGAGGGATGAGAAATTACTTAATGGGCCACAATGTTACCATTAACATTAAGAAATTACTTAATGGGTAACTATTCCGGTGATGGTTACACAAAAGACCCAGACTTCACCACTATGCAGTATATCCATGCAACAAAAGAGCACTTATACCTCCTAAATCTGTTTTAAAAAATTAAAAATAAAGCCATTCTCTATGGAAATGCCAGCTGCTGACTGGACAACGTACTGACAGTAGATGGCCTCAATTTCTTTTCTTTTCTTTTCTTTTCTTTTCTTTCCTTTTTTTTTTTTTTTTTTTTTTTGAGAGAGGGTCTCGCTCTATCGCCCAGGCTGGAGTGCAGTGGCCTGATCTCGGCTCACTGCAGACTCCGCCTGCCAGGTTCACGCCATCCTCCTGGATAGCCTCAATTTCTATAGAATGTCTTTAATACTGCTTTGGCAAGTGGCTGGAGTGCACTTTATTATGTATTATGGCAATATAGCCACTTACATTTGAGAAAGCTAACAGCCCTAATGTGGCTGTTTTCCAACAAAAAAAAATGCGATGGAAATTTGTGTTGAATAGCCACTGATTACAAGAACATCATTAATGTGAGATATAGAATTGATTTATGGGTGCTGTTGTCAAATCTTGCATCAGAAGCATAATATTATCTACTGAAAAATGAGGACTGAAAAAAGAACAGAGAGCACAGGCAGCATTATATTTTCGGATATATTTTATAGAGTGGATATATAATCAAGAGATCAAGAGTTGCACATGGTTTACTGAAACCTTTTTTTTTTTTTTTTTTGCCAGAACAACAAGGGTGTAATTGTATTTATTTTGCCTGAAACATTAAGTGCACCAAAGGCTAATCTACTTTATTTTCATTAAGCTGAATCCCAAGTGAAATAGTTTCTTTTCCCTTACTTACTGGAACTTTCATTCTGCTTTGAAAATAAGGCTTCCCCACAGAATTTACAGCTATCTATAACAGGACAGTGCAATATTTATATTAAAGAGTACCAATTATGTTACTTTTCAATTTACATCTTACTGAGAATATACCGAAATATATTGAAATATATACTGAAATATATTGAAATATCACTAAAAGGACCATCTCTAATGTCTCACAATGACTGTTGCAAAGGAATTCTTAATCGTGGGTGTGTGCCCATGTGTGCATATATGTGTTTGTCATTTGAAGTCCTGAAACACGAAATACCTTAAAATCTACATGGTAAATTTGTACTCCATCTTAAATAATATATAATTGAGATTGCAATCACTCTTAAGAAAGATATAAACTCACCAACTATGTAAACCTTCATAATAGTACACAAAAGCTTATTTCTGTTGCTACAGTTACATGATATCAAATGTTGGCCTAATCATCTCTTGGCATAGCATGATGAAAAATACATAGTGGGAGGCTACCATCACCTAAGTATGAAGGTGTCTCCATATACAGTGGTACCATAATGGAACTAAACTAGATCAGTGGTTTATAAACCTATTTGTTATTTGCATCTTTTAAAATTATAACTCATGGCACTCATTACTGACAAATTAGATCACATGTACCCTATACAATAGGGTTGCTTTTTATAAAACAATAATGAGATCATTTAAGATTTTATTCAGTTTATTAATTTGTTAATTTCAGGCATGGTTACCTAGTTTGCTCATTCTTTTAAAATTATTATTGACTGATAGTTTGCATTTGTTCTTATTAGTAAATTTTTCAAGGAAAAATATCCCATTTTATTTGTTTAATTAATTAATTAATTAATTTGTTTATTCTTCTATTTTTATTTTAGGTTCTCGGGGCACATGTGCAGGTTTGTTACATGGGGAAACTGCATGTCACACAGCCTTGGTGTATAGATGATTCAGTCACTCAGATAGTGAGCATAGTACCGGATAGGCAGCCTTCCAACCCATACAGCCACACACACTCCTCTGTCAAGCAGTCCCTAGTGTCTGTTGTTCCTGTCTTTGTGTCCCTGTGTATTCAGTGTTTAAATGAGAACATGCAGTATTTGGATTTCCGTTTCTGTGTTAGTTTGCTTAGGATGATGGCCTCCAACTGCATCCATGTTGCTGCAAAGGACAGGATCTCATTCTTTTTAATGGTTGTGTATTAGACTATTCCATATATAGACTATTAGACTATTCCAATATAGACTATTCCATAGTCTATATTTACCACATTTTTTTATCCTGTTCGCTGTTGATGGGCATCTTGGTTGATTCCTTGTCTTTGCTGTTGTGAATAGTGCTGCAATGAACATATGAGTTCATATGTCTTTTTGAATGCCTTATTTTAAAATTTGAAGTGTTTATGACATCTTTGATCATTTTATATAATGAGAAACTGTTTAATATCTCTCATTAAAAGTAGAATAGCAATAAATACATAATAAATACATAATCAGTCTATATATATGCTTTTTGGGTTTTTTTTGTTTGCATATTATGTTCATCATGATATTTAACTAAGAAATACTTTTCTTGATTAAATCATAAACTGTTCTAATTGTGTGTATTTTATCTGATATGCTACTTTTGATTTTTCCATCCTTCCATTTATTGCTTCTGCACTTGGATAATTGTTAAAGGAATTAATGAGGAAAGGATCCATACGTTTTTGAAAAAATACAATGACAACATTGAATGAAAAAAAAAAAACTGATTTTTTTCCTCCAGGTTGAAAAAAAAATATCTAGCTTGCCATTCACATTTACTGTTGAAAATAGATGCTCAATTGTCTGTGAATTTTGCTGCAAAAAGATTAATATTAACCTGAAAGTTTTAATCTCTGTGTTTCTCAAGTGATTTCATTTGTATTATGAATTGAATTTGAGCTCATAAATATTTGTACTATTCCACAGGCAATAAAGTAATCAAATTCAGTTTTATTTCATACACAGAAAATTAATAGAGTCATTTCTAGCAATACTGCTGCATCATACTTACGAATTTTAAAGATGTTTTGAACAACTCAAACTCCTACTTGATGCAAGTCTTTTTTTCCCACTAACATAATATTGAGGAAATATAACAAGGTTTTGATTCAAATGATTTTTGCTGAAAGCTGATATATTTTGTCATATTTATTTTCTAAAGAATCATAGCTATTAGAGAATTTGAATTTCTAAAACAGAAACTGTGCTACATGTTTTATTCTTTTAAAACCACATTTTTCTTGTTGTTATATGTAAAAATAGAGATGCTTCTGTTGCCCAATGGATTGCCCATTTTTTTCTTGATCCAAAATAAGGAAAGTGAACAAGGAGGATGGAAGCTATAATTCTACAACAAGGGCACATAATTTTGTCTTTTGAAAACATAAATACCTAGTTCATTAGGTAATGAATCTTTCGTTCATTAAAATGACCTCGAGTGGCCTTATATTTTATGCATAGTAATTTTAACCCCTAAAAAAGAGAAAAAATAATTTATAAGCACAGATTTCTAATTGTAGACATTAATTAGGCCCTAATTAGTATGCCAGTTGTTTGTGGCCTCAGTTTACTCATCTGCAAAAAGATGCAGTTTATTCTGCAGTATAATTATGTCATGCATGCATTGCATAACAGGAAAATTGATCTAAAATTGATCTATATATTTAAACTCTTCTTCCAGGATCACCTTTAAATTAGCACACAATATCTTTCAAAGGATTATAACCCAAGATGAAGTTTGCACTTTTATTTGACTCTTTATTGTTTGAGCATTTGGGAAGCCAGTGTCTGAATTTCAAATTTTAGTGTGTAGTAAAACTGTTCCCAGGCATTTTCTTTTTTCTTTTTTTCTTTTTTTTTTTGAGATGGAGTCTCGCTCTGTCGCCCAAGCTGGGGTGCAGTGGCGCAATCTCGGCTCACTGCAGGCTCCGCCTCATGGGTTCATGCCATTCTCCTGCCTCAGCCTCCCAAGTAGCTGGGACTACAGGTGCCCACCACCACGCCCGGCTAATTTTTTGTGTTTTTAGTAGAGGCAGGGTTTCACCGTGTTAGTCAGGATGGTCTCGATCTCCTGACCTCCGTGATCCACTTACCTCAGCCTCCCAAAGTGCTGGGATTACAGGCGCCAGGCACTTTCTAAAATCATGGGGTGGTACTGCTTTTTTAAAATACTTTAAGCTCTGGGATATATGTGCAGAACGTGCAGGTTTGTTACATAGGTAATACACGTGCCATGGTGATTTGCTGCACCCATCAACCCATCATCTACATTAGGTAGTTTTCCTAATGCTATCCCTCCCCTAGCCGCCCACTCCCTGGCTTCATCCACGTCCCTGAAAAGGACATGAACTCATCGTTTAGTATGGCTGCACAGTGTTTCATGGTGTATATATGTGACCATTTCTTTATCCAGTCTAACATTGATGGGCATTTGGGATGCTTCCATGTCTTTGTTATTGTGATCAGTGCTGCAGTAAACATGCATGTGCATGTGTCTTTATAATAGAATGATTTAGAATCCTTTGGATATATACCCAGTAATGGGATTGCTGGGTCAAATGGTATTTCAGGTTCTAGATCCTTGAGGAATTGCCACAGTGTTTTCCACAATGGTTGAACTAATTTACACTCCCACCAACAGTGTAAAAGTGTTCCTATTTCTCCACACCCTCTCCAGCATCTGTGGTTTCCTGGCTTTTTAATGATCGCCATTGTAACTGGCATGAGATGGTAACTCACTGTGGTTTTGATTTGCGTTTCTCTAATGACAAGTGATGATGAGCTTTTTTTCGCATATTTGTTGGCTGCATAAATGTCTTCTTTTGAGAAGTGTCTGTTCGTATCCTTTGCCCACTTTTTGATGTTTTTTTTTTTGTTTGTTTGTTTGTTTGTTTTTGTATTTTTTGGGGGGTAGATTCTGGATATTAGCCCTTTGTCAGATGGGTAGATTTCAGAAATTTTCTCCCATTCTGTAGGTTGCCTGTTCACTCCGATGATAGTTTCTTTTGCTGTGCATAAGCTCTTTAATTATATCTCATTTGTCAATTTGGGGCTTTTGTTGCCATTGATTTTGGTGTTTTAGTTATGAATTATTTGCCCATGCCTATGTCCTGAATGGTATTGCCTAGGTTTTCTTCTAGGGTTTTTATGGTTTTAGGTATTAGGTTTATATCTTTAAAAAAAACATCAGTGAGTTAGTAATTTGAAATCAGGATATCTTCAGTAAAGTTAGCAAAACTTAGTGTGTGAAACAAAACATACCACACACATTTGCACAATGAAAATCACAATAAATGATATATAAAAATATTTTAAATTTAAAACCTATATTTTATGTAGTTTTGAGGAACTTGAGAAGATATTATATTTAAAATATGTGACTCAAAGTGTGAAGAACAGCTTTCCCTGTATTTAAAGAGGCAGTTAGGTGATAAACAAGGTCTTCCTAGAAAGTTATGATTTGGTCATGTCAGAGTAAAGCTGCAGGCAATTGATTCTTTGCCAGATTTTTATGTAATTCTGCAAAGGAAATCCCTAAGATGGTCGTAATATTATTTGACTGAAATATGAAATATGTCCATAGTTCCTTGAACCGATATGCTATATTCTGGGCTTTTGATTTACACAGAATGGTGAAGAAGACTACTGAGTGACAAAATAAAAACTTATTTTGAAAACATAGGCTCACAAATAAAATAAACTTAGTTATCAGTTACAATTAGTAAAATGTAATGCTAGTGAAAAATCATTCAACAGGTTAATAGGCAAAACTAAACTCATAAAAATTGTATCAACAATGGAAATAAGACAATCTCTTTTAATAAATACTTAGTGTTTTTAATTAAGAATTACCAAACTAATTTTTAATCTGCTTTTATAAACCTTTCTAATTTGCTCTTATAAAATTCTGACGATTTACAGAGAAGAAAATGTATTTTCTTGTTTTAAAGATAGCACAAAACATTTAACTATTTATTCAATATGTTTGAATTATTCCAAATTAGTGGGATCTCTGAATTAAGAAGTTATATGTATATGTTTGATATTAATTCATTCATTATAAAATGTATATCAAGTGCCCTACTCTGTGCCCTGTTGTATCAGACTCTAAGATACAGTTGACGATAAGAAAATCATGCATGCCTGCCTCTCCCTCATATTGGGGTTGAGTATTAAAATATATAGCAAAAGAAAAAAAAGACTTATTGATGGTTACATGACGTCTGGAAAAAATGTTGTGTAGCAATTAATGCAACGAATCAAGGAATCCCATGCACAAATCCACCCTTTGAGGCAGAGACATGCTGACAAGAAGACAAAGGAAGATATGGGCAAAGGAGATGCCCAGGTAGTCAGCTTGGTCTTGTGTGAACTTGAGTAAATCCTTTTTTTTTGGTCTGGTCTTCAATTTCTTATTTCTAAAATGAACAATAGGACTGGCTCTTTTAAGGCTCTTTGTGATGTTCTCTATTGAATATTAGATGCCTAGGATAGAGAGCTTTCATTCTCATTACAGAGTTGCATAGTTGTTATGCCAGAGATTGGATCTCAGCTTATATATCTAGATATTATAAGAGCTGGGACTAAAACTAGAGCTTCGGGCTTGTACTTTTCTTCTATACAAGACCCATACAGTGCCATTTTTTTTTTCAGATGTCTACTCCAAAGTTTCTTACTGTTGCACCTTAGCCTCAATAGATCACTCTCGATATAGAATCAAGATAAATAGAAACATAATAATGAAAACAGAACTAGATAATGGGCACCCCTAATAACTTGAAAGGTTAAAATTGTCTCTGTTCACATGATGCTTCCTACTGTGAATTTGGGGACATAATGTAAGAGGGATTTCTGGTCCAGCCCATGTGTCATGAGTCAGTATTTTCAAGCTCTTCATGAAAAAACGATGTATAGGCTGGGGATCTGGAAAGGAGAGCAATGCCAACAAGGTAGGAAACAGCAGGCGCTTGATACCAGAAGGCCAAGAGAGCAATGAGAGGCAGATGGGGAGAAACTAGTTCCTAACGGCTTGGGTAGAAAAACATTGTAACTGCATGATACACATATGGTTATGAAAGTAAGTTCTTTCTTCCCCCGACCCTTCTCTGATGAATGTGGCTGATGTGAGATGCCTGGCCAGCAATGGGTTTAGAACGCAACTGACCTGGAATTTTCAGAGCCCTGAGGGAAAAGGAGTAACCCTAAGAATCTGGGAGATAAATCAAGCAAACCCAAGCTGCGTAACCAGTTATTTATTCTTAACGGGAAAGAATGGGCAATAAGGAGGAAATAAACGTACAGGAAAGCATGGGCTCAGGGGATGGCATTGAATAATTGCTAGACCTAAAGAGCAGAGCTACAGCCATCATATTGCATTCAGCAATCCATGCTTCCAAAATGTCCAGGCTCACAACTTCTAGTAATCGAAGGATCAGCAAATATTTTTATTAAATCATGAAGTCATGGAAAATCCAACAAAAATGAACAGAAAATATTGATTCCTATCTGTGCCTTTTATTAAGTTACTGTAATATCCTGTACATGACATTTGTAAAAGTGTCTAGGAATACGTCTGCCACATTCTAAAGTTCTTGGTGAGTGTTACTTTCTCTTCATCCTCTTGGTTTTTTTTTTTTTACATACCTGATTTTTGCTGAGGACAGCAAGATATTCTCTTCATGTTAAAGGGGAAAGAAAGCTTAGAAAAATTCAAAGTTTTATTTCAGAGAGCCAGCCTAAAATAAAATCTTTCTGTCAATTTCTTAGTATATGTGTCTCAATGACAGCAGATATTAGAGATGGATATATTACCCATGTGATTCTCTGAATGGCTTATGGCCATAATTATTTAAATTAAACTCATTCTATTTGCTCACTAGAAATATTAAATGTGAGCCATCATTTATGTTTTGGGTACTTGAAAAGAAAAATAAATAAAATCTCACCATGACAGTTTCTGAATTCAAAGAAAATTATAGTTTCCATCTTCTTAACTGAGAATATTCAGAGAAGCAAGATGCTTATGCACATACTTTGAAATTATCACCTGAAGCAGTAACTATTAAGCTATCTTGTCAAGTGCTGCTTGGCTTGCATTTTTAATAGTATTTGTGGTACCCTGGACTTTGTACAGACAAAGGCTGAATTGCTTGGCTTATAATCTTGAAAGATCCTGTTATTCTGCTTGCTTTTACTTGCTAGGAGGATCCTACTAGAATATATTGTCCAGAAATAGGTCATCAATAAGTGATTCAAGGCAAAAAATATACATATTTGTGTTTTATTTTCTTTTTATAGAGAAGAGATTTTTGATATCTTTCATTTGACTAATTCAAAAAATATATATTTAATCTTATTATGGTAAATTGATAATTCTTACCATTTTATTTGGTTAGTTGACATATTCTTTTGCATGAAATATTGATCATAATATTTGGTGCCATTTATAATATAAAGAGATTGATACTTAAATCACATTGGAAAGAAAATGTAAGTAGTTTAATTATGGAGTGCTGCAATAGATATCTGGTTTAGAAAATAGGGAGCTAAGTAGAGTATATATACATTTTGAGAGAGGACAAAAATGAGATTTAGTGAAAGAACTGAGGCTTTAGGTAATAACATATATGGAAATTGTTTGGCAAGATAAAATCTTCATGTCTCTCTCTTGTGAATTTAAGGAGCTCAACAGTTTTACCTCATTAGCACCTTTTGCTTATGTCTGTCTGATGTTGCAGCTAGATTTCGAGAGGAGCCATCTGATGTATAAGATTTATTTGCATCCTTTGTGCCTTGCATTTTTCACATCTTTGCTTTTAGAACAGAATCAAGAAATAATGCTATATTTAATTTCATGTCTAAAGAAATGAGTGTCTATGAAGTTTTTTTTATCTACAATACTTAATGTCTGAAATCACACATTCTGGATTTTTTGAAAGTCAGTATGGTTTCATTGTTCTTTGTGTTCCAGTGGTATTTTAAAGATTTAAAATTATATATCACTTTTGTACACACAGATTTTTTTACAGGCTTCAGAAATTCCTTAAATTATAATTACTTCTTTATGAAAAATAAAAATTTGGCTCTGTACCGTTCAGGAAATGGTTATGGTACATCGAGATTCTCAAAACTGGAGTATTTTATTAGGAAAGAGATAGGTTTAGAACTCTTCTTTGGCCAAATAATATTTTGGAAGCTATATAAATTGTACTTAATTTTTTTTACGTCCTGTATATCTTCAGAACTCTTAAGGCCATATGCATAAAATAATGCCTTGGTAAGAAAGAATTAATGGGGTCCCAACATATCGCAAGAAGTTAGCTAATATTCAAAATGACAAGGCTATCCATATTCTTAATCTGTAATTTTTAATCTTTCTTTCATATCTGTCTCCATGTTTATATATGTAGATAAATCTATGAATTAATATTTAGCTAGCCAATTTGTGAGAGTCCTGAATAGATGGGTTCAGTGAAATAAAGATCTATTATTAATTTTAAACTAAAGGATTTTCTTTCAACTTTTATTCCATTGGTGTGTTATTTGTGACATGACAGATTTAAATAAATGACTGTTTTTATATTACATTTTTCTCCCTTCTTTTTCAAATTTGCGATCCTTTTATCCCTTATTTCATTTTTTTAATTGCATTTCTTGTATTCTACCCTATTTATGTATATGCTGAACTTTATTCAAAATATACATATTTTTCTTTCTTTGCTTCATTTTGTTAACCTCACCCACGTTTAAATTTCTTTTACTTTTACTCTGAAATGCATGGTTCCTTCCTGCCCTGGGGCATATTCATATGTGTTCGTCTTGGAGTTATGTTGGAGATGAAGAATAATAATTTCTTAATTTACTTTTAATTTAAAAATTACAATAAAAATTTGTGATTCTCTTCTCCCAATACTTTATATCTAGTTCCTTCTGTAAATATCACATATTGAGGATACGAATATTTCTATATCTCAGTTAGTTTTCTTTTATAATTTTTGCTATAGTTCCTTGTTATTTTCTATTTTTTGAATTTTTTTTATCTTTCTATTTTATATTGTACAGTGGGAAGAGATTGGTGAAGTGGATGAAAATTATGCCCCTATCCACACATACCAAGTATGCAAAGTGATGGAACAGAATCAGAATAACTGGCTTTTGACCAGTTGGATCTCCAATGAAGGTGCTTCCAGAATCTTCATAGAACTCAAATTTACCCTGCGGGACTGCAACAGCCTTCCTGGAGGACTGGGGACCTGTAAGGAAACCTTTAATATGTATTACTTTGAGTCAGATGATCAGAATGGGAGAAACATCAAGGAAAACCAATACATCAAAATTGATACCATTGCTGCCGATGAAAGCTTTACAGAACTTGATCTTGGTGACCGTGTTATGAAACTGAATACAGAGGTCAGAGATGTAGGACCTCTAAGCAAAAAGGGATTTTATCTTGCTTTTCAAGATGTTGGTGCTTGCATTGCTCTGGTTTCTGTGCGTGTATACTATAAAAAATGCCCTTCTGTGGTACGACACTTGGCTGTCTTCCCTGACACCATCACTGGAGCTGATTCTTCCCAATTGCTCGAAGTGTCAGGCTCCTGTGTCAACCATTCTGTGACCGATGAACCTCCCAAAATGCACTGCAGCGCCGAAGGGGAGTGGCTGGTGCCCATCGGGAAATGCATGTGCAAGGCAGGATATGAAGAGAAAAATGGCACCTGTCAAGGTAAGAGTTTGCCTCCAGATCTGCAGGGGCTGTCTGCTTCAGTTGGATCATGTATATGTATTTCCTCCAATGATTATGAGGAAATGACCTTTTACTTTGCTAATTTATGGAGATTATTTCTCTCAAGTTTTATTTTTCTCTTTTCAGAATTTTAAAATTTCTGGCAACCGTGAAAGATTTAATGTAATATTTTATTGGATATACATAATTAATACTCAGAGAGTGTCTGACTTGCAGTGTAATATTTCATATTCACTTTGCTTTTAGAAATTTTATTTTTGAAAAACTCAAACCAAGGGACTAGTAACCTTCATTGTATAATTATTGTCTGCTACATCTATTTTCTCTCCATGAACTTATTTTCTACTCTTTATTTGCTGTATAAAATTTAAATGCAAAATCTTAGATTAGACTAGTTTTGGCATGTTTTTAACTGCCTTTTAAAAATTCTTCAGAAAAAAAGTTCAGCCATATGAACTTTATAGCAAAACATTTGTAAACTGACAGGATTAGTTTACTGTGTTGTTTACTTATGGTTGTAATTACATGCTTGCTTTTTAAAAATTACAGATATTTTTAAATGCATAATAAGCAGTGCCCCACAAAAATAACTATTTGAAGATAGAACCAATACAAAAGGTCATTTTAAAGCAATTTGCCCTGGGGGATTTTTTTTTCTGTTTTTATTTTTCTTTTAAATTGAAACTTGATCATGCATGCTTCTCTCTTCCTTTGAAAATGCCCTCATTTTGCCCGCAGTGTGGTGAGTTGGCCGTTTAAACTGGAAATTTGTCAATGGCTTTCTGGAACAGGGGAGTATTTTATATCAAAACGAAGAGCAGTTTATGGGAAAGAAAGCAGCATGTTTTTATTTAAATTATTCACCCTCATGATCCTGAACTTGTTTTCATCATGATGTGAGTGTACTAACTAGGTAATGAAAGTTAATGAATATTAACTTAGGGAACTTTGAATGCTGAGCAGCCCCTTAGTCCCACCTGGTAGCTTCAGGTGCATTTATTTTTCCTAAGTCCACTCTGTTACATGAATCAGACTTCCTCATTTGTTCTTGCTTGACTGTAGATTGATTATCGATCCAGGGAAACAAAACTAGGGAAATTACCTGTAAATTATAATAACTTGGTTAATTAATTCTCTCCAGAAACACATTGCACTTTACTTGAAATTCCTTTTTCAGCACCAGTTTCTATTTTGTATCTTTGAAATACCATCTACTATTAATTCTGTTGTTTTTCCATGCAAGCTACAACTTTCTACATCTGATTTTATATCTACACAAGTACATCTGAAAGTTTTGTTCCATCAAAATTACGTTTATAAAATGCTTAAAAGCTTATTGGGGAAAAGAATCATAATTTCTTCAGGACTGGAATTAAAGAAATGTTCTAATATTATCTTTTACTTTTGAGCAATCTTATTGGTTTAAGGTGAGGTTTTATGTAATTAAAGGATCAAAAGCAGGAGTTATAAGCAATCCATTGAATATATTTCTGTCTAAAATATTGTAAATATAAATCTTATTAATTATTTCTAAAAATTTGTTTATTAGTATTATAAAACAACGTACTCTATTTGGTTGTTTGTTTCTATCATTTTAGAGAATATGTGAGCACTTAATTCAGACCACCATGACCTTTGTCATTATTTTGATTGACAGATAGTATAAGAGGCCTCTCTCCATGTTTCGAGGATGCATTTTGATTGTCGATGAGATTAAAACATTCTGCTGGTGATAGTCACAAAAATCCTGGGAGGCAGCGTTCTGACAGAATGCAATGCAGTCTTAGTGCAAGTGTTAGCATACATCTTTTCTTTCTCTTCTCATGTTATTCTCTTAATAATTGAAAAGTAGAACCTTAATTGATGGACATTGGATTAACTGGAGACATTTCATTGTAGAAAACTTTACTTAACTGGACTCTGTCTTAATTCATGCATTTATCTTCCTCCCTTGGTAGTAGGAGCAGTGGTTTGCAGAGGTAATGCAAAAAGTTTACTACAGCCCAGAGAATGTTTCACACATGTAGTCGGTATGATTAACGCTTGCTGGTATTTTACTATGTACAAATGGTATGTGATGGCACTCTAGGAAGAGTTTCAAGTATTTATTCTACACACAACTTATGTAATAGAATGACTCATTGAATGAATAAATACATCTTGAGGGCTTGCTTTGGAGAACTAAAGCATCATAGATATTGTTGAGAGATTTCTATCTGTACACAATAAGTACATGTAAATGAGTGTGTGTGTGTGTGTGTGTGTGTGTGTTATAAAATGCCACCATGACTCTAGCTCATTTTACATCTTAACCTGCTAGCCTCAAACCTCTAAGTGGAGATCTTGATGATTTGGAATCATCCTTCTAAATAAGCCAGAAATTTAGGAATCATTTCTCTCATCTCTTTCCTACTCACTATCCAGTTCCAATCCATCACAGTGTTTATAGAAATTACCAGTCAACTTTCTCTTTAAATCATCTACTTCTATTTCCTTCTTCCTTCAATATAGAGGTAAACCTTGTTGAAACTTTGTTTTCAAATTTAATGAATGACTTTATATATAGTTTTGGTTTTTTAACTATATGAATATATCACCTATAACAAATGCAAATATTTGTTTCACACATCCATCCTACCCCTGAAACCTCCCCCCTTCACACACACACTTTATACACTTCAGTGGTTTCCTTTAAGACAAAGTTTTATCATTAAGAGGCTGCATGGTTTTGCTCCAGTTATCTTTCATGTCTCATCTTAAATTTTGCTTTCTCCCCTTCCCTATGCACTAGCCAAGCTAACTTTTTTCAGTTTCTCAATTTGCTCTTTTTCACTACTTGTTGTTTTAAGAATATGTTCTCTTGCATGGATTATTCTTGTATCTAACATACACTAATCCTTCAGATCTGTGCTCCAATATCCCTTCTACAGAGAAGATGCCCCAATCAATCAAGGCTAAATCAAGCGTCACTGTTTACTCATATATCTTTTGTCACAAAACAATTTAGAACTATTATTTTACCTATATTTGCATACTTGTTATCTGTTTAATTATTTTTTCTACTCCTGTTAGTCCACATACACCTTGATGGCAGGAGTAGCGGGAGACCATGTACTCCTTAACTTAAGGGATGAGAAAGAAGTCAAAAAGCACAAGAGAAGGACAATGAATTCAAAAGAGAGGAAAGAAAATCTGCAAAGGTGTAAAAGAATACTATGTTATTCTATGTTAAATATCACATTGTGTTGATTTATTTTACCTTTGTATTATCTCTAAAATATCTCCTTGGTCTGAAAATTGATGGATATGTCTTTTAACTTAATCATTTCTTAGTTCTAAGACTCTCAGCCCAAATTTCATATTCAAGGTATTAAGTCATATGTGATTGGTACTTCACATACTATTAGAGAAGCCAATTTAGTGAATTTTACAGAGCACAGAACATCACATACTTAAATATAATATGGCCATATTACATGATGACATTTAATTATTCAGTTTCTTGATAACCAAACTATATTAGAATTTAATTAAAATATATTATTGAGAAGCTAAAGTTTGAATATATCTGTGGCAATGATTTTCATATGTTAATATTTCTTAGTCTGTGCTGGCAGGTGACTGAGTACTTGCTGTCATATCATGCTTATGTGACTTGTTATATGTGCTTTGCATGATGGAGTTGACACATGGCCTTTTACAAACTAAACCTTCAAGATTCAGAATGCTAGGCAGCTCATTAACATATGGCCTCAATCCAGGTGACCAAGCAGTGAGTCTGGAGTCCTGGTCAATTTAGCAATTTGTGATCTGTCATCTTAATATAACTTCCTCTCATTTAACTTTCTTTAAGAGAAATAGACTACCTCACCCATAGTAATCTGGTTTTGACGAGGTAACAAAATACTCATTTCTATTGTATGAACTTAAAATATAGTGTACATTTATTTTTGTAAGTCTTACTTATATGCCTAAATTTTCTATAATAAACTGATTTAAGTCTACAGATTTCTTTCTTGGAAGTCTTTTTATTTTCAGAAATAAATAATGTCTCAAATCCATTTATCCAAGTATGTTTCCCCACTTGTTATTTATTATTATTTCTGATGAAATTCATGCTATTTTTTTCCCCTTAAGACTCATGTGAGACTTTTTTTTTTTAGTAAAAAATGGTTAGCAAAAACACATTTTAGAAGTTTCTGTCTTTTATTGAAGTGAATGTTTTTGACAGAAGTAATTGAGTTCACATGAATCAAATGTTGCCTGCTGAGTTCTCTTGTGATTATGTTGCTGACTTACTTAGATGCAAGGCAAGACCACTAATCTTCATCAGTTGCTAGTGGAATGAAGTAGTAATTTGAAATTAGCCCTAGATAATTATAGTTTCACTTATATCAAATGGAGGAAAGAGATTTAGATTGTGGGTCACTGCCAAAACCAGTCAGAGTGAAGAAGGTATATAGTACATGCTAAAATACGGGATAAGGAGGGTTACACGTCAAGGGCTGTGGAGAAAAAGTACTTATTAATTGTCCAACTGGGAGATGATTGCACAGCGAGGAAAATGTAGTGAAAATACCCAATTCAAGAAAGAGCCTTGATTCAGAAACAGTACAGTTACAGCAGGGAGTAGAATGTCGATCATTCGTACTTCTGGTGCATATTTATGATTGAAGCAAAATTGGCTGGAAATATATTAGGTATATTAGGTGTCCATGCAATTATGGATTAGAGAGCCTAGTTATTTTTAATTAGGGACATTACCAAAAAACATCAAAGGGGTTGAACTTATCGTTCTATTTAGTATGTTATTATATGTAACAAAAGGAACCTATTTTAATTTCAAAATTTGAACAAATGATGGCAATTATGGAAGTACAGAATATCAATGGTGCCTGTGTGTGTTGTGTTGGTGTGTGTGTGTGTGTGTGTGTGTGTTCTGCTTTTGTGAGGCACAACCAAGGCAATTAAGTAGTCAAATCATTTCATCCATTTACAAACATTACACAAGAGAATAATTCAAATAGTCTTTTTCCCCCCATTTTAACTGCTCCCTGGCCTACTTTTAGATTAGTTCTAATAAAATTTTTGAGAGTACTCTGCGTTTGTTTTTTTGTTTTTTGTTTGTTTGTTTTTTTGGTTTGTTTGTTTGTTTTTTCTAAATCAAGGTTTTTCAGCACTGGAGTTTTGATATTTTGGGCCAGATAATTATTGTTGGTGGGAAGGGGGATGTTGTCTTGTTCACTGTAGACTGTTTAGCAGCTTTCTTGGGTTCTACCCTCTAGACGCAGTAGGACACCCCACTCCCCATTTTCACAGTCAAAAATGTGTCTAGATATTGCCTAATATTCACTGGGGGAAAATCACTCCCAGTTGAGAACCACTAATCCAAATACTTGTCCCCTCCCCAAATGAACACACATGCCGCTAACACAAAATATGTTTATAGATATGTTTATGGACTGGATACCTTTGCAAAAGTGAACATTTTTCTTTAAATTTGGAAGAATGAAGGAGATGTACATGTTTAAATGTGACCAATTGAATTTGAATATGGTGGGAAATACGCTGCTTGTAAGAGGCAGCATGCCCTAGTAGTTTAACCACATGAATTCTGAGTAAAAATTAATATAGTCTTATTCTACCTCTGCCATTTACCAAGGCTGTATCCCCATGCAAGTTGCTGAATCTCTCTGTTCTTTGCTGTTCTCATCTCTAACTAGCTCATA
Source organism: Homo sapiens (assembly GCF_000001405.40). Classification (NCBI taxonomy): domain Eukaryota; kingdom Metazoa; phylum Chordata; class Mammalia; order Primates; family Hominidae; genus Homo; species Homo sapiens. The sequence continues at coordinate 65,595,890 of NC_000004.12, read as the reverse complement.
AAAATCTTGTGAGATATTGGCAGTGGCTCATGCCTGTAATCCCAGCACTTTGGGAGGCCAAGGCAGGTGGATCACGAGGTCAGGAGATCGAGACCATCCTGGCTAACATGGTGAAACCTCGTCTCTAGTAAATATACAAAAAATTAGCCCGGCGTGGTGGCGGGAGCCTGTAATCCCAGCTACTCGGGAGGTTGAGGCAGGAGAATGGCGTGAACCCGGGAGGTGGAGCTTGCAGTGAGTGGAGATCGCGCCACTGCACTCCAGCCTGGGTGACAGAGTTAGGCTCCGTCTCAAAAAAAAAAAAAAAAATCTTGTGAGATATTATATAAAAATTATAAAATAAAGGGTAGCTACAGGTTATAAAATTATCTAGTTTTCTCTAAGTAGGTAGTATATTCCTGAGCAATTTAATTTATCAAAGAATAATACTACATTTTTTCCAATGGGTAAATAAAACTATGTACGTTTTATAGAACTTCCTTTATAAAAATTTTGTTAGAAGTACAAAACTGAAAAATTTGCTATCTCGTTAGACATTATCACTTATTCTATAAGTTGTTATTGTAGTAGGCACTCTATCCAGCCTATAGAATTCCTGTATCCTAGGAATGTGGACATATATACATACAAACATGCATATAGACTCACATCTACAGTTAAAAGTTATGAAATTTTCTAATGGCAGTGTGGGTGAAGTGTGGTATTTTAGATAGGGAAATAAGATTTTTTTTTTTTTTTTTCTGAAATGGTGGCATTTAACATAGAAGTTAGGGGAAAAAAAACTGTGAAAAGTATGGGAAACAGTACAGCAAACAGAGGGAGCTTCCAGTGCAGAAATCTATTTTAATACATTAATTTTATGTATGTCTCATTTCTTTCTAAAATTACACTTTAAAAATGTATTTGCTTATAAAAATCTGAGAAATAAAAGACCTGATGATTCCTGAACTTACCAGCTAAAATATGCTCTTCTTATACATTTATTATTATCTTAAAGACAGAAAACTCCTAATAAATATCTAGGGTCAAATGCATGCATATCAAACATGAAACAATTCAGTTTATTTATAAGTGGTGTTGGTGGATGATTATTTGTAAATTATTACACCCGTTGAAAGTATAAAACCCATTTTTTTCTTAAAGAACTTGTTTCATTGGTTTGACAATGGTTAATAACTAGTGACTCTTCTGCTATATGTTGATGGACAAATACGGGGACTTGGCAATGAAAGAAAAGACAGAAGAACCAAAAACCTCGTGATTTCTTTCTGGTCAAACTTTTAAATCTGGTCTGCACTCCTACTTTCTCACTCATAAAAGAAATTATGCTAGTGAAAGTCTTGAGGTTGTATATATTTTTAGTTTAGAATAAATGTAACAGGCAAATGCTATACCTCATCTTTACAGTAACAGTAATAACTACTTTGTAAATTTCACTTTGGGCAGGTCTCTAGGATGTTTTATATGATGATGACATGTTCCATATTGTTACCGTGAAAATGAATCTTAACATTAATGGACTTGAGTTTCATCATGGTTATATGGATGGAGAATTAATGATTATATTTTATGTTGAAATGTCTCATATTTGTGTAAACACCTCTTAATAATAAACATTTATTAAAATAAGATGCACTGGATAAGCTCCTTTTATTATAATACATTTTTATAACATGATAATTATCAGGAGAAGATTTTAATTATAAAGACCTCACAAAAAGCTTTATATATTTAAAATTCACAACATTTAAATGTTCCAGGAAACCAAAAAATAGTCCTTTTGTTTTATTGTTTGCTTATTTTCTTGTTATTCAGATACCAGCAAAAGAACTTACATAAAGTCTGATAACATAAAACAGAACAGCTCTCATGGGAAAAGTGTGTACAGAGAAATTCGATCGTGAAAACTCAGAGTGCGATTTAGCAAATATTTCAGTATCAGTTTTCAGATTCTTCAGAAATAATAGTTCAAAATATGAATGCGAATTATAAGAAACAAAGTAACCAACACTTGCATAAAATCATTCAATAGACTTCAAACATTAAAATTGATCTCTGAAAGCATCAGGAGGTATTTGTGTGCGTAGCAGATTAACGGCATTGGGCTTAAAAGTGATGCCGGCCTCAGCTCAAATCTCACTCTATCATTTGGTAAATACGTAACTGTGGTCAAGTTACAAAACCAGATTGAGCCCTGCTTTCTTCCTCTGTGAAATATTAAATGTTATAATCTTCACCTGTAAAGTGTTCATGTAGCTGCAAGTAATGTTTGCCTACTTAGAAATGATACATGGACCGGCAGCATTGGCATCACCTGGGAATTTTTTAGAAAGGAAGAATCTCAGCCTTACCCCAGAATGTTAAATCTGGATCTACATTTTAGCACATTCCTTGGTGATTTTTATGTACATCAAGTTTAAGAAGCACTGAAAGAAAGCACTCTTGCAGTGAGTGTGTTTTTCTTTTTTATTTCACAGATTGGGATACTTAGGTACAGATAAATTAGGACCGTGTTAGTATATAAGGTCAAGAACAGTAATTTATTTATCTTAATCCCTTGTATGTATGTAAAAATAGTACAGTATCAATGTTTTTAGAGCCATTGTGCATTAGTTAAATATTTCTCCCCCTCAAAATGTTCCTTAATATACTTTTATCATACATATGGTAATTATTTAATTTTTGACAGTATTAGAACTAATAATACTTCTTTCTGATAATTGCATTATGACTTAAGAGTTACATATTTACTATCATTTCTCTATCCCATTATCATAAATAGACAATATTTAGCAAATTAGAGGAAAAGTCAAACAACAGACAAGTAGAGAAAAAAGTAGAGGTGCATCCATGTTCTAATGAGTTCAATGTATAAATTAGCTGTTTGTTTATTTTGCCCCCTTTTGGGATGCTTGTCTTTTTCTTATTGACCTAGAGGAGTTTCTCACATGATTTAGCATTTCCTCTTACTGATGTGTATTATTGGGACCAAATTTTGTCTAATTCTTCTGTGCTCAACATTTACGGTGCAACACAATCATTTTAAGCAGCGTTGTTGTCGGCCATAACCAAGGAGAAATTCTGACATCATGGTATGGTGCTAGTCAGAGGTTCAGTATTTTTTAAAATGTTTCTTAGTTGATTGTTATATGCAACCAGGATTGAGACGTGTTGTAACATTTGAAATTCATGTGTGTTTTGCTTTTGGTGGCTAATATGAATTTGCATCCCGAAACCTCACCCAGAGAAGGCCACTGATTTTGATTCTTGAAGGTTGTGCTTTCTTCTTCCCATTAGGAGGTTATCAGGTAACAGCCACTTTGTGCTTTCCTTGTGTAAATTTTTTTCTTTTCTTTTCTTTTTCTTTTTTCTTTTTGTTTTTTTTTAACTCGGAGTCCTCTTGAGGATGTAGCCAGCTTTTTAAAGTTTCAGGTTCTCTGAAGGTCTCCCCACTTGGTACCAGGCTATGGCCTTTTCTCTTGGATTCTGGGGCATTAAAATTCAAGTTGCCTTGTTTCCCAGAGCCTGCCTCATCCCACTGAGCTTGCAGGGCCGCCAAGGATATGCTCTGGCACTCACCACTCCAGGCTTTGGCTTTCCCTTTGTTTCTGCCCTGTGTGGATTGACATTGCCAGACATTTTTAATTTATTAGTTTTAATGGAATTTGTGTTAAAACAAAACATAACAGGAACGTCAAGCTGTTATACTTAGTTCAGGATTTTTTTTACGTGCTTATACCTGAAGCATTTTCAGGTTTTCTTAGACCTTCACATGGTTGGTACTGAAAGCCTTCTGAAAACTCACGAATTCTAAATTTTATAGCTCCCCAGGTATACCATGCCAAATACAAAATGTTTAATTTTAAAAAAAATTACTGTGGACTGATAGGAAGATAAAATTTGTGAAATTACTTGAACCTTCCCAATACTAAATTCAGTTTTTTATTAGGTAAGAAATGAAGAATTTTTATGTTTTTAAAAGATACGTTTCATTTAAGTTTTACTCAAAACTCATGTTATTTTACTAAATAGTTAGTATCTAAAAAAGTATTAGTTAAGCTGTCTGAAAAATTTGGCAAGTAAAGTAACTTTCATCTATTAATAAGCATTGTCATTTTAACATTGTAATGAACAGAAGAAAAGCTGTGATTTTTCTTTTCCATCTTCTGTAAGTAACGTTAGAATTAAAATAATTTACATGACTTAGGGAAAAAAAGTCCCTGTACTTCCTTACAGTTTTTCATCTTTTCTGATCACAATCTCTGAAGCTTTTTTTTTAAAAAAAATAAAATTAAAATTAATGTAGGCAAAGTCATCTCGGCTTTGAGAAAGGAGTATGAAATAAATATATGAGTGAAACTTGGGAACACAAAACTAATTCTGAGAAATGAGTATGAAATAAAGATATGAGGGAAACTTGGGAACAGAAAACTATTTTTTAAATAGTTTTAGCATAAATACTCCTAAATGATATGATAAAGTTAAATTTTATTTCATCAGTCAACTCAGTAATTATAATTAAATCATGTCATCTGTATAAAGAAAAAAAGGCATGAATTTAGAGGTGTTATGTTAATACTAGTTATTACAATAAGATTAATCATATTTCTTCATAGTACTAAAAATGAAGATATAATACAGATGTAAATATTGGTCTATTTCATAATCTCTTCATTGCAAAACATAAGTGAAATGCAATGATCCTTCCATGTGGAAAACGGAAAACTTTTATTTTAGACAGGATAATAATATATTTACTTTTTTAGCACATCTTGTTTCATCACCTTAATAAAAATTTAACATGAGTTGAAAATTTCATGAAGGTCAGTAAGCTAATAAGGAAAATGAGATCTGGAGTAGGGGGTTGGGGAAGGGATTAACCTGCCTGATATCACACAACCACCATATTTTAATTTTAGCCTTAGAATCGTATTTTACTTCAGACTCTTTGTTTTACTTTTTGACCTTGTACAGTGTAAAAACACACTTAATTACTATGATCTATCTGTACTTTTAATTGTATACTGCATTAATGATAAACCTGAATAAAAAGTACTGTTACATCCTAGGTCCTTATTAGGAATAATATGCTAAATGTTTTGTGCTTCATCTGTATAGACTTATTTAGTGTACCCCATGGATGGGTTAACCTTGAGGAATCTACTTACCCACTTTCAAGGGTTGCATAGAAAACTATCTGACTAATAGCAAGTGTAGCTTAATTTGTCTCTCTCTCTTTCTCTCCAATTTATGCTACTCATAGAAAAGTATGCCTTTTACGGAAATTGTACAATTATTGCCTTTAAATTTAACTCATACTTTAGTCTAGAAAGACATGCCAATTATTATAAAGCAGGAAGGCATGGAATTACTAACCCTGGCATAGTTCTTTCTAGGAAGTGTATAATTCGCAATAACAATAAAAAAGTGAATTCTAAGCTATACATGATCTCATAACTGGTTTTCATTACATGAAAATGCTTTTATATCCTTTATTATTTCTTGTCATGCGTGTGGATCACATCTTATCTTTAAGTATTTGATTCTCTTTGGTGCTTAAATGCTTTGTCTGCATTTACGGCTGACCAGCAGTGTTTCATCTGTAAGAACCAAAGTGATTTGTTGATATGCTTTCATCTTTTCTGAGCTTGAAGATATCCTGCTCATTTGAGCACTGTAAAGGTGTAGTTTATAAAAGAAAAGGTAAGGAAAGAAAGAAGAACCACAGTTTGGAGGAAGTAACAATTAGAGCAAATGATAATTTGACTGACGGATAACTCCATTTATTTGATGGAATTGTTAGCAGGAATCAGACATGGAGAATGAATGCTGGAAAGTTCCTGCTGTGTGATTGTAAAGGAGAATCACAATACACTACTCCATATGCATAAGAGCTTTTCCTCTGATGAATTCAAAGTATTTTGAAAGGATTCCATTAGGACATATCTAAAATAAAATAAAAAATGAGACTATCAAAGTTTTATTTTCCATTTTGTGGGTGGAAAAGTCATGTGATGTGATTTCACCAGCGTTTTCCATGTTTCCCTTAGCCTTCATTTTCCCACACTACTTTTATGCCTCACAATCTGAAAGCAACATAATTACTTGGTCCTGTGGATGATTTTTTAATATTCACCTGTTCCCAATATTTTCCAATGCTAAAAGCTTCTTTTTTTAGAACCAGACTGACCTGTATTATTTATTTATTTTAAATTCTCTTTAGAAGGTTCTGTGTGTCATCTGTGTTTGCTCTCTTGGTTCAAGCATGATTTAATATGTCAACACCGGTTTGCTTAACTGCATTTGATTGTCTTCCATACTTCACTTAGAGCTAGGCAAGTTGCCTTTCAAGAATGTTGCTGCCCAGATAAATGAAATGTCACAACAGTGAAGACTCCTTGTTTTCTGACAGCAGTGGCTTTCTTTGGCACAGCCAGTGGTTACAGAGGGAGGTGGGGAGGGAACTTTAACAGTAATAATAGAGCCCATTTAAGTCAGGTTGTGCTCCTCAAGGCCCACACAGACTAACAGCAATAGAATAATGTACTTACATTTGAGGAGGGCTTCAGTCTTTATTCAGGTGAAAAAAAATTTAAATTCAGAATAAGAATTTGTTTTCCCATTATGGACAAGTTAAAAAAAAACGTCTGTTAGCAGTTTAACCAAATAACACTCAAAGAAATCGAGTTTTAGTTGGATTTCCTTCATACTTTATTACCAGGCCCTGAGTGGTTATTGCTCTCAGTACATAATGTTAGAAACCAGTTCATACTAAAAAATGTTTCCACTGTCTCCCACAATAAACATATTGATTATGATTTCAAAACTTGGATTAGATTTTAAATATTGGAGGCTCATAAAGCTTAGCACTTGGCACAAAGAAAATCCTCAATACATGCTAGTTAGATTTAAAAGTTTAAAGCAATTTCTAATTTCAATGAGAGATAATCCTAGATAAAGTGCTGGGGTCTTTTGTTTCCTTCTGTTTTTGTTTGTGTGCTACCATTTGTTGGTATTGTTGCCACCACCCTGGCCATTGGAGCACTGGAACATAGGAGCACACTCAACCTGGTACCGTCCGACCAGGCCAGCTACTCATGGCAAGCCCTTTAAGGACTCAGAAGCTTTCTAAGAGTTGTTGGTATGAGTGCAAGTGTGCACATTTTCATTTCAATTTAAAGGAGAAATAAACCAGACCAACCAGGCATGTTGTTAATGATTAAATATATGTTATAGGAATAGAGAGACCATAAATAAAACACCTTGATCAGAAACTGAGGGTATAAGAAATTAAGCATTCAGGAAGCATAGAATTGGGTGAAAAATCCGACTTCTGGTAAAAATCTGATGAAGGGGAAAGTCTTAGCCAAGGGCAACCTGTCATCATCAAGGGAAAGACCAGCCAGACTGTTCCCCTGAGCAGATCTCAGGAGATCATAGTTATTTTCATCTGCACTTACAGGGAATGGAACGAAAGCTGAGGAGAAAAGGAGCTTGTTCCTAGAAAATACAAAAGTAGGCCAAAGGGAATAGTTTGACTTTCAAGTGCAGTGTAAAAAGCAATAATATACTAGAAATAATAGAGATCCCAAGAAATAAGATCTAAGATTCTGAATATCAGAATTGTCAGGATATTTTAACCGGAATGGTAAGGCAAGAAGAAGGGTTGACACATTTGCAAAAAGCTGCTATGTGTCTGTACTGTTAAATGTTTTATTCATATTCACTCTTTTAAGCTTGACAACATCCTGCAAGCCACTGTTTCAGGGGCAACTGAAAGCTCAGAAGGTTAATTTTACTAAGATCACACAAACTAAAACTAGAAAGTGGTAAATTGACATTTGAACCCAGTGTGTTTGTTTCAAAGTCTGTACCTTTTTACTATATGTTCTGCAATAAAATGTATTTGAAATTCATTTAATTTTGTCACCTTGACTTAGATCACCTGTGAGCTTAATCTGTTGTTGTAGGAGCTGCACTAAAGTGCACATGAGAGGGAGGCACCCCAGAAAGACACAGGAGCCACCAGAGTTGTCTTTACAGAAGAGAGATTCGGACCCTATTTTCAGACCTCAGACTGAGGAAAAGGAAAAGTGGCTAGAAAGGGAGAAAATGTAGTAGCGGGAAGATGGAACAAATAAGCAAAGCAAGACTGAGTGAGCAAAGCAAAGAATGCGTAAGAATGTCTGGGATTCTGAAGCTCTTACCCTAGACAGTAGAGGCCCTATAATTAGGCTCTATGAATAGTCAGGAACCGAACTAGACTTTTTAACATATTTCCTATGGGAATATCCAGATGGGGGTCGGGGCACCTTTTGGCATAAGCTCAACATACATGTAGTTGAGGGAGAGATTGTGTACATGGGTTTAAAGTTCTCAATCCATTTCTGAACTTTTGGTCTGTACATTCTTGGACACATAAGCTGCTTTGCCTTACTTGTCTGCTCCTGTAAATAGTACAGGATTTTTTTAAAACATGTTTTGGCCTTTGGAGTATTAAAGTGTCATTTGTATTCAAGTTTTGTTTTGTTTGTTGTTTTTGTTTTGTTTGGAGGTGTGGTATGGAAGTAATAAAACAAAACTGGACTGTACAAAATAAGGGAGGAGACATTGTCAGGATTCTGATGTGGGAGCATCCTCTGTACCTCATGGACCTGGTGGGATCTTTAGATTTTTCATTTCCACAGTAAAGAAGTTAAAGGATTCTTCATCTCCCCACCAATTCCGAAATTACACATTTAGCAGGTACAAGGTTTCTGACTGGAGGAGACTTTCAGTTTGAAGTGTTTTCATGTCATTCTTGATGGTGGGAAGTTGAAAAGAAGCAGAACACAAAACAAAACAAAGACAATTAAAAGCAAAAGCAAAAATAAAAATATCTTTATAAGCAAAATAGTACAATTAAAATAATTGCTACTTCTCTGATGATTGATCTAAATGAATTCATCATGCTGATAATGAAGACAAATGTCCTTATGTTCTAATGGGTAGAACAGAACTGTTTTAGAAAAAATAAAATTCATATCCATGCATTATCTCACCCAGCTGCATGCCAGGTCTGTAGAAAAGAATTTAATCCTTACAATAACTTTACCAGATATATACTGTTGTTTTTATTTTATAATTGGAAATAAATGAGATTAATGTAGATTAAATATGATTTCCAAGAACCCTGAGTTAGTAGTTAGCTTCAAATACAGCTTTGTTATGCTTAAATATATATTAGCTTTGAGAGAAAAAAAAACACATTGGGATTTCTAACATTTTAGAATATACCACATTTTAGTTTTTAATTGAAAAAGTAGATAAAGCTTAATTACTGGAATGACAGGGGAAGAGATGTATAGTAAAAAGACAAGGATAGAGAATATTGTAGCACTGATATGAAGAAAAATAGTAACTGCTACCTGTTTTGAAAAATCAAAATCAAAGACAACTATTTGCTAGTAATTATATGAAAAGAAGATATAAAAAGAACTAATTATATTCATATGACTATATATGTTTATACATGGCATCAGTAATATGAAAAAAATCACAATGAACTTAAGATTGTCTAATTATTATATAACTTGAATATGGGAGTTACTTTTAGTGGGAAAAGTTATATTAAATTGGGTACAATGAAGAAATTGCTAATATATGACGATTTTGAAGTAGAAAAGATGGTTTCATGTTATTCAAAATAACATATATGCAATCAAATGCTTATATTTGATATAAGCATTTGATATCAAGTTAATACTTATTGATACTTTCTCATTACTTATATATTAAAATAGTTCAATAATTAAGGAAAATTTGACTGCAAATCCAATTTCCCTAAGTGTACTCTCTCTCTTCCTCTTCCTTATTTCTTTCCCTCATTTTCCTTTTCTCCTATTTTTGTTTTTTCTCTTTATTTTTAGGAGACATTCCAGAAATGATAACTTTTGTATTTCTCAGTGTATTTGACGTAGAAAAAAAAGTAAGGCTGCAGGCATTTTTTTCCAGTTTTATATTATAAATATTACTAATTTTACAATAAAACTTGAAAAGGAGTATATGTCCATACTGCTGTAGAAAAACATATGCTCCTTTATTTTGTGTAAATTGTTCCTAATTCATAATTTTAAATGCTTCTTAGAGCTCATAGACTTATAAGCACTAATTACAACAGCTGTTTCATGTTTTCTCTATATAAAGGAGAGATACACAGCTAAATGTAACTGTAATCTCCAATAATCTTCAGATTTTCTTGTTTTCTTTTATTTTGTTTTGTTTTTCCCAAATAAGTGTTCTTGCTTTGTTCTTGGAAACAAAAAGATGTTGTTTTATTTGTATCCTGCCATTTCAGCTTTTCTACTAATAAAGTTAACAGATCCTGTTTCAACTCACAAAAGCACTAACTACTTTAGCTCTTAAGGTCAATTAAAACACTCTTGGTAAATATTTTTTTTTTTCTCACCAAAGTAGTATTGAATCCTGAAAACCTCTCAGTTTCAACTCCTAGGTAAGATTTAAAACCTGGTTGTTTTCTGATTTTTTTTGTTTTCTCCAATTCTTACTACTTTTTTCTAAAGTTACTTTACTTTGTGTTGTTTTGATTTCTTCTACTTACACCCCATTTCAATCTCCTGCTTTTTTTCTCCTCCCTTATAAATTTTCTGTAATATAAATTCATTCAATTCATTTATAGCAAATTCTATATATCACACACTATTCTAAGCACATCATATTTATTATGTAATTGGATCTGGACACAGACACACACACACACACACACACACAAACACACATGCACACACATATACATGCATGCATGCAGGTAGTGAAAAACAGAGATGTAATGAAGATAACACGTTGGTAAGTACTGGAGCTGGAGGGAAACTTAGGTCATATCTTCCAGGGTCTCTCTGCTCTTAACTACTATGTCATTCTGGTCATGGAGAGAACAGCATTTCCTCTCTCCTAATTTTTTCTCAATTTTCTCACCAAGGCATTTAAAAAACAGTTAAAAAGAAAAAAGAAGGCTGTATATGTAATAATTATATGAGTGACAAATAAATAATTAAATAGGAAGATTTTTTAACAATACTTTCATAAGTTATTTTGATTAAAAATCTCAAGAACACTTAGGCACTTGATCCTTTTTATCTTGTAAAAAGAGACTGATTCAAATACTAAATATTTCCATTAAAAATGTACATGTCCACAAACTCTAAAAATTAACAAAAATTGTTATGTACTAAAATAGTAACATTGTCATTTAAAATGTGTTAATATTAAAGGTATTAGAGACACTTTTCTAATAGGTATTCCATTTTTGTTCATACTGGTTCCTCTTGTTTGCTGTACTATTTTTAAATATGTCATAAAGGAAAAGTTGATATGTTTAGGTTATGCTTTGTCACATTTGAGTATTTTTGGGGGTTGAGGGGGCTGTGTCATGCCACTCAAAAAATCCGAAAAGGGCTTTATCGTCAAGTTCGTGCAAGAGAATTTTGGAAAAGAAATTTGAAATATTATTTTGTATTTTAAAAATATATTTAAATTACTATTTGAATTCCATAGTTAAGACATTAAAGATTGGCATTTTCAATTAAGATATATTTCTCAGACATCAATATTACTGTACATCCAACAGAGATTTAGTCACAGAAGAGAAACACATTATATTTTGAAGAAATTGATGAGTTTCTGTTTGAAGGAAATATTTTCATTACAGGTTTTGTTTATACCTTATCCATTTGATTGATTTTATTATTTTAAGATAAAAAATAACTCAGGTATATGAATGGAAAAACTGGATATAAATTGAAGAGATTTAAAAGTCTAGTAGAATTGATCATGTGTTAAAGTTTTAGCTGACTTTTTTCAAATTGGTTATTAAAATACATTATTTTACAATTTATACTTAGCATATTACATATATACCGTATTACATATATATTACATATATAGTGTGTAAACATATTTTAAATAAATTTAATTTAATGTTTAATGAATTTAATGAACCAGTATATACATTCGCAAATAAGAATATATATACCTATTTTATGTATACATTTAGTCTACCTTTTGGGAAATGCATAATGTCAAATAATAGAATTTCTTTTTCATGATTTTATGTGAAAAACAATAACAAAGATATGTTTCTTTTTTAACAAAATCAAATTTTACGTATTCTGAAGGGTGATAACCACAAGCCATAGGGAAAAGTGCCGGACCACATTCAAATTAGCCTTATTGTTCTGTAATATCTTCCTGGAGTACAAGGTTAATTAGTACCATAGGCGATATGCATTATTCATCATTGCAATCAGTCTTTTATTCTGTGGGGTCTTTATCAACTACAAATTGTTGTTTTTCTTGTAACAAAACCTTGATAAACTATTGTCATGTTTAATTTTACTGAATTTTATTGGTGATATATAAATTGATTCGTGTACTTTAAATATTCAGAAAATGCCATTCCAATCTAGAAAACTACACAGTAAGATTAAAGACGAATGTCCTCCTCTTCGGTAGGAGAACATGAATTTTCAAGGCAATGAACATAGATTGTTATTGCTTATTTTAGTTTTCTTTTTTTACTTTTAAATTAATTTTCTCTTTATGTTACAGAGAAAGCTTTAATAATATTTGTGTTTAGTGGCAAGAGTTTCTCATTAAATGTTGATTTTATAATTTTCTTTCTATATTATTAATTTCCTCTCTCCTTAGAATATAAACTCTCCGAGAGCAGGAATTTTATATATTTTGTCCATGATTTATCACAGCAGATAGACCTGGCTTATACCTTAAACATATTATTAAATGAATTTAATGAACAACTGTGTACACTTGCAAGTAAGAATACATACCTATTGCCTAAAATTTAATAAGAATTCAATTGTAGATTAAAAACAAAAAAATCTTGTCTCAATTCTAGTTTTTATATTTCTCCTCCTCTTATTTAAAAGAGACAAAGATATAATAAGAAAGCAAATGTGGAGGTAATGTCAAAGGCAATACAGAAATTATCATCTATTATGTAATTCTAAGTTATAGAATCAAATGATAGCCAACCAGCAAGAATTCCAATGGTCATTTTACTTTATTTTATACCTTTGCAGACTTTTGAGTAAATATATGTAAATTGGCAATTTTCTCCTTTACCTCTTTTTTCAGAAATCACATAATTAAAATTGCACACACACAACACAGCTGCAAGTAAGTTGCAAGAAATGTTGGAATTCATTTTTTTCCTCTTTCCTCAGATAATACCCAAGTTATTTTCATAGACATCTGTAACCTTCACTCATCTGGAGAAGAGTTATCAGAAAATTTCAACTTCAAGAAAGCACTTCAGTTTATTTTTTTTTGATAATTTGCCCATAATTTTTTCATAGAGTAAGAAAAGGAATACTTCTGGATTTTCTTTTTTTTTTTTTTCCCAATTGCTAGTCCCTTTTGGTGTCCAGGCAAAAATGATTGAGTCTTTGCCATCCAGAGGAAAACAAGATATTTTATGAGCAAAGAATACCTGACTTTGCTTATCTGATGCACAGTTTCCCTCGTCATAGTTCAGATCTAAAATTTAAAATGGAAAGTTATACAAGGTATAGTTAAAAATACCTACTCCCTTGTCTCAGTCTAAGAATAGAATTGTGGCGTCTTGAAAATTAGTCATAAATTGTTTGTCATATGGAAATTTTTATACATATCTATCTTATCACAGTAACAGTCCTGGTTTCAAGTTATTAAATTATTTTTTCCTTCAGAACACACTGAGGAGTTCCTTTTATTTATTTTTTCCTAAAATATCCAGACATGTTTAATGCAACCCAGCTCCTGAGGGATTGAGGAGGAGGACCATTTCTATATGCTTCATAGTGTCTACAGCAAAACAAGCAAACCAACAAAGACAAAAGATGTTGAAAGGTGCTCACACACATAAAAATGTTCACATTATTAAAACATGAATACTTCCTGCCTTTTCAGTTAAACTTTGTTAAAGTAAATTACTTTACCAGAATTTCAATTGTCTATGTGTAAAGAATTACAAATAAAACATGGTTAAAACTCTTGGACAGTTACTTCATGACTTTAGCATATAAACCAAGTTATTGCCCATTTAGAAACCTTCCATTAAATTGGTACTAAAGAGTTTTCATGCCAATAAGTTAACTAGTTCAAGCCTATATTTTATTTAAGGAAGTAAAGTGCGCTGAAGACATTTCTAACTCAAAACCTGGTAACTGTTAAGATAAAACAAGAATTTAAAATGTCCCTATGGCTGGTATATTTTAAGATTCATTACCTTTAGTCAACATAATCTATATAAAATTGTCAAGTGAAAAAACATTAGGTTAAGTTTCAAAGAACCCAGACTGATAAATAAGGACCCATGTTTCAAATACCACCTCTGCCAGAAATAGACCAATTTGGGTAAATCGCTTTGCTTGCTAGGACTTCAGGAGGTTAGTCTTTAAAATAAGAGATTGACTTTGTAGGATATGTAAAAATAATTTACCCTCTAATCTTTTGACTTCTTAGCTGAGACCCTTGTAACAAAAGACAGATTAACAAGAACAAAAAAACAAACGGAAGTTTATTAACATGTATACATACTTCATGTATACGTGAAAAAGACCCAAGAGAAAAACTGAGTAAATCTGAAAGAGATGCTTAAAACTCTGGCATATAGAGCATCTTCAACAAAGAACAATATACTTTTAGAGAAGTGACAAGACAAAGGAAAAGGACCCGAGTCACCAAAGGAGCAAATTGTTGTGGGCTAAATAAATGGGAGAACAAACGATAGATAAAGGCTAATTGGTTGGTTTACCTTTTCCTAGTTGAAGATAGTAATTAGGTTTCTAAGCTCTATACTGTGTTTATTGCTGGCAGTGACACCAAAGATAGAGGCAATGGATAGAAATTTTTAAACTGGAAAGAAAACCTGAATTACACTACATTTTCGAAATCTCTTGTAATTACTTGGGATATCAACAAAATTTGATTCATCTGTCTAATCCCATTGCTAGTCTTTTAAATATGTCTTTAACACATTGTATCTTTTAATTCTTCATTGGAAATGGAAATAAGTAGATGTTTCAAAGTAAAAAAAAAAAAAGTAAACTGTGTTATTTAGATTCCTTTGGTGCCATCTCCAGGCTGATAAGGGTCTGAAGTCTTTTATGCTCAACTTTTGTCCTCTTTGAGGGACAGGGGAGGAGGGAGATCTTTGTAAATTTAAGTCCTAATTTTAGTCAAATAGGGAAAGAGCAGAGGGCTTTTATTTTATTTTATTTTATTTGATATGTGTTTCACATTATTTACCTTCAGCACAAAATAATCCTTATGCCAAAGTGGCATAGTTTTTGGTGAAATATTCTACCACCCTTGAATTTAGTATCATGTTTTTCAAAATGGGTTTTCTGGACATAGTCTTCAGTCACTGAAGATCATCATTGGAAGGACTGCATTTTATATTTTAATTTTATGTTAAACTTGAAAATTTCCCATGTAATGTCAGACGGTACAATTTAAAGTAGCATTTAGTTTCAGCAAAATAACATGAATTGTCACATTAATTAGTACTGTTAATTAGAATTTTATTGGCTCTGTAGGTTTGTTTGTATTAATTCTGTAAAATTGTTTGGTTCTGTAGTTACAGCAGCTATAACCTAATAATTTTATTTTTAAGTTTATATATGCCTATTTTAATGAGTCCTTAAACATTTTTAAAGTTTTAAGTAAATACTGAAAGCAAATTTTTTTTCTTTCAAAAAGTGACTAAACATTATTTAACCTTTAGAACTTTGTTCTAAAATGATCTCTAAGTCTCGTTCTTGAAAATTAAGTCATTGGATTATTAGCAGGCTCAGCACTCTGTTGTATGCATATTTACCATCAGCTTTACATTCTTTAGGACATTTTCTCAAATATTAATAAAGACTATTAAATTTCGCATGATAGAAGCAATCTTAATCTTTGTTGTATAATCAGTATTTTCATTAACTTAAGGTACTTGCTTTTTAAATGTGAGTCATTGGAAAATTATTTTTAGCACTTATAGATGTGTATGTTTACATTGATCGGCTAACTCAGGAGGTTCTATTATTGCTGGTTTGAAATTACTATGCTCAGAAAAAAACAGAATTTATCATTTCAGCTGTCTTGATTGCCATGTGATTGGTTGGAGATCCGCTTTCTAAAACACGAGAATATTCATCTTTAAATCACAGACTCAAGCAATTAGTCAATGGTGTATTTTATTCAACAAATCTGAAGATTATTTTAATAAAACATGAAGATAACAAATACAATGAGAAATAACTAGTAATTATTCTCATAATTTTATAATTAGGAAATATTTTGAAAATGTTATGCAGCATTCATTACATATAGCAAAACGTTCCAAATGCAATTAGGCTCACATTTTGCCATATTCAGGCATCTCACATTAAAATTTTATTTAATCTATACTGCCACAATCCTGAGATGACAAATGGCAGTTTAGAATAAATATTTTATATATATATATTTATATATATATATATATACACACATACATATATATATTTACACATGCAGGTTATTCCCCTCTCAATTACATCTCTTTTCTGTCTTCGAGTTATTCAGTCATTCTTACTTAGGCAGAACAACACTGATAACATAACTAATATGATGGGACAGTAGAAATTTTATATTCTCATGGCAAATTGCTTATTTAGTTATTTTGTAGTTGAAGAAAATATAATTTCCATAAGCCTTTTTGAATAATATTTAAACATTTTTACAAAATATAAAGAAAGTACCCTTCCTGCTGGCTATAAAAGTAATCTTCATATAGCTATTTTTATTTTAGATTAACATTTTGAAACACTAAAAAATACCATTCTTTCCCACATTAGGCTACCTTTTCTAGTTCAAAGTCTAACTGAAGTTTAAGTTACCATAGTACTAGATTATTTTCAAAAATGTAGTCTTAACATTTTTTAATAGCGGTCTTTAGCATTTTACACCAATATGGAATTCTCTGTACAATAAACTTATAATTATAGGCTCTAGAAGCATGCTAGATTGAGTTATAGTCAGCATTGAGTTTCTTTTTTAATTATTCTCCCATATTTTCTTTAGCTTGTTACCAATTATTGCCAAATCTTTATATTAAATCTCATCCACGTATTTGTTGGGAAACCTCAAAGACATATTTTCTAAAGTGTCCTTTCGGTACTCTCGTCTTTTTAAAAATCAAATAATATACACACTTTTAATTGCAAAAATTAAAGGTTTCTTTTTACAAAACTTTAATTTAGATACATTCTTTATGTAGTAGAAGTCTTCACAAGTTTACAACGAACTGATTACTGTCAACATTCTACACTGCTCATATATTAGTGGCTCAGACCATTTAGAGCATGTGCAGTTGGAGCATTTGTCTGTGTGTGTGCCCCTCTGGTGACTGGGATGGTCCAGGCCCAACACAGCCTGGCTCCCTGAGAGTGCCTGTCCTATATCCTTTTCCTCCACCCACAGTGTCTGTTACTGACCTTTCCATAGAAGAAAACGAGATGGAAAACCCATAACCATCATTTTTTTTAGCATAAAACTATAGGAAGAAGTTTGGAATTAGCAAAGCCTACTGTTATGTCTTGTATGTATGTATGCCCCGCCCCCTGACAAAAAGAAAAAGACTAGGGATGGGGGTGGAGTACAGTTGGGAGGGTGTTAGATGAGAAACTCGGAAAATAATCTGCCAGGACTTGAATTACACATTTGGAGAGGGTGTGGTGTTTGGATAGAGATAGATTAGATGTTGATATAGGTATACTGATATAAAGATAGAGATATCCCAAGAAGTAGCTTATTTTTATGCATTGAAATTATTTATAATTAACTTGTATTCACTTATTCAGAAAATATTAATTGAGGCTAATTAAGTGCTATAAATTCTAGGAATTTCTGGTGAGGCAGAAGTGAACAATAACCAAAAGATTCCTGAGTTTATGGGGACAATTTCTAGTCTAATCAGTCACATACCAGTCTGATGAGAGAAATGTGACAGGATTTGTAAAGGCACCTTAGTTTTGATGCTAAGTACATACTTTCCCTCTGACCTTTTTTTCTTTAACATGATTTCTTGAAATTGTGGCTGGATATCTACTGATATTTTAGAATCCAGGGTCATTAGTGGCATTTCTGCATGCATTAATATTTCTGTCTAAAATTGAATGTTAGTAGTAAGTTACCTAGTCTATTTCAAATTAAAATATGAATAATGGTATATATACAAAATTTGCTTAAAATTTTATTATAGACTAAGGAATAATAAGTAAATTAGATTTAAATTATAATTATGTAAGTGAACTGACTTGGAATGGTTTTTCCTGTATTGGTTTCTAAACACCACATCAGTCACTTATAAGCCTCAACAAATGCGTAGTAACTTACTATATAAGCTACTATTACATTACACATAATAAAGCAGATTTTAAAAATCTCATTAAAATGATGCAATTGTCACTAATTTTTAAATGCTTTTGAAATGAAATGCCTAATAATCACCTGGAAAACATAGATGAAAGTATTAATTAAAGAGGAAACCTGCAAATACTGAGGTTCAATAGGTAGAAAAGACATTTTAAAAACAGCTTTTCATACAAATTTTGACATACAATATAAATTCAGTTAATATAAAGTGCACCCGTAAAGAAATCAATAAAAATGATAGTGGCAGCAAATTAAATGTAATTCTGTATCCAAAGATTTAAATAATAATTAACAAACAAAGAAAAACCTTACTTTCAAAAATGATTCTTAGCTAACTCTTCTTTCTTTGGTTGGAAGTAAAGTGCACATGTAAACATTCTATCAGCAACAGTGTTATAAAGTTTTGTACCTGTTCAAGAACACTGGGACTTGTTTTACCATTTCTATAGAGTGTAAAATTCCTCTTTCTCTATGTGGAGAGAAAATGTCACTCAAACTGATAGACATGGAAAGAGGTACCAAGGGACTGAGCATTTGCATCAGGTATGAAGTCAAGGTCAGAACTCCCAGTAGTGCTACTTCAAATGACCACCTGTCCTAACTTGTTGAACTTTTCATATGTGTCTAGGGTGAGAGATTTCCCAGATGAATAGAGTTATATGGTAAGTGACAATCCATAGCAGGAAGTAAGGAAAATATGACAAAGTCTGTGATAGGTAACAGAAACTCTTAGTTCCTAATGTTTATGTCTTACCCTCAAATATATATGTAACTGGAGGAAGACATTTAACCACTGGAGCACAAATCTGCCTTATTTGGATAATTCAGTGACTGGCCTGTGTACAGGCACTATCCATTCTAAAGTTCTCTAAAGTGTCACTATTTACACACTAGCTTTTTGAGGCTTAACAGCTTTTTTATGTGTTTGTGTTCAAAAACCATATTGTGCTACATTTTGCAGAACATAACATTCTTTTATCTACCACCTGCTTCCTAAATGCCCAATATATTGGATGAACCAAAGTTAAGAAAAATGACTGTAAAAAGGCTGTACTTCTTCTGGTGAACGATATTTGCACATTCCACCTACTGCATAACTTGAGCTTGTTTAATTATTATACTTTTTTCTCCACATGGATGCAGAGTTCCATACTGGGCATGTTTCTAGAAACCAAAGGTTTGGAACAAAATTGGCAAATGTCATGCATACCCTTGATCAATTTTCTGCATTTATTTTCCTTCCTTCCTTCCTTCCTTCCTTTACTTTCTCTCTCTCTTTCTTTTTCTTTCTTTCTTTTCTTTTCTTTTCTTTTTTCTTTTCTTTTCTTTTCTTTTCTTTTCTTTTCTTTTCTTTTCTTTTCTTTTCTTTTCTTTCTTTCTTTCTTTCTTTCTTTCTTTCTTTCTTTCTTTCTTTCTTTCTTTCTTTCTCTCTCTCTCTCTCTCTCTTTCTTTTTTGATGGAATCTCGCTCTGTCACCAGACTGCAGTGCAGTGGCACGGTCCTGGCTCACTGCATCCTCCACCTCTCAGGTTCAAGCAATTCTCCTGCCTCAGCCTCCCAAGTAGCTGGGATTACAGGCGCCCATCACTACGCCTGCCTAATTTTTGTATTTTTAGTAGAGACAGGATTTCACCATGTTGACCAGGCTGGGCTGGTCTCAAAGTCCTGATGTCAGGCCATTCACCTGCCTTGGCCTCCCAAAATGCTGGTTTTACAGGTGTGAGCCACCACGTGCAGCCTTCTGCAGTTATTTCTAACAGAGTTCTCACTACCTTAGAATGATGGAGGTGAGATTGCTATTAGGCTTATTAATGGCCTTTTAACAAATCTTATTTAAGACTGCATCTTATTGTAAGCTCAATTGCTTCATAGGATAAAGGAAGGTGAAATGGCAACATTTATGTGAGTAAATAAGCCACTCTAATGGTTCCATCTCTTTGCAGAGTGTTAGCAGAAAACATTGAGACCTGAACAGATAGTCTCACTAGGCAGTAAAGTATTCAGGTAAGCTAATATTTCTGTGTTGAGTTACGAAAGTAGTAGGTAGAGAGAACAGAGTATTCCTATACCACAAAGTTGTTAAGGAGTGGGGTTTGGACATCAAGTGAAGAAGGTACATGGAACCACTCAGCTTGTGGGAGCCCACTGATTTGGGTAGCTGACCATCCAAGGTTGTGAGCAGTAGAAATGCTATAAAATGTGGTCTGTCAACTTTCAGTGGACCAGAATGATTGCCAGGATTCATTTTGGACTTTTCTGTCTGATCTGCTCACTCATTCCAGTTTGTCTATTCTTTCTGTTGATTGCTGTCATCCTAGATTGCTCAGCTGTTTATATTGTTTCCCTAGATTTATTCTTGTTCATACCTAGCAGCATTCTTTTCCCAATTTAAAACTTACTTCATTTTTGGCAAGTGTTTATCTAAAGTACACACCTGTACCAGCCTCCTCACTGTATCACTAGAAAGGAAACCTTGTTCAATAAAATAAGTTATTTCATGTATCATAGGTTCTCTAGCTCTAATCCTTGAACTGACAGTGAGATGCCAGAGAGCCCATTTGAAGTTGCAGGGTTTTATAAGAAAAGTTTATTAGTGATGGAATTTTTACAAAAACAGTATCACTAGAGCAATTCTGCCATAGTATTCAATACTCTGAGAAAATTACTGTGTATATATATATATATGTATATATATATGTATATATATGTATATATATATGTATATATATGTATATATATGTATATATATGTATATATATGTGTATATATATATGTGTATATATATGTGTATATATATATGTGTATATATATATATGTATATATATATACAGCAATATATAGAGAGAGACATATTTATTCTGGCAATTTATTTAATAATTTTTCCAGTATTGGACATTTAGACTACATTATGTGGAATGACATTTTAATAAATTTTTATTTACACAAATATTTAACTACATTTATAATTATTTTCTTAATGTAGAGCCTCAAGAGTATGAATACATGTATTTGAGTTATTTGAGTATTTTTTTATTTTTTTATTTTTTATTATTATTATTTTTTTTTTGTAGTCAGCTATTTAATTAGGTTCTTAAGACATTTAGAACACCAATTTGTGAGGATAAATTCCATTCGTCAGGGCAAACACAGATCGCAACTAGCCCTGGAGCTGAGGAATAGCTTTGATTTTTGATAAAATTTGTGAGTCCACAGCTTTCTGATCAATCTTGCGCTGCTCCGTAATCTCATATTTCCCTTTTTCTGTGTCGAAGATCTCACCTTCCTGGTGTCTGGGCTTCCGCAGCTGCTTCTTCTTGAAGTAAGCATCAGTAAGATGTTTTGGGATTTTTACATTGCTGATATCGATTTTGGTTGAGGTGGCAATGACAAATTTCTGGTGTGTTCTTCATAGAGGAACTCGATTGAGGACCAGAGGTCCAGTCACAAGTAATAAGCCACTAGCCAGCTGCTTCAGGAAAACCACCCTCTTGCCCCTGTGGCGTCCAGTGAGGATGATCAGAATGGTCCCGGGGGTAATGCTGGCTCGCAGTTTTCTCACGTGCTGACTGAAGGGTTTTTTTTTGCCGTGGCTCAACAGCTTTCGAGGCACATCTTCAGTAGGATAATATCTAGGCATTTTGCGAAGTTTAACCACCCGGGTACCGCCGTTCTTGTCACCACCAACTGGTTTTGTAACAGTTGCAAGAACCTTCTCCTTCTTTTTCTTTTCAACCTTGGATTTAGCGGCTGAGTACTTCCTCTTGTACATGGCCTTTCTGGAATACATGGCAGATCGGGAATACCTGCCAATTCCTCTGACAAGGACAGGGTTGCGGCTGCAACGGGGCTTCCCCTTCTTGGGCTTTTTAGCTTTGAGGTTACCCTTTTTCACCTTGCCACCAGCATCAGTCTTCTTGGCTTCGGGTTTCTTCTCTTTAGTATCTGGCTTCTAAACTTTTTCACCCGCCATCTTGCAAGATGGGAAAGAGCTTCTTTTTTTTTTTTTTTTTTTTTTTTTGAGACGGAGTCTGGCTCGGTCACCCAGGCTGGAGTGCAGTGGCGCAATCTCAGCTCATTGCAAGCTCTGCCTCCCGGGTTCACGCCATTCTCCTGCCTCCGCCTCCCAAGTAGCTGGGACCACAGGCACCTGCCACCACGCCCAGCTAATTTTTTGTGTTTTTAGTAGAGACGGGGTTTCACCGTGTTAGCGAGGATGGTCTCTATATCCTGACCTCGTGATCCACCTGCCTCGGCCTCCCAAAGTGCTGGGATTACAGGCCTGAGCCACCGCGCCCGGCCCTGTATTTGAGTGTTTTCAAAGCTTTTGAAAACTATTCAAACATAACTTCCAGAATTATCGTGATAACTATTATTTTTATTATTCTTTTTTTTCTTTTTGAGACAAAGTCTCACTCTGTTGCCCGGGCTTGAGTGCAATGGCATGATCTTGGCTTACTGCAGCCTCCGCCTCCTGGGTTCAAGTGATTCTCTTGCCTAAGTCTCCTGAGTAGCTGATAATACAGGCGTGCACCACCACTCTTGGCTAATGTTTGTATTTTTAGTAGAGACGGGGTTTCGCTATGTTGGCCAGGCTGGTCTCAAACTCCTGACCTCAGGTTATCCGCCTGCCTCGGCCTCCCAAATGACTGGTATTATAGGCGTGAGCCACCACGCCCAGCTTGTGATAATTATTATTACACAAATAATAAATGAGTAAAGGACATGCTCTCTTGTTTTTTTCTATTTCTAGTTTTCTATACACAGATACTTGTCATATTCCGTACATATAACATGAAACTATTGGCAGATAAATAGGTTTACAGTCACAATTGCTATACAAACTTTTCAGCTAGCATATGGCTCATTATGCTATTTAAGGTGACAAAAATTGATGTGTGTCTTTTGCACTAAGTATCTAAATTCTTTCCATTTATTTTGTAGATGACTGGGATGATTTATGCTTGTAAGCATTTAGAAGCAGTGGGGGCCTAAGTTTAAATATCAAGCCTTGATTATGTTTCAAGTCCATATAATCATCACTAGCATGCCTGCGTTGGAGAGTAAGTGATATATCAAGGGGATAAAATCACTGAAATAAGTGTGGTGATATTGTCATAAATAATTAAAAGTAGTATATATACTTGAAAACTAATTTCAGAATAATTAAATTATTTTCTTTCTAATAATTTATTTTCCTCAGAGTTCTATAGGAGATAATAATTAAGCTAATGAGAAAATGACTCATTTAATAATTTTATTGCTATATGGAATTCACCAAAATCTTCATTATGCCACGTTATTTCTGAAGATATTTTCAGTTGTAAAACTAGAAAAAGAATAGAGAAAAAAGAATATCTTAACCCCTTCATATTAATATTTGCTTCAATTACAGTATTTTTGTTAATTCAAAAATTATTTAAAAATAATTAGGAAGGGAGTTGATGTAAAAAGTAAAAATTTTAATAATTATTTTGGAGAGTTACATTTCTAACATGAAATATATAACTGTATATAACAGGTTTTTGGAAGGCATGCTCTAATTTGTTGATTTAACAATATAGACATAATATTTGGAAATGTAATTGGACTTTGGACCCGAAATACTGAAATGCTATTATGCAACTGTAAGAATAAGAATTTTGACTACATAGAAAGACCAAACCAAAACAGAAGTCTAAATAAAAACCCACAAAAACAAGCCCCTTGTGACAAAAATACATATTTTTATTGAAAAGTAAAACATACGTAAGACCTAAGAATCAACTTAAGTTAAAACATAAGTTCTTGTGGGTGCCACAGTAAAAACTAGAAAAAAAGATGGGAAAAGCTGAGTAGAAATGATAATACTGTTTAGGAAGCAAACCTCTTTTCTTTCAATCTTTTGAACTTACTCATTGTTCAGTCCTATTTAAGAATAGTGCTTAAGAAGAAAATGTTAAAGAATTGACAGTTTCATTCATCTTCTCAAGCAGTTTCATGTGTTGATTTTAAAAGCAATACTAGTATAGTACTTTTTTAAATTTTGTGGTACTCCATTAAATCTACTTTAACACTTATTGATTTAGACATTTAGGGAATGTAAATTTTTGATCTGTTTTTTTTTTTTTACTTGTAAACAAGCCATATTGTTATTTTACTAGTGAGTGGGCCATATTGTGCATTTTAATTAATAAGCGTTCCTTTTTAAAGTAAATTTAAGATATAGTCTCCCCTACTCACATTTTTCCCATTCCATTACTTCCATAAATCTTCCTATTTCTTTCTGTTTCTTCCTTATCATTTTCTCAGATGAATAAATGTTTTGAAAATAACTTTTATATTTTCTGAGTTTGGAGAAGGAGTGGAAGAGGGAGGGAAAAAGAAAAGGGAAAGGTAGGAAGAGAAGGGAGGGGGAGGAAGAAGGAGAGAGTGGGCAGCGGAAGGGAGAGAATGAAATCAATGATTGCTATGATCTTTCTTGTTTCTTCTGGTCATATTATGCCCAGTCTTTCCAGAACCCATGACATCATATCACCACTTGTTTGTTTAATCTCCATTGCTATCTTCCAAATATACCTTAAACTTAAGTTTGTTATTAAAATATGATAAATTAACTATATATTAAGATTTTTATTGGTTTTAAATGGAGAAACTATTGTATAGTCACAGACTGACAGTAAAAATCATGACAATGGTTAGAAATATACAGAGACAATGAAATTCTGCTTAGAATACTACGATTTTTTTTCAGAGATGGACAAGTATAGAGTACTTATACATAGCTATACTTCCACCTGAAAGAGTCATCTCTCTACTTTCACTGCTCTTCATCGTATAATCATGACCTTTTTTTATCCTAGAGTAACAAAACTTTGATGGCTGATTAGGGCTATTCTGGAAAAGAAAGCTGACTAAGATATTAAATCAATTTCAAGGCCGAAAAAGGGGAATCAGAACATTTGCATGAGTATATGTATGAGGGTAGAGTGGGGGGAGGTGGGGAAGAAAAAAAAAAACCAAGGCCATCACACTAAAGAGCTTTAACCAACCATAGCAAAAACTAAAACTTTATGAATAGATTCAGAAAGAAGATGCTACCTCTTAACTTGGAATAGTGCCTTGAATTCATTAATGCTTCTCTGAGATTAAAGAAAATAGCTTGATAATATCTGATTTTAAAGCTTTCTGGATTATAATACAGTATTAATTACCTCAGGCAGTGACCCTGATGTAGTTTGGAATTAAGAGTGAGTGTAGTTAGGAGTATAGTTCTATCATCTTCTTTTTAGGAATGAAGAATATCTTGGGAGTGGGAAGAACTTCTCTGAACTCATACAGTGTTGGAATTACTAAGTTGCCCAGTGATCTAGCTTCTTTTCTCATCTATTATATATAATTATGGGCCTTCTCACATACTGAATTACACACACACATGCACACACACATTCATTTAGTAAATATGTTGTTGCTAACTTAGAAATTTAGGACTGTAAATATTTTGTTGCTTAGAGAGGGCATCATCTATAGCAGGGAGATTTCAAACTTTTGTCAAATATTTGATTGAACTCTAGATGACTTTTATTTCCAGAAATGGAGGATGAGGGTATGCAAAAACCAGGATTGGGAATCATTGTTTTAGGCACTATACCCTTAACTAAGTTCCAGATACTTCATTTTGAGGTGAAATGGCAAAGATTCTGCCCATATTAAATATAAGAACTTTAAAATTTTTCACTTGCATATTTTCACAAAAATGAATAATTAATGGTCATTCATTTTGTTTTTGCTTTCATGTGTGAAAATATATTCTAATTTTTCATGCATGTTTCAAGTAAAAGAGCATAATGTATATCTTTAATAAGCAAAATCATCTTCTTTTAATGTCTTTTAATTTATCTGGTCCAGATTCAAGTTGACTCAGAAATATTTGTATTGTTTAAGGAAATACATTTGAAAACTCAAATAAAACATTATTTTAATTACTTGGGGGTAGGGAAAATATATGTGTTATTCTATTCTTATACTGATATATCTGTTCTATGATCCTCAACTGTGCTAACTAGCTTACAATGGCACATTTTTTCCTCTTAAGTTTAAACATTCTTTTAAAAGAACACTTAGGAAATAATTGTACTAATTAAGATAAAACAAAAATAGCCATTTAAATTGATAAAATGCCATTCACCCTTAGTTAACATTATTTACTGGATTTGGCTTTCTAAATATTTTATTTGGGGTTAAACAACTTAAAAAGCATTTATTCAAATATAATGAGCCTAACCTAAATTTTTTTGTGTCTTTTAATATTGTGATAGCTCACTATCTATTAATATATCTTCAAAATAGATACTTGAAATATATAATTTTTTGCAATGGCATGTTTGCATAGTAAGTACATTATTCTCTGAAATAAAATAGTGAGCTAAATGTTGCTTTTCAATCATTTAAGCATTTTCTCTGTTATTATGCTTTAAAAATTAAGCTAAATTATGTTTAAAAACTCTATGATAAAGGAAAATATTGGTCACACTGAGTTTTAGAATATATACTGATTCTTATTTATTGAAACAATAAACTAAAACTAAAGATCACTAGAGAAATACTTTGAATGCCCTTAAAAATAATAAAGTTGGAAAATTCGTTGAAGATAGATTTATTTTGTTTTATTATTTGTAAGAAACTGTTTCTGTAAGTCACTTTATCAGTTATGGTTTGAAAAAGTGTATAAACTATTTAAGATATTATTTCTATTGATATGACATATTTACCTTTCAAGACAAGTACTTCCTAAAATAATTTATTCTTTGAAAATGGGATGATAGTAATTTCACAACATTTGCTCATTTATCCTTTAATGTAAAATAAAACACAATATCAGAGGATGAAGCTTACATGTTTAAAAAAAAGGGATGCGTTGTTGTTAATTATTAATAAAAATTTTTAATATTATATTGCACATTTGTGTATAATTTATATTTAAAATCAAATTATAGTCCAAATATATGATTATTTGATATTTTATAACAAATTGTGAGTAAATCTAATTTTTTTATATCACAGGACAGAGTTTTTGATTATTTGAAATAGTTAATTCAAATGCAACAATATTTTGAGAGATAGAATTGTGTTAGGTGTCAAAAAAGACCTGCATATTCAATTCTCCTACTTACTATTTAATTATCCTTCAACAATTATTATTGGAACCACACTTTAAAGGGTGTACTTTACTTCCTCAATGAGCTATCTACCTTTAATAAAAATTAAAAGTTGTTTGAAAAATATAGTTGTCATCTGAGGTAACAGACACATTTTCTCTAGAGCAGATAAAATGATATGGGTCATGGTTACAAATTTTACCCAAAACAAGAGAGAGCCTTTACATGAAGTTAAACATGGTTTTGAGTGAAAATGAAACACTTTTTCAATTTCTATTATTCATGAATATATCTCCATTTTTTTCTGCACCAACATTTTGAGTATGAAAAGTAGCCAATAATTTATTGCCCCTGAAGAAAAAAAAATTCAAAGAATAGGATTAGTTTATCAGCAGGCAGAATTTTAAACAGGAGGATCAGACTAAAGGATGACTATAAGTCTGACAATATAGGCCAATGTCAATTAAAAGAGAAGATCAATTATAAAAGACTTTTCCAAACTCCCCACTGTAGAAAGATCCACTGATACATATTTTGAGTTTCACTATTTTGAGTCGAACATACTACTCAAGCACTTTGGTTAATAGGTGCAGTCATATTCTGTATTTAGTGCTCTTTGCAAAATATGCTTTTAGATATATGCACTTAGATATGTGTTGAAATTCTGTAAAAATCATTTTAAAGAGTATGGCATTTTTATTCCATTACATTTTCAATAACAGTATGTTTTATACTGACAGTTTGGCTATCACCAACTTGTACTTGAACATTTACTTTTCTTTCTTGTCAGAGCCCTTGTCTTAAGATGTCTCTTTTTCTTAATAGGTAGAATACTCACAAAGCCAAATTCTGAAGTTATTGATATTAACTTACATACACCAATATGTCACCAGTACATAGTATATGTTTTTGTAATGATGAGGATTGTCGGTTTGACATATTATAAGCATTTCAAGACCAAGTATTAAAACTTAGAATATAAGTGCTCTGATGAAACCTTGTTGAATGACGGAAGAGAGGGGTTTACTAAGAAGTTCATTTTTGGAAGTAAATTATCTACCAAGTTTGCTGACTTATGCATTGTATAGAAAAATAATTTGAAAAACCAACTTTTCAAGACATAAAAAGAAATTTGTCTTATAAAGATCTATGAACTTAAAGATTGTTTTTTGGTTTGCTTTTTGCTTTTACAGCACTTCAGAAATAAATATTTTTAAGTTTCTGTTAATCGTCAGAGTTTGATGAATGCACAAATAAAAGTGTGGAGTGTTTGTATATGGGTGTGTGTAGTCAGATAGTGTATAGTTCTTTTATATTAAGTATATAAGACCTATAAGAGGTTGACCATGCATAAATATACATTCCCACTATTTACCCTCAAAAACAAGCCTCCGTTATAAAAATTTTTTAAAAATTATCAAAAAATAAAGAAATGTAACAAATGTCAATGTACCAAAACAACCATTATATATTTTGGATGACCTTTAGTGATGTTACAGTTTGGGGGAGAAAAAAATGTAATAATTAGCATGCTGTCAATTGCATTTTACTTCTGTTAAACATGAGTGGCATAATACAGACAAGCCTTACAACTGACAGGAAGAGGCATTGCTAACCAGCAGATGTTTCTAACCACCTTAGAGCTTAAAGCTCATACGCTCAGTGCCTCTACTGTGAATTAAATTGGAGTAGCACTTTGCTGCCTCTCTAGATTTCCATCAAAAAAATAAAATAAATAAGGAAGAAAAGAAAGGAAGAATAAAGAAGATGGGTGGGTGGAATTGAAGAAAGGGCGTGAAATTGATTTAGCAAATGGTTCACCATTGGCATTACAGTTTATTTCTTGAAAAAATTGATATGGAAAGGTATTTCAAAAGAATATTAGTTTCATAGAGTGGATTTTTTAAGGAACTATGTGAGGTGTCAATTTGTGTGATGCAACTGGATATGAAGAATATTAAGTGGTTCCCTACAAAATATCTATACACATCTACCAGAGAGAATTGTGTGTTTGCTACACACTGCAATTTAATCCATTTAGACTGTTATTATATTGTGACATGTACACTGAACATCTTTGTTGCATGAATGGAATTGCTAAACAGAAAGAGGAGACCCCATTGTTTTTCACGTTACACAGTCATGAGAAAATGGGAGCAGAAAGCTCTTAATTACCATATTTCCATGTTGTAGAAGTAGGGCCCCCACAGAGGTCTCTTTGTAATGCCAAGGATAGTGGAATTATGAAAGACAAGTTTGAAAGGATATTTTGAAGGAATTGGAGAATTCAAGGTTATAACCCATGAATTGACTAAATAAAATATCAGCATTTCTAACATACCAAATTTGAAGAAAAGATCAACAGGGAGGAAAAAAATGAGATAGAAATAGTCTCCAAGTTTATTTCCTATTCAAAGTAGAATAGGAAATAAAAAGTGTTTATTCAAAATTATAAACTTAGAAACAGTTTTAATTTAAATTAATATTTCATTTATATTCTGTAATTTTTTTATTGCATTTTAACTGCCACATATATATTTCCCATAATATGTATTAGCTAGAGTTTGGCATCCTCCTAGCTTTACAGATTATCTTTTTTTTTTAATGGCTATTTTTGTCTGCTATTCTTTCTTTTGCCTTGCACATATTCAAATTTTCTAAATTTGCTGAAAGCAGAATATTATTTGAAGTATTGTTTATGAAAACAAGGTAATAAGTAGAATCTTATATTTTTATGAATATATTTTATTACCAAAAATACTGAAGTAAAATAAAATAAATTTGAGTACAAGCAAAATAAAAATTACTTTAAGCCTTATTGGAAATCTCTTATTAAATTTTACTGAAAAACATTTATATGACTTTTCTAATTATATGTTTGTGAGTCCCTTTCGCATGTAAGGGTAGAAGTTTCAAAATGAAATACTTTGTGAAGGCTTAAAAAGAGTTATTGAAATGAAATTGGATTGAATATATTGGGCACCACTGTTAAAGTGCTCTTTTGAAAAGATTGCATAATAATATAAAATTTAGTCTGCTAAAGGTCTATTAACTCTGATCCATTAGCAAATTGGTCACCATTGGCCTTGAATCTTATTTCCTGGAAAAGTTGGTTATAGAAAGGTGATTTGGGAATAGTCTTAGTCTTTAAAGTGAATTTTTAAGGAACCCTCTGAGGTGTCCTTACATTGCAATTGGATATGAAGAGTGTTAAGTGACTGCTGTGAAATATCTATATGCTTCTGCCAGCCCTCTATCTATTTTTAATTAACTGTATAATATTTATTAATAGATTGTATGTAATGAATAAGTGGAAATTATAGACTACTATAAGATTTCTTTCTGGATGCAATTGTGTAAAATTAGGTCATAAATTAACAGTGAAAGTATTTTGAAATTTATTTCCATAGAGAACACTTTGCATTAGAAATGCAAGTAATGAGAAATAGAAGCCCCTGATAAGTAATGCTGTGTCCTTGCATTATTAATTGTTTCTATAAAAGTATATATGTATCACCCTAAATACAAATACATTGCTTAATTCTAGTAATACTTCATTTTTTTCCATTACAACAGATATTTATCTACCCTTGTAACGTTGGGAAGTTCACGAAATGTATAAAACATTGCAGAACATAAGCCACTCTACTGTGAGATTTTTAAATAACTTGGTACATGTAGCTAAGAAGGGTTTAAAGTTTATAGTAATAGGATTGGTATAAATAGGGACTGAGCTCGGTTAACACGCACATATGCTTATAAAATGATACAATAAAAACAAAGTCACAATATATTCATAGCCAGGTCACTAGAAAGCAAAACGTATGGCGGTTAATTCTGGATTCACAAAAACCAAAACCATATGAAAATGAGGAAGAAAAGGAATAAGTAATTTTGACAATCTCCTAATGTAATATTTAAATTTCTAGCAATTAGGACCCCAGTAATTACCTAAACTTTAATAGGAGCTATCATTTAGAAATATTTGTTGATATGGTTGTAGTATTTTAGTCAAAGCATCTTTTGGGTTAAGAACTCCTATGGGTACTTTGATTTAGAAACTAATGTTGGTGTCTATGTGGTATTCCTGGGAGCACCTTCAATTAATATGCAAGAAAAATGATTATCTTGAGTTATTTGTGATACAGAAATACAGGGTGAAATATGTATGCACAAGTAAAATCAGGCCTCAAAGAAATCATTTTTTGTTTGTTTGTTTAAAACTGTGTGAAGCATAGCAAAGAGTAAGTTGGCTGAACAACAGATGATAATTTTGTTCAACACTTAGCACCAAATCCTTTGATAAAGGATACTTGGCAAAAAATAGTTTGAGAGGAAAATTTCTAGTATTTGTGGAATATGTTATAGTACTTGTTTTGATTTATTAGCCTTTGATATTTTTTAAACAGAGGGAAGATTTCTGAACACATACTATTGATGTCATTTAGCTCCCACAACTTTGCATATAAAAATCTCTTTCATTACTCATCAGACTTTTCAATAGGACAGAAATGTGAAAAATAGCTTTATTTTCCTCCAGTTAGAAATTAACAATGTTTTCATGTGCTAATTTCCAAATATTTTCATCAAAAGAGTGCTTGCTTCGAGTTTTTTAATTTTCACACTGATTTAGAACAGGATATGTGGATTTGGTACTTTCTGCTACACATGATTTATGCTGATTCTTCTGTCTCTTCCCATTAGAGTAATATCTGGAGAATTTTGCCAATAAATCTGCCAACTAAGTATTTAATTTTTAAAGTTCTAACTCCACTCTACTTCCTAAAATCTAACCATTATGTAATTTCTTGTTACCTGCTCTTTTAGACAAATAATTATACTACTCCATATAATTATGTTAGAATCAGAAGCTACTTGTGTGCTGTGATTGAAGGATGCTGAAATATTTTTGCTTCTCTAAATAATTTCGAATGCTTTACTTCTTGAATCTTTGAGTGAAGGAACTGAAGACTTCTCTTAAAATGTAAATATTATCTAATAAGTGATCAGTTTTGTTTTCATCAGCCATCAACGCCTTAGCAGCACCTGAGAAATAAAATTCAGCAACTTTTGAACAAGGGACAGGTCTGCCAAATGGGGATCTAAAGTAAGTATCAGCCAAATGGCTCCTCAGAACTATGTATGGCTAAAACAATAGGAACAGTGGGAGGGTGAAAATAGTGAGAAAAAAAAAGAATTTATATCTACTTGATCTACTTGAAAGTATATTTTATCATGATCACAAGGTTTTAACTAAAGCAAAGCTTTTACATATAGTATATTTATTTTATCCTTATTTTATTTATTTATTTATTTAAGAGACTGGGTCTTGCTCTGTCACCCAGTCTGGAGTACAGTGGCGTAATCAAAGCCCATTGCAGCCTTGAACTCCTGGTTTCTAGCAATCCTCCCGCCTCAGTTTACCAATTACCATGTATACAATTACAACTATAGGCATGTACCACCACACCTGGCTAATTTTTTTAAATGTTATATTTAATTAATCAGCATCTTCAGTGTCTTGAAGACTTTTGAGATTTTCTTAAAAACAGAATATTTCAAAAAAGTGAGAAGAAGCTCTATACAATAATCTTGCCTTTTGAGAATTGTAACGTAATAGAAAAAGTCACTAACTTTCAGAATGTCAAGAATGTCTTGGTATGCGTCTTCTCTGTGACCCCCTTGCATAATGAACCATATGTCTTCCACATGCATGGATATACAGTTGCAAACATTCTCTTATGAATTTTTATATGAACTGCTTCTGAAAACAACTTCAACTATCTAAAATTTTTATTTTTCTTATGTCAATTTAAAATTTAGTTTCAAGAAGAGCCAAATGCATCTTTTTTCCCCTAAAACATGAGGGGGTTTAAGCTTACCTAAAGGTCTGCAAATATTTATGGTCATTTTGGAGAACCCTAAACGTCTCCAAAATGTGCAAAAGAAACAATTGAGAAGCATGGCCTTAAAAGTTAAAAATCTAAACTTTGGTTACTTAGTGTCAATAAAATTTTGTACAAAAATATCCCTCAGTAGTGGGGGAAATTTATAACTGATTCATATTAATTTAATTATGGATCTTCAAGTTTACTTGGATTGCGGTTGAGAAATGCCACCCGATTGTGTCTGTAGCATAAATAACATGCCTAGCAAGCCAAATTCTTTCAGAACATGATGGCCAGTGACCTTCAATCTTGACTCAAAATCCAAAATAATCAGAAGAATCAAGAGCTCTGTGATATTCAGTTGAAGGTAGCTGACTTTCTGATAATCAGGGTTATCTAGATTGCAGACATTTATCAGGTTAGTTCCAAATATTTTCAGATTTGGATGATCACTAGAAATGTCTCAGTGTATAATATTAGACCTCAATGCGAGTCTAGACAAATTCTTCTGTATTGAGAGCTGCAAAGAAATTTTTATAGGCACTTATGTTTATATTCAATTTTCTGGTATATCAATCTTACTTAAAAATTATTTCCTAGAATGGTTTCCCCTTCTGCAACCTCTTGTGGTTCATTCCACCCTATGGTTTCCAAGAAATATACCACAGATCAATATATGTATTTGGCTTTTAGTATAATGGAGGTGCATGGACTTGGTGATGAGTCCAGGCATTGAAAGATTTAAATCAATACAATGTGTCTTAATTTCTGGGGCTTAATGTTCCTGTTACTCTCACTTTCTGCTTTTACTCAATCCTGCATTTATGTACTTGCAAGAAATTAGGAAGTGAACATGTGATCAATGGACCACTGTGAACAGCCTAAATCTAGAAACACAGCTGCCAGCTAAGCTGTTATGCCTCAGCACATTGCACTCAGTCTACTCCCTGCCTATGAATGATGCCCGTGCTTATGAATGATGGATCTGAACAGAGGGACAATGAGAGACTACCCTGGATACCCTATATGCCTATGACTGTGAATAACATCAGTATTTTGTACTTGCTTCTGGCAGATTGCGTAATAAAGTGATTGGCATTCTAGTGATGCTGCTGTCATGAGTATAGACATTTGATAGGTCTTCCCATTCTTAGATAAATAATATCTTACAAAGCTCATTTATTTTTAAGAACAAGGGGACTGAATAGTTTTTTTTTTAATGTTTGTGTTTTTTGTCCCTTAAAAATGTTACAGTTGGTACGGAGGAAATTTTTTTTCCATCATGTCAAACCTTTCTAGCCTATCGGGGATAGAAAAAGTATGAATTCCTATACTTAATTGGTACCGATAAATGCCTTGTACTTACTAATGGAAGTGATTTAAAGTTATGTTTTACTCAATATGAGATTTTTATTCTAGACAAGAGTTTATGAATTAGTGATTTAAAGACTCAACATGGATGGACAGAGGATCCTCAAAAAGTTACTTGAGCATTCAAGTAACATGGAGTCATTTAACAAAAACAAAATCACTGCATTTTACTTAGAAATAATTTTTCAAAGGACTGAAAGCATAAAATCTATATTCTATATTATTTTGTTTATCCTCAGAATATTATTTGAGTCATTTAACAGGCAGGAATTATGTCTAGAATACTTATGTGAACATAAACATTCAGGGTTAAGCTAGGGACTTTTGTATTACCTTTGTCATTTCTCAACTCCAGTGACTTAAAATGCAACTTTCAACTTAGAGATGGACAAAGAAAACTGACAGTGAGTAGAAATAAAAAGAAATGGCATTGGCTTCCCCTATCTCTCCTAGAGTGGGATGGGCAAATGAAATATAAGGATAAGCGTGTTTATCCTAACAATGATAAACATTTCCATGTAATGTATTCATTATTCATGTCATCAGGAGAAGATGTCATATTTCTCAGAATAAAATTATTTGAAAAGATCTTCAGAACAATACAGAGAAGGAAAAAATATCCGTTTCTTATGGAGAAAAATTAAGTTGTGATACGGGACAATGGCTATGCATTCTTTTGTCTAGGGAACCCAAGTTTCAGAAAATTACAATACTAAATTTTTTATAGAAAACTAGCTATAGACATGCAAAACAGGTATCTGGATTAGTGTGTCAATTTTCCTTCAGAAATTCCTTATTTGAAAAATCTTATGTGAATATATCTATTGTCAAATTATCATTTTTCATCTCCTGAAAGTGTTGGGGAGTAATTGCTGGAAATAATCAACTTTATTCAAAAGAATGAGCTGTAGGTTCCAGGGTTCAATAAATTATAATTCTTCCCACCAGCCCAACATGTCACAGTCATAAAAAATCAAGCTTTCTCACTAAACTGCCAACCTTTTTTTGTGAATGAGAGATTATATATCCCATTGATTGTTTACAGATTTAGGTAATATCCTTATGTACCAGCTGTGGAACTGTCAGCACTTCTACTTTTGTAAATATACATAAGAAATTGTAAAACTAATATCCTCATGTAAAACATACACCTTTTCAGTAATCGAGACATTTTATTCTGTCCGAAATCAACCATGTAAAAGAAAAATGTCAGCAATTACAAAATCAGCAAAGAAATGTTGTTTTCCATTTATAAGATATTAATAAATTCAGACTAAGGGTCCCTGAAGTTGCTGGCATTATTATTTTTATTTTCTAGAAGCCCTTCTAATACCCATGGTATCTTCATAGACCCATAGGGATTTTCACATAAGCTCATGGGCCTTTGCATATGCACATCACAGTAGGGGACCCTACTTAAAGAGCCTGCTGGTTAATATTTATTAAAAAGAAAGACCCTGTGAAATGTCCGTGGTCACACTGTTTTGCAGAGACATCACAGAGAAACCTCAAAGTTGCTGTTGGGAGAAGGATTTCGGGAATTTTTCCTGAAACAAATGATTTCCTGCCCAAGAGGAGCTCCTTCACTTGCAGAGTGCACCCTCAGATGGGAATGGGGAGCGTCCTCTGCCCACTGCTGGTGTGACAGCTGTTGGAATTGACAATTTAAGTGCTTTCATTCAAATCCTTATGTGTTTACTTTGAAATGATCGTCAAATTTATGAAAAGGGTCTCTCCATTTTGTGTGTGCTTTAGATACCTTATGAATGAGTATGGTAACTCAGCAGATTTTAAATTGAAAAATTATTGTTGAACAATAAATACATTTTAAAAAGTGGTTGGAGAAAAATAAATTCTAAATAGGGAAATTTACCACAAAATATTTACCACAGAGAAAGTTTATTTTAAAAAGAGAGAAAATAAATTTATGTGAGATAATTGTTTACTTTTCTTAATTTTGATTTTTTCCTAATTTCAACTTTTATTTTAGATTCAGGGCATAAACATGCAGGTTTGTTACATGGATATGTTGTGTGCTGCTGGAGTTTGGGATAAGGTTGAAAAACTATCTGTTGGGTACTATGCTCACTATTACTGTTTTAAAAAATCACTTTAAAAATCACTGTCTTAAAATAATTCTTATCTTTTGTTTTTAAGAATTTTTTAAATGAGAAATTTGCTTTGGGCAAGCATTGGCATCTTGAATAAAATGCCAGGTCCCCAAGCAGAAAACCTGGATTTAAATTTCAGCAACAAACCTTCTATAATTATTTTCTATTTTTTGTAAAATGAAAATAAGAATTTGGGAACATCACACACCAGGGCCTGTTGTGGGGTGCGGGGAGGAGGGAGGGAGCATTAGGAGATATACCTAATGTTAAATGACGAGTTAATGGGTGCAGCAAACCAACATGACACATGTATACATATGTAACTAACCTGCACGTTGTGCACATGTACCCTAAAACTTAAAGTATAATTAAAAAGAAATTAATTTGCAATAAATTCTATACTACTGTGCTTAGTGAATAAAGATATTCACTACTATACACACATACACATGCACACAGATACACATATCTCAAATGAAGACCAATAAAATGACCAACTGAAAGACATGATATAAATGAAATACCCTAATGATATTCTATTTTATTACTTCTGAACAACTCCAGCATGCATTTTAGGTTTAGTTTTTATGAATGAAGTGTGAAAAATTTATACATTAAATGTAACTTGATGCAAGTGTGATCTGTTACCATTACCAATAATGATAAATGCACATATAACCATACTTACACACACTTAATGGAGAAATATGGAAATAAATTTTCTGAGTACTACAGATTAAGAATTTTGGGCCAGGTGTGGTGCCTCACACCTGTAATCCCGCCACTTTGGGAGGTTGAGGTGGGCAGATCACCTGAGGTCAGGAGTTTGAGACCAGCCTGGCCAACATGGTGAATCCCTGTCTCTACTAAAAATACAAAAGTTAGCTGGGTGTGGTGGCACCCACCTGTAATCCCAGCTACTCTGGAAGCTTAGGCATGAGAATCGCTTGAACCCAGGAGGAGGAGGGAAGTTGCAGTGAGCTGAGATCACTGCACTCCAGCCTGGGTGACAGAGCTAGACTCCGTCTAAAAAAAAAAAAAGAATTTTACCTTGGAATCCACAGAATTATTTCAGTGACCAATCATTAATGTTGGGAACATTGCTATTGTTTTGCATTTTCGTTTTTGAACTCACATTACACTAGCCCTTTACAGCTCCTTCCCTTGTTCATCCACCTCTGAAGCCTCAGATGGTTGCCAGAATCTTGCTGCATCTATGTATTCTTGCTCCTTGAAGTGTACTTGTCTCCCTCTTTATCTCACTTCTTCATAAGATGTTACTTTTTACAAATTTCCCAGGGTTTTGACCCCTATCCACATACACATTGCCCTAATCTCTCTGCTTTATTAGAATAATTACTTAGTGAGATAATCTTCA
Organism: Homo sapiens; assembly: GCF_000001405.40. Classification (NCBI taxonomy): domain Eukaryota; kingdom Metazoa; phylum Chordata; class Mammalia; order Primates; family Hominidae; genus Homo; species Homo sapiens. The sequence goes on along the minus strand of NC_000004.12, from coordinate 65,557,546 downwards.
TGAATTTAATTTGGTGATTTATATCTCTTATCTTTACTGGTGTGGTTTCAGTGCCTATATCAAAGATTTTCACATGATACCCTATAAATATTTGCTGAATCAATGATGATAATAATTATAAAAACAATACTTGTTAAATTATTGTGGATCAGAGTTGGAAAAAGTATTTAACTAACTTTAATTTTTCAATACATTAGTTACAGATTATGCTTTCTGCTTCATAAAGATTCCCAATGTATATGTGCCCAAACGTTAATAAGATGGAGTGTTAATAACAAAGTGTGAGAATATATATATATATATATATATATATCCCAGTATAAATGATGTTCAAAATACATTCAGCCACAACCCACAGCTGCTCTCACCATGCCCCGTCCCCAAATCTGGTTTCATCTTTAGTCCCAATAATCAAGTCTAGAATATTCCATATAAATTATAATGCTGTTAAACATCAGTCCTATTTAAAATCTATTTCTAAGCCTTATCACACCTTCATCGAAGAAGAAACTACAGAAAGTGAGTCCTGTAATTGTCCGAATAAAGGACAAACAGAATTTTATATTCATTAATAATATTTTGACAGAGGAAGTGAAGGAAAACTCATTCCATGAGTTTGCAACATTCCGTGAATTTAGAACACAGTATGTTTTTTAGACCACAAAAAGCTGAATTTTTACTAACATCAATAATTGGGATAGCTTAGACAATGAAAAGGAGCAAGTTGTTTTCCTGGATCATAACATATCATAGAGCAATTTTACATGGTTAAAGTAAAATCAAGCTAAGTGCTGAAGCTAATGCTCTATTTGCTGAAAATAATAATAATGCTGAAAATAACGCTCTATTTGCTGAAAATAGCATTAACACTAAAACAATTAACAATTAATATTACTATAGTAATCAGAAAATACTTAGAATCCTCTAAATTATATGAAATTGTTCCACATGTGACTTGGATCACTGTGAACCTGATCCCATTGGAGAAATTAGTTTTACTAAACACAAATACATTGTTAGTCATAGAAACGTAACTTAATGCTTTGAATTCCATATATCTCAATGCTTTTAATTCCATATATCTTTTTTACCCACACTTGTTACATGCCTATTTTCATGGAGAGGAAAAATTATATACAGTCATGTTGAGGCTATTACTAATCTTGCTGTGTACTCTTCTCAGTGTTCCCAGCGTGTGGCTGGACTTCCACTAGTGAGAGGGTGAATTGCCCCTGGCTAAGCCCTGACACTCATGAAACAACATTTTATTGACATCACAGTAGTTCATGCAAAGTCTCTTGAGGCTGTACCATTTAATTCAACTGGTGGTGAAATAAACATATCCACACTTACCATCCAATTGGCTTTATGCTTTTTCAGAAATGGTGTGTCAGTAGAAAGATGTGTGTCCATACCAGAACTGGCTACTGATATTTTATCTAGGGTATAGATCTTTCTCATGTTATAAAATATCAATAAGAATTGATGAATTCTGCACACATTCATCAGCATCGGAATATTCTTTTAATTCCATTTAAAAATAGAGTTGGAATAGAATGAAGAAAGGCTACTATTTGGGAAAATACATTTCTGAACATTTGGAAAGCTGTTATATGTTTTCCATAGTCTTTTTTGTTTTAGATTATTTGGAAACAACTTGTAAGAAAATAAAAAAAGAGCTTCTAAATAAATACAGGCTGAAAATGCCAAATCGAAAATATTATCTCCTGAATGTTATCCTAGTACTCCTACTTGACAGTCTGAATATGGTATATATCTCATTGTAGCACTAGTTTGGCCTCATGATTTTTAACATAAAAATTCACACTAATCAATTACTGTCACTTGTCACAATATTCCAGTGATCTCTTAAGAGCCTGATGAAGTAGCCCAGCTTCGAAAAATGTGTTAAAATACGTAATATGTGAAATTCAAAAGAAAACAAAACTAGTAACTTTGGAGAAAACAGAAGATGGAGTTTTTTTTTTTTTAGAAAAATTTTAAGTTCAGGGGTACATATGCAGGATTGTTACATAGGTAAACTTGTGTCATGGGTGTTTGCAGTACAGCTTATTTCATCATCCAGGTATTAAGCTTAGTACCTATTAGGTAGTTTTTGTTTTGATCTGATACTCATAGTCAGATAGGTGGGCATTTTCTTGTAAGGTAAATTTAGGATTTGAAATCAGGCTACATATTTAAAATCACGATTTTCAAATGAATGATTTCATTCATGGTAGGGTGTCCAAATACAGCCCTCGGGTATTTCTTCCCAGTGCATTCCAAGCTTCCATAGCCTTTTCTTGTTCATTTCTCATCTGCTAAACCTGAACACACATATCCATTGCTACTAAGGACACACATGGGAGTAAAATGGTGGGGGACAAAACATGTTCAGCATTTTAGAATGCCACTAAAAAAAGAGACAACTTTGGTATAGTGGAAATGAATTCATGTTGAAACATAGATATTCAAAAGATTAAAATAACCTGTGTAGAAGACAAAACTTCCTTAAAACTGACAAAAACATGTACTTTTTTTTTTTTTTTTTTTTTTTTTTTTTTTGCTGTTGTATAGGGGTGAAGTGATAACATTTTATAGCTAGAAGTGAATTCTTCTCATCTCTGAAACATTACCTTATGTGGTAGCACAGAGACATTTTATGGATTATGAATAATGGAGTCTGAGTACCAAGGATGTTTATCTCTCAAGTATATACATAGGCCTTAAAATAATTGTTGACATAGGATAAATTCTCACTAAATATTTACTTTATGAAAAATAATTCTCTAATTCATATCATAGTACTTAGATAACATTTTATAGAGTAAAAACATTTAACATGAAAAGATGTTTAATGATGGAGACATTCATTGGCCACACACAGGGGAATAGTTTATGAATAAAATATAAACTGAGTATTAGTATTACCTAGAAAAAGTTATAAGAATAGAAATACAATATAAATAAAATCCACATTATACATTTATTATAATTATTTATATTTTTGTTTTTAAAACCTTTTTTCCTCAACTATCAGATTTTAGTCAATTACTGTCTTATTTCTCACTTGTAACTACTGTAGCACATTATTCACATTTAATGAAAATTAATTTTGTACATTCTTGATAAATAATCATTATTTGGTTAATAAAGTGTAGCTGAATAGTATTTATATTTCAAATAGATTAGCCAAAATTATAGCCAAGTACATAATAAAGCCCCATGTAATTAATAAAAGCAAAACAACATAAAATGGAAAAGATATTTTAATTATATATAACATATAATTATATATATTATAAGTATATTCATGTTTTATATATAAGCTTTCAAGTGAAAATGTGGAACTCTGAGATTAGCAAAAGTACAAGTTTCTCAATTTTTTTTTTCCTTACTTGCTTGGACTCTTCAAAAGGTATGTGAAATAAGAAACACAAGGGGAAAATAATAGTACATTTTGAAATGAACACTGAAATTTGTAGATACGTAGTAATTTTTCTTTTATACCAGAGACAATATATTTTGCTAAGAGATATTCTTCATGAAAGTGTAATTAAATTTGGAGACTTAAATTTTTTATATATGTCTGCTTTGTACAGCTGCTCAGAAATGTAGCTAATATAAAAAATGAAATCAAACTTCACTAGAGTTTTCTATTAGGATGCGGCTCATTGCCATGTTACTGAAAGTTCTTTCATTTTGTGGAAAAATAAGTTATTTAAATTTTTAGGCAACTGTGACTCTCTCCATATATAATTTATTTCAAAACACTTGAGGTCCTACATCCGAAAATGTAATATATGCACTGCAATATTTATACAGCCAGAGAGATTAAGGGAGATGGCCCAATATTTCACAAATATTTATTTAGCACTTTGTACAGCTACTGTGATCCGCATTTCTTCACACATAACACTTTAGAAATGAATTTCTGCTTATTCTTTTACCAGATATTTGACTCGAGGCATGAACTGACTGGAAACAAATCAGAAACTAAATTTACCAAAAGAGAAATTGAGGACAACCAAGTATTCTTTTTGAAGTAACTAGAATTTCAGTGATATAAAATATGATGCAAAAGTAATTACTTGAAATGCAATTATTGAGTAACAGAAGTTTAGAAAAAAAAATGTTAGGTGGAGAAAACATAAAGTAACAGTCACTTTAAGCCAGGTTGTCCTTCAAGGTATCATTCTTCTTCCAAGTTTCTGTATTTAAATCAACCTTCCAGGGTTGAACAGGACTTTGAAGGCAAGGAGATGGCTTAGATGACACAATGATCCAATTACTCATCAAAATTCACATAGTAGATGCAATTGAGTTTCTTCTTTCTATGAGCTTAATGTAAATTTTCATAGGAGGAGATAGATTTCAAAAACCCAACTTATTCCTAAACTCATCATTGAGATTGTAAACCTACCCCACTCAGAGAAGTATTAATTTTATTAATATGTCTGGGAGACATTAATTTTGAGGCACTTGACAACTGTGATTTTCATTGTCTCCAACTATAGCTCTTCTATCTAAAATGGATAAATGCCCCCAAAAGTAGGTAATATTGGGAAAGCATACAACCCAGCAACTAAGCAGTCCATTTCTAAATAATAAAGCAATTTACCTTAAGTTAATATGCCCTGGGAAATGTATCTATATTGATGTCATATTGCTTATTTACTAAAAAAAAGAATATTTCCTGTTAATTGTGGATTACATTTAATTAGGTAAAAATAAAATTGGTTTGGGCTTTGTGCTTTACAATTTAACACACCTAGAAATATAATTAGAAAGGAAAACAAAACATGCAGAGAAAACCCTTGAACATGATTGATATTTTTTAAAGAATCTTAAATAATGTTGTGACCTGACACTAAGAGACTCTATACATTCACAAGTATTTATGTCTTACAGTGTGAATTAATGACTAATTACCTTTATGTGAGGAGTTGAAATTGGTCTTTTCTTCCTCATCACTGCCTAAGACATCTCACCTCCCACTTCTTAAAGAGGTCAGGGCTCAGGCCTCTCCTTGAATCCTAAATGAGATTTGTCAGTCAAGCGTAGCAAAATCTAATGCCATCCAAAGAAAAAGAAGAAAACGGACCAGAAAATTATCTGATTTTCCGATTTCATGGCCCAGGTTGCCCTGGGAAGTGATGAAAGTGGCATTTAAAGCCCGTAACTAAGGTGGTATGCCAAACTTAGCAGTAATAACGGATAAACCGTGTGGAAAGATATCGCTTTAACAATTTTACAGTTGCTAAGTGTGAAAATTGTAATGTGGTCAAGCTCCAGGAATCCATGGCAGTTGGTTCAAAGAACTGGAACAATGCTGAAGTAGGAAACATTCTCAGCTCCTGTAATTCTTAAATACTGATGAAGTCAGCATCTGCTTTGGCTGTTCTGACATCAGGCCACAGGGCCGGACAGCTTTATTAGTAATATTGGTTCTTTTTCTGCCCTCTGCTGTGAATGAAAACGTGCTATCACTTGAGGAAACAGGTAGAAATAATCGAGGCCTAAATCATTGCTCAGCTTGTTTAAGGTGAGCATCATTTACAGTGTTTTGTATTTTCGTGCCACCAGTTTGTAGGAGGAAAAAAATTACCAAAATATACTTGCAAATACAGACTTGATAAATATTTTACTAAAAATTTTAACGTAATTTATTAACCATTAGCTTCTGATGATTTAAATAATTTAACTACCTATATGGTAATAGCTACAGTATTGGAGTCTGAAATTAAAATCAGTCTAATAAACTTTATGTGTTATAAATACTGAGTGGTGTAACACATGAGTAAACAGGAGGAAGTCTACTTTAGATATTTAGTTTGAAAATTGACACTGTTATGCAATAAAAATGTTACAATAAAAATTTTCAAGCATATTAAGGTGTTTTAGGAACTATGCCACAACACATGCTTGACATAGAATAAAAATGTAAGTGCTGTATATGATATGCACACATTCAGTGGCTAAGAAAAGTAGTGATCATTCACTATAAATAGACTTCCACCAATAGCAAATTAGAAAGAAGGAAATATGTTGCTTATCTTGTTCTTTTTCCTACAATATTCTCCTTTGATTAAGGACAGTCAATTGCTTTTTCAAAGGTTAGATATACATTCTGGTTTTCCTGGAACCATTCTGTTTTACACTATTCCCTTAGGGTAATTATGAAAACTGATTCCTTTCACTCTCAAACATAAATAGGTTTAGATAATAAATGATATGCTGACTCCATATATATATATATATATATACACACACACACACACACACACACACATATATAAATATATACACTCCATATATTTAAACATATATATACATACATGGCATGAACATATCATTTATTTATCCAAACCTACTTATGTTTGGATAATAAATGATATGCTCATTTATCATCATTTATATATGTATGTAAATATATTTCATATATACACATATATGTGAATATACATACGTGTGTATATGTACAAATATGTAACTACACATATATGTGTAAATAGACATATATGTATGTATGCATATATATATATAATGCACAAATACATAGCAGTTGCCTTTTCTAAAAATAAATATAATGTGTTCTGTAATCTAGTAGGAATCTCCAAATCATGGTTTATTTTTTTGACATTGATTCATCAAGTTTGTACTCAGGAGTTTTTAGTAGTTGTTTTTTGTTTTTGTTTTTGTTTTTTGTTTGAGAAGGAGTCTGGCTCTGTCGCCCAGGCTGGAGTGCAGTGGCATGCTGTTGGCTCACTGCAATCTCACCCTCCTGGGTTCAAGGGATTCTCCTGCCTCAGCCCCTCGATTAGCTGGGACTATAGGCGCGCGCCACCATGCCTGGCTAATTTTCTGTATTTTTAGTAGAGACGGGGTTTCACCCGTGTTAGCAAGGATGATTTCGATCTCCTGACCTCATGATCCACCTGCCTGGGCCTCCCAAAGGGCTGGGATTACAGACGTGAGCCACCGCACCCGGCTGTAGTTGTTTCTTTTAATAAATGCTTAAAAGCTACTGGATATGAGTGGCAGAAAAATAAAAGCTACTGGATATGAGTGTCAGAAAAATAATATTTTGATCATTATGGTTTACAGAATATCTATTAAGGGCGTCCAAACTTTTGAAATATTAGTAAAATACACATCAAATAAAATATTCATTTTAACATGTCAAAATGGATAAATATCAACTATTTGTAATGGTTCAACATATTTTTACATTGGTTTAATAACTAGAATCAAGAGAAATATGGGCACCCCTCCACTACTATACATGAAACAACAGTTTTAAAGAATTAGTAGCTTACACCTAAATGTAATCATTACATAATTTTATTGTTTCTTTTTCCTTATGTTTGACTTAGTTCAGTAAAGAAAAAAATTTGATTATCATAATTATTATTACTAATATTATTTAACAAATAATGTATTATCTTTTTATGCTTTGAAAAAAATTCCTAAGGATTTTTGTGGGTGTGTTTCAAATGTCAAATGTTTTAACATGATGTCATTTACAAAAGAATATTAATTTGTAGTAATATAGAGGATTCTAAAATACTGCAATATATTTAGTTTTATAAATGAATGTAAAGTGTGCTTTTGGGCCTTCTGAGCATCTCTATTCAAAGATAGTTTGGGAGACCATTATCAATCTTAGCAGGACAGGAACTTGTTTTAATTTTACTTTGTCTACAAGAAATTTTACTGCATATCAAAGTTTGAACATATGCAAGTTTCTTTAAACTTTAACAGAAATTTTTCTATGTGAAGATGAATTTTAAAAAATCTATAACCCTCTAGTTTAAGCTTCTGTGAGTCTCTTCTATATCAAGAATATTTGAAGTAAGAATTTTAATTCAATTTTTTGTCTTTTCTTTTGTCAGTAAATAATCAGTTTTTAAAGGGTTGCCCTACAAATTATAGCATGCATCCCTTTCATATTAAAAATGTTATTTGTTACTTTAACCCTCTTTCTAGAAAAAGTCAACTTAGAACACTTGATACCAGTAACTCTTTCCCAAACCCAAATATCATTGCTTTCTTTTATTAGCTCTATATTTCAAACAACACATATTATCATTGTTGTATAAACGTTGAATATAATTTTGGCACATGCTTACATTTTGTTATTATTCATCATTCTTGCATCTAGGCCCTTCCATTTATAATCATTTACTTGTTGTCAGAATACCTTTTAGAATTCCTTCATTCTGTATCTGCTGGTAATAAATTTTCGCAGATTTGTTTGAATCTTAAGGATGCTTTTGATCAGCTCTGTGTTGCCAGTTATTTTCTTTCAGGACTTAATGATGTCATTTTATTATCTTCTGGCCATAGACATCATGGAAATTTAGTTGTAGTCTACTTTTTCTTATTTCATTGTAATCTGACAGTTTTCTCTTCCTGATGTTTGCATTTATGTTGCTCTTTGGTTTTGTGCACTTTTACTGAGTGTATATGTCAAAAACTGTCAAAGAAAGATCTGCTATTTTCACTGTACTTGAAATCTAATACAGTTAGCTTGCTTTAATTCGTGAATGCTGCAGAAGACAGGACACTGCTAGGTTAGAGGCAAATAATTTTATTTTTTACAGCATTAGCGCTAGCCAGACAATTAACATTTGTCCAAGTTCCCTAAGTCCCAATTTCCACATAGTGATGAATAGAGTGCTGTATGACACCTCAACACTCAGTGAGCTACATTTCAAATGAGAGACCTTGAGTTTAGGGAACATGAGAGTTTCTAGCTTTACCTTTGTTATACTGAGGCAGACAGAAACTTGCTCTATGCTCTAGAGTGAAGGTAATTGTCTGTCATCCAAGGCTAAGTGTTATATGGATATTCATGTAAAAATAGTCCAGAACAAACACAATCAGTGCCTCTGCTTGTAAGTCATGCAGAAACATGGAACATTTTCCAAAGTGTATTGCTTTATATTTTACTGCTTTGGATCAGAGTTTCTTCAATTTGTGGTTTCACATCTTTCATCAAGTGTGAAAATTTCTCAGCCATTACTTTATTAAGCATTAATTCTGACTCATTTTGCCTATGCTGTCTTTCTGTGACAATTAGAGGTATGTTAGTACTTCTTAGTGCATTATCTTTGTCTCATACCTTGTTTTCTCCATTTTCCATTATTCTCCTTTTCTATATTTTGATCTGGAATTTTTTTCCTCCTACTTATATTTCAGTTGACTAACTCTCCTACTTTATCTAATCTGCTGTTATCCAAGCAAATTGAGTTCTTAACTTTGTTATACTTTTGTATTTTAAAATAGGTTTTTCAAATTTCTGAAAAAATCTTATTCTTGCATTTTTCTTATTAAACACATATTTTATGTATTTACTTCAAAATAGTTTATGTATGGTTATTTAATATCCATTTTGATAACTCCAATATCATAGTCATAGAGATCAGTTGATATTGCTCACTGTTTGGGGCTGGCTTTTATTCATATTGTCCTATTTTATGGTCCTGGTTATATTTATGTGTTGTATATTTTATTTGCAAAACTATGTCATTATTTGATGTAAAGGAGTATTTTCTTCTACAGAAAATGTTTTCTTTTGATTCAGGACCTATAGTACTAGTAGTCTTGGATCATCTCAGTCCAGTTTCAGGAATTTTGATAATCTGAAGCTGAACAGAATTCTATATAAGATTGCCTTCTGGCTTTATCTAGACTGCAGCCTTTCAGGGTCACTTTCTAATGCAAATAATATTTAACTGTGACCCTCCAGCCCCTGTCATTGAGTGGCCCTGGATTCAAATCTCTCTTTCCCTGACCCTATGAGATTGTCAAAAGGGCCAATTAACCTTTCATTTTGAGAATCAACAAATACTCCTAGGGAAAGTTTCTCAAAACACCAAGCATTTTAAATGTTTCAACCTGGTTTTACAATTTTCCTTGGAGGAAAAATTAGCCTGAATTACCTATTTCATTGTAATAAAAAGAGGAAGTCTAATCTTTTTTCTTATATGAAAGATACCAGAAATGACTTAACCGGAACATCACCTTTAATATAACACCAGGAAAAAAAATAAAAATGCATGGATTATGAACTATTTTAGACCATAAAATATGTCAGACAGCTCAGTCAATGTATATTGACTGACCTTTTTAAAAACAGCTTCCTTATCTCATTTGCTCATTTTTATTACCTGCTTTCTTTTGTTCTCATCATAAGAGTGATAGCAGTAAAGTCATTCTGGTTTCTTTCTTTTTTTTTTTTTTCCACTTGGCTTTGAATCTTCATTATCTTGTCCATTTGATGTATAGGCAACTGCAGGTAGCAGGGAAGTCCACAGGGTGTAAAAAGTCAAACTTATCCCAGAATGCCCTGTCATTGCCATCTGTTTACTCTGTGTTTGTGACGCATTTCACACAAACACCTACACAGACCTCTTTCTTTCCTTCTTTCTCTGCATTGATTCATCACACCAGGCATTTGTGAGCATCTGTTATTACAGTTTTCACAGTGGTGAACACTATATTTAAGGTTGCAGTGACACTTCCATCACAGAATTTTTGCTTCCAGTCACATGTGGACTTACGAATGATTATTCTGTTAGGGAAGAGGTTGAAATTTTCAATGAATGTATTACGCGTACATGTGTCTTTTCAAGTTGGGCTGGAAATGGATTTAGTTGTCTTGAATTAGAAAAACAAAAAAAAAGGAGTTACTTTTTAGAAAATAACATTTTTTGATGATTAATGAGAACTCAATGGTTATTTAAAATAATAATGCCAACATTTCTTTTTTGTAGAATTAGACTTTAGGGATCTTGAAGTTCGCAGACATTGTAAATTGCTCTTACTAGTTGATGAAATGTTGAAAGTCATTACTATTAATGTGACTTTAATGTCATAGACCTAGAATTTTAATTGCTAACTTTGAGCAAAATTAGAAAACTGGAATTATAAATCACGTTAAAAATCAGTGGACAGTTGTTAAAACATTTGCAAATATGTCTCACTCAGAACATATTGAACTACAGAGAAAACTATTTGAGAAAAAAACAAGAACCATTAGAAAAATAGGTTGTTAATAGGCAGAAGTCCAGAAAGAAAAAAAGTATTTCCAATGTGAAATAAACTGTATTGCTTTATAGGCAATACTGAGCATATCCACCTTTTAACAACTCTCAAATATTAACATATTTTTTCTGGACACCTTATATTAGTGCAAAAGAGAAGAAAATGTTACTGAGAAGACACATAAATGTTTAATGTCCAGTGTATTTGCAACTTGATTATTAAATTCTCTAAGTGTCTCTACCATGAATTTTGTGTCTGAAATATTATGAGAATTGAGAATCTCAGTGCTGCCAGACTCTCACTGCCTTACCATGAACTCAGAAAATAAAAAGTTTAAAATGCAGTAAGTTAAAATGTTCACCAAAGTATGGTTCTTTGGAACAGAGGTCATCCAATGAAAGCACATGTGTCAAATACAGCCTAGAGATCATTTATTTACATATTGTTTATTACTATTTTCAAGGTACCATTCAGAGTCGAGTAGTTGTGATGGAGACCTTATGGCCTGGAAATCTGTAAATATTTGTTATCTGGTCCTTACAAACCACTGAGTATAGTAAATGGGACATTTCATCATTCTAGTCTTGCTTTAAAATAGACTCATGCAAATGTGTCAAATTGACCCTAATGGCCAACCATCATTGGACTGCTGATTGATTGTTGACAACAGGGTTTCCTTCCAGACCTTATAAGTTGTTCTTTCAGTTGGATCATTGGTGCAACATGGAAGCTCTTATTCGATTTAAAGAGTGGTAATTTATATGTGTGGCATATATAACAGCTTTACCACTTAGAATATCACCTAATGTTCAAAATATTTTGCTCTTTCCATTTTTATCTTGTTCTCTATTCATATTCAGTTAGGCTGAGCCTTGAATTCTTTGTTTTATGTTTTCTATTTCATCTGTGTCCTATTATGTCAATTCATTGTACTAGTAGTTAAGTTCTATAAGGGTGTTTTCTCTTTTGCACCTCTTGGTCTGAAAAAATAACCATAACAATTTTCTTTCTCTTTTATAAGCACTTTTCAAAACTTGGCATCACAAGTTTCTTTAATTTTTCTGCTTTGAGATGTGTGTTAGTCAAGACATCAACATACGATCTTCATAGATACCTCATTGGGAGTGATGGGTTACTTTGGAAAATGGAGAATCCATCTGTTTGGAGGTTACTAAATCTATGGGGATTACTTTTAGTAGGTGATTCTGTCCAGACTATATAAGCAGGGGAAAGAAAAATGAGACAAGTTAAGTGAAGGGAAGATAGCAAAAATATGCTTATTAAAGAATCATAGATGCTGATTCTCCGATGTCATATTACTTTCAGTTAGCAGTATAAGTTACTATAGCAGAAATAATGAGACTACATATATTTGTGCATTTTAATGGCAAATATATTAACAAGAACAATAGCCCCCATGGTAGTTTACTGACCACAAAGTCGTTTCCATAATGAATATACTTTCTGTCCTTGTTTGTTGAAACATAGTTTAGAGAAGGAACACAGGTTTGAAATTTAGCAGAAAAAAAAATTGGAATGGCTTTTTTTTTTTTCCAGCTTCATCCATGTCCCTGCAAGGACACGATCTCATTCCTTTTTGTGACTGCATAGTATTCCATGGTGTATATGTACCACATTTTCTTTATCCAGTCTATGAATGATGGGCATTTGGGTTGGTTACAGGTCTTTGCTATTGTGAACAGTGCTGCAATTAATATATATGTGCATGTGTCTTTATAGTAGAATGATATATTCCTTTGGGTATATACCCAGTAATGGGATTGCTGGGTCAAATGGCATTTCTGGTTCTAGACCTTTGAGGAATTGCCACACTGTCTTCCACAATGTTGAACGAATTTACATTCCTGCCAACAATGTAAAAGCGTCGCTATTTCTCCATAGCCATGCCAGCATCTGCTACTTCTTGACTTTTTAATAATTGCCATTCTGACTGGAATGAGATGGTATCTCATTGTGGCTTTGATTTGCATTTCTCTAATTATAAGTGTTGTTCAGCTTTTTTTCATATGTTTCTTGGCCACATAAATGTCTTCTTTTGAAAAGTGTCTGTTCATATCGTATGCCCACTTTTTATTAGGTTGTTTGTTTTGTTTCTTGTAAATTTGTTTAAGTTCCTTTTAAATCCTGGATATTAGACCTTTGTCAGATGTGTGGATTGCAAAACTTTTCTCCCATTCTGTAGGTTGCCTGTTCACACTGATGATAGTTACTTTTGCTGTGCAGAAGCTCTTTAGTTTAATTAGGTACCATTTGTCAATTTTGGCTTTTGTTTCAATTGCTTTCAGCATTTTCATCATGAAGTTTTTGCCTATGCCTATGTTCTGAATGGTATTGCCTAGGGTTTTTTCTACTGTTTTTATGTTTTTGGGTTTTACATTTAAGTATTTAATCCATCTTGAGTTAACTTTTGTATAAGGTGTGTAAAGAAGGGGTCCAGTTTCAGTTTTCTGCATACGGCTAGCTAGTTTTCCCAGCAACATTTATTAAATAGGGAATCCTTTCCCCATTGCTTGTGTTTGTCAGGTTTGTTGAAGATTAGATGGTTGTAGATGTGTGGTGTTATTTCTGAGGTCTCTGTTCTGTTCCACTAGTCTATATATCTGTTTTGGTACCAGTACCATGCTGTTTTCATTACTGTAGCCTTGTAGTGTAGTTTAAAGTCAGGTAGTGTGATATCGCTGGCTTTGTACTTTTTGCTCAGGATTGCCTTGGCTATGTAGGCTCTTTTTTGTTCCATATGACTTTTAAGATTTTTTTCTAGAATTCTGTGAATAATGTAATAACAGTAGTGGAATGAGAATAGCATTGAATCTATAAATTACTTTGGGCAGTATGACCATTTTCGTGATATTGATTCTTCCAATCTATGAGAATGGAACGTTTTCCATTTGTTTGTGTCCTTTCTTATTTTCTCGAGCAATGGTTTGTAGTTTCCCTTGAAGAGGTCCTTCACATCCCTTGTTAGCTGTATTCCTAAGTATTTTATTCTATTTATAGCAATTGTTAATGGGAGTTACTTTGTGATTTGGCTCTCTACTTGTCTATTGTTGGTGTATAGGAATGCTTGTGATTTTTGCATATGGATTTTTGTATCCTGAGAGTTTGCTGAAGTTACTTATCAGAGTAAGGAGTTTTGGGGCTGAGATGATGGGGTTTTCTAAATATAGGATCATGTCATCTGCAGACAGAGACAATTTGACTTCCTCTCTTCCTGTCTGAATACACTTTATTTCTTTCTCTTACCTGATTGCCCTGGCCAGAACTTCCAATACTATGTTGAATAGCAGTTTTGAGAGAGGGCATCCTTGTCTTGTGTTAGTTTTTAAAGGGAATGCTTCCAGCTTTTGCCTATTCAGTATGATATTGGCTGTAGGTTTGCAATAAATAGCTCTTATTATTTTGAGATATGTTCCATCAATACGTAGTTTATTAAGAGTTTTTACCTTGAAGGGATGTTAAATTTTATCAAAGGCTTTTTCTGCATCTATGGAGATAATCATGTGGTTTTGTAATTGGTTCTGCTTATGTGATGGATTATGTTTATTGATTTGCATATATTGAACCAGCCTTGCATCCCAGGGCTGAAACCAACATGATCATAGTGATAATCTTTTTCATGTGCTGCTGAATTTGATTTGCCAGTATTTTATTGAGGATTTTCATATCAATGTTCATCAGGGATGTTGGACTGAAGTTTTTTTTTTCTTTGTTGTGTCTCTGCCAGGTTTTGGTATCAAGATGATGCTGGCCCCATAAAATGAGTTAGGGAGGAGTCCCTTATTTTCAATTGTTTGCAATAGTTTTTGAAGGAATGGTGCCAGCTCCTCTTTGTACCTCTGGTAAAATTTGGCTGTGAATTCTTCAGGTTCTGGCTTTCTTTGGTTGGTAGACTACTTATTACTGCCTCAATTTCAGAACTTGTTATTTGTATACCCAGGGATTCGACTTCTTTGTGGTTTAGTCTTGGGAGGGTGTATGTGTCCAGGAATTTATCCATTTCTTCTAGATTTTCTAGTTCATTTGAGTAGAAGTGTTACAGTATTCTCTGATAGTAGTTTGTATTTCTGTGGGGTCAGTGGTGATAGCCCTTTATCATTTTTTATTGTGTCTATTTGATTCTTCTCTCTTTTAGTCTAGCTAGTGGATTATCTATTTTATTAATTTTTTCAAAAACCAGCTCCTGGATTTATTGATTTTTTGATGTTTGTTGTGTCTTTATCTTCTTCAGTTCCACTCTGATCTCAGTTATTTCTTATCTTCTGCTAGCTTTTTGATTTGTTTGCTCTGGCTTTTCTAGTTCATTTCATTGTTATGTTAGAGTGTTGATTTGAGATATTTCTAACTTTCTGATGTGAACCTTTTAGTGCTGTAAATTTCCCTCTTAACACTGCCTTAGCTGTGTCCCAGAGACACATTATCTCTTTGTTCTCTTTGGTTTCAAAGAACTTCTTGATTTCTGCCTTACTTTAATTATTTACCCAGGAGTCATTTAGGAACAGGTTGTTCAATTTCCATGTTGTCGTGTGGTTTTGATTGAGTTTCTTAACCCTGAACTCTAATTCGATTGCATTGTGGTCTGAGAGACTGTCTGTTACGATTTCAGTTCTTTTGCATTTGCTGAGGAGTGTTTTACTTCCGATAATGTCAATTTTAAAATAAGTGCCATGTGGCACTGAGAAGAATGTATATTCTGTTGCTTTGGGGTGGAGGGCTCTGTAGATAAATCCACTTAATCCAAAGCTGAGTTCAAGTCCTGAATATCCTTGTTAATTGTCTGTCTGATTTATCTGTCCAATACTGACAGTGGGGTGTTAGATTCTCCCACTGTTATCATGTGGGAGTCTAAGTCTCTTTGTAGGTCTCTAAGAACTTGTTTTATAAATCTGGGTGCTCCTGTGTTGGGTGCATATATCTTTGTGACAGTTAGCTCTTCTTGTTGAATTGTTTCCTTTACCATTATGTAATGCCCTTCTTTGTCTCTTTTGATCTTTGTTGGTTTAAAGTCTGTTTTGTCAGAGACTAGGATTGCAGCCCCTGCTTTTTTTCTGCTTTCCATTTGTTTGGTAAATTTTCCTCCACCCTTTATTTTGAACCTATGTGTGACTTTGCACATGAGTTGGGTCTCTTGAATACTGCACACTGAAGAGTCTTGACTCTATCCAATTTGCCAGTCTGTGTCTTTTAATTGGGGCATTTAGCCCATTTATATTTAAGGTTAATTTTGTTATATGTGAATTTTATCCTATCATCCTGATACTATCTAGTTATTTTTCACACTAGTTGATTCCATTTATTCATAATGTCACTTGTCTTTACATTTTCATGTGTTTTGCAGTGGCTGATACCGATTTTTCCTTTCCATATTTAGTGCTTGCATTTTTTTCTTAAAAGTAGAAAAATTGGAGATGAGAAAGGGGAAGGAGGGAGGGAGGTGCAGACAGAGAGAGAGCAAGAGAGAGATATTATGGTTGTATTTTCATCATTGTCAGAGGTTCAGATCATCTTTATGATCTTTTCTTTGTCCAAAAGCATTCCTTTTTTTATTAAACAGAAGTTAGCTGCCAGATCTGCCAAACACTTCAGAAATGATTTTTGTTTTTTTTTTTTTATAAAATTGACTGCTATGTGATTCTGAGGTAAAGGTGGGGATGGGATCTCTGAAACTCATACCATTAAAGAGAGGGGATGGGGGAAGAGAGAAAGAAGAAAAAAAAAATCAGGAAATAAAACTCAGTTAAATACACTTGATTTTCCAGTACCTTACAATCTAAGAGCCTAGGTAAAACCAGCCAGGGGTTCAATAAATTCCTACAGTATTTTAATAATTGTTTGATTAGTGGTGTAATACGAACCTGCCATCTTAAATTCATGTTTGTGAGAATCTTTCGAAATGCTTTGAGAATCTTTTAAAATGCTTCTCTCTTTCATTATTTAAAAATAGTTCTCCTATGCTTTTTTGGGGCATTTACTATAATTTTTCAGATTGTCAACATATAAATTATTTTTCAAACAATTACTGAAAAGACATCCTCTGAGCACCAAACTTAAGGGAGAATAATAGTTCAGAGAGGGAAAAAAAAATGGTTGCTGATTGAACTATAGTGTTGCCAGTGACAGAGTTAGGCTGGTGTCAGATCTCATTGTTCATATAAAGCATACAATACAAAAGACAACTTGATTCTTTTGAAAAGAAATAAGTTTTCATGTGCATATTTCTTCCACTTGAAAAATATTACTTTTCAAAATAGTATTCAGGCTTTAGGAATATTTCCTTTGGTCTGTACAATTAAATTTAGTATTACATTTATTGTTGCTACTAGTTTGTTTATGACATTTATGATAAGCTTTTGTACATTCTTGACATTTGTTTCAGTGTGATTAATTTCATGCATGGTGCTGACTTTGTCAGTATCTTCTTCCTGTCAATAGAACATCCTTGTAGAAGAATCATGGTACATAACTGCCTATTTTTTGTAAATTTCAAACCAAATGAATGCCTCTGTAGAATGGCTTTCCAAAATCATTTTTTAGGGAAATAATATAGTGATAACATATGTGCATAATATAATAATAATATAGGTACATTAGAATTTTATTGTAAAAGAAACTTCAGTGATATTTAGCTTATTGTATAGTTTATTGTATGATTTTAAAACAGAAATAAGGTGATATCAACACTAATATTACTCATAGTAACAGCAATAACAATGACAGTGACAAATAATGCAGTATTATCTGAATTATCCAGGTTTTCAAAACAGTATGCTTTTAAGAAACTTTTTTCATGCCTAATGTAAAGCTTCCTGTTTTTCCAAAAACTATTCTCTGATATACAATTTGAAAGTTTCTTTGAGTGAGGGAGCAATATCTCTATTGATCAAATTGCAGATTTTGGTGCAGCTGGTGGAACATACCCTTCACTTGTTTGGTTTCCAGTATGATTTCAACAGACTTTACAATTGAACATGGTTATAGAATCAAACGGAATTTTGGCTACATTTCTATTTCACACCTGCTTAAAAACAATTAAAGAAGGATCATTTTGTCACACCTAGACATTCTTTCTTGTTTATGCTGACACATAAAAGCCCTATCTTCATTTCCTAAATATTGTATTTAAACAACTTCTTTTTCTCTTCCTCCTCCTTTGTCTTGGTTTTATCTGTCCATCTTTTAAGAATTTTAATCATCTTAAGAAATTTCTTCTAGCTTGTCTTCTTGATCCACTCTTTGAAGACTTGTCAGAGTTTCCACAGCTCATTTATGGGACATCTCAGTTCCAAGGCAGTCAGTTTGTTTTCGGAAACTTTTTTCCCCATTTTATTATAATGCCTCTCCACCTACAGTTGGCTTATTTTAAATCTCCTAGCATTAAGCAAATGCCACTTAGCCTATGTATTAGATAGGGTGCAGGCTGCTCTCTGTAACAAGGAGAACATAAAACACAACAGCTCAAACAGAGAACAATTTACTTCTCTCTGTTAGCAGTCCAGAGTAGGTTAGACAGGCTACTCTTCGTGATATCATAAAGAGATTCTTGCTGGCAGAATGTCTTTAAATCACCAACATGAGTGTTGGATCTAAGGTAATTGCTACATTTCTTACCATCTTTAGGTCAGAGACAAGAGGGCAAAAGAAGTCCAGAGCAGTGGCTTTAGCTTTATGGAGATATCTGTGAAGTTATATGAGTCATTTCCTCATATCCAATCTGCCCAAGTTAGTCCGATGTTCACATCTACTGGAAAGTCATGCTGAGAAATGTCTCTGCTTGGATCGCTATGTGCCTAGCTACAACACAGGAAGTCCTATTATTAAGAATGAAGACTACATCTAGGAGTCACTTGTCTGTCTCTGCTCTTGACTCCATCTGTTAATCTTTTTATTTTTCTTTACAAATTCCAGAGTGTATATTTTATTGACTAAAAACTAGCCAATGTATTAGCTTTCCCATACGGGGTGACTTCTAGATGATGCATTAATAGGCCAAGGGGCAAGGCACGATGACTTTTGGAATAAATTAAAAGTATTAGTTCTACATTCAGGGATATTGCTTGGAATAGGAAGGGAATGAAGTGTGGGGGCATTGTATATTAAATGTGCATCCATAACATTTAACATAATCAATTTTTGATTACCCTAAACATTTTTGCTGAATTGGTGCTCCCAGAACTATTTTTGCTGATTTATATTTAAATTTTCTAATATTTAAATATTAACAAGTGACAAAAGTTTTGATGCTTGTAGAAATACTTATTTAAGTTATTTGGCAATTAGATATATCTCCGTACCCTAGACCTCCCTTGTATTTTACTTCTTTGTTTCACATAGTGCACTGCAGATTTTTTGTTTGTTTAAAGACAAGGAAACTAAATGACCAGCTGAGCAATGACGAATTCAAGTCAGGTCCTTCTGACAAATACATCTTCCTTCCTTTAGGGAATGTTATTTTATTTTTCTAAAATGAGAAAAGTATTAGATGAGAACAGTATTTTAATAAGCCACCCCAATATAGGTGACTGTGTGTGTTCATAGTTATGATTATTAAGTGATACTCTTGATTTCGAGGTTTTTAAATAACAAAATAATTTTTGTGATGATTATTTTCAGTGTCTAAATGTGTATTATTGTATGGGGATATTTTCTACCTCTCTTTTCTCTCTGTTCCTTAAGACATGAAATTGATGTGTAAACTCTTAGAAATTGTATTATTTAAAAAATTTTAAAATAAACTGTTAAGGAATAAACAAATTAACTGGCCTCTGAACTCCCACTATATAATTTCTCAATCCTTCTATATAAGAAAAATGCAGAATTGTCTCTTGCAAGTTGAACCTAAAATCACTTTTGTGGCCTTAGATATACCAAATATGCAGAAACATTCATGTTTAATAGGATAAAAGTAGGAAATGGTTCTAAACTAAAAGATATATTGAGCCTATATTAAACTGTTGACTTAACCCTGTTTTGTAGATATTTACTTTGGGACATTTAGTTTATTTTGAAGTATATTCTATAGGGTAGGTAAGCATTCTCTGGCAGGTTTTGCTACAGTGGCAGGGATTAGTGCCACATTAGCAAGATATAGTTTAATTTTGCTATCTGAAAAACTTGAATTTTTCTATGTGGTGTAATTTTTTACAAAATATCTCTCACCACATAGTTATATAGTAACTACAAGACTTAGTGATGCATATTAGTTTTGTTCCTTGACTGTAAGACAATAATGTTCCAATTTAGATGTAAAGACAAGCTCAGTTGAGTTACAAAGAATCTATTGGAAAATAAGTGGCCCATATCCTATTTTCTTACAACTGAAAATGAATTTTTGTTCAGTACCTTCTTTTATTTCCACCACAGGGAAAATACAGATACTCACTATTTCTCTCCTGTGAGAAATATGTTCTAATTTTTGGATCCCAAGGGTTTTATGGAAAATTTGTCCCTCTAAGTCATAGTCTGACCCAATTAGAGTGTGAAAATGATTAATTCATCTACCATTTAAAGGATGTAAAACTGGGTTGTCATCATGGTAACACCATTCTAACAGACACACAAATTCTACAAATCAAGAATACAATATTTAAAAACAAATTTCATTAATTTTAATTTACATTTCCCTTTGGGTGCCATAGATCACTATTAAACTGACATCTAAATGTAAAGATTTTTATAATTTTATTCTTCCCAAACCTAACTTTTAGGAACAGTGAATTTTTTTTTTTTTATATTTTAGATTTATTTTTACTCAAATTCAAAGAGTACAATTGTCTCATTTTGTGTGGATTAAATTGCTGAATTATTGCAAGCTTTCAGATTGCCTGTAATTTGATTCAAAGTATTAACTTATTTCAACAATATCTTTTAAAAATGTAGTTAGAATTCAGCAGTCTTGCAAAGTTTTAAGAATAATTTCTGTCTGAAGGAGTACTGTAAAATTGACTTCTGAAATAGCTGTTGGATTAACATTTGAAAGAGTGTAAGAAAACTGTATTTTGTTTCACACAATTAATAAAAAAATATATATGGTTTCACTTATACCCTAGACCAGAAACGGCAGAATCTCTCTGTTAAGAAAATAAGAATTTGCTTTCCTATAACACATTGTTAAATGCGGTGATTTTTAAAAATGTTTAAATAAAGGAACGATTACAAGAGATTTTGATGCCTGTCATACTTGAAGGAAGGTTAATGAACTGAAAGAAGTCCTATCACAGTAATAAATTGCTATCTATTTCAAAAGAGATTAGGATGGAGCAATTGTCTGCTCAAAGCACTGTGGGGCAGCGATAGATCCACCCATTCAAAGTAATAGGAAGTATATTATGTTACTAAAGAGTCATTAAATGCAAACAATAATTTATACACTAATACATTGATCAATATAAAGTATGTTAAAAACATGAAGGTAATATTTTATTTCTATCACAAATATTACTTCATATTAGTACTTTTAAAGTTCTTATAAAGCATGTCTCTTCAAACTTTCAATGTACATTAAAAATGTATAAAGACAAAATAGATTTTCTTTTAAAAAATGTTTTATTGTAAAACCATAATACCTAAATGGGTAACTTACTCCCCAGATAAATAATAATATTAATTAGACTTATTTCTAATTAGATTGGATTCCTGTGAGATCCCTTGCAAAAGTTAAACCTCCACTTCCAGTTCAGTTTTTCCCAAATCAATACTACTGTTTCCTTCACTGGACCCATATTATTCTCTCTTGTATATAATGTACATTTTAATAATATGGTGCTATTTTTCATCACCTTCAACTCAATATTAAACAGTGGTATATTCAGCACACTTCTTAACATTTTACATGTATTGATATTTTTCTACAACTTTGCAAAACAGCATCTTAATAGTGTGAACAAATAATATAATAACTAAGTGTAATAAATTGCCTTAAAAATTTATAATACTAACTGATGGGATGGGAAAGAGGATGAATATATATGTTCTATATAGATAAGATGAAAAAGTGAATTTATCTGCATTTTTAACATTTGACATTGAATGTAGTCAGAAACTCTGGTTTGAGACTTACATGTCCCCAAAATTGTTCAACTACGTGCGGGCAGTCACCCTTCTGTTCTACAATACCTTTCACTTTGCTGCTTCATTCTTCTGTGTCTTGTGATTCAGCATTTTCTCTCATGTCTCCATCCTGCCACAGACAATGGGGATCGTTAATCATGACAAGGGGAACAGAGCAAGTTATCCAAGATTACAGTGGTCTCATTAGCAATTACATGATATTAATAGATTAGTAAGAAGATCCCATGGTGAATTATAAAGACAAATGATAAAACAAATTAATTATTTGATTTTAGTTCACATGTGGAAATTCATACTTACTAGTGTGATTTACCAGGAGACTATTTGTAGCATGTGGACTCTGTTCAACAGCAAGCACAAGCTATTTATTTGCACTGAAAAAATAATCATGAGTGAGTAAATTTAGGATTTCAGAAATTTTCAAAGTATCTCATAAGAAATATGATAACATATTTTACCTGGCTGTCCATTTCCACTGAAAGATAAACCAGAACTACGGACAAACTTTCTTTTACAAAAATAAAAATGTTTATCTGCAGGTTGTTTCACATAATGGCCACTTTTCAGTGAACATAATATATCCATTTAAGCATGTTTTGTTGTATTTGATGCAGTGTTTCTCTCATCTAGAATAATCTAAACTCAAAGATATGAACATTGCATCTGTAATAGAAACATAATGAGATCCATACTTCTCCCGGCCTGAGTCAACTTGTGTAATTTATCTGAGATCAGGTTTCAGATCTTTGCAGAAAATTGTCCATAAGGTAAATGCTATGCATGTGCATGGAATATCATTGATATGTCTACTTTTGATGACATCTTTGTCTGCCCAGTTACCTTAGGATGTGTGAATGATTTGAAAGTGTTAGGAGGAAGAGGTTTTTCATTTTTTCTTTTATAAGTTGAAAAGTATTTCCTAAGGTAAAAGGATATCTCTTTATTTTGCTTTTGTTTGGTTTTGTTTGTATGTTATTGCAGATTCAATAGAAAGAGGAAATCCTCTAAATTAACATTATGTAAACAACTTCTCCCACATATTCTTAATTTATTTGTGTAAACAAAATATTTCACGAATCTCAGGCATGTGGGCAGTAACAATATTATTGTGATTGTTTATTATTGAGTTTTTGCTTTAATTTTTAAAAATCTAAATAATTAAAAGTTTATAAGTGTAAATAAAATTTAATTTTCAATTTTACCCAAAAAACACAATTACTTTCATAGAATGTTACATAAATACTTGAAAAGTATGATCCACAGTTGGAAACTTAAGCCATTCATACATTGTCCAGTAAATTTAACATGTTTGGGCACAGACATTTTGTGCTAATTATCTTAGTTTTATTAGTGAGTTTTCCAGAGAGGACTTTAAACGCAGTAATGCAGAGTATCTGATCATTCATTCTTTCTCAGCTAAACCCATCTCTTTTCTTTTCTTTCTTTCTTTCTTTCTTTTATTTATTTATTTTTTTTTGAGATGGAGTCTCACTCTGTCACCCAGGCTGGAGTGCAATGAGGGATCTCATCTCACTGCAAACTCTGCCTCCCAGGTTCAAGTGACTCTCCTGCCTCAGCCTCCTCAGTAGCTGGGATTACAGGTGCTCACTACCACACCCAGCTAATTTTTGTATTTTTAGTAGAGATGGGGTTTTACCATGTTGGCCAGACTGGTCTCAACTCCTGACCTCAGGTGATCCGCCCACCTCGGCCTCCCAAAGTTCTGGGATTACAGGCGTGAGCCACTGTGCCCGGCCCTCATCCCTCTTTCAATAAGTAAAGGACTTGTGTGGTGGAAAAATCTCTTGATCATTTAATTTTAAACTTGATATTCACAATTTTAGTTATAATATTCTGACCTCATGAGATAATAAAAGAAGATACTACATAATATATACTTTTCTTATCAGACAACAAAACAAAAATGACACAAACCTGAGTTGTAATTCAGACACTTCCATTTTTGTGTGTCACTTTAAACCATACATTAAATTGTGCCAATCCTGAGTTTCTAAATATTAAAATAAGAATAATAATATTTATCCTGCCTAGCTTATTTAGTCATGGCACAAAAAAATGGTTTTATAAATTTCAGCATTCTATGTAGAAGTAAAGATATGGCAAAAATTTTTCAAATGGAAAACAATATGTATAATAATTAAATTAATTTTTTTAACATTCCTTAAGCCTTAAGCAGCAAGCCTACCAAGGAGAAGGAGTACACAAATTGTCTTATCTTAGTTAGGTTTACAGAATAATTTATTTCAGCATTGATTTGGTATTTAGAATGAGGACCTGGATTAGAATAATTGAAATTGAAGTGGGAAGTAGGTGATGTTACTGAAAAAAAAATATTAATGGAAAGTTTGACTGAGTGTGTGCCACAGACAAGGAAGAGTCAAAATGCACTGTTTTGTTTTGAGTTTAGGGGGATGGAAGCATGACTGTGCTACTGACCAAAATAAATAGACAGAAAGAAAAGACAATTGAAAATTGGAGCGAATGAACTGTGTATGACAAATAACTGTTTAGATGCTGGCAATGATGGCCATAAAATGTTACTCTTAAAGAGACCATTAAAAAACTATGCCTATAGCTGGAAAATACTTGAGATCTGAAAGTATAATTTTGGAAATCAAGTGCATAGAGGTTACAGTTGTTTTATGCACTAGAAGATTTATTAGACAGAGAGTATAAAAAAAGAGATTAAAAGGGAGTTACAAAAAAAAAAAAAAAAACTGTAACCAATACAGCTGGTGAGAGATTCAACGAAAATTGGGGAGTTGAAAGTAAAAAAAAAAAGAGCTATTGGAAAAATAATAAATGATTTCAAAAGAATAAGACAGGACCCAGGAAACAGGAAAAATAAAGGAATTTCAAAAATAATGAAGCTAATGGAAAACATAAAACTTCAAAATAGTGTAAAGCTACATAGGATTGGTCTATTATTATACTGAAATAGACTGAAATCACAGTTAATAACACCTGGTACCTGAATTTTATGTGTCTGAACTAGAGATTATAATATTACTAAAATATCATTAGTTTAATAAAATATTTAAATAATTTTCTTTCAAATAGAGAATGACGATAGTTAAGTGTGAAATTATGAGAAGCTTTCATTACTTCATGGGAGATTTTAAAAGTCACATTAAATTCCATTACTAATTGATAACCACTTGAAAATAAGGGAAAGCTTTTCTACTTTTTAAAGAGTACTCGTTGTCAAAAATGAGA
The DNA here is from genome assembly GCF_000001405.40 of Homo sapiens. NCBI lineage: Eukaryota > Metazoa > Chordata > Mammalia > Primates > Hominidae > Homo > Homo sapiens. The sequence goes on along the minus strand of NC_000004.12, from coordinate 65,532,172 downwards.
TTTAATTTATGCAGGATTTTTAAAGAAAAATTGATAGCTTTCTACACCAACCCTGAGTTTCCAAATATTAAGATAAGGATAATCACATTTATCCTGCCTAGTGTACTTAATTATGGCACAATAAGATAGTTTTTATAAGTTCTAACACTTTATGTAGATTTAAAACTGACGAAAATAATATATTATGTATTATTTAAGCATATTAAGCCTCGTATACACATGGCCTTATTTAATACAACAGTCTTTTGAGATAGGCTTATGTATTCATTAGAACTAGTTTTGCTTAATACAAGTGAAAGCCCAAAGACCTAGGTAGGTGAAATTTATTTATTTTTTCATGTAAAAGAAGCCTGAGAGTTACTAAGCACAAGACTGATATGGTACCTCTTTATCATCAGATTCCTGGATCATTGTCATTCTGCAAAGACATCTCAGTATATCCTCTTTATGATCAGATTCCTGGATCATGGTCATTCTGCAAAGACATCTCAGTATATCCTCTTTATGATCAGATTCCTGGATCATTGTCATTCTGCAAAGACATCTCAGTATATCCTCTTTATCATCAGATTCCTGGATCATTGTCATTCTGCAAAGACATCTCAGTATATCCTCTTTATGATCAGATTCCTGGATCATGGTCATTCTGCAAAGACATCTCAGTATATCCTCTTTATGATCAGATTCCTGGATCATGGTCATTCTGCAAAGACATCTCAGTATATAGCTTTCATTCTTAAAGAAACTCCTGTTCTAGCCCTGCATGACTTCTGGATCACCAAACATCAACTCCACTTTCCAGGGAGGAAGGAGGAAAGGGTAAAAATGAAAAAAAAGGCCGGGCGCGGTGGCTCACGCCTGTAATCCCAGCACTTTGGGAGGCCGAGGCGGGTGGATCATGAGGTCAGGAGATCGAGACCATCCTGGCTAACAAGGTGAAACCCCGTCTCTACTAAAAATACAAAAAATTAGCCGGGCGCGGTGGCGGGCGCCTGTAGTCCCAGCTACTCGGGAGGCTGAGGCAGGAGAATGGCGTGAACCCGGGAAGCGGAGCTTGCAGTGAGCCGAGATTGCGCCACTGCAGTCCGCAGTCCGGCCTGGGCGACAGAGCGAGACTCCGTCTCAAAAAAATAAAAAAATAAAAAAAATAAAAAAAATAAAAAAAATAAAAAAAAATCCATCCAGCTAAATCAGCACCCTTTAAAGCAAATTCCTGGAAGCAACATACGACTATTATACTTTCACTTATATCTCATTGAATTCTCTCCACCTCTATTCTGCAAGGAGAGGTGATAAATGTCAGCTTATTGTTGGACACACTGTTACATCCAATATAGAGATTCTGTTCCTAAGCAAAAAGGAAAGAATGGGTAGTGGATAGGCATCTGGCTGTATTCACCATAGTACTATTATCCATTTCAATTCATAATACCTATATTAAGAAGCTGAGGCTTAGGAGAGGTCAGGTTAGTTCTATAAAATCAGAAACAAGAAAATTATCAGAAGTCTGTCATTCAGAAATTGCCTTACACCCCATTTTCTTCGCTATCCACATAAGCTATGATGCTAATATAGTTTCTCAATTTATGCTGGATTTCTACAATTTATTCAACAATTTCTATAATTTACACTGAATTTCTAACTGACCATACATTCAAAGAATCCTTAGTTCTCTGTTGACCATATTATTCCTTTGTGCTCCTGTACAAACACACACAACAAACACATCATAAACACGCACACACACACACACACACAAATGTACACCTGTTTACATACATATATACGATAGCTTAGTATTTTCTGCCAATTGGATTTTAAGTTTATTTGTCTTATTTTTAAAGTCTTTAATCTTTATTTTCAGAATCAACTGCTCATAGTAACAGCCGTTAAATCTATGCTCTGGTAATCTCTTTATTTCACCTGAGCCAAGATTATGTTTTTTCTATTACTGGGCATAGCTCTAATCCCAGTAGTTCCATATATTTTTTCTATAAAAGTTGTTCTTGAGTTTCCTCCCCAAAATAGTTTGAACTAAATGTAATAATCCTATTTTTAAGACATCTGTGATAGATTTTCCCCAGCTAGATTATAATAATTTTCAAAACTTATATTATCTCTGTATTCACCTGGCACCTGTCACAACAAAGGACACATAGTTATGTTTTTTAAAATTGTTGATAGATATTGTCATTGCTTTCTCAAATATCTTATTTGTATATATTAGTATAACCTTAGGTATCAATGTTTCCAATGTGTATAATTTCGATATTATTTTAAATTAGAAAATATTGCTTTCTAATGGCCAATAACAACACCCACCAGAACTTTGTAAGAATGGATCATTGAGTTATTTGTAGACTATTAATTATAATTCCAATCATACCAATTTAATGTATTGAGTTCTACCTAGATATATAGTAATAGAGCAAGAGTTATATACGTTCATGTCATTGTTCCAGTTTCATATATGCAAGCACACTTATGTGATTCAGGGTTGAAAACTGAAACCATGACATTTATTAATAAGCAATTGTGTAGATTTATTATGTATCTAACATATGCACAATGAAAATTATATGAGTATGTATGGTGAAATTTCCAGGGGTTTTTACCGTCTTTCTGTCTCTCCCTCTTGGTCTTTCTTTTTTTGTTGTTTTTTTCTTTCTTTCTCTGAAGGATGTACATAACTGAATATGTTGTATTTGTGTGTGTGCATATAATATGCATTTGTGTGTGTGCATATAATATGCATACGTATGCACACAGATAAACATAGGTATACATATATGTTTATGAGACTCAAAGGAAACAATAAATTTATTTATATTAAGGTTAGTAGATCAGCATAATCATTAATTTGTATAACTTGATGATGCAAAAATTAGGCTTTGAGAAGCCATTCCAAACATTAGACCACTGTTTGGGGATTTGAAAGATTGTGGATTTTTGCAAATGTGCTTGTATTCTTTTATTTTTTTTCATAAAAGTTTCTTGAGCACCAATTGTATATCTGATATTCTTTGAATTGCGTTTATTATGTCTTATACTATAGTTGTTTTAAAAGAAAATTTATTACATTCACTATGCAACCAATTTTTGAAACTGTGAGATGTTTTAATTGAACATAGTTTTTAAACACTCTAAAACCTCAGAAATAACTTCAATATTACCTCAGTGCTTTCCTAGACCATGACTTGCATAGCTGTTTATCACTGACATTGTGGGCAGTGGGTTAATTGTAATTGCATGGTCACCTGGACTATCCTATAATTTGAAGTAGAGTCCTTCTGCTGTGTCAGCCTTGACAGTATATTATTTCCGAGCATTAATGCCAGAATGGTCTTTAAATTGGTTATGGAACGGGGAAAGAAGTGATTTAAGTGCTCGATTTAGTGCACTCCTCTTGCTGTCCGCTTCAGGCCACTTTCCTAGGAATGGCAGAATGTGAGCAGAATTAAAATTCAGATTTAACCAAAGTTGGAAAAAAAATAACATGAAACAAAGGGAAATGAAAGTAATCTCAACTCTACCTATTTGTTGACAAGTACATAGTATGCAAATCACTGGATATCTTGAACTACGTATTTCCCTCTTGGAAATTCGTGAATTAAACAATAAAAGATGGATTTTAATAAACAAGTGCCTGTACACATTGAATTCTCTACGGATTTTTTTAAGCAACAGGGAAAACTAACGACTTTTTTTTTCTCTTAAGGATAGGAGGAGGGCGGAGGAAGAAGCGAATTAAATATATTTCTTGAGTGCACAAAATGTACTTCAGTGGAAACACTACACTCTTTAAGAAACATATTTTTGTCTTTGCAAAAAATATTACTTAAATTAAGGCACATTATATTTCAGTTTAATTTTAGATTTGTTAGGCTACATTTAGAAGGTGCTCATTTCTTCTGTGATGTTTTGACTCAGAGCACCTATGGTTTTGCCGACGTGTGATGCTTAGCTGAGTTCCCCTTTTATAATTATATTTTGCAAACATCTACAGCAAGCTTTTTCTCTCTCATTATGTAAGAAATGGGTTAGGAAACATTTTGTTATCTAACATTTTCTGGTCAAATTGTTGATAGATTTTATTTCAAGCTGACCATACTTTAAAATTCCAGCCCTATAATAAAACAAAATGTCTGGTAATATTAAACTCTTAAATATTCATTTATTTAACCAAAATGTTTATCCTTAGCAAACTACCACTGGATCAGAAAACCAAATACTGCATGTTCTCACTTATAAGTGGGAGCTAAATGATGAGAACAAACGGACACGTAGAGGGGAACAACACTCACTGGGGCCTTTCGGAGAGTGGAGAATGGGAGGAGGGAGAGAATCAGGAAAAACAATTAGTGGACACCGGGCTTAATACCTAAGTGATGAAATGACCTGTACGATAGCCCTCCATGACACAAGTTTACCTGTGTAACAAACCTGCACTTGAACCCCTGCACTTAAAATAAAAGTTAAAAAATAATATTAATAAAGATACCCAGAACTTTACTTCCTAGTATGTTCCAGTAGCCGGCAGTTATTATGCTCAGATTTTTCTACCAAATCATAGGAGTTAGTGGTTGAAAATATAGATCTAATTTAAAAAAGAAATGCTTAAGACATTTTTCATTCTTCTTGCATTTTAAAAGTAGAGACTCTACTTCTTATTCTGTCATAAACCTTTCCAAACGTAAACATTATCCTGAAGTTATGACTTTTTGTACTCCATGTATTTGCTCTGTGTGTGTCTATCGCTAATTCAGAACATATTATTGTTTTGTTGGTTTCAAACTTTATGGAATTGACAAATATTTCACGTATAACTTGACAACTTTTACTGTCAGCATTATTTTTCATCGTTTGTCACTTTGGTGAATGTAGAACTAATTTAATTTCATTGCAATGTAGTATTCTATTATAGGTTCTTTCTAATTTTTTCGCTATTGCAAGTAATAACACAATAAGCATTTTAATATATGGCTCAACATATATGTGAATGTTAGTATAGTAAATATGCAGAAAGGTAAAATTTAGGCAGATACTGCCAAATGTCTTCCCAAAGTGTGTTTGTCCTAAGCACTATATACAAATTCTCTTTTTATCACTTTTCCACAAACACTGGGCAATATGAATATTTTAAATGATTTTTAGTCTGATTTATTTGAAATGGTAACTACATTTACACTTACCCATTTAGAGGAAAGAATGAGGATCTCTTTTATGTTTAGTAGCATTAGATTTTTTTATTTTCTAAAATTTCTGTTAATGTGATTTGGAAATTTATCACTAAGATCAATTGCCTTTTATTGAAAATAAAAAAGCAGATAAAAAGGAAGAAAATGAGGGAGATGCTGCAGTTTTCTAAGAAGGTAGACGTGAGACTGTAGAAACCTTGTAGCCATTCCATGCAGTTGTTATATGAGTGATATAATCTACACATATGCAAAGTTTGGCTCTCATGACATTTTGGTGACCTTAAGTTGATGTCAGAGATCAGGCTTAATTTATTGCTCTAAATGATTTGAGCTCATGTAGATACTTACTATAACAAACAATGGAAATTTACTAAATAGGAAATTGCTTGGCCATTAACTTATCTTATTTTACACCCTAATATTCTAAACCTATGAAATAAAAAATATCTGATAAAACACAAGAAATAAAACTATTTTGAGACCATGATAATTCAATGAAATCAAATTTTTAATTTTTTGTAAAGACAGATTTAAATTTTATCATGAGCCTAATATATAGCCTTTTATATATGAGGCTGGAACATTTTCACACAATGTTTTGTGCCTCTTGCAATTTAATTATAGCCAGCATAAAAGGATTCTAGACCTTGAACTATTTGTGGTTGGATACTCTGTCTTGTTGCTTTTTGGGTTCCTGGTATTTGGCATAGTCACGTTATGTCAATCATATGTACTGAAAAGTCTGGGACAATTATAGTCCTTTCCCTTTATATCCATGTAGTATCAATAGTGACCCTTTTTACTATTAGAATTGTCCCAACAGACATCAATTTATCTGATTTGATAAATGAAACATTGAAAACAATATTTGATATATGCAAAACAGTAATACCTACCATCAATTGAATAACATGTGCCCGGTATTGGGCTAAATACTGATAGGATTTATTTCAATCATAAGATGAAATTGACAGCAAGGAAACTGTTATTCAGAGAGTGTAATTTGGGCTAAGTAACTGACAGAATCATTAAAGGAAATGTTCATCTCTTTATAATCAGCGCCTGAGACAGCGACCCCTACCAAAAGATTTTTAAAAGTCTTTGTTCATTGTTTGAGAAACAGAAATACAGATTCTGAAAAAATCCCATGGTACTTGTTTGAAGGAAAGAAATAGAAACATTTGATAAGCTATAAATTTTGTTATTCTTATACCACTCCTAGATCTGTACATTCATGGTTTATTCATGCCAGGGGGCTTTTCTTTGAGAAAATGATGAGTCTTTGTTTTCAGTAAGGTTCTTGTGTTTTTATTTCTTTATGTTTTTCATTTGAGAAAGTCTGTTGGTTTAAATGTGAACACTTTAAGGCAGAAATCACTGCTCTTTTGAGTCTAGTAAATAGCTTTCCAATGGTTCCAATGGGTGCAGTAGGTTACTTAAATGGGCCGCAGATGTGTATCTGTACAATTTAAGAGCAGGAAGAGACTTGTAGCAAACATTGATCCCCACTGTAGACAGGGGAAAAAAATACATTGTATGAAAATGTTCCAGCCTCATATATAAAAGGCTATATATTAGATTCATGATAAAATTTAAATCTGTCTTTAAAAATTTTGTTATCATTTCATGGTCCTGGGACAAAATAATTAAAGACTTGTGAATGAATGAATGAAATTATATTAAATTATTTCTCTTTTATAGCAACAGTCATAGAGGGAACTTTAAAAATAAATTATAGTATTTCCTGCCAAATGCCACTCCTTTAATATAGCTTTTAATATTATTAAAAAGAGATAACTAGTTAATAGTTAATAATCTTTCAGTAGATGGAAAATTGAAGAATTATAAGTTTTAATATATCTGTTATTACCTTCAAATACAGGGTTTTCTTAAGGCATGAGATATACACCATAAGACTATACATGAAATTTAAAAGATGATAGAATATGGTAGATATTTCTAAGAAAGGAAAACAATCAGACACTGACTCACAAAAAGATGTGACTTTTTAATGATACGTGTCATTATGGAACAGAGCAGATCTTTCTTTGAAGGATGAGATACTTGTAAACACAAAACTCAGGAGCCCATCCTTTGGTTTGTAGAAACAACTACTAGATCTGCCATATTTACTTATATACTCAGGTTTCAGCTGCCATACAATCTGTTATTTTTCTTGGAAAAATTATTGGTGTCAGTACTCTAAAAACTTCTTCATTCATATGGGAAATGTCCAGGATTTTATTCAAAATTTAAACGTACTGAAATGGCACAGTTTATAAAAATCATAAAGTGTGCTATGTATGCACTTGCAAATATTTAACTTCCTTCATCTAGAAGCTATTTAATAATACTTCCTTTCTCTAGGAGTTATTTAATAATACTTCATTTGACTAATTTAAGTTATATTTTTCTGTTTCTAAACAGGGATGTTGGAATACCATCCAACATTAATCTGGTCTTCTAGGAACTTATAGTTTGGAGAGAGAAAACATAGAATATTGATAAGAACTAAACAATGTGATATGTAAGTTGGTATGTAAATGTACAGACTATGAAGAGCATAAGAATGTGTTTGTTAGAGTATAAAAATATAAGGCAACAATAAAGGATATTATATGAACAATTTGGAAGAAACACATTTTTGTCTACATAGTCATCTCTGGCTAGTTAGACAAAGCACAGTATCTTTTTTACTTTGTAGACTTTGTCTATAGACTTATTCTCCCTTTATTCGGTCACTTTGAAACAGTATACCTTTTAAAAAATTGTACCCATACATGTTTACATTATAGTGCTCTAAATTCTCTGTAAAAATCTCATTCCTCTTGTTTGATTACTTAATAACTGTAGCCAATCAGGAATATAGTAAAAGAAAAAATATAATGAAGTATATGGTGAAGCAATGTTGCCATTAGTAAAATTTTTACATATTTTCAACTGCTTGGAAGGAGAGACCAAGTCGTTCTTCTAGTTCATTGTTTTGAATTACTTCTAGGATTTTCATCATTTGATATTTACATCTAAGCTTTCAAAGAGCTTTTATGGACCTGGCTTAATAACCTTCACTCTTGTGATATGAAAGTGGAGTATCCACCATTTCGTCCCTTCTTTGTTCTAAGTTGGAAGAAGAAATCCTTTGAACCTGAAACCGTGCCTTTAGGCATCCTATGTATTCAAATCTCTTAGTCAGTAGTCTTTTACTCAGGAGATGCTAGAAGCAACTAAAAAAATCAAGAGGACTCTGAAAACTCACCAAAGCTATTTGAAATGTACTTTTTATTATCTGTGTAAAGTCTGTCTTCTTCACTGATAGTTCCTGGTTTCTGATATGTGAGAGATTCTATAAAGGAAAATACCATAGAACATCAGATTTGCAAACTCAATTTAAAACTGTCTTCCACTTTGCATGTTTGGTTATAAAAAGTTTTTCATCAAGTGGCAAAGCAACATTCTTCCTCTCAGAACCTGTCTTTTGTACCAGCTAACTGGATATTTTGTCACATTGAGTTTACGATGGCTGATAGCCAAAGAACTATGGAAAAATTAACCAGATTCTCTTCATTACATTAGCAAAGAGAGATGAAATATCAAACCGAGTGAAAAAGTACTGATCTTTGTTGTTATAGTCTTCTGCTTCAAAGCCTAAGCACCAAGTCAGCATTAGAAATCACTTTACTTAAAGAAGCACGGAGCAAAGGAAAAACACTCAAAGTTGTTTTATGTGATATTTATTACTTTCATGGGCTTCTGGCAATATGTAATAGAATATGCTGTATTAGATTCTAACTAAATGTTAAAATATGTAATATATGAATATATGACATAGCATATTAAACATACATTAAATAATATATATCGTTTTGGTCTAACCACCAGTGCTGTGTGACTGAGTATTAAGAACGGAGAAAATAGAGCATGAAAAAATTAATTCCACTGACTGATCCTATATTAGCAGCCATTTGACGATGATTTTTCTTTGTACCTTTCACCACCTCTTTTTTGTTGATCATGCTTTTTAGAATCCCTTGATAACATTCTCAATTCCCATGGTATCACTTACAGTGAGTGAGTGAGTGATTTAAAATAAAACGTGTAATAGGAGACCATCACATTTGGCCTGTTGTATAAGTGATATTGAACCATTTTAACTGTAGTAAATTGGATGAATAGGAAATAGAAGTGAAGAGCTCATGAAGGACAGATCACAAATGAATGCCCAGCCTTCCGAGTAGATGACGATGGGGTGATATGAACAGCTATAAATCAATCATGAACTAAACAGCTCCTCTGCTGTTTCTGTTACACTAACTAAAAATCTGTCATTCATACATTTATGTTAAGAAAGCGCAGAGGTCTCTGCAGTGTAAATATTGTATGAGCTGGGTGACACTATAAACCTGTTCCTCACTACTAACCACAGACTTCAGATTATATGTTAATAAGCAATCACCTTGTAAGTCTCAGTACTCCAGATAACTAATTGTGTGTGGCCGACTAGGTTTGAAGAAGGGTCAGGATTGCTTTTTTAATTATATGTGAGTGCACAAAATTCTTTTCCTCGCCAGTATGAAAGATAGATGAAAATGAGAAAAACCCAAGAAGTTGACTTTGAGTAAGTCAGGTGCAACTGTTGATTTTATATATATATATATATACATATATATATACACACACATATTTCTAAAGTTCATTTACAATGATCAATTGCCTAAAAGAATTCAACAGACTAGGGAAGAAGCAGGAAATCCCCATCTTGTAATCTTAAGGAATTAGGACACAAAAGACCCAAAGCCTCCTTGAAAGATACAAAATACATACAGGCCATGACAGGACAGACCTTAGACTTTCCAACACTTCTGGCATATTTTAATCAGTGAGATCTTAGTTTTTTTTCTGTCGGCTAAAGATCCAAGATGGGTTTTTGAGTGTCATCACTGTATGTTAACTATAAAGAATTTTTAGATAGACTATGAAATGTAAAGTGAAGGGAAAAGTTAAGTTACATAATGATTTTCAGAATCAAAGCTTAACAAATCAGGCTCTGGCAGCTCTAAATCTGAGAAGCACAGACAGTGGGCCGAACAGCTGCTGCTGAACTTGCTGCAGGCACCTACTTTATAACATGTTTATGTAAGGCAATGGGAAATGGATTTGTCAGGGTGGGAATGGTAGCTGGATTACACAAAGAAAAGGAAAGGAAAGGCTTGCTTTTGCTTCCTTATTGGGCATATTTCAGCAACACTGACTCAAATGATTAGGACCAGAGTAGTTTAGGTTTGGCATTTCTATAATGCTTGCTTCCCAAGCTCAGCATACTTCAATTCTAATAGAAATTTGGATACCCCCCAAAATTAAAAAGTAGACGTAAATATTAGAAAAAAGCATAGTAGGATCTAAATTATAAAATAAAAACTTTTACATAACAGATTTTAACCTTTGCTTTTTTTTATTATACCTTAAGTTCTAGGGTACATGTGGACAATGTGAGGGTTTGTTACATATGTATACATGTGCCATGTTGGTGTGCTACACCCATTAACTCATCATTTACATTAGGTATATTTCCTAATGCTATCCCTCCCCACTCCCCCGACCTCAAGACAGGCTCTGGTGTGTGATGTTCCCCTTCCTGTGTCCAAGGGTTCTCATTGTTCAATTCCCACCTATGAGTGAGAACATGCTGTGTTTGGTTTTTTGTCCCTGTGATAGTTTGCTGAGAATGATGGTTTCCAGCTTCATCTATTCCCTACAAAGGACATGAACTCATCATTTTTTATGGCTGCATAGTATTCCATGGTGTATATGTGCCATATTTTCTTAATTCAGCCTATCATTGATGGACATTTGGGTTGGTTCCCAGTCTTTGCTATTGTGAATAGTGCCGCAATAAACATACATGTGCATGTGTCTTTATAGCAGCATGATTTATAATCTTTTGGGTATATACTCTGTAATGAGATGGCTGGGTCAAATGGTGTTTCTAGTTCTAGATCCTTGAGGAATCGCCAAACTGTCTTCCACAATGGTTGAAGCAGTTTACAGTCCTACCAACAGTGTAAAAGTGTTCCTATTTCTCCACATCCTCTCCAGCACCTGTTATTTCCTGACTTTTTAATGATTGCAATTCTAACTAGTGTGAGATGGTATCTCATTGTGGTTTTGATTTGCATTTCTCTGATGGCCAGTGATGATGAGCATTTTTTCATATGTCTTTTGGCTGCATAAATGTCTTCTTTTGAGAAGTGTCTGTTCACATCCTTCACCCAATTTTTGATGGGGTTGTTTTTTTTCTTGTAAATTTGTTTGAGTTCTTTGTAGATTCTGGATATTAGTCCTTTCTCAGATGAGTAGATTGCAAAAATTTTCTCCCATTCTGTAGGTTGCCTGTTCACTCTGATGGTAGTTTCTTTTGCTGTGCAGAAGCTCTTTAGTTTAATTAGATCCCATTCGTCCATTTTGGCTTTTGTTGCCATTGCTTTTGGTGTTTTAGACATGAAGTCCTTGCCCATGACCATGACCTGAATGGTATTGCTTAGGTTTTCTTCTAGGGTTTTTATGGTTTTAGTCTAATATTTAAGTCTTTAATCCATCTTGAATTAATTTTTGTATAAGGTGTAAGGAAGGGATCCAGTTTCAGCTTTCGACATATGGCTAGGCAGTTTTCCCAGCACCATTTATTGAATAGGGAATCCTTTCCCCATTGCTTGTTTTTGTCAGGTTTGTCAAAGATCAGATGGTTGTAGATGTGTGGTATTATTTCTGAGGGCTCTGTTTTGTTCCATTGGTCTATATCTCTGTGTTGGTACCAGTACCATGCTGTTTTGGTTACTGTAGCCTTGTAGTATAATTTGAAGTCAGATAGTGTGATACCTTCAGCTTTGTTCTTTTGGCTTAGGATTGTCTTGGCAATGCAGGCTCTTTTTTGGTTCCATATGAACTTTAAAGTAGTTTTTTCCAATTCTGTGAAGAAAGTCATTGGTAGCTTGATGGGGATGGCATTAAATCTATAAATTACTTTGGGCAGTATGGCCATTTTCACAATACTGATTCTTCGTATCCATGAGCATGGAATGTTCTTCCATTTGTTTGTGTCCTCTTTTATTTTTTTGAGCAGTGGTTTGTAGTTCTCCTTGAAGAGGTCCTTCACATCACTTGTAAGTTGGATTCCTAGGGATTTTATTCTCTTTGAAGCAATGGTGAATGGACATTCACTCATGATTTTGCTCTCTGTTTGTCTGTTATTGCTGTATAAGAATGCTTGTGATTTTTGCACATTGATTTTGTATCCTGAGACTTTGCTGAAGTTGCTTATCAGCTTAAGGAGATTTTGGGCTGAGACGATGGGGTTTTGTAAATATACAAACATGTCATCTGCAAACAGGGACAATTTGACTTCCTCTTTCCTAATTGAATACCCTTTATTTCCTTCTCCTGCCTAATTGCCCTGGCCAGAACTTCCAACACTATGTTGAAGAGGAGTGGTGAGAGAGGGCATCCCTGTCTTGTGCCAGTTTTCAAAGGAAATGCTTCCCGTTTTTGCCCTTTCAGTATGATATTGGCTGTGGGTTTATCATAGATAGCTCTTATTATTTTGAGATACATCCTATCAATACCTAATTTATTGAGAGTTTTTGGCATGAAGGGCTGCTGAATTTTGTCAAAGGCCTTTTCTTCATCTATTGAGGTAATCATGTGGTTTTTGTCTTTGGTTCTGTTTATATGCTGGTTTACAGTTATTGATTTGCATTATTTATTTGCATTTACATTTATTTTTTATATTTATATTTATTATTTGCATTTACATTATTGATGTTGAACCAGTCTTGCATCCCAGGGATGAAGCCCACTTGATCATGGTGGATAAGCTTTTTGATGTGCTGCTGGATTCAGTTTGCCAGAATTTTATTGAGGATTTTTGCATCCATGTTCATCAAGGATATTGGTCTAAAATTCTCTTTTTTGGTTGTGTCTCTGCCAGGCTTTGGTATCAGGATGATGCTGGCCTCATAAAATGAGTTAGGGAGGATTCCCTCTTTTTCTATTGGTTGGAATAGTTTCAGAAGGAATGATACCAGCTCCTCCTCGTACCTCTGGTAGAATTCTGCTGTGAATCTGTCTGGTCCTAGACTTTTTTTGGTTGGTAGGCTATTAATTATTGCCTCAATTTCAGAGCCTGTTATTGTTGTACTCAGGGATTCAACTTCTTCCTGGTTTAGTCTTGTATCCTTTGCTCTTATTTTCAAAAATACCTGAAATGTATCCCCTCTTCAGAAGCTTTGCCAACTTACCTATTTAAAGGGTACATTTCCTGTCCTAGGGTACATCTGACGTAAGAACATAATGATAAATTTAATCTATGCATGTCAAACTAGGCTAGTTAAAACCAGATTTTGCCTTTTGTTTCTGTTATATCCAGAGATTGTTCAGTCAATGTTTATACTGCCCAATTTGGATGTAGTTGGTGATTGCAAAGTTTGGAGATTAAAGTACTAAATTTGAAACAGGAATATGGAAATATAGAGACTGTGTGTGTGTGGGTGTGTGTGTGTGTGTGAATATAAGTACATGTATTTACAAACAAACAAAAATATGGCAAAATGAAACATAAAAGCTAATACATTTGTGATTTGGGGGCTCTAATTTACACATTATAAGATAATACGTAAGACATCTTAAAATCATCTTAATTGTATAGAAAGAGATAATAAAGAAAAAGATAATAAAAGTAAGAAAAAATTTTAATTTAAACAAATATGAATTTACTCTCCTTAAATAATAAATGGCATTTATATCATGACCAAAAAAGTCAAACATTAAGTTTGAAATGTCACAGCTTTTCAAAGGTGAAATAATTAGTTCTTCAAACTTTTAAATAAAACTGATGTAAAATGTCCTTTGTGTTCTCTAGTCTGATTTGTAAGACAGAAAATTAACTATCACTTAACTTTGTAAGAGCATATTATTTCTAAAACTCAAAAATTAATCTTTTAATATGAGTTTGCTTACAAATCTTATTATTTTGAGGTGTTAAACATTTTAATGTAAATTTAGTAGATGTAATACTAAAAGTAGAATCTTTAATGCTGTTTATAAATTATATAGAATGTTGTCTAGTTTTAAATACATTGTCTGTTAAACTTTGAAAAACTTTTTTGGAAAGGGCTACATTTTTGTATCATTGCTAATACAAAATTATAGATTCAACTTGAATAAATGTGAGGTATAGGCAAAAAGAAAACGTTTTCCACCTGAAGAATAACATATCAGTAATTTTCTAAATGCTAGCTAAAAAGTACAAAGAAGAGCTAGGAAGACAAGATTAAAGCTGAATATGAAAATTATTCAGTATTCCACAATGAAGAAGAAAAGGGGAATAAACGGCAAAGAAACAGAGGGTGAAAAAACAGACAATATAATAGTAAATTTAAATCCAACTATATCAATAATTACATTACATGATAACTGGCTTAATTCTACAATTAAAAGGTGCAGATCATTAGAGTACAATAAGAAATCAAAACTCAAATTTATTCTGAATAAAAGTTACTCAAAATAAATGAATATTCTGAATAAATTATTACTATTCTGTTTATAAGAAACATATTTTAAATATAAAGACACAGATGGGTTGAAAACATAAAATGAATAAAAACATACCAAGCAAAAAGGAAGCAAGCATAAGAAGGCTCTGTTGGCAGTTATTAATATTGGATAAAGATAGATTACAGAACAAGGAGTATCAGTTAAAATAAAGTATTATGTTTCAAAGTGATAAAATAGTTAACTCCTCAGAAAGTCATTAGCAATTATAAATATGTACATTTAAAAAGTCCCTAAATACATGAAGTAAAATGTGACAGAATTAATGAAGAAATAGATAAATTTACAATATAATAGGAAAAATTTAACACACTTCTCTAAGTAATTGATACAACAAGTAAATAGGAAATCAGTACAAATATAGATCTGAGCAATATTATAAGCCAATGGGACCTAATTGACATTTATAAAATACCACACAAACACTACACATTCTTTACAAGTGTAGATCAAAATAAACCACATGCTGTGCTGTCTGGTTAGTCTCAATAAATTATTAACAATTGTTGTCATACTGTGTAACTTCTGACCACAATGGGATTAAGTTTGAAATCAACAATACCACTTCTAGTCAACATTGTATGGAGTCTAAAAGACATTGTAATAAGGCAAGAAAGAGAAATAAAAGGCAAATAGATTTAAAAGGAAGAAAATTTTCTCTTTTGAAGATTGCGTCTTATAGAATATATATGCAAAAGAATAACCAAAATTAATAACTGACTTTAATAAGTGTATTATTCAGTGTTCTCCAGAAAAACAGAACCAGTAGGAAACACAGACACACAGACATATGCACGCGCGCATGCCCACACAAACACACACACACACACAGAGTTGACCCTTGGACAAGGGTTTTAAAAGCACAGATAAATTTATACTTGGAGCTTCTACTGCCTCTGCTGTTCCTAAAATAGCCAGGCAACATTCTCCTCTTCCTCCTCTTCCTCCTCTTCATCCTTCTCAGCCTACTCAACATCAGGAGAGCAACGATGAAGATTTCTCTGATTATCCACTTCCATTTAATGAACAGTAAATTCCTTATGATTTTAATAACATTTTCATTTATCTAGCTTATGCTACTGTAAGAATCGAGTATATAATACATATAACATACAAAACATGTGTTAAACAACTATTTATGTTATTGGTAAGGCTTCCAGTGAACAGTAGACTGTTAGTAGTTAAGTTTTGGGGGAGTCAAAAGTTATAGGTCGATTTTAGACTGTATGCTGGTCGATGCCTCAACCCCCACATTGTTCAAGGATCAACTACTTATGTGTGTTATATAATGGAAATATCTCATGTGATGATGAAGGCTGAGAAGTCCCAAGATCTGCTGTAAGCATGGTGGAGAACCAGGAAGCCAGTGGTATAATTCAGTACTCCAAGTCCAAAGGCCTGAGAACAAAGAGCTCTGATGTCCAAGGGCAGGAGAAGATGGATGTCCTAGTTCAAGAAGAGATATTGAATTCTCCCTTTCTCCTCCTTTTTGTTCTATTCAGAGCCTCAAAGGACTGGATGACGTCTAGCCACATTGGCAAGGGTGATGCTTTTCTCAGTCTGTCTATTCAGATGCTAATCTCTTCTGGAAACACCCTCACAGACACACTCATAAGTAATGTTTTACCAGCTATCTCAGCATCCCTTAGCCCAGTTAAATTGACAAGTAAAATTAACCATCACGAGTTTGCAAATGTAAGTATAATATAACAAAATAGATTGTGTTTCTATATACTAACTGCAAGTTATTAGAAGATAAAATTTTTAAAAATCCTATAAATTTTCACAAAAAACCATAAAATACTTAGGTACAAGTTCAACAAAAGATGTGTAAGATCTTGTCACTGGAAACTACAGAATATTGTTGAGAGAAATAAAATAGAGGAGTCATGTATCTTCTTAATAGATTGGAAGATTCATTTTAAGATACTTGTTGTCCTGAAATTTATATATGGGTATAATACAACCAGAGTTAAAATTTTAACAGACTTCATTCGTAGAATTGGTAAGCTGGTTTTGCAATTCAAATGGAAATGCAAATGAACTGGATGAGCCAAAGCAATGTTGTTGTTTTTTTTAAAAAAGAAAACAACAATGTAGGTGGATTTCTACTACCTGAATACAAGATTTGTTTAAAGCTAGTAATTATAGCTTTAAGTAATAGATAAAGTGACAGAGGTGTAAAGACAGTTGAATATGTTTAATCAAGTCTATTAGCATGGAAAGGGACAGTGTAAAGTTGGCAGGAGAAATGGATTTTAGGGAACATGGAGAGTTGACAAGTTGGTAGAGTCAGGGCACTAGAGGAAGTAAAAGAGGATTATAAATAGGTGGAAGTTGGAGAATGGGATGTCTAAAATTGAGATTGTGGAGTTTGCAGCTATTGATAATCACAACGTTTGATTTGATTATAGGAATTATTGTTTCATTACAGGAAATATTGGCTGAGGTAGGAAAGGGATAGGATGATTATTGGAGTTGAGGTCAAGGGCCTAGGTGTTGTGGAAGGCTTGTGTTCATGCACACTTTAATTACCAAGAATTATTGCAGGAATAGCCAGGAGTTAAAGTATTAGAGGAGTGAAGGGGAGCATCAAGGAATTGAATTGGTTATATAGTTTGATGGCATGAGATTTGATGACGAGCATTTTAGGGAGAAAAATGGGAGTGTTCTGTTATTATTGCTGTATAACAAACCTTTAAAAATGCAGTTGATGAAAACCACTGAACTCAGTAATTTTGATTACAAATCTGCCATTTAGACAAGGCCTAGATTGAAAAGCTCATTTCTGTTCCACAAGGTGTCAGCTGAGGCAACTCAAAGTCTAGGGGCTGGAATACTCTCAAGATTCACTAACATGTCTGTAGGTTCATTCTAATTGTTGGTCGGGGCCTTAGCTGGGGCTGTAGACTGTAAGCTAGAATACCTACATGTAGCTCTTCATGTGGCCTCTTGAGTATCTTCAAGATGCTGATGAACAAGTCACAAGGAATTTAGGCAGAAATTGTATTACTTTTTACATGGAGTTGCATACTCTCAATTCTGCTCTAATCGCAGGCATGGCCAGATTCAGGGGACAGAGGATCTCACCTAATGATGAGAAGAATGTCAACATCAGATTGCAAGAAAAGAATGTGGAATGGAATATCTGTGGCAGCCACAGTGGGAAATAAAATCTACTGTCAGGAGCATGGTCTGGAAGGTGCAATAAGGAGCAAAGGGGAGACCTATCCTATGCAGAACCCCATTATAGCAAGCATGGGAGAGAACAGCTACTACTGCACAGTTAGTGTCATCAGGACAAAGCCATATGTTTGTTTGTGCAAAAAGGTAAAGAGAATATGAAAAAAAGATTATAGATAAAGAAGAATTTACTGATAGTTTTAAGTAGAAGAACAGTCACTAGAGTAGGTTTTTAGCAGTTTTGGAAGTGAGACAGGTGGATTCAAAAACAAAGGACTGTACAAAGTTATACAAAGAGGAAGATTCAATAGGTAAGGGATAACATGGGAGGTTAAGTGTAAAAACGTTAAAAAGCCCTAGGACAAGGCCGGCATATAATAGACAATAAATTTCAAGTATTGACGTTTTTTTAAATAAGATAAATATAAAAAATGGTAGAACTTCAGAAGACTTTAAAAACACAAAAAAAGTGAAAGATTTAGAAGTACTTAGAAATCTTTTGAGGCTGGGCGCAGTGGCTCATGCCTGCAATCCCAGCACTTTGGGAGGCAGAGGCAGGCGGATCACAAGGTCAAGATTTGGAGACCAGCCTGGCCAACATGGTAAAACCCCCCTCTCTACTGAGATCACAAAAATTAGTCGGGCGTGGTGGCACGTGACTATAATCTCAGCTACTCGGGAGGCTGAGGCAGGAGAGTTGCTTGAACCTGGGCGACGGAGGTTGAAGTGAGCCAAGATTGCGTCACTGCACTCCAGCCTGGGCGACAGAGCGAGACTCCAACTCAGAAAAAACAAAACAAAACAAACAAAAAAACCCCAAATCTTTTGAAATACTACACTATAAAATATGAGTCATCAGAATTAGGAATAATTTTCAGCTTTAAACACTCAATAGAGCTAAGGAAAAATATAGAAAAAACAAAAACTTGCTATTATACTATCTGTGTGCTTACATAAATGAAAATCTATCAAGAATATTTAGTTGCTTCTCAAGAACCACATTTATAACTTTTTATTACTTTAAGGTCCTAAAATGTGGGTAGAGCAAACACATATGACATAAATCATCAGAGTAACTTCTCCCAAATGCCATATTTCCTAACCACAAATTACTTCAATTGTCCAAACCACATAATAATTTGAGATTCCCTCTTTCTCTACAGGCTCAGAGCCAAATCTGCATGGCATGCTTAATCATAGGACAACAGACTTTCAATTCTAGTAAAGCCATCACGCATCTGGCTTTTAAAAGTGTTTTTTTTTTCCAGATTTTGCCAGCAGATTGTTTTAATATTGGCATGTATAATAGATATTTTGACAGTTAGGTGTATTCATTTACATTTCATGTTGATGATATCTTGGTGTTTAATGGTTCGCCATGAGATCGGTATGAAACACAACGGCCTTTGTATTTAAAATGTTGTATTAGTCTGTCTGGCACTTCTATAACACCTGAGACTGGGTAAATTTACAAAAGAAAGAGGCTTAATTGACTCATGGTTCTGCAAGTTTTACAGGAAGCCCTATTGGCTTCTGCTGGGCCTCTAGGGGTCCTCAGAAAACTTACAATCATGGTAGACCGTGAAGGAGAAGCCGGCACTTCAGATGGCCATAGCAGCAAGAGAGACAGAGCGGGGAGGTACTGCACACTTTTGGACAACCAGATCTTGTGAGAACTCTGTCACAAAAACAGCACCAAAAGTATGGCGGTTCACCATTCATGAAGGATGCAACCCCATCATCCAATCGCCTCCCACCAGGCCCTACCTCCAACATTGGGGATTACAATTGAACATGAGATTTGAATGGGGGCACAGATCCAAACCATATCATGTGTCTATTAAAATTATTACATTTCCTGACATATTTATTTATTTTTATTTTTTCTGTACTCTCACCGACCACTAGCAATGTCATGCTTAGTGCCATATTAAATATTTTTAATAATAGCTACGGTTAATGATGAATTTGGTGCATTTTTACCCAACCTGTCCACACTTCACCTGTAAGTGATCATGTTTTACCTCATATTTAAACAAAGATATCACTTCATTCAGGCAGACTATGACCCTCTTTTCATTCCCCACCATTGGGTATTCCTCTCACTTATTCTCTTAAAAACCTCTTATAGCACTTATCAAACATGTCTTTTTTACTTTTACACATACTCCTGAATAGCACATGCCTAGCCCATAGCACTCAATAAACTTTGGAATTTTTTTTCAATTATTGTCACATGTTTTCACTTGACTACTGGTTATTTTCTAGGACACCTCTCTTTTACTCTGTATTTCAGCCAAGTGTACATATGTACATGGAAACCTACAAGGTGTTTTGTTTTCTAGGATTTGGAAATAAATTATCTTATACAAATAAGTTTTAGCCTAGCAGGCATTGCTTAAAAACCAAAGTATTAGTCTGAGATATTAAAAGATGTTCTATGAAATTAAAATAACTGATTGCCTAAAAAATGTCGTTTAAATTACCCACAGGGTGAGCTAAGATTTACAAAACTTTTCTTAGAGCATTTGAAATTGTTACCTCTTTCTATGATTATAAGTTTTATAGAATTGGGGTTATAGAGTAAACACATATTAAAGGATTCAGAGTGTCAAATTCAAATATACATACATATATACACATATGCACTGTATTTTACAGTATAAGGTAAAATCTTCTTAAGTTAATGTTTACAAAATATATTTGATGTAGTCCCATTGATGAAATCTTACCATTACTATACATATATTTTGAAGATAAAAAAACTCATCATCACAACTAGTCATCACACACAGATAATCTTTCATTTATTTTTTAAACACTACAGATCAGTTAGTCCACGCCTAGAAAGTGTTCTTAACATATTATTGAAAGTTCAAGGACCTCTTATAAAGATAATTTTTTAAAGACATAACTTAGTTGATACCATACCAAACAGACACCCTACTTACCACATCTCCACCCTGTACTTTGTTGAGTAATGTAACATTAGTCAGCTTGGGTTGCCATAACCACAGGCTGGGTGGCTTAAGCAGCAGAAATTTATTTCTCACAGTTCTGAGTCTAGAAAGTCCAAGACCAAGGTGCCAGTCATTCATTTCTTGGTGTGGGCTCTCTTCCTGGCTTGCAGGCAGCTGCTTTCTCACTGTGTCCTCACCTGGCCATTCTTCAGTGATACAGGTGGAGAGACAGAGAGAGAGAGATTGATTGATTGATTGAGGGCTCATCCTCTTCTTATAAGGCACAAGAGCCCACTCTCATGACCTAATGTGATCATATTTACCTCCCTAAGGACCCATCTTCAAATGCCACCAAGTTGGGAGATACAGCTTTTTGGAATTACCTATACTTGAGCATCATATACAAGTCTAGCATGTTTGTGGACTATGTCAGGCACATGCCAGTGCCTCAACAGTTATTTTCAGTTCTACAGTGATTGTGAGATATCAATTTTGGATTGAAGTGGACAGACACCAAGGCAGCTAAAACTCAATGACCATTGCCAAATCAATCATAGTAACCATCCTAATGTTTTAAAACGGCTATTGAGTGCTTAGTTTCTGCTGCCAGCAGTTATACTCACACACATACACATTCTGATTAAAACCTTTCAGAAATTCCACAAAAGAGGTGCTATTTTATGATAAGGAAATGTCAAGGGTCATATAGAAACAGTGTAAACTTATTAACACTGAATTCAAGTCTATGTGACCTCAAAGTTCACAACCAAAAGAGAAGATACTGTGTGATTACATGGACTGGAAGAGCTAGGAACAGGCATATGGAGAATATAGTAATTAAGAAAAACTAGTAAATTAAAGTCTTGCTAACAGAAGTATGTATCCACCGAGCGTAGTGGCTCATGCCTGTAATCCCAGCACTTTGGGAGGCCGAGGTGGGCTGATCACCTGAGGTTGGGAGTTCGAGACCAGCCTGACCAAAATGAAGAAACCCTGTCTCTACTAAAAAAAAAAAAAAAACACAAAATTAGCCAGACGTAGTGGCATATGCCTGTAATACCAGCTACTCGGGAGGCTGAGGCAGGAGAATCACTTGAACTCGGGAGGCAGAGGTTGCAGTGGGGGGAGATCTCGCCATTGCACTCCAACCTGGGCAACAAGAGTGAAACTCCATCTCGAAAAAAAAAAAAAAAAAAAGAAGTATGTATCATCTGAAATTGCATAGAATAGACTTGAAATGTCGTCCACAATGGTTAGAACATTTGTAAGAAGGCTTAGCTGTGTTACCAGATCCACCTGTCCTGAACTCTCAGATTTTTCACTTAGTGCTTTTAAGAATTTAGGCATATTGTCTAGCATTGTACTTATAAAATCGAAATTTACTATTCACTTCATCTGATGATTATGCTAATGAAATGATCTGATTATGCTAATGAAATGATCTGAATCAGTGTAGAATTTTACTCACTGAATGACCCTAGTGAACATGCTGAATAAATGTTAGTTTGCTTTATTAATGTGGCTACTGGTATTACTGCTTTGTCATAGGGTCGCAAAAGTGTGAATGTTCTGATAAATAGTGGCAGATTAGTAATCATAAAATAACAATGGAAAAGGAATATGCTTTACAATATAGTCTAATATGGGTTAAGATATAACCGTAAAGTTTAAGTTCTCATCTTACAAAATCAGGACACTGTTTTCTAACCATCCCTATAATCAGTCTTTTAGAGTTATTGTTTTCCTGGCTTCCTTTTTCTTCCCTCTCTGGCTTCTGCAAAAAAGCCAAGACCCATTCGGGTTTTGAAATTGATATCCCCAGATAGCTAGGACACAAATATAGACTCTGGGAGGGATTGAATATTTCTGTAGTAATAATTGTATCAAACAGGTCGAACAGTTAACTAAATGTAGATAAATAATATATAATACTATGAAATATATTTGAGAGTTTACCTGGTTGAAACTTTTAGAAATAAGATATGTTGTTAAAGGACAGTCTTTGCCAAGTTATTTTGAGCGTGAATTTTCTATTCTGTAAGTAAAGAAGTATGTCTCTAAATGTTGACACCTGAAATTGTTTAATTTAAGACCCAGTAGGACACTTGCACACTGAAAATTAATGGCAAATCAATGACTGCTTTTACCAAATGAACTTCATTAGCCAGTTGGTTTTGCTAATTTAAAGATTTTCAATTCAAAAGAGGAATATTTTATAGATTTGCACTGAACATTTGCAAAATGGCTTGATTCATTTTAATTCTCAGCATACAGTTTGAAGAAAAGTAGTTTAAAGCAACTGTATGCCCAATGCGTTCTCTATATTTCCTGTACTATATTTATATTCATAGATACAGATATGCTACTCCAAGAAGACTTTCTCACAATCAGGGATAGTTTTTTTTAACACTTCTTTTTGTTTTTAAGTCAAATTACAGTGTGAAAACCTTTATCTATATCTAGCTATCTATGCTTTTAAAAAAAACTGCATTGTCAATGTTTTGATTAAATTATACACAACCTGGGCAATGATTATCTAACTTAACTGGGGAATAAGTTTCTTTTTGTTGTAATTGTTGCTTGATTTTAAAGGAAAGAATGTAATCGTGAATGCTTTTTATACTACATGTAATGGTTTTATTCTTTATTCCAAAATAGCACATAGTTAATTGTACTTTTTTATTTTATGAAAGGGAATATAATTTGTCAGATACATAGGATTTTCTTCTGAGTTAATGAACTATGATACAATGCCCAATAGTACAAGGAGAGATATTCATGACTGAAAACATTACTTCTATCTTAGCAATCAAGGCCAAGACCTTGCATATCCTTTTATAACAATGTGTTGGTTGCTTTTGTCCCTAAATGGAAGTTTTATTGCGTTAACCACAACATACTCACTCAATGATTCATAGCTGGACTTATTTTATGACCGTATAGACATGAATTAATCAAAGCAGATCTCACTACTTGAGTCTAAAATAATGTATACTTCAAATCAAATACACAGGCCATTAAGCTTTTCTTTCAATTACAGAATAAATCATCCAGCTTATATTTAAACTGTGCACCCTACCTATCAAGGCAATAAACATTCATGTTAACACAAATATTGCTCACAAAAGCCCATGTACTAAGGAAAAACTAAAAGCTGAAATAAGGTTATTTCATGAGTATTTAGTTCATATTTTTCATCATATTTATATGAAACAAAGTAAAAGAGCCTAAGGGTCATGATATTGAATCAACTTGTACACAAAAATTATGCTTGCCTATATTGAGAAAAAACTATGAGTGGGGAATTTGGGTATCTATTAATTTAGAGAAAATAATATATGTTGTATTATCATAAGCAAATACTAATATTTTTGTCATGGTTTCAAGTGAGATACCATTCATCCACAGATTTCTCTTTTTAAAAACATTCCCGATTGTATATCTATAAAACCCCATCATCTCAGCCAAAATCTCCTTAAGCTGATAAGCAACTTCAGCAGTCTCAGGATACAAAATCAATGTGCATAAATCACAAGCATTCTTATACACGAATAACAGACAAATAGGGAGGAAAATCATGAGTGAACTCCCATTCACAATTGCTTCAAGGATAATAAAATACCTAGGAATCCAACTTACAAGGGATGTGAAGGACCTCTTCAAGGAGAACTACAAACCACTGCTCAATGAAATAAAAGAGGTTACAAACAAATGGAAGAACATTCCATGCTCATGGGTAGGAAGCATCAATATCGTGAAAATGGCCATACTGCCCAAGGTAATTTATAGATTCAATGCCATCCCCATTAAGCTACCAATGGCTTTCTTCACAGAATTGGAAAAAACTACTTTAAAGTTCATATGGAACCAAAAAAGAGCCTGCATTGCCAAGACAATCCTAAGCCAAAAGAACAAAGCTGGAGGCATCACACTACCTGACTTCAAACTATACTACAAGGCTACAGTAACCAAAACAGCATGGTACTGGTACCAAAACAGAGATATAGACCAATGGAACAGAACAGAGCCCTCAGAAATAATGCCACATATCTACAACTATCTGACCTTTGACAAACCTGACAAAACCAAGCAATGGGGAAAGGATTCCCTATTTAATAAATGGTGCTGGGAAAACTGACTAGCCATATGCAGAAAGCTGAAACTGGATCCCTTCCTTACACCTTATAAAAAAATTAATTCAAGATGGATTAAAGACTTAAATGTTAGACCTAAAACCATAGAAACCCTAGAAGAAAACCTAGGCAATACCGTTCAGGACATAGGCATGGGCAAGGACTTCATGTCTAAAACACCAAACACCAAAAGCAATGGCAACAAAAGCCAAAATTGACAAATGGGATCTAATTAAACTAAAGAGCTTCTGCACAGCAGACAGAGTGAACAGGCAACCTACAGAATGGGAGAAAATTTTTGCATCTACTCATCTGACAAAGGGCTAATATCCAGAATCGACAATGAACTCAAACAAATTTACAAGAAAAAAACAAACAACTCCATCAACAAGCGGGCGAAGGATATGAACAGACACTTCTCAAAAGAAGACATTTATGCAGCCAAAAGAAGACATTTATGCAGCCAAAAGACACATGACAAAATGCTTATCATCACTGGCCATCAGAGAAATGCAAATCAAAACCACAATGAGATACCATCTCACATCAGTTAGAATGGCGATCATTAAAAAGTCAGGAAACAACAGGTGCTGGAGAGGATGCGGAGAAATAGGAACACTTTTACACTGTTGGTGGGACTGTAAACTGCTTCAACCATTGTGGAAGACAGTGTGGCGATTCCTCAGGGATCTAGAACTAGAAATACCATTTGACCCAGCCATCCCATTACTGGGTATATACCCAAAGGATTATAAATCATTCTGCAATAAAGACACATGCACACGTATGTTTATTGTGGCACTATTCACAACAGCAAAGACTGGGAACCAACCCAAATGTCCAACAATGATAGACTGGATTAAGAAAATGTGGCACATATACACCATGGAATACTATGCAGCCATAAAAAAGGATGAGTTCATGTCCTTTGTAGGGAATGGATGAAGCTGGAAACCATCATTCTCAGCAAACTATTGCAAGGACAAAAGACCAAGCACCACATGTTCTCACTCATAGGTGGGAATTGTACAATGACAACACATGGACACAGGAAGGGGAGCATCACACACTGGGGCCTGTTATGGGGTGGGCAGAGCAGGGAGGGATAGCATTCGGAGATATACCTAATGTTAAATGACGAGTCAATGGGTGTAGCACACCAACATGGCACATGTATACATATGTAACAAACCTGCACGTTGTGCACATGTACCCTAAAACTTAAAGTAGAATAAAAGAAAATAAATAAATAAAAGGAAAAGTTCACAAAAAAATTCCCTTGGTTAAATCACTCTCAAAAACATAGTTTTCTGGCTTTTCCCTAAACTTAAAAAATAATTACAAATGCTAGTTTTGCTTGAGAAGATGGAAAAGAGGTATAAATTCGGGCTTGCCAATTAACCCATGAAAATATGTTGAAAAATTTGCAAGGCACGGAGCTAAATTTAGGTGCTCTAAAAACTTAACGTGAGAGTGCATTTTCTCAATATTTTGTGAAGAAACCATCCCTTGACATTTTTGGCTTTATGCTTTCTCTAATTGAAGGCATGGTAAAATAAGGTGCTAGAAGCTTTATCACTTAAAATTTAAAAGTCATTTAATTTAATTTAATTCAATTTTCTGCTTTTCTAAAGTACAAATTCACAAGAAACTGGATTTATTAAACTCATTTGACAGTGGATGCTTCTTGTTTTTATGAAGAATTTAAGTTGTTAAATCTGTTCAAAAGTGCCATTTGTTCATAAGACCAAAATGACACAATAAAACAAGCATTAATAGTATGTTTGTGTCAAGATGAACTCTCATTCAGATAGATATCTTTTTTCTATGAAGTAGAAGAAATAAAAGTTTAAGAGTAGAGAAGGCATAATGCTTAATTCAAACGTAGCTTATTCTAACTTTTCCTAGTCTTTTAGTGTGTTCTTTCCAAGTCTGTTCATTTTGACAGCAGAAATACTTCTTTCCAATTCTCAAATCTTTATCTAATTAAAATTTGTGATGAAGTGGGAAATATGTAACCAAATACTTAAAATGTTTTGCACATAGACAAGCTTACATTTTTATATATACCCTTATACACACTATTATTGAAGTACTCTTATTTCTTAACTAATTCACATTTATTTGTTTGGGATAGAAGAACTGCTTAGCATCTTAAGTAAAATAAAAACGTAAATTTATCTAAAAGAACTTAGTGCTATAGAGGAATCAATGATCAAGGGGAAATCAACTCTGCTTTGAAAGATACCTGAATTATATTATTTATGATAAGTATTTATATTATACAAATTGTTCCTAGAAACCTTTGAAGAATGGCTGAAATCATGTGGCTTTTATTTCAGTGGAGGTTCAATTAGATAAACAAAAAGTAATATTGTGATTTACGATAGTCTGCAGTCAAAAAGCCATGTGTCAGTTCATTCTAGGCCAAAATGAGCTTCATGTTTAGCTACTATATGTCAAGCACATCCGCATTGTCGAGATGGAGACATACACCATCACATCACTACAGAATGTCTTTCCATAAATATTTTTCCATACCCTTGGCATTTAGACTTGTAAAACTGAAATTAGTTCAGCTTAACTATTTTATCTTAGGAGGCTACATTATTTGTCAGTGAATAGTTTAGAAATGTATAACAATCAAATCAATGTACTTCACTTGAGCATGACAAACTTTCTGTCCTAGATTATTTGGTGAATTTGTTCTATCTATATATATATATATATTTTTCAATATATTTTAAAATTTTCTAACTTTGCTGGTAATGGAGTATAGAAGTTGTTATTTTAAAAATAAAACAGGGAGTGACATCTGGTACATAATAAATTTTTACCAAATTTAAAAGTATTTTGCCATTTTTGGAATACTAAATGAGGTAATAATCTCTTTCTCTGAATTATGGGAAGGAAATTAGTATTATAATTAATCATTGATACTATGTGATAAAACACTTCTATAAAATATATAGATGTAACAATATAAAAATGTGAAATTGATAATCCTAATCAATTTCTAATACTTTACACAGCTTTATTTTATTTATGATTTTATTTATATGTACACACACTACCATTTATATTACATATATACACATTACAACATATACATATACCTGTTACTGATGGTCCACAATTTGGTTAAATATATGTGTGTGTGTGTGTGTGTGTGTGTGTGTGTGTGTGTATCACACACATGAATGCTATTAAAATTGTCTTGAATGACTTTTTAAAAATGTGTATGTTAATATTAAACACCATTAAGCAATTAGTGTGTTTCTAAATATGTGACGGGTAATGTATAAGTGATTGCCACACAACTAAGTTATTTAATGACACAATGGTAAGAAAAATGTCTTAATTATATTTGTATATTCCATGTTCAGTACAGTTCATGGCAGGAAATTCTGATTTATTACATATTGTAGATGAATGAATATGTAACCAAATTTATTTTATGTTTCATTTATAAATATTATATTATCTTTGAATTTCTGCCAATATTTGGTGAGCATAAATTAAAAATACATTGTATTGAGAGATTTAATGATTTTTCAATAGTATTCCTGTCCTTTTCTTATGTAATATTCTAATGTTACAATTAGCCTTATTGTTTTCAATCATTTAAACTTACATTCTAGTTAGCCAGTTAACCCTAGATTCTCAAGTAGGACCTATTTCCTGTTTCTGTTTGATATTATTCAAGAGACGTTGCCAAATTTTAGAGCTCGTAGTTTAAATTTATTTTAATTGTATCAATGTTTTAACCTAATAACAACTTTCATACTGAGAAGACATTTTTAAAAAATAATTTCAAATTGTCTCTTAGATTCAGGGGTTACATGTACAGGTTTGTTGGTACACGGATATATTACGTGATGGTGAGATTTGGGATACCATGATCCCATCACTCAGGTAGTGAACATAGTACCCAACAGTTAGCTTTTCATCCCTGACTCAACTTCCTTCCTCCTTCTTCCCTCTAGTAGTGCCTAGAGTCTATTGTTGCCATCTTTATGTTCATGGGTACACAAAGTTTAGCTCCCACTTATAAGTGAGAATATGTTGTATTTGGTTTTCTGTTCCTGCATCAGTTCACTTAGGATAATAGCTTCCAGTCACATCCATGTTGCTGCAAAGGACATGATTTTGTTCTTTTTTTATGGTTGTGTAGTATTCCATGCGGTACTTGTACCACATCTTCTTTATCCAGTCCACCATTGGTGGAAACCTAGGTTGATTCATGCCTTTGCTATTTAATACTACACCATTGATATTGATTAGTACTGCACTGATCATATGAACACATATATCTTTTTGTCAGAACAACTTATTTTCTTTTGGATATACCCAGTAATAGAATCACTGGGTTGAGTAATAGTTCTGTTTTCAGTTATTTGAGAAATCTCCAAACTGCTTTCCATAGTGATGAACTAATTACATTCCAACCAACAGTGTATAAGCATTTCCTTTTCTCCACAGCCTCACCATCATCTGTTGTTTTCTGACTTTTAAATAATGACCATAGTGACTATTGTGAGATGGTATCTCATTGTGGTTTTGATTTGCATCTCTCCGATTGGTGATGTAGAGCATTTTTTTCATGTTTGTTGACTGTATCTTTTCTTTTGAGAAGTGTTTGTTCATGTATTTTGCCTGCTTTTTAATGGGGCTATATATTTTTTTTTTGCTTGTTTAATTGTTTAAGTTCCTTAGGGAGTCTGGATATTAGATCTTTGTCAGATGCATAGTTTGCAATTTTTTTTCATTCTGCAGGTTGTCTGTTTACTTTGCTAATAGTTTTTCTTGCTGTGCAGAAGCTCTTTAGTTTACTTAGATCCCGCTTTTCATTTTTGTTTTTGTTACAATTGCTTGTAAAGACTTAGTCATACATTCTTTTTTTCAAAGTCAATGTCTAGAATGGTGTTTCCTAATGTTTTCTTCTAGGATTTTTATAGTTTGAGACATGAAATTTAAGTCTTTAGTTCATCTTGAATTAATTTTTGTACATAGTAAAATGTAGGGGTTTAGTTTCATTCTTCTGCATATAGCTAGCCAGCTATCCCAGCACCATTTATTGAATGGGAAGTTTTTCCCCTATTGCTTATTTTTGTTGGCTTTGTAAAAGATCAAAAGGTTGTAGGTGTGCAGTTTTATTCTGGATTCTCTATTATGTTCCATTCGTTTATGTGTCTGTTTTTCTACCAGTACCGTGCTATTTCACTTACTGGAACCTTATACTGTATTTTGAAGTTGGGTAATGTAATGCCACTCACTTTGTTCCTTTTGGCTTAAGATTACTTCAGCTATTTGGGCGCATTTTGTTTCCATATGAATTTTGGAAAAGTTTTTTCTGATTCTGTGAAAATGATATCAGTAGTTTAATAGAAATAGTATTGAATCTGTACATTGGTTTGCGTAGTATGGCATTTTAATGATGTTGATTCCTCTGATCCATAAGTATGGAATGTTTTTCCATTTGTTTGTGTCACCTACGATTTCTTTCAATAGTGTTTTGTAGTTATTCTTGTATATATCTTTCACCTCCTTGGTTCAATGTATTCCTAGGTATTTTATTCTTTTTGTGGCTATTGTGAATGGGGCATTCTCGATTTGGCTCTCAGCTTGAATGTTATGGATATATCGAAATGCTACTGATTTTTATACATTGATTTTGCATCCTGAAGGTTTACTGATGTCATTTATCAGATCCAGGAGACTTTTGGTGAAGTTTCTAGGGTTTTCTAAGTACATAATAACATTGTCAGTGAAGAGAAGTAGTTTGACTTCTTTTCCTATTTGGATGCCTTTTATTTGTTTCTCTTGCCTAATTGCTCTGGCTACACTTCCAATGTTTTAAATATGAAGATAAAATGCTGTTAATGTTAAATTTTGGTATAAGCAATAATATTTATACTATATAAAATATGACATGTTTTGAGTTTTAATTCCCTTATAGCATTTTGTTTTTCTTAGCAAACACATATTTTAAACCCACACTAAACTATCTTCTGAGTACCTTATTTTGAAAAATGTATTAAATAAATATAATTCACTTAGCTTAGCTTATATCCTCTGATAATTCACATATGATAGAGCTATGGGAATAAATCTTGTTCATAGTGATTTTCTTTCTCAATAAAACATACTTAGATAAGGCCAGCAATGCTTTTGAAAGTTAATTATATCTTGTACACTGCAAACAACGATAGTCTGTGCCTTTTTAACTCAATTTCCTTTATATGTATAGTATGCATATATATATATATATACGCACACATATATGGCTGTATATTTTAATTGTAATGGAAAGAAGTATAGTATTTTAAAGTATTAAAACAGTAATTATTATATATATTAATATTTTTAAAACATTTTCTTGGTGGGCCATATTTCTGGAGTATTGACTTTGAATTATGAAGTGAATATACTTAGTTATCCCAAGGTTAATAGCTCTTTAAGGGTAAAATATATTGGAGACATTAAAAGAAATTTAATTGAAAATATGGCGAAAAATCGATGCAATTTGTCAGTTTAATTTTTTTTTTTGGTAATTTTGAGAATCTTTAAACAATTTCTCATAAGATTATACAGCAAATTTCTAAATAGGTGCTAAATATATGGCTCAAAGGTTTAAAGGATAAGTGGGGAAACAACATGTATTCTTGCAGATTAGCATATATACTATGGAAATGGTTGCATTTAAAAAACGAGCCTTCAAGCATGGGTAGAAATAATTCTTAAACATAATTTTCTTTCCCCCAGGAGTTTGTCACAATAGTCTCATGAAACATGTCAATATGGGTGCATTTTTTGTCTTCTACTCTTTGCTCAACTTAAATGACTGGCATAATGTTTTCTAAATGATATTTAGGTAATGTACAGACATCATATGAAACAAGTTTGCTCCAGAAGCTTCGTTTATTTTTAATAAACCATTTTGGATTGGTATTTAAATAAATTGTACTACTTATCTAGATAATTATTTCTTAAATATTATCATGATTAAAATGTAAAATATCAATTTTGCCTCTATCATTGTTTGTTCATTATTATTATTTATTATTCCACCCATGAAATACACTTGTATCTTCATGGGTGTGAAGAACATTTTTTTCCTCACACAACTCAAACATGTTTTGTCACAGTTCTTGACAGAAAGTGTGGACTCAAAAAACGAATTATATCTTCAGTGTCTTCCAAATTGTTTCAGATTAAATTCAAATCTCTTATCGTGGACTACAAGCTTTTTCAAAAAAAAAAAAAGATTATACATTTATTTATTTACATGTCTTGTCTTTTGGCCCAGAATGCTTTTCCTACAGTGTTCAGAGGCAGAAGAAAAGTTTCTCAAATACAGGAAATAAGTAGATGGATGGAGACAATGAGTATGGTAGGAGACTGCCTTTAAAGAGTTTTTAAATATTACTTGGAAACTTGTAGGCTATGCTAGCATTTTGTAATGAAAATATCTGGAGTTTCCTAAAAGAGGGCATGTCAAATATTGCTGAGAAGTGAGTACGGCAAGAAAGTAACTGCAATCTCAACAAAAATAGTTTTCATTGAGAGGTATCAATGGAGTGGAGTGAGTCATCATGTGATTTAGAATGAGGAACTACAGATGTATATATGGAAAATAATTTAAGAAATCATATCCTGAAAGTGGAATAAAACTGGGAAAATTGGAATCATGTGAGATTGATAGTTTTGTTGTTTGTTTTGTTTTGCTTTGTTTTTGAGCATCTTAAAAGAATTGTAGCTACTTGGAAGCTTCACCTCAGAGAGCAGAGTGGGGGTTCCTAATTCAAATACAGATAATTTTATTTGATATGAAGAAGGATACATTTTATTCTATTTTGATAGAAATAAAGGTAGAGAAGATGGGTACCATGACATATAGGTTTGGAGATTTGATGGTAGGAAAATGAGAAAGTTTCCTTCTGACAACTTTTATTTTCTCAAGACAAATGACTGTATCAGCTGATAGTAACAGAAACAGAGCTCATAAGGAGCTTGAAGGAACAGGAGATGCTACAAGAAAATCCTGTTGATGTTGGAAATGAAGTTAACTAAGGGAATAATATGAGTTTGAATAAGAGGCGATGCTACAAGAAAATCCTGTTGATGTTGGAAATGAAGTTAACTAAGGGAATAATATAAGTTTGTCTAGCAGGGTACTATGACCCCTTGGAATTTAGGGTCATGATTTGAAGGTGATGAATAATTACAGTTTATGACATTTTTCTTGGATAATATTGAACCACACAGGTTTTTTTTCTCTCTAAACATCTATTTGCATTACTTCAACCACCTCAAATTAAATAATGCCTTACATATTACTCATTATCTTCTCCAACACATTTCATGTCCTGTTCTCTGAGAAAATGGCACCAGTATTTTCTGTAAAGTTTAAGCCAAATACCTTACAGTCACTCTTACGATTTTCCACTAAGTCATCTAACCCATTAAATACATCATGAAACCTAGTTGATTTTACCCCATTCTCATTTCTTGAATTCCCCTCGTTTTATTGATCACTACTGGAACCACTCTGGTTAAGTGACATTGTCTCTTTCTGGACCAATGCAATAGAAACAAAAGAGCTATTTGCCTCTGATCTTGCTTTTTTACCCAGGCTGCTGTGTAATGATCTCATAAACACTACTTTGATCTCATTATTCCTTGGCTTAATAACTTTGCAGTTACTGTGAAAATATACAATTTTCATTTGTCAGTTAAACCTTAATAAAGCTGGGGTGAGGGGAACTTTCCAATGACCTCCCTTTGCCTATAAAATAAAGTACCAAATATCTAATAAAATATGTAAGGTTTTTGTGGCCTGGTGCCCTCTGTCCTGTATAAACTTGACTCTTCCACTTTATTCTGACTATCTTCTTGATCAATTCTTTAGTATCTTCCATTTCGCTATTTGTTCTCCACCTCATGTGGTCCTTTGCAAGGATTTCTCCCTTTAAGGTACGGATACACTTTAACTCAAATTAAATCATTTTCATAATCTTTCAAATATAAGCAGAGACTCAGCTTCCTGAGGGAAATCTCCTTTAATAATCTAGATTAAATTGGGTATCTATGTTTACTGCTATAGCTCCTTTTTCTTTTCCTGGTGTAGTAATATTTATAATATTTATGGACTACCTTTAAGATTCATAAAGGCAAGGCTGTGTCTATCACATTTACCTCTGAAGCCAGTTCAAGTAGAGTTACTGGCCCACTATACCTGCTGAAAACATCTTATTGAACTGAACAGAAAGATACATTTATCTACTTTTTACTTCGATTTATATTATTTTATATTTCCAAAGCTCCCTTTGGGGTTTGAACAGCAGTGTTATATGTGATATAATATAAAGTGTTTAAGTTAAGAGGCATTCATTAAAAAGAAAAGAAATGACTTTTGTTTCATGAATGGTAAATGAATTCCAAATACTTAGAACATATGAATTGACACTTCATGTCTTTGAAAGCAAATAGTGTTTAAAGTGAGAATGGTTTTACTAAAAGGATAAAAGAAGAAAAATTGAATAACTTAGCTAAGTATGGCATAAGCTGCTATAGCAATCCTATTATAAGAAAAATAATATTTTAAATCTTCTCCTAATCATTTAACTACAAGAATGTCCCTAATACTATCAAAAAGCTCTTTTTATCTTTCAAATACCTTCACATTTTCTCAGAATTTATAAGAGCATTAAGGCTTTACTATCACTATAATTAGATCTACTGAAAAGAGTACCTTCTCAATTTTGCCAATTCCTGATTATTCATGGTGATGGCAGAGAGCCTTAGCATGGATTACTAAAACATGAAATCATTTATAGAATATGAAAGTTGGCCCCAGTTCATTTAGTCTATCAGAAATTTCTACTGAAATACAAGTTCACCTTTGAGCTTCAGCAAATATGCGTCATACTTCAGTATATGTAGTGAGCTTTGAAAATAGAAAAAAGTAGTTGATTAGCTTTATTTAAAGTAAGCTGTACAAAGCACTCAAACCATCAGTTTGGTAGTCTTCGACTGACCCATACTGAGCAATTAGCATATTAAAGTTTGGCTTTATTAGCCAGTGAGAAATAAGAATAATATGAACATGTAGAAAATCCACAGAATAAAAAGATTTACTTCATGCGCATTTACCTGATGATAAGCTTAGAAATGCTCATAGAAATATCAGAAAACACTTTCTTTATGTGATTCTAAATAGTTGTTATAATATTCATGCCAATCCATTCATTCATTCACACATTTCATAGAACTCTTTGAACGCCTTTTGTGGTCAAACACTGGAAAAAGTAAGTGCAAAACTGAGTAAGACATAAGCCATCCCATTACTGGGTATGTACCCAAAGGACTGTAAATCATGCTTCTCTAAAGACACATGCACACGTATGTTTATTGCGGCATTATTCACAATAGCAAAGACTTGGAACCAACCCAAATGTCCAACAATGATAGACTGGATTAAGAAAATGTGGCACATATACACCATGGAATACTATGCAGCCATAAAAAATGATGAGTTCATGTCCTTTGTAGGGACATGGATGAAATTGGAAATCATCATTCTCAGTAAACTATCGCAAGAACAAAAAACCAAACACCACATGTTCTCACTCATAAGTGGGAATTGAACAATGAGATCACATGGACACAGGAAGGGGAATATCACACTCTGGGGCCTGTGGTGGGGTGGGGGGAGGGGGGAGGGATAGCATTGGGAGATATACCTAATGCTAGATGACGAGTTAGTGGGTGCAGCGCACCAGCATGGCACATGTATACATATGTAACTAACCTGCACATTGTGCACATGTACCCTAAAACTTAAAGTATAATAAAAAAAAAGACATAATGTTTGAACTTAAGAAATCATTATAATTTGTATAGTAAATAAGCCTTACTGATATTAGAATAGATAAATGTTGAATCAGTAGGTGTCTCAAAGAAAAGTTCTAAAATGAAGTAAATGTAAAACAAATGTCAAAAATGTGACTCCCTTAAAATAAAAATAATACAGTTGATATATCAGGTCATCTATGCATTCTCCCCAATCTAACAGAATTCATGAGGCATTTAGCACATACTAATTAATTAATTTATTATTCAATAACACAATTTTGAGTGCCTACTTTGTATCATACCATTTTAGCAGTACATGGAATAATATTTATTTCTTCAACATAGTTGTAGTAATGATAGAGTAAGTGAAAACTATACACAAAGCACTGCTTCAGTTTTAAATACATAAAAATATTTGCCTTTTATCAATATAATTCCTTATAAGCTCCTGTAGCATAAAAATCATTACAAGTATGTACATTCCATAAATGTTTAAGTACTTTAAATAAATATTTGATTATTTGAATGAATAGCCTGGTATTTATGATCCAGAAGCTTATGAAAACTTCTTGAAATTGATGCAAAGATTGTGTTATCTGTAATCTGCATATACAAGTCAAAATAATGACATTATTCACAAAACAAACACTGCATCTGTTCCAGGGAAAAGCTTAGTCTCTTATTTCTTTTGACAGTGTGCAGACCTGGGTTCTTCAAAGCCTCACCTCACATCCAGAGCTGCGGCAAATGTCCACCTCACAGTTATACCCATGAGGAAGCTTCAACCTCTTGTGTCTGTGAAAAGGATTATTTCAGGAGAGAGTCTGATCCACCCACAATGGCATGCACAAGTAAGGAAACCCACGGATATTTGGTGGTGCTAACTTTAACCAGTTTTGAGGAAACAGCATGATGGAGCCTGTTATAGTCTAGTAACATTTCCCCCTAAAACAGACATAATGTTTAATCATCTCTATACAGTTTTCACCAATTTTCAATCTCCTTGAATAAGCACTGAAAAATTTGAGTCTCTTTTTATCACTCATTGTTAGAAGTATCCATTTTCCCTAACTTCAAATTCAACAGCTGAGACACAGATATAGAATATTTTCTTTTATTTTGTGGCTTATTTCAGTGTTCATGCTAGCTAAACATGACTTTGATAATCTACTTCCCAGTTTACATTAAAACCTCTTCTTCCTTCCTCCTCTTCCTCTTCTTCTTTCTTCTTTCTTCTTCCTTCCTCTTCTTCCTCTTCCTCCTCCTCCTCTTCTTCTTCTTCCTCTTTCTCTGCCAGTTTTCCCATCACATAATTATGTAGCTGATGGAGCCTTCACCATCTTGTTCTAAACTGCCCCAATAAAGCCACTAAGAAGTCATTTATAAAAGAACACAGGAAATATTTCAGGAACATAGAGAACTGGGAGTGGCAAACAAGATTTAAATCAGATCAGAGTCATACATACACCAATTTTTTTGCTAGGGTTCTCAAGCAGCTGTCATGTTTCTTGTTAGTGAGTGTCCTTAACTATTATTTAATATATTTGCTGATCATAAGTAGAGTAGATGAATAGTAAACATTTAATTCTGACATTTGCAGTAGATATAGCCACATCTTTCAACATTTTTAGTTTTCCGTATATTTGGTTTTCCATATATTTCTGAGAATGTAACACATTTGTGCATTTGTTTGCTTGATGACAATACTTTCAGAGTTTTTCCATAAGAAAGTCTCTGTAGCAAATCAAGCAAAAACAGAAAATTAAAGAGAAGGGAAGTGAATCCCTCTCTCCTCATATTGTTTAATTTCCATGAACTGCCTGGATTTACTATTTTAGGTCCCAGAAAGTTGTAGCTGCTTTCAAAGTTGTTCACAAAAATTTGAAATATTAGTATCCGTCTCTAAATTTAAAGAAGCAGTGAAGATTTTTTGTTATCAAATAATCACAAATTGAAATTTTATCTGAATTTCATAGTGTCTAAATTTCATAGTGTCAGTGAAACATGTTTTCAGATTTCCTTAAATCATTGCTATTAATTAGCTTTACATTCTGAAGACCATTCTTTTATCCCAAAGCTGATGATTTCATGGGTTAGATGATTACTAGTGAAAAATAATTTCCTCTTCAAATGAATAAATGCAATTTTTATATGCTCTTTTGTAAGGATACATATCAATGGAGAAGATATAAACTATGATTGGATGTGATGAATTTTGGTTCCAGTGGAGATTTCAATAATTATTTTGCTTATGAGAGCAAATGAATGCCCAAATAGGGAAAATGTTGGCTAGACAACAGAGTGGTAAATTAAAGAGAAAACCATGTTTTAAATTATCTTTC
This sequence comes from Homo sapiens, assembly GCF_000001405.40. Classification (NCBI taxonomy): domain Eukaryota; kingdom Metazoa; phylum Chordata; class Mammalia; order Primates; family Hominidae; genus Homo; species Homo sapiens. The sequence continues at coordinate 65,493,896 of NC_000004.12, read as the reverse complement.
AAATTTTATTAATTTTCTAATTGTTATTTTCTTTAAGTGGTCTACCCATTATCTTTCTTTTTTTTTCAGCATAAATGTGAGCCTCCCTTTCTGCAAATTTGTTAGGATTGGAAATGGGGGTGGGGCGTGAGGGGGGAAGCTGTACTTTGGTGGCAAGGACTGCTTAGCACTTTTTTAGGACCAAAGCCCACAGTCAGGCTTCACATTTCTCAGTTTCCAGGTGTGTGAATTTCTAATACTGTGTTGTCAAATGAGCACTAATTTGTATGCATTTCTAAAAGTAAAATAAAATTAAATTTAAAAAATTAGGACTTATGTATAAGATCTTTCTAATACATAATCTATGAGTGTGTGTGTATGTTTTTAGTTGCATTCATAATACCACAAATACTGCATATGATTTCCTTATCGCCTGATAGATGTTCAGATGAAGATCTTGAGCTTCACTTTGCCTTTGGCTCTTTGGAATTGAATTTATAGCTCCAACTTCAAATTTTTTTTCTAGAATATACAAAGTTTTTAAATCTATATAACAACATTTTATAAGCCTACAGGAAAAAATCAAACAAAAATAAAACCTAAAATCCTGATGAATCTGCTTAAATTAAAGGTTAGTCTCACAGTTCTACTTTGGTTGACGCATCATATCTATGATTGGGGCAGAGGAATTTTATTATATGTTTTTTGTAGGTGCGTGTTAGTTCGAGCTTCCACTTTTTACCTCTATTTTAGGGTTTCACTTGAGTTTGAGTTTCCTTTTGACTTTAAAGCTGCTTGTGCCCCCATCCTAGCTGTTAGTAGAAGAGTCAGAAGAAAAGGAGGATTCAGCTGCTGATGCATTCTTATAGATTTAGAGGAAATGTGTTAAATGCAAGGATTTTTCAGTTGGCAGAAATTAAAAAACAAAACAAAACAAAACAGAAGTTTGACATTGTTCTAACTTAGAGATATTTCTCAGAGGTTAATCCTGTAATTTTTTATCTTAAATTTCATTTTGTCTATAACTTTGTACTATTAAATAAGCTAAAGTTTATAGTAAACAAGAACACGTGTATTTCCAGAAATACCATTTAACCCAGCAATCCCATTACTGGGTATATACCCAAAGGATTATAAATCATTCTACTATAAAGACACATGCACAAGTATGTTTATTGCAGCACTGTTTACGATAGTAAAGCAAAGCAAATACAATCCAAATGCCCATCATTGATAGACTGGATATTTCCATTTTAAGACATTATTTCAACTTAAAGGGGACTGTTTTATATTGAAGTATGTGAGATGGCCGGTATGACAAAATTCATAGGATTCAAACATGGTCAAGGTGGGGATTTTTTTTTTTTTTTTTTTTTTTTGCAAAGATGTCAAGTTTTTTAGTTAAGGGGTTCTTTTGGCTTGGCGCGGTGGCTCACGTCTGTAATCTCAGCACTGTGGGAGGCCCAGGCGGGTGGATCACTTGAGGCCAGGAGTTAGAGACCAGCCTGGCCAACATGGTGAAATCTTATCTCTACTAAAAATACAAAAATTAGCCAGGTGTGGTGGTGGGCCCCTGTAATTCCAGCTACTCGGGAGGCTGAGGCAGGAGAGTCATTTGAACCTGGGAGGCGGAGGTGGCAATGAGCCAAAATCACTCCAGTGCATTTCAGCCCGGGCGACAGAGAGAGACTCTGTCCCTAAATAAATAGATAAATGACATTCTATCCAGCTAAATCTTAAATGCCAATTAGCTTTCTTACCACTTTTAAAACAATCCCTCAAAAGTCATGACTTAATAAATGTTAGTTAAAAATTGTCAATTTTGATATTTAGAACAGACAATGCATATTAGGATAACAGATCATCCTAAGTAGCTTAATTATGCTTATGAACCATTCAACTACCACCATACTCCATTTTATTCTCTGTAAGGAGAGATGTCCAAATTGTCTCTGGAACAAATATAAATGTGTTTTTTCTTTGAGATTATCCAATAATATAACATTAACAGCTGACTGAAGTTTTAACTAAATATCTAAACATTGACTCTAGTGTTAGAAATTACCTAATTAATTTTTGTTCTCTCTATTATTCTAATCAAGTTCAGGAATAATTAAAATAATATACAAATAAGATATGGTTACCCTTAATATATGAAATTCATAAAGCAATTCTGATCATGGATTTCATTACTCATATTTTAGTGGAAATATTCCATCTTATTGAAATAAGATGATTCTGAATATAAAATATATTTTAAAAGCTACACCCAGTTTCCATTAAGGTATATACAAAAAATAAAGTGTACAAGAAATACTTCATGAAGTTAGGAAGTTTCACTCCTGAAAGCTATTCGTAGTTAATATGTTATGATTCTATGAAAATATTTGTGTTAAATCTATTTCTTTTCTTATTTTGGTAGGTTATTAGAGGTTGAAATTTATTCTATTGATCCTTCAAAATCTGAACGCTTTTATTCATCCTATTGTAGTCCTTTTCAGGGTTATTTTTAAAATAAATTTTAGATTTTCAATTAAATAAAATTCACAACTTGCAGAACTGTAATATAAAAACAATATCAAAGTAAAATATGTTTTACTGCAAATTGTAATTTTGACCATTTACTTAAATTCTAATGCTTTTTTGATATACAGTAGGGGGTTTCAAATTCTGTTGGTGATTTAGCAACTAGATATGCAATCTATTTTGAAGCATGCTAAGGTTTTTTTTTTTTTTACTTACAACATTTGTAGTCAGGAGCTACGCTGAAAATTCTGTATTTTCCTATGCTTGTTTCTTAGTAGGTACTTTGTGTTTACTTTGTAGGTTGCAGGGATTAGCACCAATGAGGAAACATTCAGTTCAATCCCCAAGGAAACTCACCAGTTTATAAATATATAATTTTAATTTTATCTTATAATATTTGTGCATACATAGTTTTACTCCATAATTGTTTACATATACATGAAGCAAAACGTTCTGCTTTTACTGAACTAGTGTTATAACAATGCCAAGATAAGTCATTTCCATAGGGAATAAACCCCACTATTGTCCCTACAAAATTATGAAAACAAAACTACAAATTATGACTTAAAGGACTTATTGCAAATCTATTTTTTCCTTCAGACCAGGAATTGGTGTGATAAATAATGCCTAATTAATACCATCTTAAAATATGTTTTTCTTACTTTACTTTGTAAACCAGGACCCCCCTCTGCTCCTCGGAATGCCATCTCAAATGTTAATGAAACTAGTGTCTTTCTGGAATGGATTCCGCCTGCTGACACTGGTGGAAGGAAAGACGTGTCATATTATATTGCATGCAAGAAGTGCAACTCCCATGCAGGTGTGTGTGAGGAGTGTGGCGGTCATGTCAGGTACCTTCCCCGGCAAAGCGGCCTGAAAAACACCTCTGTCATGATGGTGGATCTACTCGCTCACACAAACTATACCTTTGAGATTGAGGCAGTGAATGGAGTGTCCGACTTGAGCCCAGGAGCCCGGCAGTATGTGTCTGTAAATGTAACCACAAATCAAGCAGGTAAGTGCCATGCCCAACCCAATTGTGTATGTGAGGCCTAGTTCTGTCAATTATTTCCATAGCTGACGGCCAAGTTGACTGAAATCTGTGTGAGAATTTTCCCTCAACCGGAAGGTCAGGACTTAAAGTATAACACATCAAAAACGCTTTTGCAGTTTTAAATAAATAATAGTTAAAGCTTTGTTAGCAATCCCATTTACAGGAAAACAAAACAAAACAAAACATTTTTTAATTGAATTTTTTCATTAGAAATACATTTCTGGATCAAATCCATTTGAAGCAAAATTTATCTCATATAATTTCATAGCATTCATTTTTACAACTCAAATCTATTTTTTGTTTCCTTTAATTTTTAAAAACTCATTAATTTAGCATGTGATTAGGCAGGTTTTATTTGCTTGTTTATTTGCTTGCTTGGCAACACAGATGAATTTTCCTTGCAGATCATAAATCTTTTCATATTTTTTCAACTATTGTAGCAAAAATGCATGCAATGAAATTTTCTTTGCTAAGTTTATTTATCAAAATTAGAGTAACTATGAACTATTATACAACCACCTGAAAACACTTCTAGATTCCATATGGAAATTTTGGAATTAATAAGTAATTATTAGGGAGTAGGGAATACAGTCGTGTCTGAGCTACTGATTTGTCTATATTTTCCCCTCAAATGTTCACTTTTAAGCAAATTAACATGGAAGACTTCTTTCCTGGTAAGATAAAAACCGAATATAAACTACAGCTAATTTAATAATTCAACCCACTATGTGGCATTCTAAACCTAAGAGTAATTTCTAGCATGTTTTGTCCACCAACAGGTATCTGGGAGGGGAAGAAAAAGGCATTAAAGCCAAAAAGTTGTAACTTTCCTCTATCAACTGACTACAACTCTCAGTCCAAAGTGTAGTAACCTTGTCATCACCTTAGTACTTCAGGTGGGCTTTGGTCACTGAGCACATCCTTGCCACCAGTACTCACAAAGAAATAGGACATGTTTGACTGAATGAAATCAGGCTTAGTTTATACAATATTAGTGTAAGTTTGTAGGTTGCGGGATGCTAGCCTTGATGTGGGAATGCTGTTGGTTACAAAGTCTCAGCAAAAATAATTAATTTGAATTGTTGGATACCTCAGGTAAATCAAGTGGTTATATTCTAAGAATAAGAAAAAGCATGCAGCTGGCTGGGCGCGGTGGCTCACGCCCGTAATCCCAGCACTTTGGGAGGCCGAGATGGGTGGATCACGAGGTCAGGAGATCGAGACCATCCTGGCTAACACAGTGAAACCCCGTCTCTACTAAAAATAAAAATAATAATAAAAAAAATTAGCCGGGCATGGTGGTGGGTGCCTGTAGTCCCAGCTACTCGGGAGGCTGAGGCAGGAGAATGGTGTGAACCCAGGAGGAGGAGCTTGCAGTGAGCCGAGATCGCGCCACTGAGCTCCAGCCTGGGCAACAGAGCGAGACTCCGTCTCAAAAAAAAAAAAAAAAAATGCATGCAGCTGAGTTCAGAGTTGATAGTTGCTACTGATTGATAAAGCTGACGGAAACATTCAAAATTAGCCCAGATTGTGTGAAGCATGTGATTAATGCAATAGGAATTATTCTATACTCTTCATGTTCTTAGCCACATTGAATATTTGTCTATGGCATTTTTTTTCCTATTAGAAAATATAATGCACACATATAAGCCACTTTCCCCAGTGAATCGTTTATATTTTTTACCATTTACTACCTAACCTAAGGTGAAACTAATAGAAGTGCTAAAGAGCTGGACAGGAATAGCGAAAATCAATTTTTCCCTCAGCATAGACTCAGCTGTAGGCAATGCTAGCATGTGTTGACTTTTTGTCACTGTATCTAGACATCAGGAGTGTTCGGTAAATGTGAACTCTCTTCCCATGTTAGAAAAATATTGGCTTGAAACCTTTGGCTTCAGCCTTCTTACGAAACATCTTTCAACTTTACTTGATTCTACGTATGAATCTTCTACCAACATATTGTAAGCATATCGAACAATCACCGAGTTGTGTTCCTTTAGAAGTACATTTTCCAGCTTGCATAACCTTAACTTCTTTGAAAGGTATTCCTTTGATAAACTAGGTAGAGAAAATAACTGTTTATTTTTTAATGATGTATTCAACAAATATTTGCTATAGTTGTCTTTAACTTTCTGGCCCCTTCAGCCTCCCAAGTATATTATTTGAAACTTGAATACCTTAAATACCAAAAAAAGATCAATTTTCATCCAGGTGGTCAAGACATAGGTGTCTTGTAAAACAAATTTTTATATTCACAGCAGACAATTTTGTTGACTTTTGGTTGCTATTGGTTAGACTTCTCACTGTATACACTGTAACATTTTGCAAACCTACCCAAAACATCAAAATAAGATTCTTCTCAGTATCAGCATTCCAGAATCACTAAGTCTTATTTTACACAAAAATTATGGAAACTTCTAATTGTAACCACCCAATGGTTTCTTCTTGCCCCCTCCCCAGAGAGAGTCAATTGATCAAGACAGGGAAATTGCAACAGAAAAAGAGTTTAATACACATAGAGCCAGCTAAGCAGGAGACCAGAGTTTTATTATTACTCAAATCAGCTCTGTCAAAAGTCAGAGGCTAGAGTTTTTTAAAGATAGTTTGGTGGGCAGGAGTCTAGGGAATGGGGAGTGCTGATTGGTTGGGTCAGGGATGAAATCATAAGAAGCTGAATCTGTCCTCCTGCAGAGTCAGTTCCGGGTGAGGGCTACAAGACCAAATGAGCCAGTTTAAGTGTTCTGTATGATGCCAGCTGATCCATCAGAATGCTGCAGTGTCTGAAAAATATCTTGAACACCAATCAAAGGTCTTAAAATAATAATGTTAGCCATGGGAGCCATTGGGGAGGTTAGGAATCCTGTGGATTCTGGCTGCATGACCCCTGAGCCATAATTTTTAATCTTATGGCTAATTTGTTAGTTTTACAAATGTTGTCTGGTCCCTAAGCAAGGAGGGGATTTGTTTCAGATAGGAGTTAGTATCATTTTTGTTGGAAAGCTAAACCATAAACTAAATTCCCCCCAAAGTTAGTTCAGTCTATCCCGAGGAATGAACAAGGGCAGCTTGGAGGTTAAAGGAAAGATGGAGTCAATTAAGTAAGATCTCTTTAACTGTCATAATTTTCTCACTGTTTGTATTAGTCTTTTTCCACTGCTATAAATACCTGAGACTGGGTAATTTATAAAGAAAAGAGGTTTAATTGGCTCATGGTTCTGCAGGCAGTACAAGAAGCATAGCAGCTTCTGCTTCTTGTGAGGCCCCAGGAGGCTTCCAATTATGGCAGAAGGCAAAGAAGGAGTGAGGCATCTCACATGGCGAGAGCAGGAATACAAGAGACAGGGAAGGTGCTGCACACTTTAAACAACCAGACCTCTTCAGAACTTGCTCTCTATCATGAGAGCACCAAGGATATGCTGTTCTCAAGAAACTGCCCCCATGATCCAGTCACCTCCCAGGAGGCCCCACTTCCAACATTGGGAATTACAATTAAACATGAGATTTGGGAAGGGACACAGGCCCAAGCCATATCACTGTTATAATCTCTGCAAAGGTGGTTTCAGAATAATTCCTAAAATGTCTTAAGTTTAATGCCACCATGGCAAAACACTTTTTAAGTACCCAAATTGCAGAAAGTGTTTTGTAGTAGTTTTTAATGCCTAAATATCTTTTAAGAATTAAATTGAAGAAAGTTATCTTCACCATATGTGGTTGTTATATAAAACTTTTTTCAGCAGATTTTAAATTTAGTTTTGAGATCCTCCAAAGATTGTTTTCAGGAAATATGTTTCTTTTTTAAATAATTGATTTCAAATTTATAATTAGCCTCAACAGTTGTGTTGATATTTTCTGATTGATTTTGTAGGGGTACAGGAAATGCATCCCTTTGGCCCTCTCTGTAAGTTTGCTGTGGTGACTGAAAATAGACAGCTTAATAGGGAAAAACATCCATAATAAATTCAGTAACACGCACTTGGATGTGGTATCCCACATATATAAGACTCAAAGAAGGGCCAGATGGTTGAGGCTTAAATACCCTCTTCATATAGAGAGGGAAATGGGGGTGGGGGGGTGTAAATGGGGAAATGAATGATCTCAAAGAACAATGACCTGGTATAAATTTTCTCTGACCTCTGGGGGAACCAGTAATGAGAAGATGAGGGGAGGAACTTCGAACTTCACTGTGAACAAAGGTTTTCTTATTATAAAAATAAAGTCTCCCAGGTAATCTCTGGGAGGTGTCCTTAGAATAATAAACAAAAAGTCTGTCTGGACATGGTGATGACTTTTAGTCTCTTCTCTTTTCTTTTCTGGTGGTTAATGTTTCCTGATTATTTGTGAGATTTTCAGGAAGGATGCTTTAAGACAATCACATTTCTTTTGAAAAGGAGTTTCCCTTAGTAAAATAAGGAAATTTCAGTGAGAGTCCCTCCCTGCAATTGTGAGATGTAGGGGACAGGGAAGAAACAAGGGAAGGTTAGAAAGTTTGTGGTTCTGAGGGAACATCTAAGGTCTTCTGATTTCTTTTAATTCAAAGTGCTCATCATGCCAAAGCACCATTCTTTGTGGTATTTCTCTCTGCATTCCAACAATGTATTTCTGTGCGTGTGACAACAATGAATGTCCAGATTCAAAATTGGATTCAAAAAGTGTAAGAAGGAAAAATAGGTGTGTTCAAGTTGAAAATTTTGCATTAGGCTGATAGTCTATAGAAGCGATTAAATGATTTATAAATGTATACATAGTATTTAGACATTTTCCAAAACATTATATCATTATGGAGCCTAGGAACTTGCTTTTAGGGGAAGCTATCTGGACTAAAACAATACTTTTTTGCATGTAATAATCAAGCTACAAAATTTTAAGGAAAAGTCAAATACTAGAATTGGTTCAAATTTATAGTTCTTGTAAAACATGGTTATAATAATGTTACTGACCAGAAAGAATTATAAAATTGTGAGACTTTTCTTGGTCAAGAAAAATAAGCAAATGTAAAAGGGGAGAAAAGCAAGAAAAAAGTAGATGTTACATAATGTAAAGAAATAGTGGCTATGATGAAGGGAAAAATGATAAGAAAATAAAATGTCAATATGTTAGTTATATAAAGAATTCTTTGGCCAATTACAAAGGGAATAAAATATAAATAGTGGATAAAAATTAGAGGATATAATAGTAGATATGCAAATAGTGGATATACAAATTAGAGGATAAAATAGTGGATATGTTCATTATTAAGCTATTAATCTTATAAAATGAATAAAATTATTTAGCTCTTCAAGTTTTCTAATGAGTATTTCATATATAATACATTCTTACACAAAATTGATTTACACATGATAATCTTTCTTTGCCAAATAATATTTAGATTTATTTACATGACAACACTTCTGTTGTTCTGTTCTATTCTTTTAGGACTTATGAAATGTATCTATCTATACAGATAGAGACATAGCAACTCATAGTGTAAAATTTTGAAATTCTGTTAAAAACAGTTACTCTGAAATTTCTTTATCTTTTTACAAAATAGTGTGTATTTATGTTTTTCTATAAATATATACTTTGTTTCTATTTTGAAATAATTTTACACTAGGAATTTCTAAGCTTAAGCTTAAAGCTCTTTTAATATATATACATGTATATTTTGTCCCAATAGAAAATAAGCTCATTCTAACCAGAAAACCAAAATTACAAATAATTAACATGCCAAGGTACAGAATTCTAATTCTGGGCCGAAACAGACACATTTTAATTGTTTTGAATGTAGGCTCAGACTCTTGGAACCTTTTTCCAGAGGGCTATGTTGACATGCTATGGGTAGCAAAATGCAGCAAACTTGCACCTTACCTTGGAGGGCATGTTCCAAGCTGTCCCAGACTATCAGAAATAACACCAAGGTAGGTGTTACCTATACTTTCATGGGTTTTATTTCTTAGTTCTTGCCCAAATGTCTGGAGGACATTATAATACCAGTTCAATGGGTCTTTTCAATTTGATGCCATCCTTGTAGTTGACAAGCATGGTGTCTCATAAAATATTGAAATGATCAGTGTTCCCACAGACTAAATCTGGCTGTAAAACGGGAAATTTCAGAGACCATTAGAACAATATGGTGAAAGCACACTGTTGCTTCTGCCAAAAAGCGGCAAATACTTGTTGGCAATCTCTGTTTACTGAGATGTGAACTTCTAAAAAGAAAAAAAAGGTCACCTTTTAGACTATTATTATAATAATGAGTGCCAGGGTCTTTGTTGATTCTCTTTAGTGGAGAAACCACATTGCCTGTACTTGAACCACCACCTAATTAAAGGTATTTTTGTTTTACAAGATTAATTTGTCTTCCATGTAGACTGAATAGGTAAGTTAAATCTGCTAATGTTTTCATAAGCACCAGCCTTTTTTCTTCCATGTTCTTTATGACGGCTCTAGTTGAAACATTCTCCCAGGGATTTATGTTTACTGTTTTTGTAGGAGAGAGATGCTCAGAGGTCTTTAGTTTGGCCATTACTAGAGTTTCACAGCTTTGACTTCAGGGGCCACTGAGATACACTTACAGTGTAACTCTTCCAAATACACACCAAAGATCTGGTAAAATAATCAAAAGCTGAAATGGAAATATTACTGTATCAACTGTAATATGAACCCAAGACAAAAATCTCATTCATCACGTGACCCTAATAACTTCTACTTACGCAAATTTTTTTTGGTGATAGTCTGAATCCACCAAGATCAATGTTAGCTTGAAGGCAGTATTCAATAATCTGTGAAAGGTCTGGGCATTTACACCCACCTCCTTCCCTCCCTAACGTATTTAACAACAGGTGCTGGAGAGGGTGTGGAGAAATGGGAACACTTTTACACTGTTGGTGGGACTGTAAACTAGTTCAACCATTGTGGAAGTCAGTGTGGCGATTCCTCAGGGATCTAAAACTAGAAATACCATTTGACCCAGCCATCCCATTACTGGGTATATACCCAAAGGATTGTAAGTCATGCTGCTATAAAGACACATGCACACGTATGTTTATTGTGGCACTATTCACAATAGCAAAGACTTGGAACCAACCCAAATGTCCAACAATGATAGACTGGATTAAGAAAATGTGGCACATATACACTATGGAATACTATGCTGCCATAAAAAGGGATGAGTTCATGTCCTTTGTAGGGACATGGATGAAGCTGGAAACCATCATTCTCAGCAAACTATCGCAAGGACAGAAAACCAAACACCACATGTTCTCACTCATAGGTGGGAATTGAACAATGAGAACACTTGGACACAGGATGGGGAACATCACACCCTGGGGCCTGTTGTGGGGTGGAGGGCGTGAGGAGGGATAGCATTAGGAGATATACCTAATGTAAATGACGAGTCAATGGGTGCAGCACACCAACATGGCACATGTATACATATGTAACAAACCTGCACGTTGTGCACATGTACCCTAGAACTTAAAGTATAATAATAAAAAAAAAAGATCCTCTAAAAAAAAAAAGGAAAAGAAATGGTAGGCAATGTCTTTCAGAAAAGCTAGAAGATGTGCAATACTAACATATGATGCTATTGCAGAGTCCTTCTTCAAGAGTAACCATGTTTCTCTTCATTTAAGTGGCCATGGGGTAAGTAAATTAATTCAAGTGTGAACACTATTAACAGGTCATGACTAAGTAGGTCACTAAATTTAGATTTTTTTCTTCCCAGACCTTGATGTCATTGCCAAGGGTCAGATGACTCATTATTTTGGTCTCTGCATGCTAGAGTACTGTGTTTTTTACCATTCATATCCTGCTACCTATTATGAGATCCGTGTCCACCCCCATTCCAGTGGTAAAGTACTCCTAAACCCTAAAGAAATGAAATCACTTGAATGTAGCTTCAATGTCTGTGTTCCCCAGTATAGAAAATATAAATTATAGAGTTTTTTTAAAGATAGCATTGTTGTGCTCATCATTCTTTTTTATTGTTATAGTGAAGAAAGTATCTTCTGAGCTCTTTCTGAAAATTTAATCAGTGGGTTATTTCACAGGTTGTTTTTTTTTTTTTTTTATCTTGTTCTTGTCACCCAGGCTGGAGTGCGATGGCAAGATTTTGGCTCACTGTAACCTCCGCCTCCTGGGTTCAAGCACTTCTCCTGCCTCAGCCTCCTGAGTAGGTGGGATTACAAGCACCCACCACAAGGCCCGGCTAATATTTGTATTTTTAATAGAGACATGATTTCCCCGTGTTGGCCATGCTGGTCTCAAACTCCTGACCTCAGGTGATACACCTGCCTCGTCCTCCCAAAGTGCTGGGATTACAGGCATGAGCCACTGCATCCAGCCTATTTCACAGGCTTTGAACAATAATTCCACCTTAACTTTCATATTTCAGTAGGTCATTGAATTCCTTGTATATTAAAAGGAAGAACTCCAAGTGTCTGAACTTTATTTAACTTAGCCTGTTTTTCAGTTCAGATTTTGGTCAACTAATTGAAGAAGTATTTAGCACCTAAGCCAGCTACCAGAAGTAGCACATTGAATCTAGAATCTCTAATCAGATATTTATACCAGCTTGAATTAAAATCCTTTCTTGGTTCTATATCAGGAACACGTAAAATCCATTTTCACACATATTCCCCCATGCATTTACAAATTTAGCTATAAAATCTTGCAAGTCTCATATTCAAGAAGCTTCTAGTCCTCAGTATTAACTAGATAATTGGCTCCCAAGAGGATGTTGGGATTTTGAGTTCAAATGAAATAATAGATTTGGTCAGAAAGAATATTGCTTTCTTCCATCAGTTAACCACCTTAAATAAAGTATGGACTTGATATTGAAGAAATGAAGGAGCAGCTTCCTCAGTCATGTGTTGGACAGCTGAATCTGCTAGCAAGAAGGACTCAGTAAGTTTTAGCAGATGAGAAAATTTTCAGTCACCTGAATCCTCCTATTTATCCAAATATTCCAATGCTCATGATTTAACTTTTTTCCTCAGTCAATGGTCTCATTTTCTCAAAAGGCAAAAAATAAATTAAATCATCTTTGTAATTCAGGAATTCATGGAAAAAGACTTGAGTTTTGATGTATAGCTATGTCATCCTTTCCACTATAAGAGACAAGAGATGCTCTGATCATTTCAATGTGATTTAAACTAAGAACTTAATCTTGGAGATGGTGATTTTATTTCTTTAAACTATGAAGTGCATTTAGACACAGACGATCTTTGTTGAATTTCTTAAATTTCTCATGAGTTTATGGTGGAATTTGAGTCACCAAAAATATAATCTTCAATATGATTTGAGGTGAGCACAAGCAATGAGCTGCATGCCCCTATATGCCAGAAGTTGTCAGATTGCCATTCTTTAACACCAAATGGATCCTTGTTACACTGAAACACAACAGTCTGATCACTGATCCTATATTCCCATTTCCTTAATAGACTTGCCTACAACACTCCTCTCCTGGGAATTATTATTATTATTATTATTAATGTTTGTATTCTTAGTTGCACTCAAAATATACTCTGGCTAGTTGAAATAGAAAAGAGCATTAATAAAGGATATGAAGTGGCTCATAGACTCATTGAGAATAGATTCAAACATTAGAATATAAATTTAGAGGAACAATGCCCAAAACGCTACCACAGATCTGGCCTGATGAAGCTGAACATTGCCATGGCAGCTGTTGAACAATGAATGACAAGGTCTTGATTTTATTGCAATTGCTATTGCCACAAGTAGCATTGCCGTTTCTGGATCTCAAACTTCAAAACTAAAGAGAAATCATCAGTATTTCTACCAGCAACATCTTCATGTTTTTTTCCTTCACTTTCATCAGCAGAAAGCCAAAAACGAGAACTTCGTGAAGAACGTGGTTTCTTAATTTGCCTATTTGAATCAAGATCTTGCCTGGGCCCGTTGGTTTGGTATATCTGAAGCCATATACCTTTATGCGAGGAGAAACGGAAACTGAGTTTTTTGAATTCTGATATTTTTGTTGGAAAGACAGGCTTCCCTACCAGAGCTTTTAAATATATAAATTGCCATTCAAAAAATAATGCATTCCAATGAAGTTGACACATTTCACTGCATACTTATTCAAATTTGAATGAAAATTTCTACCTATAATTTATTAAATGAGTCATCTGAAATATTTAGAGAAAATCTGGTTTTACAATTAGTTGAAGTTTGTTCATCCTCTCTCCCTCTCTCATCCTTTCTCTCTTCCTTTCCTTCTTTCCTTGTCTCCTTTATTGTTATTTTTCCTGTATTCTTGTGTTTTTTGTTTGTTTGTTTGTATCTCATGTGTTGAGGGCTGAGTTAATAATGTGCCTCAATTCATGGCACATTTCCATCTTGAACCAAACAGGACCCTCTCTTGGGTTATATATTTTCTTATGTACCTACTTTCATTTTTATCCCAAATCTGCTTGCCATTTATCTACACTAAAGAGCAACCATTTTAATATGTTGTTTGTTTTTCATAAAGTATTATTATGAATATATTTATTTAAAATCATACGCATATGTTTTTTATTTAATGGTTGTATAGCTTATTGTATATAATTTTTTCTACATAATCATGTTTTATAAATCCATACATGTTGCTTATGGCCATTTAATGTGCATCATATATCCATGTTCACTGCACTTTTCATATCAACTCACCCAGTAACAGAGACCCAGGTTCTCTTACTGCCTAATTTGTGGACATTCTGTATTCAGTGTAAAGCCCTGATACAGTCATTTTAATTGAGGATACACAATGTTTCCTTAATTGTTTTCTCAAATATGAGAAGGGAAACAAAAACAATAACACTAGTTTCATTACATTTTTAGTCCTTTCCCCATTTCCCTATACAAGGTACCTAATATAGTTCTATTTTTTTCACCAAGAAATGTGATTTATTTCAGAAGAAATACATTTAAACAGAAGAAATTTAAACAGAATAAATTCTGTTTGCTTGCATCTAGTACATAGAACAGCAGATTAGTGTATGGGTTAAATCTCTGGACTTTCTGGTTTCCATCCTATCTCTTCTACTAACTAGCTTTTTGATTTGAGTAAATTACGTAAATATCACAGGGCCTCAGGTTTTTCACATGTAAAGTGGAAATAAATGGTATCTGTGACATACAATGATTACAACAATCAAATGAGCTAAATATACAAAACAATTAGTTTAATGCTTGGCATGTAGTAAGGTGTAAATAAATGTTACTATAGTATTATTTAAGAAACTCTTCAATAATCTACTCAGTAGCATGAATCCATGGAATAAATTATGGAAAAAATAGGTTTTAGACTTCATGAATATTATATAGACAGACTCATTGGTAAAGTAAAATGGAAAGAGGATAAATATTTAAAAGCAAAAAATAATGTGTAGGACCATGATTCTACAGATAACAAAAGACAACTGCTTCAAGCTTGCAGGAGTAAACCAATAAAATTCCTTTTCTAATGGGAACTATATTTTTAATGATTTCTTAAAATATTGAGCTTATATTAATCTTGAAGTTCTTCTAATTTTGATAAAATATCCAGAACAATAACATAAAGAAACAATAGTATTAACAGGGTCAAAGCCGGGTCCCTTGGCTCACACTTACAATCCTAGCACTTTGGGAGGCCTCGGTGGGCAGAACACTTGAGGCCAGGAGTTTGAGACCAGCCTGGCCAGCATGGCGGAACCCCATCTCTACTAAAAATACAAAAATTAGCTGGATGTGGTGGTGCACACTTGTAATCCCTGCTACTCAGGAGGCTGAGGCATGAGAATCACTTGAACTCAGGAGGGGGAAGTTGGAGTGAGCCAAAGTTGTGCCACTGCATTCTGGCCTGTGCAACAGAGGAAGACCCTGTTTTAGAAAAAAAAGAGCATAACAGTATCAAACTAAGAGCAAATGGAGGGAAATATATTGTATATAGAAAACAGATTTGTAATTTGATTTTCATCAAAACATAAACTGAAAATGTACAAATTTTGTTAACTTATCATTTTAATGTGTGGATGGATATTAATTTGATAAATCATTGAAGTTTCTAAGGACAGATATGAGATGAATGTTTTGTTTCATTACATGTCATGAATATATCTATATTGGCCTCACACTGATGCTTCTGTGACCAGATTAGTGTTCTGACTATGGCTGCCAACAAAAATCTTTTCATTTTGCCAATTAAAGCTGCCCGTCTATATTGAAATATTGAAATTTGTCTTCAGCAACACTCAAGTTCTGTGCTTGTTACCTTGTGCGTTTGCTGTTTGGAAAACAGTTCAAAGATGGGATTCTAATCCAATTAATATGTCTATAATTCATCTCTGATTTATTCAATAACGATTATGGTTGGGATAGAATATTTTTAGAAGTCATCAAAATTCATATTTTGTTCAATGACTTTAGAGTCTTGCCAGAGACTCACCTCATTTCCAAAAAAGCACGTCAGGGCCTTCTGTTCCTTCTCTTTCTCCCTTCTATCTATAGTGATGTCAGAGACATGATGGCTAGCATGTTTCAGCACTAATTGTGTGCTGCAAAGAAATTTATTTGAATTTCCTTATTTGATACTAGCAATATCCTCTTGACAAAATATTATTCCCATTTTTGGGATGAAGGAACTGAAGTTTAAGAACATGAAGTGGGCTGGGCACGGTGGCTCACTCCTATAATCTCAGCACTTTGGGAGGCCGAGGCAGGGGTGATCATGAGGTCAAGAGATCGAGACCATCCTGGCAAAGATGGTGAAACCCCTGACTCTACTAAAAATACAAAAATTACCTGAGCGTGGTGGTGCACACCTGTAATCCCAGCTACTTGGGAGCCTGAGGCAGGAGAATCACTTAAACCCGGGAGGCAGAGGTTTCACTGAGCCTAGATCTCGCCACTGCACTCAAGCCTGGGCGACAGAGTGAGACTCTGTCTCAAAAAACAAACAAGCAAACAAAAAAACAAACAAAAAACATGAAGTGATTCCCCCAAGGTCACAGATCTAGTAAGTGAGGGAATAGAAATCTAAACCAATTCTTATACTAGAGCCAGAATGCTCTGAATCATGACAAAAAAATTGCACATGCTATTTTCTCTACCTAAAATCTATTTTCTTATATCATTGTCCTAGATAGCTCAGTTTTCAAATTCACTTAAATTGCTGCTTTCTTGAGAAAAGCTTTCTCTGCTCTCCAGTTTGAACATGGCTTTCTAAGGTAACTCGAAGCACAGGTGCTATAACAATTTGTTCTGTTGTCTATTTTTCTGGAATCTTTTCTTAGGAGCACAACAGTTCTTACCACTCGTGATTGTTAAAATAGTTCATAAATGATGGGTTCAATGGTTTTCCTGTTCTTCAAATCAGTGTTATAATTTCAATGTCTGGTAGTGATGGTAAATAATATGTTTTAAACTTTTGAAAATTTTTCAAATAATTTTACATCAATTTTTTGTTGTTTATGCTTGATGTTTTCTTTTTTATTATTAAGGATCCAGACATAGTACACTAATTGTAATTAATAGATAGGTTCAGATTTTTTCCAGAACCCTGAAATAAGGCATTATAGCTTAAGGTTACCTGCTTAGCTGGTCTTAGCCTACTTAGTTAATCTTTCTTCTTTAGACACTATATTTTAAAATTAATTAATTAGTTAATTAATTATTGCTCCATGGGTAGATTGCATGAGGCTGAGGTTTGGGATACGAATGATCCTGTCATTGAGATAGTGAGCATACTACCTAAAAGTTATTTTTTCACCCCTTTATCCCTCCTCTCACTCCGTGCTCTGTTAGACTCCAGTGTCTATTGTTGCCACCTTTATGTCAATGAGTTCCCAATGTTTGGCTTCCACTTATAAGTGAGAACATGGGTATTAGGTTTTCTGTTCCGCATTAATTTGCTTAGGAAAATGGCCTCCACCTACATTCATATTGCTGCAAAAGACATGATTTTGTTTTTTTTGTGGCTGTGTAGTGTTCCATGGAAGACAACTAAAATCATGACAAAGGATCCATTGAAAGTGACTGAACCCATTCTAGAGATAAATTTTGTGTATTGTGTTATTTAATGGCAATTCACAGTATTTTCAATCTTTAGTGGTTTTAAGAATTACCTGTCTGTTTGTTACAATGCATTTTCATGGACTCCATGCCCTGAATTTATGATTTAGTATATACAATGTAGGGGCCAATAATCTGCATATTTTAACACACACACACACACACACACACACACACACTCTCTCTCTCTCTCTCTCTCTCTCTCTCAGTGATTTTGATGCAGGGAGTGTTTGTCTGACATTCTGAAAAAAAATTACATTTGTAGGAAGTTCTGATATTTATTTTCTATCTCTTTTCTCTAGGGAAATGGTGACACCCTTAATCAGGGTTGTTTGATGTCAGTTTGCCCAAATGCTCTGTACAAAATACCTGCTGATAGTCTATTTTTGCACCAGCAATGATTTTGTTAATGCTATCTTCTTTCTGTCTCACCTGTGAGCTCTATTCTGCCCACTGCTCACCTAGAAACTAGTTTTAAACTCTACTATTTCGTGTCAAATCTGGTTGCAAACAGATTTGCTATTCAATGTAAACGTGGTCAACAATCTATTAACTGAGAAATTCATCAAACATTCGTGTGGCTTAGCTCATAATCAGAGCAGCTCAGTTATTGAACTGTTCAATCATTCTTCTCATTGGCATACATGCTATGAATTTATTTGTTAAAAATGCATATTGTAAATTGATATGCATAGATTATCAATTTTCTTAAAACCTCATGCTGAGGTTTCACTCCCCTTTATTACTATTCCTAGGGAACACAGTTCTTAAAGCCTTCCCAGTGGTTGAAATCATATACATCTTCTTAGTGTGCTGTGTAGATGTAGTATAACACTGAACCCAGAGAGGCAAAGTTATGTTTAAATCAAGCATATGCATGAGTCCTTTATTAGATTCTAAACAAAGTTCACTTAGAGGAAAGAAGGATTTTTTATGCAGCATGTTGAAATAACTTGTTCATGTGATTTTATGAAATTGATTGCCATGCATTCACACATGAAGTATTTATTCAGCACCTTCTGCATTCGTTATACTCAATTGAACATTTTTAAAGATATTAAGCTAGTCAAAAGCATGCATCGTCTTTAGAGTATTCTATTCCCCCTCTGAAGAATTAAAAAATTGAATAATAAAGGCTAATAAAATAAAACAGAAATGAATGAATGGCAGTTGGGCATTGAACTCAATAGTAATAGCATCAAATCTATTACCTTTGAGTGACAATATAGATTGACTTGTTTACGCTATCTTTTTTAGTCTCTATTTTGCCTCCTTTATCAAATGTACACATCTGTGAAAGCATTTACTCAAATCCACTTAGTCATGGTATGGAAATGCAATTATTAAAAATAGATGACAAACCATTTTGCAACAGCTCTTATGTCTATTTAAAAGGTCGTGAGTTGTTTGGGGAGTCTCAATGCCAGCATAATCGATCTTTATTGATGAAGACCTATTGTTAAATGATATATTAACATAAAATGAAATGAGTAAAGAAATATTTTAAGATTGACTTTTGGGAGCATTTTTATTTATTCCATTTGATTTTATTAATAATTAACCGTTCATTGGATACATTACTGAAATAGTCAAAGCAACTTAGCTATTTTGTAGTTTGGCTGCAAAACACCAATATCTTCTTTATCAGAACAAGCATCTAGCTTGAGGAGGTTTTTTGAAGATGTGAAATGTTTTTGATTAGACAAAACATACTTTGAATGGTGGCTTTTTGATCTTACATTTTCGAATTTTCCTCCATTAGTAAGAAAATAGAGGATAGTTTATTGACTCTTCAAGCCTAGAAGGCCTGAGGATATGACCTGTTCTGCAAACTGATGCTTACATTATAACTCAGTAAATAGTTTCCTCTAGACTTGTGGTATGAACAAAATATAAATATAACATTATTCTAACAGTGAATTTTATTTGCTTTGGTTGTATCTGCCTATTTAATGTATATGATTTATAGAGCTTGTGTTTATTTTTTAAATACTCTTTATTTCTTCACTAATAAAATAGTAAATGACGTTTGAAGATGAAAACTCTCATTATCTAATGAATTATTAATCTTCAGTTATTTTTTCTGTCATCTACAGTATATTCATATTAAAAAGAATTCATTTCTTTATTATTATTGTTATACTTTAAGTTCTAGGGTACATGTGCACAATGTGCAGGTTTGTTACATATGTATACATGTGCCATGTTGGTGTGCTGCACCCATTAACTCGTCATTTAGCATTAGGTATATCTCCTAATGCTATCCCTCCCCTCTCCCCCCACCCCACAACAGGCCCCGGTGTGTGATGTCCCCCTTCCTGTGTCCAAGTGTAAAAAGAATTCATTTCTTATACATGTACTTAATCCTCAATATGCTATAGATATTAAAGGAAATATTTCTATTTCAGACAAAAAAAAAAAGCCCTTACAAAACATTGAAAGAGTAATGAGGACTACTAATGGGAAAGGGAGAAAAGGGTGTCAAAAACTACCTGTCGGGTACTATGATCACTACTTGGGTGATGTTTGTTCACTACGGGATCATTTGTACCCTAAACCTCAGCATTACATAATATAAGTGATATGGTTTGGATCTGTGTCCCCACATAAATCTCATCTTCAATTGTAATCCCCATAATCCCCATGTGTCAAGGGAGAGACCAGGTGGGAGGTGATTGTATCATGGGGCCAGTTTCCCCCATGTTGTTCTTGTGATATTGAGTGAGTTCTCATGAGATCCAATGGTTTTATCAGGCAGTTTTTCCTGCACTTGCTCTCTCTCTGTTTTGCCTGTCACCGTTTAAGATGTGTCTGTTTCTTCTTCTGCCAAAATTGTAACTTTCCTGAGGCCTCCCAGCTATGAAGAACTGTGAGTCAATTAAACCTCCTTTGTTTATACATTACCCACTCTTGGGTAGTATCTTTATAGAAGTGTGAGAATGGTTTAATAAAGGAAATTGGTACTTCAGAGAGCGGGGTACCTCTATAAGGATACCTGAAAATGTGAAAGTAACTTTGGACCTGGGTAACAGGCAGAGGTTGGCATCGTTTGAAGGGCTCAGAAGACGAAGGTAAGATGTAGGGAAGCTTGGAACTTCCTAGAGACTTGAATGTTTTTTGACCAAAATGCTGATAGTGATATGGACAATGAAGTCCAGTATGAGGTGGTCACAGATGGAGATGAGGACCTTGTTGGGAACTGGAGAAAAGGTCATTCTTGCTATGCTTTAGCAAAGAGATTGGTGGCATTTTGCCTCTGCCCTAGATATCTGTGGAACTTTGAACTTGAGAGAGATGATCTGAAACTGGAATTTATGTTTAAAAGGGAAGCAGAGCATAAAAGTTTGGAAAATTTGCAGCCTGATGATGTGATAGAAAAGAAAAACCCATTTTCTCGGGAGAAATTCAAGCCGGCTGCATAAATTTGCATAGTAACAAGGAACTCGATGTTAATTGCAAAGACAGTGGGGAAAATGTGTCCAGGGCCTGTCAGAGAATTTGGAGCAGCCCTTCTCTCCTAAGTCTCCTGGCTTGTGAAGAGAAGGGCCAGGTTTTGTGGGCCAGGTTTTGTGGGCCAGGCCCAGGGGCCCCTGCTCTGTGCAACTGTGGCACTTGGTGTCCTATGTCCCAGCTGCTCCAGCTCCAGCTGTGGCTAAAAGGTGCCAAGGTACAGCTTGCACCATTGCTTCAGAGGGTGCAAGCCCCAAGCCTTAGCGGCTTCCACGTGCTGGTGGGCCTGCAGGTGCACAGAAGTCAAGAATTGAGGTTTGGGAACCTAGATTTCAGAGGATGTATGGAAACTTCTAGATATCCAGGCAGAAGTCTGCTGTAAGGGCAGAACCCTCATGGAAAACCTCAGAAGGGAAATGTGGGGTCGGAGCACCCACACAGTGTCCCCACTGGGGAACTGGCTAGTGGATCTATGAGAAGAGGGCCACTTCAGACCCCAGAATGGTAGATCCACCAACAATTTGCACCCTGTATCTGGAAAAGCCAGAGGCACTCAATGCCAACCCATGAAGGAGCTTCCCAAAGCTATAAGAGCCCACCTTTGGCATCAGTGTGCTCCAGATGTGAGACAGGGACTCAAGGAGATGATTTTGTAGCTTTAAGATTTGATGACTGCCCTGCTGGATTTCAGACATGCCTGGGACCTGTGGCCCCTTCGTTCGGTCAATTTCTCCCATTTGGAATGAGAGCATGTATCCAATGCCTGTATCCCCATTGTATCTTGGGAGGAACTAACTAGCTTTTGATTTTACAGCCTCCTAGGTGGAAGGGACTTGTCTTGTCTCAGATGAGACTTTGGACTATGCACTTTTGGGTTATCGCTGGTTAATTTGGTGTAATGAGTTAAGATTTGGGGGGACTGTTGAGAAGGCATGATTGTGTTTTGAAAAGTGAGGACATTAGATTTGGGAGGGGCCAGGGAAGGAATGATATGGTTTGGCTCTGTGTTCCCACCGAAATCTCATCTTCAATTATAATCCCCATAATCCCTACATGTCAAAGGAGAGAGCAGGTGGGAGGTGATTGGATCATGGGGGCAGTTTCCTCCATGCTTTCTTGTGATAGTGAGTGATGAAAAATCTATCATGAGATATGTTGGTTTTATAAGCAGTTTTCCCTGCTCTTGCTCTCTCTCTCTGTCACCTGCCACCATGCAAGACAAATCTGCTTCCTTTCCACTATGATTTTAAGTTTCCTGAGACCTTCCCAGCCATGTGGAACTGTAAGTCAATTAAGCCTCTTTTGTTTATGAATCACCCAGTCTCAGGTAGTATCTTTATAGAAGTGTAAAAACAGACTAATACAATACCCATGCAACAAACCTGAACATATACCACATGAACCTAAATAAAAGTTGACATAAAAATAATTATTAAGATTTTCAAGTTGTTAGTGATATGGGTGGTAACAGTGATTTATTTTTGTTTTCATCCATTTTAGACAATTAAATTTTATGAGAATAAATGGTTTCAAAGACTGAATAATTTTAAACATTTCCCAATATGATGTTGGCATTGGTATCCATCAGAAAGAAGGTAGATATGCCCTTGTTTATGAGATTTATGTCTGTTTTTCTAGGAGTTAGGACTGTTAAAAGAAAAACTTCATCCAAATTAAATTTAAAGGAGTGTAATTGAGCAATGAACAATTTGCAAATCGGGCAGCCCCCAGAATCACAGCAGATTCAGAGGGACTCCAAGGATGCCTCATGATCAGAACAAATGTATAGACAAAGAAAGGAACTGATGTATAGATATTGGACATGAGGTACAGAAACAGCTGGATTGGTTCTGCTCAGTGTTTGCCTTATTTGAACACAGTTTGAATACAGCAGTGTATGGCTGCTGGGATTTGCCAAAATTCAGATATTGTTATAGGCACATACTCCTAATTTAGGGTTTCAATATTGTCTATCTATTAAGTTAGGTTACAGTTCATCCACAAGGGCTCAAATATAGAAGTACACAGTGCTTCTCAGGCCATATTTAGTTTGCTTTAACAGGACTGCAAATATTAGTGGCTTGTTCTTCAAAACTGTGAAGTCGCATATGTAACATAATTGATAGTGACCTTAAATTTCATGTAGACTTACTGTATTCTTTGCTTCCTAAAGAATTTTTCATTATCTTATCTTGCTTCATCATTATTTCTGCCTTACCATTACTTTATCGCCTTTAAAGAAAAATATCCAACTCTATATGTCACTGTGCTATCTTTAATAGAGAGAGATGGTATTCATGTACATGGTTATTACAAGACAGCAGATAAAATACATGTTCTACTATTATATATTTAGGAAAATCTTCACCAGGTGTGGTGGTTCACACGTGTAATGCCAGTACTTTGGGTGGCTGAGGCAGATGGATCACTTGAGGCCAGGAGTTTCAGACTAGCCTGGACAACATGGTAAAATCCTGTCTCTAGTAAAAATATAGAAATTAGCCAGGCATGGTGGCACACACCTGTAATCCCAGCTACTCGGGAGGCTGAGGTGGGATAATCACTTGAACCTGGAGGCAGAGGTTGCAGTGAGCCAAGATCATGCCACTGCACTCCAGCCTGGGTGACAGAGCGAGACTCTGTCTCAAGAAAAAAAAAAAAAACAAAGAAAGAAAAAGAAAACTCTTCACAGACTTCTTCAGTTACTGCCACATGAGATGAAGTTCCTGGGCTCAACATTGTATTAACTTTATTATAAAGACTAACCATGAATGTCATGGAAAATAACTCTTGTTTATTTTGTTAGGGTATCACATTAATGGTTCAACTAGACTCTGGTTTAATAGCAATCTACTCTCCTTTGATTTTCTTTTCTTTTTTAAAGCCTAATGGCTATTTTGGCTTTTTCTGGGGGAGGTGGCTATGAACTTTTATTTTATTTATCTTCTAACAATTTTTGTGCGCACACAGTAGTGTATACATGTTTTTTCTTACTAAGTGAACAGATTTTTAAGATATTTAATCCAGATTCATCTTAAAATTCTTACATATTCTTTAAATTTGTTTTATGCTGATAATGATGATGATTATAGCAAAAAATGTATTACAACATGCCAAATTGTCCTAAATTTTATATGGATATGTTAAGTACATTTATTACAGAAATATCTAATTTTTTTGTGTTAAATTAGAAACAGAGACAAAATCTGTGTTTTTCTCCTGAATCTGATCCTCTTTCCAAAGAGCTATTAAGTGGCCCTTATACTCCTTGCTGGCGTCCAACTCTGCCCTTTTGCTCTGAGATGCTAAAGGTGTCTCAGCTTTCTTCTACTTTGAACATTGTTTTTGTTTTTAATTGCCCTATATAAATCACCTTTTACTAATACTTTCTAAAATACAAACAATAAAGAGCATTACTCATCATCATTTTACACCTCATACTAATCATTTGGAATACATAACTTGAATACCTATTTCGCACCCTAGTTAATAGGCCAGAGATTTAAATTCATAGTTTTCTGACCCTACAGCAGTCTAGAAGCTGCGAGTAGCATAAATTTAACCAGAATGTACTTAAACAATACAGAGAATATATTTTATCATTGAAAATCACCAGTTCCAGGAACACTTTGATTATGGGTCTGGCTTCATTTCTGAAATTTGCAGAACTTGACCTTCTTCTTCACCAACTTTACCTCAAGCTGAAGTTCTACCATAATAGCAAAATGGCTGGAGCAATTACAGACTTCACATATGCATACCACATCATCCAGAAGGAAAGGAAACTTCTCTTCCTCCGTTCATCAGCTAAAAGTCCTAGACTTCACACTCAAGGGCCCGTTTAAGATAGTGCTTACCACAAAACCTATCACTGTGATGAAGCTGGCTCCTTCCCCACAGACTTCCCCATGGAACTCCACAGGGCCCCAGATGTAGAGTCAATCCCATCAAAACTTTGTAACTGTGACAAAATGGAGAGTAAATGGAATGGATTTAGGGATTAAATCTTAGCATGTTTTCTTGCCCACATGCAGTATTTTTGTGTAATTTTGTGTTAGTTCATAAGCGTTTTGTGAAAGCTTGTCTATTAGTACTTAAGCTGTCTTCATGAATCATAACCTTTGCTTCTGGAACATCCAAACCTTGTTTTATATATATATATATTTTATATATATATGTATATATGTTATATATATTTTACATATATATGTATATATGTTATATATATTTTACATATATATATAATATATATAATATATATATTATATATATTTTACATATATATATATAATATATAATATATATATTATATATATATATAAAGGTGTGTGTCTGTATATATGTGTAGGTGTGTGTGTGTGTATACATACCATATGTGTGTATGATATATATCTCCCCCCTGGCTATTTTTCCAGTTTATTTTATAAATTATTTTATATTTCTCATCAATTTATAGATTTCTATTACTCAAAGTTCTGCCCTAGAATCTTTCTCACTTTGAAAAAATATATATTGTGACATTTTATTCCAAAAGCATGCTTGGCTATGTGATATGTAACAAACCATCTCAAAAGCTCAGTGACCTAAAACAATAACCATTTATTTTTGCTCATGTGTCTATATATCTATTAGGTGTTCCATGTTTCCTCAGCTGGCTTACTTGATAAATATGTATATACAGCCAGATGCAGGTTGGATAGGTAACTACATTTATTCCCTATGGCTGCTGTAACAAATTACCACATACTTTGTGGCTTAAACAACATGGATTTATTATCATAAATTCTGTAAGTTGGAAGTCCAGTAGTATCTTCTCTGACTAAAATCGAGGTGTCAGCAGGACTGTGTTTCTCTTCGGAGGTTCTAGGGCATAATTCATTTACTATCCTTTCTAGGTTCTAGAGGAAAGATGCATTTGGCTGCTGGTCCTCTTCTTCCACCTTCAAAGCTAGCAATGATGGCTCAAATGTTTACATTGCTTCGCCCTGACCTCATCTTCAGCCCCCCTCTTCACTTCTTTTTACCCTTGTTATTACATTGGGCCCACCCAGATAATTCAGGGTAATTTTCCTGTCTGCTAATTAGCAAACTTTATTCTATCTGCAACTTTAATTCCCATTTGTCATGTAATGTTACATATCCAGATGTTCTGTGAATTAGTAAACAGACGTCTTTGGAGGGCCATTATTATGCCTACAACAATGGCTCTGTGGAAGTGATCTAGACTCTCTTAGGCATCTGAAGATCAGCACACTGACTGATTTAGGATGGCTTTCGTTGAGATAACTGAATTTTTCTCCTTATGGTCTTTCAACCTGCAGCAGGCTGGCTCAGGCTTGTCTCTTGTAAAGTCAAGTTACTAAGAGAAATAGCATGTCATTACATGCACTACTTTCTACTGGCTGTAATTAGTCAAAAGATCAGTTCAGATTCAAATGGTGGGAAATCCAAGTATTCCACCCTTAATGGGAGAAGCTACAAAAATCACATGACAAATGGCCTAGAAATTGACAGGGGTGGAGAATTGGGGCCAGTTTTGCAATAAATCTACCACTGTTGGAATACCTTTAATCATCATAATGACTGGTTTATTCTCTGAGCAGACAAACTCTCTTTTGCTTTCTGGTCTTTATATATGTCATTCTGACTGGCTGGCACCCTATCTTTTTTCCTTGCTCATTCTGCTGAGTAGAAAACAAAGTAATCTCTTTGTACTTTGGTTTGTTATGGAGGTGGTCCATTGGAAGACAAATAAAAGAGTCAGGTTTCATTCTGCTTTATTGCCATCTTTCTTGTGTATTTTTAAATAACCACTTCTTTTGTCCCAATGGTAATTAAGGGGCTATCACTTTTTCTGTGTCTCATTTCTTGCTTTCTGTTCCCAGATGTGGGAAATTCATGTGGGACAACTATATGCTCAAGTGCAGTGGGGTGGCTTGTGTAGAACGAAAAGGAAATGCTACAGAAGGGATGCCTCCATCCTAAGTATCTGACTTTAATAACAGGACTTTCGGCCTATAAAAACTTAAAGAAAAGGAGCCACATGGATGAGGAGTCTATGCTTACAATCAGATATTCCCAGGTAATGTTTAAGAGCTTCGGTAATCTTGGAAACACTTTTGATGCTTTTTCTCCTCACATCCCACATCTAATCATCCAGTGAATTCTAACTATTCTACACCTAAATATAGCTGTAATTCAGTAGTTTGTCATCCATTCCATTGCTAACACCTTGATCCAAACCACCATTATGTCATAACTAGATTGCAACAGTCCCCTGGTGAATGTCCTTATTTTCTCTCTTGGATCTCTACAGTTTATTTTTAATACAGCAGCCACAGGGATCTCTTTAAAATGTGTCAAATGACGATACTTCCCTCCTCAAAACCCTCTAATGACTCGCCATCTTACTCAGAATGGGAGACATAGTCCTACAGGTTCTGGAACTTTATCATTTATTTGACTGACCTCGTCTCCCAATGCTTTCTCACTCACTCACTTTACCAGGTACATTTGCCTTTTTTGCCAATCATTGAACTTTCCAGGACTGTTTCAGTCTCAGGACTTCTATGCTTGTTTTTATGTCTGCCGAGAACCATCTTTTCTAAAATATCCACATTTCTCCCAACTTTGGCATTATTGTTACCTTTCATTCAAACATTCTCAAAAGTGTTTTCAGACCATCCTATTTAAAGTTATGTGCATATGTGTACACACGTGGGCACACATGCCCACACACATGCACACATACAACCTCTCTCACCCTAACCTTTCCTATCCCATTTAACGATATTCTTGTCACAGCACATATTACCCTCTAACACTATATGATTTACTTAATTTTTATGTCTTTTTTTGTTTGTCCTTGAAAGTGTGAGAATGTAAGTTCTATTAGGGCAGGATAGTATAATTTGTTTACTGAAGTATCGTCAAATGCCAAGAATTGTGTGTACACACAGAAAATACTTGATATTTTCAAAAAAATGAGTGAACGAGTGAATGTATGACATTATAGATTCTGTATCATTTTACAAATGGGTATTTTTTTCTTAGGAAATTCCAGGTTATATTTTGCTCTTTTATGGAGCTAAAGCGGGGATCTTTTCCTCATTCTTAAATTATCTGCTATCTCATATTGAAAGATACTACTACTACATAGTCCAACAGCAGGGGAACCCGTATGGGCAACATCTGTCATATTCCTATTATTTCCGCTTTTTGTTTGGTGAGCTCTTACTCAATTTCTTTCTTCCTTTCCTTCCTTTCTTTCCTTTCCTTCCTTTCCTTCCTTTCCTTCCTTTCCTTCCTTTCCTTCCTTTCCTTTCTTTTCTTTCTTTCTTTCTTTCTTTCTTTCTTTCTTTCTTTCTTTCTTTCTTTCTTTCTTTCTTTTTCTTTCTTTTCTTTCTTTCTTTCTTTCTTTAGAGGGGTGGGGGGATGGAGTCTCACCCTGTTGCCCAGGCTGGAGTGCAATGGCACGATCTCGGCTCACTGCAACTTCTGCCTCCTGGGTTCAAGCGATTCTCCTACCTAGTACCTGGGATTACAGGTGCCCACGACCACGCCCGGCTAATTTTTTGTATTGTTAGTAGAGACGGGGTTTCACTATTTGACCAGGCTGGTCTTGAACTCCTGACCCTGTGAACCGCCTGCTTCTGCCTCCCAAAGTGCTAGGATTACAGGTGTGAGCCACCGCTCCTGGCTTCTCTTACTCAATTTCTATTACCAGCTAATATGACTCCTTTCGGGAAGCTGTCTTTGAATAATTAAATCTGAGATAGATGTCTTATTTCAATTTTCTGGAAATTTCAATTTTCTGGAAATTTCATCACTCTTACATAACTTTGTTGTAATGTTCTTATTTGTCTCTTCTACTATGCTATAAGCTCTTTGAGAACAGAAATTATCCATATTTTGTTAATGACTGAATTGTTAGTGATTAGTACTGTTTTAACATATAATAGGTATTTATAAATATTTTAAATGAATAAATAAATGAATGTAATTCATTTAAATGCTATTAATTCCAAAATGAGAAAAAACTTCAGTATCTAATCTAATAGCCAAATTCGTATTTTTAATTTTATCAATTGAAACTGATTTATTCTAAATACTAATACTAATTATTTCTAACATTTCAGTCACCCTAAAGCAACTTTGTTTTCCAGATAGAATTATTAAAATTTTGTCAACATTCCCCCTTGGTCATCATGTCTATGTTTTAAATAGTCCTGCTTAATTTATTTTTAAAATGATTTTAATAAATGTGCTTTATCATGTGTACATTATTCAATCTTACCAGTAATTATTTTACAAGTTGTTACATCAAAATTACTGTTAGGCAAAACTATCACAACGTTTGATTTTCTGGTTCTTTATAATATTGTGTAAATTATTATCTATTTAGATTAAAGTAGGTTAATTGAGTGCCTTAAAATAAAAGTGCCTGCTTCTCCTTTGTGTTGCCTTATCAATCTCCTGAGCCAAGTATCACATATCTTCTTCTTTTTGTTGTTTTATTTAAATTTTGTAGGCACGTCAGTAATTTTAAAGTGGTTCCAAATAGAAAAAAGAATTTGTAGAAAACAAGCTACATATGGGAACTTTGATGGGTTTTGAAGCCTAGTTATTTATAATGAGTAAAATTGAGGGTCAATTCAAATTTGTGAACTCCTACACTTCCCAAAATAAAGTTATTACTTTATTTTGTACATGCTTGGAGTTTCTTTTTATATTTCATGTTACTCTGGTACTACAGTTTTTTGTTCTTCTTTGAATGGATGAAAGACAAGGCTTTGAGGTCTCCAAAAAAAAATTTCCTCTTGTTGTAGTCTTAATATTTATTTATTTATTTTTTAGTGTAGGACAAATAGAAGAAATGCTTAGTCTTAATTATTGAAAATAAAATTTTTAGATAGATTTTAAGAGTCAGGACACATTTTTACCAAATTACTAAATCAGCTTTGAGGTCTACACTAGAGTTTTGACTATAGTTTTAAAAAATTATTTCCCTATCTCAGGATCTCTATGTATATAAGCATTCATTTTCTGGCAAAATATTAAATGTCAAATGTATTCCCAGTCATGGCAAGAGAAATATTGTGCAAAAAAATAACTACATGACAAGAGAAAAACTATGATTTCTGTATGACTCACCTTGTAGACAATATTTTTTTTGACATCTGAATGAACTTATACTTAAATGAGGACAGTAGAAAATGAGGTACTTGTTAAAGGCAACACAATTACTGCAAGGTGCGATACTGTAATAGAGTGGTTTGGAATCCCTATTTAGTGATCTTCAGATTTTACTTTGTTGATATCTTTGGGTTTATTCTCTTATAACAGTACAATGCTGATTTAAAGAGTTTTCTATTACTTTGAAGAGCCTGTATTAACAGTAGTGATCTTTCTCATAACTTTTGTAGAATCATTTTCTAAAACACATGACTGGAACATTTTAAGTAACTAAAATCCAGTTTGAACAAAATGATTTACTTCACTGATATCATAGAAACCACAAATTCCATGCCTAATATAACCTTATAAGAGATATACTTCATAAGATTTTACCTTGTGAATGTCACTATTAAATACCCAATTAAAGAGTCATCTGTGCTGAACGGCTTTGCAAATAAAAAGCCAGCTTGGATATGAAATGAACAAACTTGCATCACACAGGAACACATATATTGTAAGTGGCAAAGTAGTAGAGAGATATTTTCCACTTTAAAAAAAGATGTTATTGATACAGTTTTAATATAGACCAATACTTATGTCAGTGTACTACATACTTACCTTTTTGAAAAATACTTTAAACAGAATTTATAGATCATGGCCATTAAGCTTAAGTTATATTCTGAAGATTGCATTTGTTAATCATAAATTTCTTTAGAGACCTAAGTAAAGAGTTTATGTCATTCTGCTTTTATTCAGAGATAGGGATTTCTGTTTAAGTATCCAGTTCCCAGAACAAAAATAATGCATATAGTAGGGTATAAAAATATGGCCAGATACCTTTAAAGGTCTTTCATCATGAGGTTAGAGTCTGTTTCTCCAACCCTGAATTTGGGCTGGCCTTGTCACTTTATTTGTTTAATGGAGTGTTGTAGAAGGGATGTATAAATTCTATTGCTAATGCCTCTAAAGATCTGTGGCTTCCTCTTCCACCTTCTTGGAACGTTGAGACCACCACTATCTGAAAAAGTTTCTTCTGGCTTCCTGGAAGATGAGAGAGCATGTGGAGAGAGGGAGTGCCCTGACCAGGTCATCTGGTCACTCTAGCCTCCCCCACTGAAGCCCCAGACTCCTGAAGGAGGCTATCTTGGACAAGCCTAGTGCCCAGCTAGTCTTTGAGATGAATACAGACCTGTGGATGAATCTAGTCAAGACCAGGAGAAGACCCCCCCATCAATGTTTAGAATTGTGAGAATAAACAGTGGTTTTTCTGTCATCAAATTTGGGAGCAGTTTCATTACAGCAGTTGGTAAATAAATAGTCAATATCATGGTATACTTGCAAAATGCCTAGCAATACTTGGAGAATAAAATAAAAATTATTCTATCATTTTTATAATTGTTCTTCTTACTGAGGGGAAAGACAATATATAAATAATCTAAGAAACTTGTATTTAGCTAGTAGGTAAAGAATTCAGAATTTGAACCTAAAGAATTTGGCTTGAGAAGTGTCCCGTGACCACATTAGTGCTCAAAAGATGATAATTCGGAAATCAACACAGACGATTCCTAAAATGTAAAAGACTACACTTCTCCAATAGCCCTGTATTAATTATGTATTAATATTCTATTCTATCTATCTGCCTATCAATCTGTCTACTATCTCTTTATAATCTAATGTGTGCATATGCTTGATTTCTCCAGTAGACGGCATGTTCTGCTTGGTTAACTGCATAATGATTCAATATCAATTATATTCTGTTATTGTATCTCTGTAGACTTGACCTGGGTTTCTTTTATGATAATATTTCCTCATTAGCTTTTGTTCTCATTTTTCTCCTTTTTATATTTCACAATATTTTCATGTCTATATTTCAAAGCTTAAGAAACAGCTCTTTGGATACATCATGGTTTCAAATGTGCCCCATTTTTGTAGCTGTTAATGAAGTTTTGCTGTACCCATTAAATGTGTCATTTTACTTCTGAGGTTGCAAGGTTTATATATCTTTTATGAAAGTCATGACTTACAGCTTTATAAGCTAGATAGCTTGATTAATAGTCTTTCTTTTTCTACGTCCTCCATTAATCTGCTCTTTTGTGATATGTTTTCATGGAATTTTTGTATGAAGAATATAGTAAAATAAATACTTTCTAAAATAGCAAAAGATAATGCTGAGGAAATTATTAGTTTACCTGTTACATGGTAGTAAATTTGTATATCGAAAATATGTTAGAGCAAATTGGAAGTCCTTTAAGAGAACGGCAACATTACATATTTAGATTTACAGTAATATAAATTTTCTGTTTTTCAGTGATTTACAGTGACATCCTTTTAATACATGTGAATAAACTGCATAAAAATAAAACAAACAAGAACATCAAGATTGTATAGCCAAATGGAAACATAATATTAAATCACAGATAGTGACTGGATCTGTTCTTCACTTAAAGTCTTCATCACAAGCAAGTCTAGTTTTTAGACTTTAAGTTTAGTCTTGGTTGCTAGGTGTACATTTACAATAACTCTCTTATTGCTAATTGCTGATTTGTTGTTAGGTGAAGACAGATTTCAAAATGTTAAAATTTAGTGTTATGGTATGTAATTATGAGGGTATTTATGATTTAAATGAAAGTGTAGTGATCATGTGGAATATTTATAGTAAATTTTTGTTTATTTCCAGTGTTATGGTTATTTTATCACACATACAATCCATGACACTAATAGCAATTTGATGATTAACCACATTAAATTATTGTGCAGTGATTAAATATAAAATCTGTAAGAAAAATCATTAAACTACTATCTATAATAAAAATCACTGTGGTATAAAATAATTCTCTATCTCCCCTCATTCACCTCAAACACACACGTACATTGAAGCATATACCAACACACATACAAATCCTTTTCACCATTACAGTTTCAATGAGAGAAACACTTCTTTAGGCTAATTAATTCCCAAATGTCAAATACATACAAATCAATTGAAAAAACTACTGTGAACACTTAGAAGTCTCTAATTTTTATCTACCTGCCTATCTACTAAGACAATGAGTAATATTGCTATATTTTAAATGCCTATATATTATATAAAATATTTAAATATACTTTTGACTTTTTTACTTTTTATGGATGTTAACCTTAAAAAGTCATTACTTATAAATAATAGTTACTGAGTATTTAGTATATTCCAGGCACAAAACTAAGTTATTTACATTAACTTCTCATTTAATTATCTAGTATTCCTATGTAGAGTCTTCATTCAAAGCTAAAAATCTGAGACATAAGGAAACTAAATAATGTTTTAATAGTATAGTTGAAGGTGAAGTTGAGATTCAAACTATGGCTAGCTATCTTCATTCAGACAGTTAAATTCACATTTAGAAATATGAATATATAGTAATGTAAATATGGTTTTGAAACTTGAGACTATATAATATTAAAATTCTACATACATTAACATAATTCTGTTCCCTATATATATTTAAATTTCCTATATATATTTCCATCAGCAGAATACATGTACATATATGTGTATATATAATTTTAAAATAAAAGTGTCCTTAATTATCTTTACATTAGATTACAACAGAAATCAAATTGGAAAGAAAGGTCAAGAATGCATTATTTTCCAGTTTCTCACGTCGAGATTCAAAGCTAATTTAATATTAAGGGTAGATTATTTCAAAATATGGTTTGAATAGGGTTCCCTATACCCAGCATTAGCACTAGTACACATTTTTCTCCTTTTTAATGTACTAAACAGTTATTGGATAACTGAATATTTTATAATCAATCAATATTTTTCATTAGCTTTTCTTTCATTTGCTGATTTTAACTATCTTCTTTTTTAGATTTCCTTTATAAAAATTACTGTCTCCCATATTGACTCATTGGCTTTAATGTTTCATTTCCATTCTAACAAAAGAGAGACTGAAATGCATAAATATAAAAATTTAGGTTTCATTTTATTGTTTCCATGTTTGGAAAATTTTGTAATGGTAAATAGCTTTAATAAACACATGTATATTATTACTCTATATATGTTCTTGGTATGAGTTTCAGTATGTGAGAAAAGAGAAGAAAAATTGACAGTAATCATGCCTTAGAGGTAAATCTGTGTATGTCAAGTTACAGTTCAGACCACTGACACAGTAAAAGGGATAGCCTTTTATTCAACTAATTATTCCTACTTTCCATATGCAATAGTAAATGAAAGTATTTATATATATACTAAGATATATTAAAATCCTCAAAAAGAACAGTGATTTGTGCATTATTTATCTCAACTGAAATAGATTGTGATAAATAATGGAAAAGTAGTTTCCCATAAAGCTGGATTAACTTTTGAAATTGTTGTTTTGTTTTCCTTTAGTTTCCATGTTATTGATGAGATACAATAATTTGCCAGTTCCAGATCAGAAAATTTAAACTGAAGCCCATTATTAAGATGTGTTACTTACCTTACTTTATTTCAATATCCTATTTGAATTAGGAACTAAACTAAGTATTGAGTATGGTCCTTACATCCCTTGAATGTGTGTAACACAAATTGGCCCCAGTTTAAACTTCAGAGGAAAGAAACATAATAATTCAGATTTCTGCTTATGCATTTCTTGCTTATCTTGTTTGCAGGTGTTAGAATGTGAAAATGCAATTGATTCTTACTCTCAAAAAATAACAGGTGTGAAAATTCACATGCATCATCACTGTGTGACTAAGCACTTAAAATTAATAAAAGAGAAAGATATTTTGATTTATATTAATGAATATGTTAACTTGCCTTCTTAATGACGATATTCATCTCAAATTCTAAATGGAGCCAAATGGAGCATAAATAAATCTTGTAAATGAACGGTTCACTAAATTATTGAACAAATTAATAACAGGTAATATTTACTGTAGGCTTGTTTCTATTTATACATGTACTATATAATAATTTTGAATACCTACTATTAGAAAGGTACTATTGTAGGTAATACTTGAAAAATAGAAATGAATCAAAATTTCTGTCTTCAATGAGTGTACAGTTTAATATGGGAATTACATATGGATACAAGTAACTCTAAGATAAAGTTAAAAGTAGGTTTATTAGGAAGATTAATAAATTAATGTGAACATTAAGAAGAAACAGTGATTATTTCCAGATGAGACACTCAAAAGATTTCATTAAGGAGACAGTTGAATAAGGTCATCAATTGTGTGTAGGATTTGGACATGCTAAGATGGAAAAGAGCATGTTGAGTTATGGAAACATATTGAGTAAAGGCAGAGAAGTAGCATTGTCAAAGATGCATAAAAGATTTAGAATGGTCTAGTTCATGCTGTATAAGGGATGATATGTTTGGAAAGGTAAATTGATATAAGATTTTGGAGGGCTTCAATACTAGAATATAAATATTTCATTTAATTCTCTATGCATTGAAGAGCCATTACAATTTCTTCGTATGAAACTAAATTTTGCTTCACACATTTTTGAGATAAAATAAGTGCAAAGAATAATTTGAAATGCAAAAATATCTTACACTGAATATGTATATTGTCAATTATCTTAGTATAAAAACTTCCTTCAAAAAAGGTACTCTTTTTTTTTTTTTTTTTTTTTTTTTGGGATGGAGTGTCGCTCTGTCACCCAGGCTGGAGTGCAGTGGTGTAATCTCGGCTCACTGCAAGTTCCGCCTCTCGGGTTCAAGCGATTCTCCTGCCTCAGCCTCCCGAGTAGCTGGAACTACAGGCGCCAGTCACCAAGTCCGGCTAACTTTTTGAATTTTTAGTGGAGACGGGGTTTCACCCTGTTAGCTAGGAAAAAAAGTTATTCTTAAGCAATCTTTAAAAATAAATCTAAGTAGCATACATTTATATGTTATATTGGCATTGCAAAATCAGCCACCTGATATAACAGAAACAGCATTAGCCATAATATCTACACTCCGAATAATTTTACTTGTTGATTCTGGTGTAGTAGGTGCTTAGCTGTGCTTAGAAAACTACTGTGTTATGCTACACGACTCTTCATTGACCAAAAAGTAATAATTTAGAAAAAGATAATATGTATAGAAATAATTATATATATAGAAAAAGTATTTATTTCAAATTTTGAGTTCTTGACACCTCATCTGAGATGTATACCTTTAAGCAATTCTTAGCAAATACTGGTTCACATAAATATAATATATTCTCAAATTAAAGAGAAATATGTTCCATAGTGGAAGAATAGGGGAAAAGGAATTACTTATTTAATGTATAACTTATAGTTTGCTTATTACTTATTTAAGGTATAACTTATAGTTGGTTTTTATCAATCAAATCATTCAATGCTTATAATGATCCTATGATGTAGGTATAGTGTCTCCCCAGTTAACAGGCGAGGACACCAAGTTTAAGTAACTTGCTAAAGTCACAGAAGTCACTAGAAGCCTAAGTAGAAGACTGTAAATAACCCAGCCAGCCTTCACTGAACTAAATCCCATTAACAAAAACAGTATGCAGTCTCTTCCTGTGCAGCTCAATGTTCCTTTTCTCCCACTCATTCTTACTGGAGGAATTAACGCAGTATGTTTATTTCAGTTCACAATTGAAAGTATGTGTAGCTTATTAAAAGTCTATTTTTTTTTCCTGCTTTTAAGTATAAGGAGGTCAGTTCTCAGGTTATCATTTCTGTCTTTTTAGTTATGCAGATTTGCATTATACCCTAATAAAACAATGATATTTATAATGCATATAATGTTCATTGCTACAATGAGATAGCAAATAAACTCTTGGAGGTATGAATTTTCAGGCACTAAGCACTTTAATTAGATAGAAAGGAATGAAAGGATGAATTCAAGTATATCAACTTACTTCCATGGATTGAAACAGAAAGAAAATTTTCATGTATTACTAATCACCTCTGGGAAAGTGGATAGGTGACATATTACAAATCAGCTAATAGCAATGTGTATGTGTGTGTGTGTGTGTGTATATGTTTATTTTGTATGATTTTTCCACTTACAACTGATATCCTTTGATAGATTAATATTTCACTAAAATAATTGTGTTCTCATGCACCTTTTATGTTGATTAGAAATTTAATTAAACATTTCCAAGATTCATTAATTAATTGGCTTCCTTCAAGCACTCCTATCATAAATTAAGCAGCATGTGAGATTGGTTAAAAATACGACAGTCTTGTTGTGACACACTAATCAGCATTAACATTTCATCAATGATTCTAAAACAAAGTGCATAGTTTTTCTTCTTATTGGTCTTTAACAAATTGGAGACAATAGATCAGCTTCTACATTATGCTTAGAATGCTTAGAATATGGCAGATTATACTACTGTTTCCTTTTCTTCCACTCCTGTGAAGAAAAAAAAAAAATCGAAGAACAGAGTAAAGAAGGGTTCAGAAATAAAACTGCAGTAATTAATGCTGTGAAATCGGCCAAGGAAGGCAAATACAGTAGAGATCTGCCTCTGCAATAGAAATTCCTTTTTCTTCCACTGACAGGCTAGCAGAGCACTGTTAGGGCATTCATTCTGAATGCACCCATTTTCAAGCAAATTTGCGAACTAGTTATTCATACGGATTCAAAGTTCTTTTAACAAGTTTCTCTCTCCCCACAACTTTCCTTCTGGGATCTTCTACTGTCCATTTAAGTAGAAAAAATAATGTACTTGTGAATGGCTTCTGAAATCTGATGTTTACTTGAACAGAAGGGGAAAAATATTTCAAATTTAGTTAATAAAGATGTACAACTATAAAATGTGTAAGAAACGAGTTTGGGACTCAGTTTTTGTTCTTACTATGGGCATAATGTTTTAACAATGTTAATAACTCTTCAGAATTTAAGAAAACCGATCCTATGTGTTCAGGGCATTTGTATTTAAATTCATTCTAATCAAGTCTGGGCCAATGAAGGTTAGATTGAGCAGTGATTGTTAAGAGTTAAATGTCAATGACAGTGCACTAAATTGTACCATCTGCTTTTTTTCTTTATGTGTGTCACATTTGTCATTACATAGTAATGTTACTGAAATAAAATTATTTTCTAATAAGTTAAAAAAGGAAATAGAAACAAAGTTCAGAATATTGTTTACTGTTTCTCTTGCATGTATCAATGATTTTATGAATGCATTGATATTGCTTCCTCACAGTGTTAAAATAAATCTACACTAATTACCTGAGTTGTAAGCAGATCAGCGTTCCTTATGAGAAGTTACTTCTAGCAACCACTAAGAAATGATCAATATTTATGATAAGTATTCTCAAGAACTAGAGAGAACATCTAGCAAGGAATAAGAAAGGACAGGCCTGATGTCCAGCTGTTTGCTTGTGTGCACTCTAGTAAATTGATGTGCAAACTAAAATTTAGGTGATTTCCCACTAACAAGAAGAAAGAAACATAATTTTCATTTTTTAGTTTTGTATTTTTATTTATTTATTTTTATTTTATTTTATTTTACTTTTTGAGACGGAGTCTCTCTCTGTCTCCCAGGCTGGAGTGCAGTGGCACAATCTTGGCTCACTGCAAGCTCTGCCTCCCAGGTTCACGTCATTCTCCTGCCTCAGCCTCCCAAGTAGCTGGGACTCCAGGCGCCCGCCACTGCTCCCAGCTAATTTTTTGTATTTTTAGTAGAGACAGGGTTTCACCATGGTCTCGATCTCCTGACCTTGTGATCTGCCCGCCTCGGCCTCCCAAAGTGCTGGGATTACAGGCGTGAGCCACCGTGCCAAGCAGAAATATAATTTTCATAAAATGTGTATTTGTATGAAAGAGAAAGAGAGAGAGTCAGAGGTGAGAAAGAAAAGAGGACTAACATAGGCATCTCTCTACTTAAAAATAAGTTAATTCCCAAAAGGCTATTCATAACCCATTTCTTCAGCATGACTAAGAAAGGATAAAGTTTGCAATTTTGAATGCACTTCCACTAAATAGTACTTGCAGTCTGTGCTTTAAAGTTTTAAACTGAACTTTTGCTGTTCTGTCAGGTCAATTTAAGTTATAATAGGCATCAATTTCCAAAACATACTGGTTTCATCCACTTTGAAATTTGTGGAAGCAGATGGACTCTTTCTCAAAAAACTCTAAGTGTCAGGATGCAATTTTGAGCAGTTACATTATCTGATAGACTCACATGTATAATGTGTACATTCTAGAAGCTGTTGAATCTATGGAAATCTCTGTGGCAAAGTTACCTTACAGCATTTACACTATTCTTTGCCTTTAAATAGAACAAGTCATAGCCTTTTTCATGCATTGACATTTGTCTAGTAGGCATCTGACTCTGATCTATACTTTTTGTACACAACTAAAAAGATTTTTCATTGAATAAATTACCTTTCTTCCATATTTGCTGAGGACCATTGCATAGGACCAACACTGTTCATATTATTATTATTATTATTATTTATTATTATTAGAGATGGAGTTTTGCTCTTGTCGCCCAGGCTGGAGTGCAATGGCACGAACTCGACTCACTGCAACCTCCGCCTCCTGAGTTCAAGCGATTCTTCTGCCTCAGCCTTCACAGTAGCTGAGATTACAGGCATGCGCCACCATGCCCGGCTAATTTTGTATTTTTAGTAGAGACGGGGTTTTTCCACATTGGTCAGGCTGGTTTCGAACTCCCAACCTCAGGTGATCCGCCCGCCTTGGCCTCTCAAAGTGTTGGAATTACAGGCGTGAGCCACCGTGCCTGGCCCACAATTCATATTATTAGTGGCAGCAAATCCGTAGGGGTCTGCAGCAAACTCAATTCTTGCCTTCTCAGAAGAAAGAATTCAACCGAGGCAGCATAAGGCAGAAGGAGAGACCTAGGCAAGATTTAGGGCAGGAATGAAAGAAAATAAACTACACTTGAAAGAGGGAAAAGTGGGTGACTTGACAGATCAACTGCCTGGTTTGACATTTGACTTAGGGTTTTATGTGTTGGCATGCTTCCAGGGTCTTGCATCCCTTCTCCCCTGATTCTTCCCTTGGGGTGGGCTATCCACAAGCACAGTGGACTACTAGCACTGGTCGGGGGAGCATGTGCGGTGTGTTTACTGGAGTTGTACACATGCTTACTTGAGACATTCTTCCCTTACCAGCTGAATGTCCCTAGAAGGTCATATACCAGATGAACTCTGCTACTTTGCTTCTTAATGAACGTGCTTAAGTCCACTTACCCAGCTCCTGAGATCTTATCAGGATGCTGCTGATCACCAATTTCAGGTGTTTCTGTTTATTGGGAGACTGTCTTTCCTTGGTTCTCTCTGTGACCAATTATTGTTTTAGAGCAAGCTGGTCCAACCTGTGGCCCACGGCAGTTTCATTGACCTAAAGAGTTGGAGAATTAAAAATCTTAACCTTAATTTATTTTCACATATCTTGGAAAAAAAGACGTGACAGATTGTAAAAACATGTTTACAAAATGTATTGCTTAGTGAAATATTTAGTGATTTATGTAGATTTGTGTTAACTTTCCATTATAATTTCTACACATAAACAAGAGCATATTATTTTTATTGAATATTTT
Organism: Homo sapiens; assembly: GCF_000001405.40. Classification (NCBI taxonomy): domain Eukaryota; kingdom Metazoa; phylum Chordata; class Mammalia; order Primates; family Hominidae; genus Homo; species Homo sapiens. The sequence goes on along the minus strand of NC_000004.12, from coordinate 65,453,182 downwards.
AATTAGGATTTTTAAGTAGGTATAACTTTTTATGTGTGCTGGTATAGTAAAATTCAAGAGAAAAACAGCTTACATTACGAGTATCAAAAAATGATTATCCATGGAAGCAAATATTTGCCAAACTGTGTGCATTTAACTTATAATAATTCTGAGTCACTAAAACCATTGTTTATATGGACAAAGATTGAAGAAAGAAGTTCCTAGAAACTTTTACTCAGTGAAAATGGAAAACATAGGAAAGAAAAAGAATGCTGACCAAGTCAGCACAATTTCTTCTTTTTGGAGGATTTTTCTTCTTCGTCTTCTTTTTTCAATTAAGTTTAGGTTATTGTACCTAGAGTGTTAAAGATGCTAAATAGAATACATATTTAATACAGTGCAGAAACTGTTTTTAGCTATGAATCTTTTGAATACACTAATTTCCTTATCATTTCTGCTTTAGTTCTTTCAAATTTAAGGACAAACATTACACATTTTAGTTTATTTGCTTGCATTCAAGGAAACTGACACTATGCTTTAAGTGAATGTTTACACATTTACTTTCTGATTTTTAATTTATGCATTCCAACAGCCATAGGATGTTTGTCTTTTTTTTTTTTTTGGTATTTTAGCTGAGCTAGCTAATTTATTTATTTATTTATTAGCAATAATCAGTCTCCATCACAAGTTTACTTAGAGTAACTACCCTTCTCTGTCCTTCGCTGGAGTGTGTGTGTTTATGTAACTTAAAGAACACTACAAAATAAGTTTTCTAACATATCTCAGCATTTAAAATAACATTTGTATATGAATTACCTTCTCAATTGTGTTAGGAATAGGTGTGTTAATCTATTTCACATTTGTTATACATGTTAAATGTCTCATAGGAAAATAAATGCGTTAATCTATTTGCATTTAAAAAATTGTACAGAAATTGAAATTGGTTATAAATTTTAACTCCCACCACACCAAATAGTAATCTCTGAAGTGGTTAAACACAACTTACCAATAAAATGTACAGGCATGATCAATAACATTTTGAAGAAAAGCTGAAAGTCCATGAAACTTTTCAATGGAATTAATTTTATTCATTATTGTTGATTTATTCTCTATTGCTGATCTTCTGATGATTTAAAAATATTTACTGGATAGATTTCCCCACCTGCCCAAACTTCATCATCACCCACAAAATAATTTTAAAGAGATGAAACATTAGCTTTAACTAACAAGATAATATGACTTTTTTGGACATTTAAAGAAGAAAATGTTAAAAATTAAACTAGTAGGAAGAAAAGGTCCTCTGGCAGCAGCCAGTCACCTCAATAGCCCATGTCTGATTTTTCCAAGCTTTCACAGACTCTTCTCATTTGCAGTCACATTCATCCTTCCTCTTAATTGGCAACACACAATCATTCGTAAACATATCTCATAGCTCATTTATACATATATGAATATCTGACCACAACATTAGGCCTATTTAGGTTATTCTAGGAATCTTGCCTTGTCAGTGCTATTATATAGAAAGTTTACAAAAAAATCTAGTTTTAACAGCACCTGACTATAGTTATAAAAACTTGTTATAGCTGTACTAACTTTGATAAAACAGCTTTACCCTGCTCAAGGACATATTTGACTCACATTATATTGCTGTTTAATTGTTATAAAAGTGTAATTCTATCCTTTGAATGTCATACTTAGGTGCCACAACTATGTTTATTAATTCTATTTTTAAATATAACTTTGAACCTATATACCTACAGCCTACTATAATCAATGGCTAGGAAAAAGGACTGTGTTTATTTTGGTATATAATTGGGATTGTAAAATGTGGTAAAAATGTAGTAGAATAGTATTTAAATATTCAATCCAAAACAATTTAAAATGTCTTGTATCAAAAAAGATTATTTGAAGATACTTGAAAACATATTGTAAGAACAAATATGGTTACGGCCTTTTTCATTTCTTTTTTAAATGAAAAAATAAAAAGCTAGTATTTCTTTTTGACCAGTCAATGTATGTGATGCAAGATATCTCACAGAAAGAAGCTACTTATCCAAAAGTGATTGAAGCCACCTGTTCTGTGAGGCAGCTTTATCATGTAACAATGGGCACTTCTCAACAGTCTCTAGGGTGCTTGTAAATCTTTGAAGTATCATTAGAAGGTCTGTATTGAAGAATAAGGTTTTCCTGTTCAAGTTCCAAGAATTAGTCAAAATGGGAAAGATGTTTCCTCTTGTGCGTGAATACCCTTTTGAGACTGTATAATGTTTTACTTAAAGAGGCAAAGTACTACTCATGTTTCCATTTTAAGTTAAAGTGCATAAAAGAGAAAAGCAATTTAGGATTTGTACTGATGAATTAGTTGCCACAATTATTTTGAGGTTCTTTAGGGATATTATACTTTGTTCTGGGATTAGATTGTGAACAAACTAATCATTTGGGAGATTAAATGGGAAAGTCAATGCGTAGGTGACTTCATTCTGTCAAAAAAATGAATTGAGCTGCAAGTATGTCACTTTTATTTTTTAATCCAAACATTGGGCTGGTATTATAATTATCTCTAGGTTTAATTGTTTGATATGATTAATAATTAGATGGAGAAAAGATATTTATAGTATTTCACATTGTCACATATTATTTGCCATTATGCTTTGGAATTGAAAATGAAACAAGTGTCTACCAGATTTTACATTGGTCTGGATCTATGCCCCTCAGCATAATGGTCATGGGTGGCTTTGCATGTGAAATGCTGACATATGTGTCTGGGTCCATTGGACCTTAAAATATAGAGTAATGTGTGGTCTCTGTGTTTCACTTTTAACTATAGTATTTTTAATGATGAAACAAAAGCTTACATAAAATGATCTAATGTACTTAGCAGTAGGCTGAAACATAAGAAACATTTCCACTCATTTGCTTAAATGCTTTTGTTTTCTAAATGAGATATAACAATTTCTATAGTTAAATTCTGACTATAGTTAATTTCTTCTCTCTCACAATCTCTCCATAATATACTATCATCCTTAAGTGGGTGTATCCTGTTTGCATATGTGTTTCAGTAGTTTCACTGCAAATGTAGACATTAGTAAAAAAAATATTTAAAAACGTAATATTCATGACTCTTTTGCATTTTTCTTTTTAATGCTTTAAACGTTTATCTATGTTGATACCTGTATTCATTTGTTAGAGTTGACATAACAAAGGACCACAAACTGAGTGGTTTAGCCAACAGAAATTTATTGGCTCATGATTCTGAAGACTGGAAATCCAAAATCAAGATGTAGACAGAGCCCTGATCTCTCTGAAAGTACTAAAGGAGGACCTGTTTCAGGCCTCCCTCCTAGGTTCTGGGTGGTGGCAGCATAGCCCCAGTGTCCACAAGGCATTCTTGTGGAAAAAGGGTACCTGTGTGATACCTGTGTATTTGTTTCCAAATCTCTCTTTTGTATGAGGACACAGTCATATCAGAGTAGGGCTCACCCTAATGATCTCATTTTAACATGGTCCTGCAAAGCCCCTATTTTTGCAAAGGTCAACTTCACGAGTAATGGGATTGGGGACTTCAACTACTTTTTGGGGAACACTGTTCAACCCATAACAATACTTAGATATCAACTTCACTATATAATTGTTATATGAATATACGACAGTTTGTCCATTCTTCCACTATAAGACTGTTTGATATTGTCAACTTCTTGTTCTATGACAATCTTTGTACATATCCCTTTCTGCTTCTGTTCTTGGGTTTTGTTGTGGCAGATACATAGAATTAAATTTATTCTGTGGCAGAAGTTTTCAAGTTTCCCACCAAAGTGTACAAATGTGTACTATAAAAAATGTAAGTCAGTGCAAAAGGCTCTTTTTTTAAACCCTCATTAATGCTTGCTTTTATCATATTTTTGAATTTAAGGTGCTAAATGTATCCCATTTTATTTTATTTGCATTTTCCTGATTCTGAAAAACGGTTTTAAACTTTTCATATAATTTTGGGCATTTGAGTTTATTCTACAAATTGCCTGGTCATAGTTAAACAATCTTTTACTTAGGAATAATCCTTTTTAAAATTTATGTTCACTAGGTAGTAATTTTTATTGTTTTTAACCCAATGAATTTTTTTCTTAATATGTAGTTTTTAAATACATTTTTGTTACGTTATTTCTTACTTTGACAAGTATAAAACTGTCCATCTGTTCTGTGTGATTTGTACCTTGTCAATTTTTTAAAAATTATTTCTTGGAGTGTGATATAAAGATATGGTCATATATTCCCATCTAAAAGTAAATTTGGATTTTCACATAGAGATCTCTAATTTCCCTATGATTTATTTTCTTATATATTATGATGTGAGTGTCATTTCAGTATGAATAATTTGCTTCTCAGTGCCCCTTGTTAAAGAGTTTATCATTTTCTTATGAGTAATGACACCTCTGTAATATATAATACACTCACATATACATGGCTCTTTCTCTAGTTTCTCCATTGTGTGCTTTGTTTATTCAAAATAACTGTAAGTACAAAGTCGTTTTGTTGTTGTTGTTGTTTGTTTCTATGTTTTCGAGATGGAGTCTGGCTCTGTCACTCAGGCTGGAGTGCAGTGGCATGATCTCAGCTCATTGCAACCTCTGCCTCCTGGGTTCAAGCAATTCTCCTGCCTCAGCTTCCCAAGTAGCTGGGACTACAGGCCTGTGCCACTACACCTAGCTAATTTTTGTATTTTTAATAGAGACGGGGTTTCGCCATATTGGCCAGGCTACTCTGGAACTCCTGACTTTAAGTGATCTGTCCTCCTCGGCCTCACAAAGTGCTGGGATTACAGGCATGAGCCACCACACCCAGCCCTAAAATGTATTTTTGTTTTTTAATAATAAATATAATAATTACAATGTCATAATTATTATAAAATTACAATGTGTCTGTGATTTTTTCTGTCCTTTTTTTTTTACTTGTTTTGACTATTCTTTGCTTTTTTTATAGCTTGGTGATTTTTTTTTCATTTCTCATGACATACTTTTAATTGTCCTCTAAAAGAGCTTGTTATCAGTGTAAATCACAGTTTATACATCATCTTACTTTCTTCTCTGTTGTCTCTTAAATTTTTTATTGTCTTTATGATTTTTACAGTTTTCATATAACAAGAAATTGATATTGGTATTATTTTCACTTATAGGTTTTGGAAATCATCATGATTGTTGAATATGCAGTTATATCTATCACTTTCATCTATTTTAGAAATTGGTCATTGTTGTGTCTTTAAATCTTATGTTCTTGTTCTTTCTACTTTATTCTTTTGACACTTTTGTTAGATAAATGCTGGGTTTTCTCATTATATCTTTCATGTCTTTTCCCTCTTATTAGGTTATCTTAAAAATTTGTCATTTTGTTGTAATTTCTTCAAATCATTTTTTTTTTGGTCAGATAAGGGTAAATTTATTCAAGTAATACCAGAAATTCCCAATTGTTTTTAGTTTTCCTCCTGTCCAATGAATGCACTTTTCACAAGTAAATAGATTCATCTGTGGTAAATAATTTAACATTTTAAGCTGTCTGTGTTGGCAAGGAATGGGATATGAATGCATATTGTTGATTTAATGTTGTCTAAGCAAAAATAGTAGTAAGATTTAGAGGTCTTCCAGTTTTTGTCAATTTTTGCTTCAATAAAATTTTATCACTCAAGTCTAGGCTTCAGAATTAGGAAAAAATATATATATTATATAAAGTTTAATATATATATATATGTGTTTCTAATATATGACAGACTATTTCTCATAGTTATCTGGCCCCAAATCCTCTTTTCAGAGTAGCAACTGGTACAAAAGGAGCAATAATTTTGTTTGACATCAACTATAATGGTTGTCATAGTATATTGAATGCAGTAACATTATTTTGCAGGGGTATGTGGAATATCTAAGTGAATATCATAGTCTCCACCCAATAGCAAATATCTGCTTAGAAACTATTGCCATATTCTAACTGTTTTATTTACAGCCTTACCCACCCCCCAACCCGCAATCCATTGTTCTCAATGTAATCAGAAGAACAATAAGTAAAAATTAGCCAGGTGTGGTGGCACATGTCTGTGATCCTAGCTACTTGGGAGACTGAGGTGGGAGGATTGCTTGAGCCCAGGAGTTCAGGGTTACAGTGAGCTATGATCATGCTACTGCACACCAGCCTGAGTGACAGAACAAGACCCTGTCTCAAGGAACAAAAAAAAAAAAAAAAAAAAAATGAGCTTTTAAAAACGCAGACATGGTAATAGCAGTCTTTAATTCTAACTATTGAATATAACCAGTTGGTCTTAGAATAAATTATTCAAACTCTTTAATATGGCTTATTGGAGCTATGTTATTTGTCCCTGCTTTTGTTATTACTTGATGTTTTATTCTCCAACTTCACCATTTGTGTCGCAGCCATATAGAAACATATTTAAGTATCTCAATATCATACAATGACCCCCAATCCCTCCACAACACATACACACATATAATGTACTTTATGTCCATACATGCACCCCATGTGCATACATGAGCATCCCTACACTCTTTTATGTGACTATTTCTGTACATTATTCATATCTTAAGTTATAATTCATTTCCTTTAGTAGACTTGCCTGATTCTTCAGGTCCAGAAGAGGTGTTTTACATATGTGTTCCCATAGTACACTATCCTACCACTATAGTTATTTCCACATTGTAATAGCCTCTTTTACTTGTTTGTATCCCTCACTAGAAGCTAAGTTCTACAAGAATAATGCTTGTGGCTTTCACAGTTTGCTTGTTTTCCTTTTCCTGTAGTGTCACAGTATCTATCAATGCTTTTAATAAAATATACAGGAAAAAGCATATTTATTAAGTAAAGTAATGATTAAATGAACAAATAAGTTTTTTGACTGATTATGATAGGATTTTATTCCAAATAGACCTAATTCTAGTCATTATATAAAGTTATTCATACTAAGACAATAAAGCAAAGATAATACCAAGTTTTAAAAATAATAGACAATTGGTACAATTGCATTAAGCAGACATCTGTAGTTATTGAAGGCATTGTAACCCATTGAAACATTTGTTATTATATTAAAAATATCATGAGGGTGAAGCAGATAATTGACATGATCTAACTTTTGTTTTACAAAGATCGCTTTGACAGCTATGTAGCTAATAGCTATGTGGCCAGAGTGGAAGAAAGAACACCAGTTAGGATGTTATTTCAGGACTCAGGAGAGATAGTGGTGGCCCAGATGACACTGGTGACAAAGGAGATGGTATATTTTGAATGTTCAATTTCAGAATGAACTCAGTATTTAAGAAGCACGCCATCCCTAATTGGTAATATTTCTATTCCTTGAACTACTAGAGAAGATAAAAGAAGAAATTGTTAGCTTTGCTCCTGAGGTTTTATCCATATGTGGATTTGAAGTAGTTTGACGTATAGCTATTTGAACCAAAATTAATATTTTTGTACAAGAACATTAAACTTTTTGTTTAATGAATGTAGTAAGTGTAATCTGTCAAACAGAAGGTCACCAAGTAAAGGTATGGAACACCAACCTATAGGAAAAAAGGGCTAAAATTTTAGATAGCAACCGATTTCTTTCAAGCTTGCAAGTTAAGGCTGGAGTACACAGATATTATATTTAATGTGAATTTTCTTGATGATAAATTTTCTTTATAATGCTCACAGTCCTGTTGGCATCTTCATTACTACGAAACTATATGACCAATTAACTTTTCTCATAAAGAAGCAATATTTGAAGGCTTCCAGCTATTCATCATTTGCTTTGAACTAGGCTTTTTCATCTGTGATTATCAATGCTCTTAAACACTGATGAATAAGTCAATTAAATAACATATTGTTTAAAAATGTAATATTTTTGTTCAATCAGTTATAAACTTCATAGTCACATACTGGATTAGATAAAGAAAATCTAAATTATTTTGAACAATTTGTTTGTAAATTTAAAATGTGCATATAACAAATTTAAATCATGAACCCCAACACTAAATTTCAAGGTTTTTAAAGTATAGATTGATTTAAAGTTACCATGGCCCTCAGTTTATGGATATCCTATAAAAATGTGTATCCAAAACATGAATAAAAAATAAGAGACATTTGCAGACTAGAAAAAGAAGTATTTTATTTATTTTGAAGTGCAGGATAAAACATAAATCACAGTAACATTTCTGAATTCAACTCTTCTAAACTCCAATACTATTTATTTCTTTGCTATATTTTCTGTATTGTTTAAACAAAATAAAAATGTGTTAAGTGACTAATTCAAAGAAAAACTGAGAAAAATATCAATTTTTTTAGGTACCCAGGAATATGAGGAAAAGACTAGGGATAAAAGAATTTAAGTTTTTGAGGGGAAAAATACAATTACTTCTAAAAGCAACCAAGCAAAAGGCATCAGAATTTTTAGGTTTTTTATATTTTTCAATAAATAGTGATGAAGTGGTAATATAATACAGAAGAACTACCAAAGAAAGAAGGTAAATATTGGTTACAGCAGCAAAAAAATAAATAAAATGTTTCTGATCTGAAGTAAATCCACAATTTATACACTAAGTATTTTAGCTAAACTCAGGGCAATAAAAGTACACTGGCTGTGGATGTTAACACTGTGCAGGACTGAGCCAATCACTTCACCTGTTTAAACTTAATTTCTCTCAGTTGGAAAAACCAGACAAGGTATATATACAAGATAGCTCCTATAAAAATTCTTCTATCAGTGTACTGTGCATAGTAACATTCAATAAATGGATCTTTGATTTCCTCTTTTCTCCTGAGATTTTATAAAGATTAAATGAGATTATTCAAATGAAAGTGACTTGTATCTACAATAATATTATACTGGGCAGTACTATATAATAGATGCTGGCTAGATTATATGTATATATATCATATCCTTAATCTTTATAACAACTTAAGGATAGATATTATCTTCATTTTGCAGAGACAAAAGGATCTTCAGCACGGGTAAGTGATTTTCCCTAAATTACTCAGCTAGAAAGTGGCAGAACTGGAATTTAAGTTCACATTTGCACTATTATAAAAGTAAAACAGTTTTAATGAAAACATGTAGCCTAATTACTTGGTAGCAACATTAGTAAAATTACTATATAAGTACACAGGTCCACTATATCAGCCTTTCAAATAAGAGTCAACTTCTTAGCAATAGATGTTTCCTGTTACAGTACAAATCAAATCTACAGGAAACTTGCACACATAGATGTGTACCCCCAGTGCGCATGTGCGCGTGCACACGTGCACGCACACACACACACACACACACACAGGCACACAAACATCTGCAAGTAGAAACTATTTTTTTCAAGGAAATAGGTCATCCTACTATAGGCTACTCTGCTATTGCTAGGGTTGAGACCCAGCAAACATGTTTCTCCTTTGCCCAATGGTTTTCTGTCAGAGTTCACCAGTAAGAGAGAATGCAAAGGAGACTAGAAAGCAGATGGAGTGCGGAGGGGAAATTGCCTTTCCTATTAGCTTGCCATTCTAGGTATTACTGCTCTAGTAATTGTTTTTTGCCTTCACAGCAACAGGAGATTCTAGCCTCGGTCTTCTTTAGGCATTGCTAGAACCAGCCTCATTGCACCCCTTCAAAGGCCCTCCCCCAGGCTTCTAAGGTAGCTTCAGCCAGGCTTCTTGTTTCTGATATGCCTTAAATTTTTCCTATCTTCAACCTGGAAATGATAGCTGCCTCTTTCAGTGATTGTCATTGGGTTACCTCAATATTTCCTTTCCATCTAATTCGGTATCGCAGTAACAGTATAAACAACTCCCTATATTAAATGCCCTCTGTTGAAATATCTAGTATGTTTACTATTTTTCTAACAAGATTCCATCTCATACAATTACCGGTTTTGTGCAGCTAAAATTCACCAACATATTAGAAAAACTTGGATAGCTTTATGTAATTCAGATAGGGAAAAGTTATATATGGATACACTTTTTAAAAAAGTAATGAAAAGCAGAAACATCTATGAAGTACAATGCCTCAGTCTAGACAAGTTGTAAATAACTAGGGCAAACCCCAGGATACTACAGCTGGACCTTCTCATCTACTATACCTGACATTTTAGATTTGCTCTTCTAAAAGGCAAGTCTCCAAGGTGTTTTAGGTTTCTAGCATCGTTCTTTGAAAAGAACTGTTGGAGAATATATAGTTTGTTCAAATAGCGACTTTAAAGGGTTTCTAACTTCAGAAGTTCACTGTATAAATGATCATGATCTGGTGAACTTAGTAAAGATCTGAGACTTTAGAGTTGTCATCTCAAGTGTTAGGCAGTGACTCTGACTGCCACAAGTCACTTACCCTCCTCTGCATTTCAGTTTCTTCTCACCTTATGGGGCACTGTCAATTCATAATGACTATTCTTATCATTATAGACAACATAAAGTGTCTTCAAAAATGTTTTGCTACTAGCTCTAAGGAAAAATATGGTTGTGGTGGGCATATGTAATTTTATTCTGCTTTATTATTTATAGAAACTCAGAAATTTAATAATGCAACATATTAATATGAAATATGTAAAAATTATTGTGTGGATGCATGAGTGTGTGTGAGCACTTACATATCTGGATGTCCAGTTTCTACACACATACAAGTACACAGAATGGCACTGATATATAGATTTGTGGAGTCAGTATAACACAAAGAGTCAATCTTTGTAGGCAGACTGTGTTTTAATCAGCTAGCGATGCCATAGACTGGTTGACATAAACAACAGAAATTAATTTTCTCACAATTCTGGGGACTGGGAAGTTCAAGGTCAATGTGCTGTCCAATTCATTTTTGGTGAGAGTTCTCTTACTGGTTTGCACACAGTTGCCTTCTGCTATAATTTCACATGGCTTTTCCTTGGTGCATACATGTGGAGAGAGAAAGAAAGATCTCTTTAAGGTTTCCTCTTCTTATAAGAGCTCTTCTCATGGAGGCCCCACCCTAATGACCTCACTGAAGCCTCATTACCTCCCATAGGCCCCGTTTTAAATTCCATTGCATTGGTGGTTAGGACTTCAATATATGAATTTGGATGGGGTGTTGTGGCGGGGGGGTGGCACAAATATTCAGGTCATAACCTCTTCTTATAAACTGAATTACATTGGACATTTTATTTAGAAAATTATACATAGCCTGTTTATGTATATATTAAATAGGGTAATAATAGCATCTAAGTCTTTTGGTTATTTGGAAGATTAAATGGTGAAATCTATGTCAAACACCTGGCATAGTACTGGCACATGGTGAACGCTCTATAAATGTTAGAATAAAAAGATTATAGGCATGCACTTACAACAAAGATGTAATCAAGAAGTGCAATTGATTTGGCTAGCTAGTAGATTTCCTTGATAATTATTCTATTTAGCTTAGATTATATTTCTTAATTGAGAAGAATTTTTTTTCTGATACCTTCAATTTCCAAATGTTCCAAACCATTTTTTTATTAATATGTTTTACAGAGTCAGTGCGAGTCAGTAGTTCTTTTAAACAGTTATTTTGTAATGAAATGCAGAAATATCTGTAGTTGTAGTGCATTCCATAGAATGGATACACCATAATTTGTTCTTCTAGGTCATTCCAATTGCTCTTTTTTCTCTTTCTTACTTTATCTCTTCCTCTCTCCCTTTTTTCCTTTCTTCCACTCTGCCTTTTTTAAAAATTTTCCTATCATAAGTAATACCAGAGTGAGCATTTTTAAAGATATATTTAACTAGTGGTAAAGATAAATTATTTTAGATCTATACATTTCAAATTTAAGTAAATACTATAAATATACTTTGCAAATAGCTTTCATTTTTTCAAATAAATTATGGAAATACTGTTTTTCTCACACCCTCAGTAGTATATGTTTTTAGATTATTTTTAATTTTGCCAGTTGGATAGTTTAATTCACATGAAGCTAAACTTTTTTTATTTTTTCATGTTTACAGGTCATTTGCATTTTTCTTCAATTAATTACTTTATATCACCAACTTTTATATTAGGTTATTAAAGGTGCTGATGGTATTAAAAATTTAATATAGTATATTAAAGATGCTGAAGTTATTAGAAAATTAATATAGTATATTGACAGGGATTATCCATCTTTAAATTGTTAACCTTTTGTCTATTATGTAGTAAATTTATTTTTGATATTTTATTTGTGGAGAAATAAGTTTGGAAACAGTAAATTACTGACAGCAAAATGACATCTGGTGGAAACATTAACACAAGCCTAGGGCAGACAACTACAGACAGAAATCTTAGCCTTACTTACTTCTAGTAAGCTTGGTAAGTTGCACACAAAGCAGCCTCCTCAATTTCTTTGCTCTTCTTCCCCAAACTACCACCTCTGAAGACACCCATAGGGAGATGGGCCACTAAAAATGGCTCCGGAGACAAGGCTTTTCCTCTTCTTTTTCTTCTCCTTCTCTCCCTTTTCCCAGACATCAGAGAACCCTCCTCAAGGTGGTATCGCTCCTCCTCAAAGGCCCCCTGCTTGCTTTGCATATGCCTGGATGAGTAATAAATCTTTGAATTGCTTATGATTACTAGACCTGATGCTACAAAAAAATTAGCTTATTTAATTGAAGTGTATTTTTTACTATGAAGTAATCGAAAATAACTTTACATTATTTCTGGTAAGATTAGAAAATTCCTCCCTCTGTGTGTGTGTGTGTGTGTGTGTGTGTGTGTGTGTAAGATTTAGGAAAAGTATAAGTTGAATAAAAACAAAAGATTTACATATTTTCCTTAATCTCACTATTTCTGTATGATTATTACTAAATTTTTGCACACATAATACTAACTTTAATATGTATCCATATCTCCAGCTCTGTTCTGGAGTGTCCTGTTTTATGGCCATATTCTCTTCTTAGTGTATTACTTATATATTTATTGAAGAAACTTTTTAATGAATTCATAAAAGCCGAGAATACCTTTGTTTATTTTCTTTAATAACATCTATTTAAATATTTTAGTAGTATTCATATTGATTATGTCTATGACAATGTTAATGACAATATTTCTGAAGTTAGAAATAACATTTTCAAATATATTATTAAAAGGCAAACAAGTCTATTTTGGTTTAAATAAGTATATTATTAAATGTTTACAGTAACATTCTCAAAGACCATATATAAAAACATAGTATTAGTGTCAAGTATTTCTGAAGTATTTCTATTTATTTTCTGATAATTAGGATATAAGCATTTAGTGCAAACTATTGCAAAAAGATAAGTAAAATACCACATAATTAACATGATAGCTACAAACATGACATAATCTTTCATAATGCAAACAAATTTTTTTTTGCTTTTTAAAAATATCAAAGGCACTAGTTTATCTAAATCAATTAAATGCAGAAACCCTAAGCATTCGGCTTTCCTTTCGGTAAATGCAAATACGAAAGAAAATAGAAGAAATACAGGTACATTGTGTACAGAATAAAATATACTACTGAAATTACCAAAGTAAATCAGAGTAGTTTTTGATAGAGATCATGAATTCTCAGTTCAAACTCCTAAGAAGACAAATTAAAATACCCTGTCGTCTGTCTTTATACTTACTTAATTGTTGATTCATGGACATTTTCTTCTTAACTCAAATGCTTTTATGTCAGCATCTTGTAATTCTACTCAGGTTTAGGGAGGAATTTTCAACCAGCACTTGCAAGATATGAACTCTTGGACTATAAAGAGTTTTAAAGAGTGGTTGATTCTGATACTTGGTATCCCAAAGCAGGGTATGGGGCAGCGGGGGGTGGTGTGGGGGTGGAGATGTGGAACAGCGGAACAAAATTTTACTTAGTTCAGCAAAGATTGTGCACCTTTTATGTTAGGAATTAGACACAAATAGAACAAACATTAACCTAACTTGTACAGTAAATCTAAGCAGTACCAAAGTGTTAAATATCTGGATTTACCTTACAAAATATAAAGTAGTTTTTATATATACGAATGTATTCAAGTATTCCAAGTTTTCTCGCCTCTTCTAGGATATAACTCCTATTATATAGTATGGTGGTACCAATGGTTAGACATATGGACTCTGAATCCAGACTTGCTGCATTTTATCAACTGCACTGCTAGTTGTAGTTTTTCCTTACCTCAGTATCTTCACCTGTAAAATGGGCATAATGATAGTATCTACTTCATAGGATTGTTGAGAAGTTTCTGTGAATTGGTGTATGTAAGGGTTTAGTATATTTTAGTTAAGTCATTGTGTAGAGTGTTAGCTCTTACAGCTATTTTTAAATGTAAACTGCCTCAACCCTTATATTTTATTCACCTTCTCAGAACTTCAGTTCTAAGTTCTCACTCCTTTTTCATAGTTACACATTATATTATCTTATAGTTACAACTTAAAACCTTTAATGTCCTTTCTTTTATATGGTTTCCTCCTTTTGCGTTGACATTCTTGCTATTTTTTTTTCCAAATAAAACCTCTAACCATCTTGTAGCTAACTCTAAAAATTAGTTTTCAGTTTCATTCTGCTTGAAGTCCCTATGGTATATCTCTCTACTGTTCACTTCCACACTTTTAAAATGTTCTTTGTCCAATGGAAGAGTTTCCATTTTAAGCTTCAGCTCACATATTTTCTTATTGAAATCCTTTCATAACTCTCCTCAGCTCCATTTGGTTCTTCACTGTCTTCTTTGTGTCTCTATAGCCTTCTGCTCATATTTTATAAATCAAATGTGGGGAGGCCTTTCAAAGATGAAAACATATGAAAATTTATACATGAATGTATATATATATGGATACATATATACATGTGTGTGTATATATTTAAATTTACATTAATATCCATATTTATATGTATATTTCCAACAATTAAATGTTAAATAATAACTAATTAATTATTTAACTGATACAGGGAATTCACATTGGGAGAAATAAGATGAAAAATCAAATATGAGGCTTTTGCAATAATCTTGGCTTCAATTGAACATTTTGTTATTGTTATGATTATTTTGATGGTCTTTTAGTCATTAAATGAATGAGTTTATAGATAAATCAATAGCATTTTAAATGCAAATGTCAAGAAAGTATGGACCTTGTTCTTGTTTACTGCTGTTTTGCCAGCGATTAAAATAATGCCTGGCACATGATAGGCTCCCTCCAAGTATTTAATTAAATAAAAGAATGATCCTACTATGATGCTGTATAAGCAGATAAATACTGTTTTCTGAATCCAGAGGATTTAATTTCTGAAATATTTTTAAAAGGATGCAGTATGAGGCTTATGAGATCTGATAAGACACCATAGGACAGAGAAAAAATGATGCTTAAATTTTAACTATGTAAATTCATGATTTTTTAAATTTTTAACATGGAAATTTTATTATTTTAATTATTTTAAAATTAAATTTAGTATGGTATTAAATCCCTATGACATTGTGAGTTAGGTAAAACAGATATAACCCCAATTTTACAAATGACTATATTGAGGCACTGGTAGGATTCTTGATTTTTACTACATTTTGGCAGAACTTAAGTTGTGCTCTAGATTCACTCTGAATCCAATATGCAATCCAGTTGCATAATCAGAAACAACATGATTAAAATCCTATGAATGATTTTCTGGTCAGTAATTGGTAACTTTGCATCAGAAGTGTTGGTCAGTCCCTAATTATTATAGATTTCAAGAAAATGTATTATTTCTTGATCATTCTAAGAAGATATGGTCAATTGTACATTATTATCTAATAAAAAGTGAAAAGTCTTTTATTACTATTTGTGAAGTATTCTAAAATTTGATATGTCTTTTTTAATTAATTAAAGAAACAAATGCCTAATTTTAATGTAGGATGATGGACACCATTAAGGCCTATTTGGGAAGTTTTCCCAGCACTTGCAAGAACAATAGCCACTAAGTACAATAAGAAATAGGCTCTGATTGGCAGGAAGCCAGAGTCTCTTTGTGAAACTTATAAACTCAGTAGGATGGCTCTGCCTTCTTTGCAATATTGCAAGCTGAGATTCTAGAATAAGTTTCACAAAAATGCCTTTGTTACACGTAGGTAAAGTTGGGAAATAAAAATAAAATAATATTGTAAATAACTTATCATAGTGTTAACACTTCATTTTTTCTGTTAGAAATTATTGTTTGTTTTTACATTTTAATCTCGTTTACATATTCTTCAAATATCCCTTTCCTTCTCTTTAGGCATACTTATAAAAATTAGCACACCATTAATAAATTCCTGGCAGTGAATGCTATAGAAAGAGGATTCTTTTCTTCCCTACTATGTTATTATAATGAAAATATTTAGATCAAAAGCCTGGCATCATTTTCTAAAGAGGGCATAAAAATAACAATCAAATGAGTGCTAAATAAAGGGGGGAAAAAGACTTTTGGCATTATGTAATTGATCAGAGAGTCATTAAACTGTTCACATACCAGTAGGTGCAAGTTAGTGATGGATAAGTGGTCTCATGTGTAAATAGTTAGTTATCGTTCTGGTAATCTTATGTTTATTTGATCTTATGGTGATTTAACTGTTTCAAACATGTAGATTTCAAAATAAATACTACACTGTTCAATCTGAGGATATTTTACTGAAGTTTGTACATATTCAGAAGTACAAACATTGAATCACAAATTAGTGAACTTTTCATGTGCATGTGGTACCAATTAGTTTTTGTTTTATCTGTCTCTGAATTGTTCCATCAGTACTTCCATTTAGTTATTTGGGGGTGATTTAAAAATAGGAGATATGATCATCTTATCCTCTAAGTAACCAGGAGTTTAAAATATGACGGACAGAATTTTTATTTAACATGAGTGTCTCGAGAAATTGTGAATTAATAGATGTTAGTTACATTTTGTGTGTGTGTGTGTGTCTGTTTATAGCACTATTTTAGTAGATCTTGATAGTAGTTGATTAGGAAACATAGAAACATTTCTCCAAAGTGTTAAATACTGTCTTAAGAATACAAATCATCCATTTGTAAGAATTTATATAATGGCTTCTGATTCCCCAAGTTCTATTTTATCAGAACAACTCTGTGTCAAAAGATGAATATGTCCAAACTGACCTAACTCCTACAAATATAAGTCAAATTAAGCAACTCTCATCAGTAACAGCTTAATCTACCTCACAGAAAAGAACTTGATATTATTTATAGTTATTTCGTTACTAAGGGTTGTTATCATTATCCATTGAGAACATTATAGCATCTACTATCACTGAGAAAAAGTGTGTAATTTAACTGTAACATTATAATAAATGCTTAAAATCACAGGGAAGAAAAAAATCATATTTAAATTTTATAGAATAGTTACATTTTATTAATGCAGGTATTTAATTGGAGATGTTCAATATGCAGTCAGATAATTGAATCCACCAATTGTGGATGGATTTTTTTTTCCAGTGCTTCATTTCTATGCTTGCAGAATGTTTTTAACCATCAGAGAGAAACTAGCAAAAATGGTTTCCATTAACGCTCTAATTTTACATATAAAAAGGCTCAGCTCTTTACCCCTAATGCTAAGATAGTGACAGAGCTAGAATGGAAGCTCTCCTCAACTCCAGATCTGGGGTTTCCAGCAGCCATAATGATTTTTCAGATAACAAGCGGAAAAAGAAAAAGACAGTGCAACATCTAGACAAGTGCTTTGTTTATAAACCCTTAATTTATCTGGGAGTATTTCAAGAATATGTCAGTCTAATTAGATATCCTAGCTCTCCCCTTGTCCTTGTGGCTATGAGAATCAGTATCAAAGCTTGTAATATTTTGATTTCTTAGTATCTTCTACACTTAAAAGAATCCTTTGAAGATGAAAAAACCATACAAATGCCATTATGAATATTTTGTATGCCTTCAAGAATACTTAATCTAAATTCTGTAAATATTATTCTTAGCCCATATGTATGGACTCATCAATGAAAATGCTTCCACTCTGTGCCAAGAAACCTAACAATGGATACAAATCATGGACTGATCCAAGACGCCTATTACACAAATCTAAAATTCTCAGTGACAGTGAGGTGAAATTTAATGTGTAGCAATAAAATATTCATGAACTTGCCCAGGGTGTATATATAGTTTACGACCAGTGTTAAAATGTGGATAATATAGGTGATTCTATTTTTTAATGTCATTTTTATATGTAATATTGACAGTTAATGGCAAATTCCTATCCTTATGTGTACCATAATTTGCACATAGAGAGGGCAATGGGGAAATTACAAGGACCTATATTTCTGTGGTGTCTCCTATGTATACTTGATTTTAATCACTATATCTTAAACAAGACATTGGCTGGCTGTGTTTTTCATTTTTGGAACAGGCTGAAAAAATCACATAAAAGTCTTCCTAAACAGGGTGTCCTGGTTGGGTACTTCATGGTCTTAAAAAAATAGTCAGTGTTTTGATTTCAACATAACAATTTAGTAGTGAGATGGCCTACAACATTATGTGAAGCAGCAATCTTGATTCAAGAGGGAATTTTCTGCCTATTCCATTGGAATTTTGAAACATTTGATGAAAAGTTGCATTAATTTATGTAAAAGGGAAGTGATGAATAGAGAAGTGCTTTGGAAGAGCAAAGGGAAGGGATGCATTTAAAAAATATTTAGTGATATTTCAAATAAGATTAGATCAATATCCAAAAAAAACCTTCCATAAATGAATACAAATAAGATATTAATTTGCTAACTATGTTTAAGTAGTCCCGTGGAAAGTGTTTGGATATGTATACCTAAAATATAATTTTATAGATGCATTTAACAAATCCATAATAAAGATATTAGAAATATATCGTCTTGGCCTAGAATGTGAACATGAGAAGACTATAAAATGATATAGATTAGACACAAACATGGCGAAAACCAGGATATATGTAGATGTGGTAGGCTGAATAATGATGCTCTTCTTAAAAAAAATGTCCACAACCTATTTCCTAGGATCTCTAAATATGTTACTTTAAATGGAAAAAAGGAATTTTGCTAATGTGATTAGATTAAGGATCTTGAGATTGGTAGGTTATCCTGTATAGGGAGATTATCCTAGCCCACTGTAATCTAAGGGTGATTATATTAATATAAGAGAGCCAATAGAGTTAGATAAAAAGGAGATGTGACTACTGAACCAGAGGCTAGAGTTAAAGTGCTATTTTTTAATTTTTTTATTTTTTTGAGATGGAGTCTCACCTTTTTGCCCAGGCTGGGGTGCAGTGGCACGATTTCGGCTCACTGCAACTTCCGCCTCCCGGGTTCAAGCGATTCTCTTGCATCAGCCTCCCGAGTAGAGTAGTTGTAGCTGGGATTACAGGAGCCTGCCACGACGCCTTGCTAATTTTTGCATTTTTATTAGAGACGGGGTTTCGCCATGTTGGCCTCAGGTGATCCGTCCTGCCTAGGCCTCCCAAAATGATGGGGTTACAGGCATGAGCCACTGCGCCCAGCCAAGTGAAAGTGCTTTGAACATGGAGGAAGAGGCTGGAGCCAAGGAAGTCCAGTAGTCTTTAGAGGATAGAAAAGACATAGAAATGGATTTTCTGCTGAAGCCTCCAGAAGAAACACAGCCCTGCCAACACCTTGAGTTTTAGACTTCTGACCTCTAGAACCGTAAGATAATAGATCTGTGTTGTTTTATACCACTACTTTGTTGGTAATTTGTTGTAGCAGCAATAGGAAATTTATATGATAGGATACTTTGGCAAGGCTGTGTTGAAATATATCTGAGTTTCTGGGTGAATAGAATCAAGAGTCTCATATTCTATGGCCAACATAACATTTTAACTATGCATGTTCTGGCCAACATAATGTTATCACTATGCATTCTAAGCGAATATCCAATATGTTGGTGTGGTCTTACAACTTTGTTTCACTGAAGAGAGGCCTAGTAATCAGAATGGGCATTAGAATATTTTGTTTTATATTTATGTGTATTTGAATATGGAAGCTTCCCAAAATTTTACCTAAATTAAGTTTAGATTCTGTATTCACTGCACAATGAAACTATTTATATCATGGAAGTCATTTTAAGTTATATACAGAACTATGTCAAAAACAAATACCCTACAGTGTTTTTAATGAACTAAGAATAATCTGCTTCAGCACTCGAAAATTTTATTTTGTTCTGGTTTGCATACTTAATAACCTGTATGTAATGTTTTGCATTAGCGAGTGTTTTGCATAGATCACCATGCTACATCTCTCTTTGAATTAACTTTACTAAACACCACATTGTATCATTATATTTAGAAGCATCAGGTTAAGTACCTTTAGAATCATATATGTGTTTAAATCCCTAATCCACTACTTATGAGCTGTTGATACTTAAAATATAGAGGCACTAAATATATTTACAAATGTATTTTTATATATAATATATACTTTATTAATTTATATGCAAAATTTATCTACTTCAAATAAAAATAAGACACAACCTGCTCTAGGTGGCTGTAAAAGCAGTAGTAGAAAGTGATTTTATTAATTAAATAAATAAATAAACTAGCTGGGTGTAGCACTGCCCACCTATATTCCAGGATACTTAGGAGACTGAGGCGGGAAGATCTCTTGAAACCAGGAGTTCAAGGCTTCAGTAAGTCAAGATTGCACCACTGCACTCAAGACTGGGTGACAGAGTAAGACTCCATATTAAAAAAGAAAAACAAAACCAAAAACATGAACAAAAACATAAACAAAACAGAACAACGAAAAGGAACTCAACACAGAAGTCTAAAGCTAGTTAGATGATTTTCAACAAAGGTTTCAAACATATTCTGACTT
The DNA here is from genome assembly GCF_000001405.40 of Homo sapiens. Classification (NCBI taxonomy): domain Eukaryota; kingdom Metazoa; phylum Chordata; class Mammalia; order Primates; family Hominidae; genus Homo; species Homo sapiens. Next base: position 65,432,455 of record NC_000004.12, on the reverse strand, counting down.
GTTTCCATTAATTAACTGTAGACTTTCTCTAGAAAGTGTTGTTAACCAACCTTATTTCCAGTATTTTTAAGCAATTTTATTGGAGCGCAGGTTACTCTTACCTATTTCACTTCTATATCTATGGCAAGTTTCTACATTTGCAAACATTACATTATAGCAGTCAATTCTATACAGCCATTACTTCAAAAAGCAAATTAAAATGATATTTATTGTACTCCTTAGCAATTTTCACTTGCCTCAATTCCTCCTTGAATTTACAAGAATTGGTTATTTTTGTATCATTTTTGCTCATAAAATGTACAGTTAATCATTAAACTTGAGCTAGAATCAAACTTGTAACATAATGTCATAAAGGCTTTTTTCAAGTTAACTCAATTCTGGTTTTTTAAATAAAAGTTCATCTACAAGTAAACTGACATTTGTCAGTTTTATCCATAAATTTTGAGAAACTAATATTCTATTATGTCTTTAGTGATGATATTACATCTTCACTACTTGTCAGAAATATCTCATACCACTTTCCTGTTTCATTGGCTTCTTGATGGATTGGATCTTTTTTTTTATTGGGCACATACCACATGCTTGTTCTTTTTCTAGCTGTAGAGGATACAAAGATAAATGAGGCCACTCTCTGTGCTCAAGGTTGTATAATATGGAATGCAGGTACATGGATTTTCAGAGGAATGATCTAACTTTCTCTATCTGTGATATCTAATACTTTTCCCAAACTATTTATTTTTAATATTCCCAGCTGTATGGTCACTGGCCAGGACACGTGGAATTGTTGATTGCGATAACCCAACTCACTAGCGCTTGGCATACAGTAGGTTTTCAGTAATATTAGGAAAAAAGGAAAGGAGGGAGGTCGGGAAGAGGAGAATTGCCAGTAGCACTTTTTCTTCGGTGGGAAGACCTGTTAAAAGTCCATGAGATGGAGAAAGAGATGTTTTGAGTTTTGAGGAAAGGAATGTGCTGGTACAAATAAGGAAGAAACTTACATATGAGTCCTTCAGATCTCTGCTTTGTTACTCCACATGCATGTTTTATGTTACTTTTTACAAGTTATTATTTATTAATCGTGAAGTATCAAAGTTTGTGAAATATATACATACATAATTTTAAATATATATAAACTAGAGGATATTTATGGCTATCTGTATTATAATATTTGCCTCAAAGTGTTTACATGTGTATTCCTGAGTGGTAGAGAAAATTGAATTTGCATTTAGCATGCAGGGCATTTCTCAAAATCCACAGTTCATCTTATCTATGGTGCAGCATGCGGAGAGCAGTCATTTTGTGTGTACCGTTAATCGTTGTGAGGATTTATCTTGGCTTATTTTCAGAAGACAATTTTCAAGTTGCATCGGTATAGGAGTATGTAGAGATATTTCTCATATATTTGAATGCTATTACATAAATGCATCATGGTAGATCAAAAATAGTTGTAAAACTTTGATTTAGGTAATACAACTAAGAGTTTTACAATTACACGTCACAGAATGTGCAATAAAAAGTTGCTTAGTTTTTATCAAAGACAGTTGTTTCTCCTATTGCTTTTTATAATCAGCTTTGCAAAGCAGTAAGGAAACTGAGCAAAAATTAAGACATTTATATACTCAAAGAAGAAATTAGATAATCTGAATAATCTTTAACATAATTGTATGTGCGATGACATATTAAATGTAACACTCTATTTAGAGCTATTCTTTCATTATTCTATGGAATAATACTCAAGAATACAAACTCTGAAGAAAGACTGCTAAGGTCTGCCAATTCCTGGTGGGGTGAACTTGGATAATTAACTTCTGTGCATCAAAAAGGGACGATAATAGTTTCTACTTCCTAATGATGTTAGGAAGGATGAATGAGTTAATGTATATAAAGTGCTTAAACTATAAACTGTCTGGCACATAATGTTTCTTATAAATGTGATATATTATGTATTCTTATGGTACAGCAATTACAGTAGCCTCATTATCTATGTATTCATACATACATCTATTTGTTCATTCACTTAGCCAATATTTGTTAAACAATTCTCAAAGCAAAATTTGGACTTAATTCTTTCTAATAATTGAGTTTTTTTCAAAATACATCTTGAGCACTTTGCAGCCAGTTTTATTTACATTTTATTTACTTTTTAAAATAAATAGGAATCTAGACTACTGTTCCAGTGGAACAAAAAATATGGATTTTATGCCATTTAAACTTATAATGATAGATATATAATTATATATTTTATCAGCATTAGAAATTTCTCTGCGTGATCTGTTTGAGTAAAAAATGGCCTTACATGTGACTTGAGCAGCAGATATTTCCCACAACTGAAGAATATGTGGTTTCATTCACTAAAATTGGTCCCATGGCTTAAAAATTAAATATCTGGTAACATTACTAATGTGGAACAGAATGTTGTGATTTGGCTTTTTTTCTGGACTTTAAAAGGTTGACCAGCTGCAATCACTAATCCTGTATTTTCTCTAGTTCCAGGCTGTCATGTTGCTGTTAGAAATGATGCTATTTAAAGATATTGTGATTGGGATGTTTATGAGAGCTGCTGATAAACACTACTCAGGTCTCCCAGTCATTCTGTAGCCATAAAGTTTATTTTTTTGTGTCTACTGGCATAATATCAGATTTTGAAGAAATCATGTCAGATGGTATCAGCGAGAATATATTTCAGCAGAGAAGATGTGGTGGTCCTGAATTTTAATAGTATAATAGAAATTCAATCTGGTTCTTTAAACAATCAATAGATAAATAATTTAATATCACAATTCCTAGTGAATTAAATTATTCTGTTGTTCATTTGGCTATATAAGACTAAGACCAATGAGAAGTGAGAAAGGAAAATGAATAGGTTCTCTATATTTATGATGTGTTTGTTTTGCTTTTAAAAATGCTTGATCAGATTGGTTTAAATTGTGAAAATTTTGAAATAATTAACAACTGAATTAGAGTTTGCACTTTATGGCCTTGTTACTGTTAGTGACTTAGTCTGTGGTTGCCAAAACCCTATTTAATGTGGATTTATAAGAGGAGACTAATTTTTTCTTGTTAAACATAAGCTATAAAAATTTGTTTCTGAGCTAATTACTACTTAATTTCCTGTAAAACAAACTGCAGTATTCCATAATGGAAGTTTGATATTGATAAAACATTATTGAAAATTGCATATGGGACTATATTCTCTTGAATATAGTATAACTGAATAATACTGAGCTGATTAAAGTTTTCCAAATGCACCACGCTATCTGCTAGATATAGCCTCATTTTATTTTACTACAATACTGTAAAAATTATTTGAATTCTGTTTCTTGTAAAATGGGGATTGTGGTTATTAAGATCAAATAATCATTGACACTTAGGACTCTTCGTGTATTAAAAATTCTATTATAGGATAATAACAAGTAATGAATGGAAAACACATTCAATGACAATTAATTTGGTGTGAGATTAATTTTGCTATTCAGAAGGAGGCATGTTGCCATTATACACCTTGTTACATTTAATATTTGTTACTGTGATTTGCACTGTTATTTTACAGAATACTATGAGTGCCAGTGATATAGTTTTCTATTTTTATTATTGTCATTTTCTTTTCAAGTTAATATCACTGTGAATGTGACTTCAAAACAATATTTAAAGTGTATGATTTCAACTATGAACTGTAATCACACCAGAAATTACTTCTTGGCAATTAAGTTACTTTCGTTTCCTGCTGGAAGCAACTAATTTTTAATATTTTGTGATTTTCAAGTCTTTGAAAAAAACCAAACTATACTGAATGGTGCATTTTAGTTTATAAATTCTTTTTATTAAAACAGATACCGTCTCTCTAGAACTACTGACATTTAAGGCCAGGTTTTGGTAAAATGGTCGTTTCAAAACTTTACTGAGGTCATATATCAAAAGATCCAGTTGCAGGCTTTTAAGATGGAGTGATTGTAGGTTTTTGTCTGAGTGAGCAGATTGAATTTTTATTTGAGAAAGAAACCTTTAAAATACCTTCTTTCTTTAGTACAGAACATGGTTAGGTACTAAGTGTGTTGAGAATGCACTGTTAGTTACTTTTCCTGGCCCAACAGTATCAAATGACAACACAGTAAGAAGGATATACTAAGTATGTAAGTATATAAAATTTATGTTATGTATTATAAAAATATAAAGGGTATAATATTGCACATTTGTGAGTGTGTATATTATGTCTGCCTTACTTTTCTGTTAATAATTTTGAATAAGTTTATAATTCAATAACTGCAATTCTCATTTACTTTAGGAAATTTAGTTACTCATTTTCTTACATTCAAATGCTAATATGTACCCCAAAACAAAGATAGCAAAGTAATCACTATATGTAGCTTTATTTATTAAACCAGCTACAGAAGACGTACATGATTCTCTTAGAGATGTATGTATGTCTATGTGATGTGTGTATATATGTATATATAAAATAAAATATGGATTTATCTATATCTGCATTTCATTTAAAAATATATATGTAGTCTGTGGGAGGCAGTTAAATTGTTACATGATCATACACATAGATAGTAAAGATAAATACTGAAAGACAGTATTATACCAAAATTCAGTGTAGACAGTATTATACTATTATTCAGATAGATACTGAAAGACAGACATGAAAATCAAAGATGTATTCACTATGCTAATGCCAATACTATTTCATCTTAGAAAATATAAACCAAAGATAAATTCATTGGATGTAGGTTTTGTAATTTCCCATGTTTCTCTGGAAATTCTATAACTGTAGCTTAGGTTTTTAGATTAGCTAGGGCTTGTCTTCCTATTTTTCCCTCTTCCCTTTTCCACCTTTGTGAAGAAGTGAAAGAATGGAAAGCCTTATGAAGAGAGTCATAAGACACATAGATTTAAAACCATACTTTGTCTTTCATCATTTCAAAAATCTGTTCTTTACTGAAGGAATATATTTTATCTTAAAAATATACTCAAGGACGGGGCGCGGTGACTCACGCCTATAATCCCAGCACTTTGGGTGGCCGAGGTAGGTGGATCATGAGGTCAGGAGTCGAGACCAGCCTGGCCAAGATGATGAAACCCTGTCTCTACTAAAAATACAAAAATTAGCCGGGTGCAGTGGCAGGCGCCTTAACCCCAGCTACTCGGGAGGCTGAGGCAGGAGAATCGCTTGAACCCGGGAGGCAGAGGTTGCAGTGAGCAGAGATCGCACCACTGTACTCTAGCCTCGGTGACAGAGCAAGACTCCATCTCAAAAAAAAAAAAAAAAAGAATACACTCGAGTTTTATAATTACTAAACATACTTATACATATAATTGTCTCTCTATATATAAATATGAAATTGTGTGTGGGTATATTCGCATATATATTCTTGGACTTTTTTTCCAGTAACTCTTATTTTATACAAATAGTTAGGGGTGGTAGTCACTTGACTTCTAATTCTTTATTTATTCTTTGCTCCAGAAGTCTCTAGATTTCCTTGAAATTCTTTAATAACATTGTTTACTCATTTTACTATTCCCTGTCCTATTCATATGTAAGTCAGATACATATTCAATATATACTAGATTCAAATATAGTTCTACCTATATTGTGCTGTGCCAAAAACAAATAAAAAATATATTGCTTTGAAGACATTTATACTGAAATTAAACAGGTAAGTAACTGGATGACAGGTGGTGAGAGCCACTCTTGGAGCAAGAGGTTACAGATAAATAAAGTGAGGAGACTAGAACGATCCATGCAATAATTGATTCGACTTAAAAACTATAAAGTAGGACCATGTGCTATATATCCTTTATTAGCTTTAAATCCCAGAAAAATAATTTATGCATGTTAGAAAAATTAAATGCCATTCTATGCTCCAGGAATTTTCAAGGCACATGAGATATATCAATAAATAAGACAGTAGAAGTACCTCCCATCATGGAAGCTATATTCCTGTAGAATATAAGACAATACACAAGTAAAGAAATAAGCATATCATTTCAAGCAGTGCCATTATAAAGAAAAATAAGAAATTAACAAATGGTCAATCAGTCAGGAAGTTAATTCTGAAAATATGACTTGTATTTTAAAGACTTGAATAAAGTGAAGGGCAATTTAGAGGAAGATAAGGAAGGACATTCTAAACTAAAAGAAATGCAAGTGTAAAGGGTCTGAGGCAGGACAAATTTAGAGTGCTCAAGAAACATATAGAAGGTCATGTCCATGAAAGGGAAAATCAAGGAAAGATAAAATAAAATCAAGGAAAGATAGTTGACTTGATGACTTGAGAAATTTAGGCAGAGGATAGAGCATGTGCAACCTAGTAATCCATAAGGCAGGGTAGTGACGTGACAAAATTACAGCATGAACAATAACACACTGGCTGTTCTTAGAAAAACTCCCTGAAGGCCAGGAAGGTGTAAAGAAGTAGTCCAATTAAGAGAAAAATCATGGCGTCTTCAACGAGGGTGGACGCGGTTATACATTTTACGAAGTTGTCAGAAAAATATTCTAAGGACTAAGCAAGCAACAATGAACCAGACATAAGATTTTTCTAATTTTATAGATTATCAACAGACTAAACCGAATTATGGCATGAATGAACAAACAAATCAAATTACCAACAAATACTAAAGGGTCAGGAAAATACCAAATATAAGCAGAAATAATCCTCACAGAAAGGCAAAGTTGCTAACAATGATTAGGATAACAGGCAACAATAGTGAGCCACTGGTTCAAGTCAGCAGCAGTTCAGAAAACCTCAATACTGATCCAACTTTCAGCCTCAGCTTTCTAAGTTTGATTTTTTATAAAAGAAGCATTAATAATAATTATTATTTTTAAAATAGTAATAATAATATTTTTTAAAAAGAAGAATTAATCCTAGTATGGTTTGCCTTAATTACTTCCTGAATTTTACTGACAAAATGATTCCACCAGAGTCTTTACTGAAAATACAGAATCTTGGTCCCAACTTGACCTACAGAGTCAGAATTTTCTGGAGAGAAGCCTAATACTCTGTGTTGTTTTGGAATACTGTAGTGGCCTAGACATGCTTCATTAATAAGACCTGCTTCATTAATAAGAAGTACCTTAATATGATAAAGTGTGCATAGCAGTGAGAAGTGGGGGCTTCCAGCTGGCAGATACTGACAGTTCATTTGGCCAAATTTTAACCTATAGAATCAAATGTAAAATACATGTATTTTTAAACCTTGTGTTTAAATGAACTAACACATGACTGACGTGTAGGGACTTCAGTTGGAAAGTTTAAAAAGTGTCATCTGATGAAGTTTTTAACACATTCATGGACTGTCATAGACTGAAAAGATTTCAATATTGTTTTATTTACCTCTCTCTAGTCTTTGAGACTTAAAATATGGGTATATAAATCAAATGCATGGAGTTTTATTTATTTATTTTTTTAAATACAAGTAACCAATACTTGATTCTATTTATAATTTACTGCCTACACAAAAAGTGTTGGCTATAGGGATGCGTGAATGGTATTTTCTTATTCCATTTGACACAGCTGAGATTCATGTTTTCATCATGTTCACTTTGTTTTAAAGAATGAGGAAGATATTGTTCTATACTAAGTGTAACTATCAATGTTTTAATTGACATTAGAAAGCCCAACATTTTAATTAATAAAATTAATAAAATCAAGGAAATTTACTCATAACTTTTTATTAATTTAGAGTCATGAAGCCTTGGATGCAGAAAACAAAGCATCTCATCTGTGTAAGCACTTTGCCTTTGGATCTCATCGAGCATTTTAAAGCAGTGCCAAGTTCAGAGAAGAAGCGACAAATAATTTTGACTGATAAAGGATAAAACAGTTAAAGAATTGTGGAAAATTCATCATTGAAAACTTCTTAAACAATTTTCTAATATTTTACAACCGATATTATTACAAATAGTATTTATTTGGCACCCACCCTGTACCTGACATTGTACCTGAAGAATAAGATGTCAACCTTCAAAAAATGAATTTATATTATTGTTCCTATTATAAAGATTGAAAGCACATTTATAAAAGTTAACTAACTAACAGAATTACATAGAAATGTCTGGCTGCCAAAATACCTGAAGTCAATTCTATCAGGCTTCAACGTATCTGTACCATGGCAGGCCTTTCCATCTTGGAACACTGTGCCTTAAACTAGGTTTCTATATCTGAAAAGTAAGGAAGATATATTGTTTTATACAACTGATGACAGGATTTTGTATATCATTGATATCATTGTTTGTGTCATTGGGATATTAGAGGTTTCTACATTATATCATTATCAATAAGTCAAACAGACACAGATGAACAATTCTGAACAATTCAGTACATACTAGACATATGTACTGGAACTGAATAATTAAGTTCAGTTGAATGGCTGATGGTGGGACTCACCATTAGAGTGGGAGGTTACAGATAAGTAAGGTGTGAAAGCTAGAATTATTTATGTAATAATTAGAGTTCGCAACATCAGTATATATGCATCTTTAGGTTAATATAGATATAGGTAGTTATGTATAGGAATATGTATAGATATACACAAGTTAATATACACATTTATGTCCTTGTCCTGTCAGTTAGAGGGCTTAGAAGCAATGGCACCTCAGTGGCAAGAAACACACTCAACACCCAGATCTTGGTTTCTAATGCCTTTTCTAATAAATGAAACCAGTGCTCCTTACAGAAATGAATGACTCTAGGACTGGAGCAGTGAATAAGCAAGATGAGCCTAGAGCATCTGGTCTTTTAGTCCCAGAAGATAAGAAAATAATGTAGAAAAAAAAAAAACAGACAAACCCATAATGATGGGGGTATATCAAAGAGACATAGGAGCTCTGAAAGAGCTTCCAATGGCCAAAGCGTTAGCAAATTAAGTAATAAAATAAAGTATTCGACTATAAACCAAGGTATAAAAATATCCATGTCATATTGATGTAAATAATTACATAAATTTAAAAATGAAGAAAAATGGACAAATTTCCCATGCAGAAGAATTTCTAATAATTTAAGTAGATATTCCACCATCAAGAAAGTGAATTATAAATTCCCACTCCTTAAATGTGGGCTACAAATAGTGACTTTCTTCCAAAAAGTACAATATTGAATGCTGGGGAAAAAATGTTATAGTGGAGGAACAGTAAACCCTATGTCACTCAGGAAATCAAAGGTGACATAACGGTGATGATAGGTAGATAGTGTGTACCTTCAATATGATGTAATAGGATTTGCAATTTACCTTTGTGGTCATACCCCAAAAAACCCACAACCCCATTTTAATCATGAAAAAACATTAAATTAATCCCAGTTGAGAGACTGCTTACAAAATACCCAACCAGTGTGCTCCAAAAGTGTCAAGGTCATCAAATCAAGGAAACTTTGAAAAACTGCCATAACCAAGAGGAGCCTAAGAAAACATGATGACTAAATGAATGTGGTTTGCTGGATGGAATCTCAGGACAGAAAAAGGACATTAATTAAAGACTAAGGAAATCTGAATAAACTGTGGACTTTAATTGATAATAATCTACCAGTATTTGTTAATTAATTGTGACAGATATAATGTGCTAATGTAATATATTTCTAATAGGCGACACTAGATGTAAGGTATGTGGGAATGCTATTATCTTATTTTTCTATAAAAATAAAGCTATTCTAAATTTAAAACTTTAAAAATTTGAAACAGACAAGGCAATCAGTTCATAATGGGAACTGTAGTAGCCTAAAGGATCTCCATTTTGCATATCATACTAGTATGCAAAGGTTAGCTCTAACACAGAAGGTACAATATGGAAAGAGTTTGGAATATTTCCACATATCTTAAAGCTACAACTCAGAAGTTTGGAAATTATTTTATACTCTTCACAACTTGATTTCCTTGGTACTTTTTTCTATCCTTATACAGGGACAGTAATAGTTTTATGATTTGACATCACCCATCAAAATTCTACAAGCATAAATGCTCTAAGTCATCATTCTCATTTGATACCAGACTTAAAAGGTTGAGCAGGCAGAGAATGGGCAAAAGGTATCAGTGAGGGAGACAAATAAGATAAATTGAGCATGCTCCTTGATGCTGACAAACCTGGTTACAGTTATTTTAATGTGCATAATACTTGCAGTGGTGAAGGATTGCTGCCATTCACAATTTGTGCATCATCATTATGTCCCCAGGAGTTGTCAGCATCCCCACTTTCATCAGCTTTACCCAGAAGATGCAAAGATGCTCTTGTCACAGAGGAAATTATCCCTGACCTATTCTGAGCTCAGAAATGGTCTTCTCCCCTCATTCTAAACCAGTATTTTAAAGTGTATTCTTAGCTACTGAACTGAGTTTGGAAAACACTGGCGTTTGTTAACTAAGTGTTTGAAAGTGAAATAGTTTATGCTTAACTTTGATTAATGCAAGTAAATAACAAAGTATTCCACCTTAGGCTGTTTCTGTGTTGGTATTTATTTGTTGTCTTTACCCACAAATGATTATTTTATTGAAGAACTGATTAAGTTTTAAAATGAAGCACAAATCCCAAACTAATATTATCCTAGTATGTGCACCTATGAGACAAATTCAGTTTTGAATGACACATAATTAAATATGAATTTGCCATTCATTCATCCATCCATCCATCAATTCATTCAACAAATATTCATTAAATTTCTATATGCTAAACAATTTTCTCATCTTAGAAATGTAGCAGTGAACTAAACCAAATCAATTCCTGCCTTCATGAAGCATACATATTAAATATAATTTATGAATAGCAAGGTGGTAATACCACCAATTCATTAGGTAAAAACTGACAGCTATCTCCAAGAAATAAGTAAATCTAAAAAAATGATTTTACTATAGTAAAGTGAGTGAAGAACTTTGAAGACTTAGTCTTTCTCTGCGATTTTTACTGTTGTGTTATGAAACATATGTAGTGATAATGGGAAATTGAGCATAATTCATGATTCAAAATAATTCATACAGATATTCACTACTGAACAAAATATATTCAAAACTTCATTGTCTTACTTAACCCTCTGTTGTTTCTATTTCAGTAATGTTAGTACTTTTCAATAAACACTACAGTGAACTAGGAGGCCCATAGATTACTATTCTATGTTGCCATGTCTTTTAGACATGTTATCTATACATATATCAGCAGATTGATAAAAAGAACTTTGACTCAAATATTCAGATGTTTTGCAAACTCAAAATATCCAGACATACCCGAAAGAGCAGATATATAAGTCCTATTTTCATTAGACAAGTGGTGGTTTCATAGACCCGATATAAAATTGTGATGATCACCAGAAGTGATTATGATTTCTAAGGAAATATATGAGAAAAACGAGAATAAAAAAAGTTTATTTTATTTGCTCTTATTTTAAAGTGTATCATATCTTTGGTGGCATGTTTCTTAAGGAACCTGCCCATGTTTAATATATACATTTATTAATGATTTTAGGATCCATGTAATTTCAAATGTAATAAATTATAAAAGAGAGTTTGTGTTGTGCAAATGCAGTAATATAATCATGTATCTATTAGCATAATGGGATATGTCATATAGAGCTCATACATTTTAGAAATGTAGAAGATACATAAAATAATCAGGAATATCTTTATTCTATAAATTATGAAATAAAATAATTTATGTTTCTAAACAACTTGGAAACAATATAGAATACAAATAGTTTTATTATGAAAAAATCCTGAGGATATTTAGCTGATTTATATTTGTAAAAAATCTTCACAATCTTTAAACCTTATATAGAAAAACTAAAATTTAATTGGGATTTTTTTTATATTGCTACGTTCTCAAAATGCCAATATACGTAATAAACATAACAGGTTTACTTTTAGGGCCTTATTAATCATACTGCTCCTTATTTAAACTATTTTGCAGCTCCATCTCCAGTCACCAATGTGAAAAAAGGGAAAATTGCAAAAAACAGCATCTCTTTGTCTTGGCAAGAACCAGATCGTCCCAATGGAATCATCCTAGAGTATGAAATCAAGTATTTTGAAAAGGTAAGACTAACAGAATAAAAAATGTCCTCACTTTCTTTTTTTTTTCATTTTAGCAACTACAATTATCCAACTTGCAGAAGAGTATGTTGCAATTTTATGTGTAAATCAATGACAATTGATTCTGCAGTCATAATTATGGAGGCTAGAAGTGTACAGGGAGCTCTCTATTCATGTTCTGCTGCTGCCACATAGTTTACACTGCTTAGATATAGCCATATAGTCTAATATTGGCTTAACTGAGTTGCACAGCATTAAAAGATGAAGTCATAGGGCATTTGAAAGTGTTACAAATACTTAAGCTATAGACTTTCAGTAGTGACTGCAGTGTGCTAACAGAGAAATGTGTGCTTATGGCCAGTAACTCAACATAACACCTATACTGTTAAGGAGATAAGAAAAAAGATGAGACACATATATCACATACATTTTTTAAAGATTCTTAGCAAACATCTGGCACTGTAGTATAAAATTTATGTTTAAATTTCAGGTAAAAAATAAAAAATGTATGCATCACGTTCCCTATATTTTCTTGATTTCCCCTTGTTCTCTGAGTCTCTTATAGCCACTTTTAAACATTTTACCGTAATAGCTGTCGAGGTCTCAAGGTTGTAATAAACTCTTTTCCTCTTTTCTGAATTCACAAGCAAGTGAGCTATTGATGAAAGAGTCATACAGATGGAAGCTGAAAAAGCTTCTAATTTCTAAAACTGGGCTGGAGTATGTGGCTCAGAGATGTAGCCACCATGAGTCTTCCTACTACTCCCGCCCCATTCATCTGTGATTTTTCTACTGGCTGGACCTGAATGGCATACGCACCTTAGGACAACCTGAATTCTAAAAGAGGAGCTAAAGATAGATGGGTACCCAAACCAGCCTTTGAGAAGTGGGTTGGAGAGTCTGAGCTAGAAATATTGGTCCTATGGAGGTAGGAATAGAAATGAACAAGTAAAAAATGCAGACATGCAGATCCCAAAAAAGAAGAGAAGGACTGAACCACGCTACTTACTCAATTGCTTTTCCAGACTCACAGAGACATCACTCCTTCGTTTTTTCTGGAAGAGTAAAAGGGATGGTAGGAAATACAAAATCTTACTTTACAATACCTAAGAACTTGCCCAAGCTAGGGCATTGGAAAAGAGAGGGAGAATAAATGGTTCTCCTCACCATCATGAAAAATGCTAATGTCCTATTAATGAAAATTACTTAAAAGTGCAACTATATATATACATATATACATGCATAGATAAAAGAGTTTAGGGCCGGGTGCGGTGGCTCATGCCTGTAATTCCAGAACTTTGGAAGGCTGAGGCGGGTGGTCGCCTGAGGTCAGTAGTTCGAGACCAGCCTGCCCAACGTAGTGAAACCCTGTCTATACTAAAAATACAAAAAATTAGCTGGGTGTGGTAGCGGGCACCTGTAATCCCAGCTGCTCAGGAGGCTGAGGCAGGAGAATTGCTTGAACCCAGGAAGCGGAGGTTGCAGTGAGCCAAGATCGCACCATTGCACTCCAGTCTGGGCAACAAGAGCAAAACTCAGTCTCGAAGCAAAAAAAAAAAAAAAAAAAAAAAAAAAAAAAAAGAGTTTAGGTAAGTGTATTGAATGTTAATTTGTCACAGTATACAAAATTCAAAAATAAATTTTCTTCTTTCATTCATTGATTCAACAATTGCCTGTGTAAAAATACAACAAAGAATAAAACAATGGGGAGGGATGGAGAAAGGCTATCTACATATTTACAGGTTTTTAATGTTTCTACAATGTTCGTATATTGATTTTACTAGTAGATAAATAGTCAACGATTTTTGAAATAGTCATCTTTCTAGGAATGTCTTACTGGTAGTATTAAATGCAACTATCAGATAATTCCGAAACATAAATGATGACACATACTTCAAAAATAGGTTATTAAATACATTATTCACCAAAAATGCTCTTAGAGAATACCTCTGAGACAAAGTTATGTTGGGATATGGTTAACACTGTTTATTGTCAACAAAACTGTAGTTAATCAAGTGGAATATAGTGACATTAAACTTTCTCACTGATTACTGTTCCCGTGAGATTACTAGTAACAAACAGCATTGCAAATTCCAGAGGTCTACAATTTAAACATAGGCTATATCAAAAAACAATTTGTAAAATTAAGGTTTATATTTCTTATTCAAGTTTTTGTAACCTTTGTTACTCTATACTGATGCAAAGCTATGTAGAGTTATATAAATATATATTAACACATGCTGAATTCTGTTGTGAACATTGTTTCTCAATTTTCATTGCGATTAAAGTTGATTTTAAAAGAAGGTAAAATGCAAAATAGAATTGTAAAACATCCAGTCACCAAAAACTGTATATTTGACTATCTGAGATGCAATAAGGGTTAATAGCTGGGAGACTAAAAGTTTAACAAGTACTTACATTTTCTTTTATCTCTGAATCAACTAGCTGGATTAATGCTGGCTTTCTTTTTTGTCCTTGAGGAAAGCATCCTATTTTTTTTCCCCTTATGAATAACCTTTGATATTTTTGTGACCACTTCCCAGCATATGCATTAGTTTCATTATGTATATAATATTCAATATTAAGAAGAATTTATCTTTTTAAAAAACGTTGCTGCTTCTGTTACAACAAAGAGTTATTCAACAAGTGGTAGGGAGGAGTTTCTATTAAATATTTATCCACATTGTGATATTATTTTCTTTATAGTTTAATTTTTTTTGAGTTACATTTATCTCAGTATGATTTGGTCTTATATTTAATAGTTCAAATTTAATGCTGTATATTCCATTATATGATCTGTATAACTCAAATTAAGAAAAAATGACTTGGGAAAAAGGTTTCTAAACATATTTCCAATAAATTAATAATAAGTTGCCTATTTACATTCATTAAAAGCAGAAAAATCTTTATATAATATATTGGTGGAAGTGATTATTTTGGTCAGTGTTTTCCTTTTTAAAATAAAAGTATTAATTCCCGGACCATCGTGTGTGAGCCAAATATTTGAGCATATCTACATTATACCTATAAAGATTTTTTAAAGACTTTCATTTATAAAAAAAATGGATTATGAGTTTTTATACCATGTATTGAGTTAGGGGTCCTGATAGGTTTTCAAAGCTGATTTTGAGCTTTCAGAATGACACCACCATTTATTGGATGGCTTTTGGCCAGACACAGGTGGCAGAGCTTTCCAGGGCACATGCATTTGCCAGCTGGCATTTCTGCCTGTGATTGCCCTGCTCTAATAGAGGTCATTGGGCTTCTCTGCTACCGTGTGATGATGGGCTCATTGCCATCTCTTAATTAAAGGCAGAGGCAAAGGGAAGCTGCCCCTTGGCAGGGTGTTTGCCAGCTGGCTCCTTCTGCTGAGGCCGTCCCCTCACTGCATGTGAACAGTGTTTGCTAAGCAGCTGGGGAATGTAGCTCATTTGCTCAGCTGGGGCACGAAGGCAGGAAAAGTCACTGCCCTGACCAAGGACTTGGCAGCAGGGCAATTGTGGGTGTTGACAATCTTTACATAAAGTTTGTGATATGTAGAAAATTACAATATGAGAGTGATTTAAAGGAATGAAACATAATTAAATTTTGGAAGACGCTTAGATGATTCACAATGTGTATTCGTTGGTTTTGATCCACTAGATATATGCTTCCCTAAATTTTCTTCAATAACTTATGTATGGCAAACTCAGAGAGAGCCAATGTACAATTAAACTCTAGCTAAGGAACAACTGAGACATACATAACGTTAACAGTTAAATCAGACAGAATGTTCTGCAATTGATATTAGATCACACCTTATTTCAAGGAGCAGCAGCCCAGTTTCCTTGTATATGTTTCCTTTTTGGCAAAAAAGTATCAATTTCTAATATTTTTACAAAATGTATTCATTGTACCTTCAGTAGTTAGTGTTTACAACTGTGGAAGCTTTTAAAAATTGTTTCGTTTTTTACTTTTCAATGGGGGAACTTACCATCATGCTATAGAGTTAAAAGTAATCCATTCTACATAGAACCTATTTTGTAGAGATTACGCTTGGTGGTACATGCATTATTTTTATCTCTATCTCCTTCCAATATTCTTGGTAAATAATTTTATCTCCATTTTAAGGAAGAAAAAACTGAGGTTCAGAGTTGTTTACCCACATTTTCTCATCTACTTAATAATATGGCTGGAATTCTAATGCTGTCATTGAGGCCTTCTTTTAATTGTTTATATTATAAATGTTAATCCTTTACGTAAAAATGAAAATTTTATAAAGTCTATCAGAATTTTATACTTAAATTCTGACTAGATTTTTTCTTTAAGTTAAATTTTCTTTAAACAAATATCAGCAAACAGACATTTAACTTACTTACTGAGAGTTACTACTGCAATCATAGCCAGACTGGAAAGTTGAATATTATTGAGAAATATTGCTTTTAAACAATATGGGAAAATAATATTTTTCAATAATATGGAGAAATAATAAATAATATTATCAGGTTTATTCCATTAAGAACCTGTGCATTCTCAGAAAAATTAGTAACTGTCATAGTTTATAGAAGCTGTTTACAGTTGTTAAAAGGAACACATTAAGAAATTATTTGCTTTTTACTGCTATGATCCTAGCATACAGAAGGGGTAATAGAGTGGATAATGGAAGAGCATTACACGTTTGTCAATGAAGAAATTTCCTGGTATTATTAGGTAAAGTTTTACAAGATTTAATTACCTACTTTGAATCCTTGGCTCAAATTTAATAAAATTTCCTAAATATATGAAAGTTTAGATAATTAAATTAATTTGCAGTTTAAAAAATTAAAGATCAATCATTTGCCTAGGATGAATCAGAAAATGTGCTATTTGGCTTATAAATTATACCATACCTATTTAGAGAGAATTTTGGACCTACTTAACTCTAAGATAATTTTATATGATTAAACATATTACAAAAGGAATGGTAAATTGCTTTAAAAGAAAAATGTTTATAGATTGTATATTTTAGATAGTATTAGTGGTAGTTAACTTTGACATTACATATAAGAAAGAATTACAAATATTTAAAATAATTATGAAAATTAAAACATATATTGTAGTTTATGAACTGTTTTCACATATGTTACCTGTTATATTTTTACAACATCTCTGTGAGGAAACCCAAGCAAGTCTCTACCCAGTTTTACTGATAAGGAAACTGAATATAAAAGCAAAAATGGACCCGTTATATTTGAGCATGTGATTTCTGTATCCATGGTAAAGTTGGTGTGGTAACTTCACAGAGATAATAAGGAGCTATGGATGGTTAGTCTAAACTTTTGTTGGCATCAAAATAAAAAGTTCCTCTTTGTTTCAGTTCCCAAAACTATCTTTCCAGTAATTTTTTTCCTAGTACATCTCCATTAACTTAGCCCCTCCAAATCAGGACATTTTCAAAGATAAATAAAAACGTTTTGCTTATCTGCATTTTTCTTTAATGCTTTCTATTTAGACTTAGTGAATTGAAATTAAATTTCACCAGTGAAGTACTAATTTCTTACCTTAAGAACTAAATACAATTAGAAATTGAATTCACTAATGAGTTAAAGCATAAGTCTTACCTCACAGAATGGGAGATGTTGTTAACTTTCTGTATGAATAGGCAGTATGTTAGACATGCTCCGATTAACTATATTGGAGGGAAAAAAAGCACAAAAATAACAATACTAAAATAGAGTCTGTAAAATAATCAGTCTCCTACAACATTATGTTTTCAAAGTTTTAGAAATTTATTACTGCCGAAGACATGTATTCCGGATGGGTGGACAGTATGTCACCCACCACCTTGAGTTCTAGAAAAGACTTTAATATTCTATGTAAATAGCACACCTAGGATGTGTAGGATTTTTTTCTAAAATGTTATATTTGTACTAATAGAGTCCTTTGGTTTCTGATTCATTTTCTGATCTATGATTCTAAATTTTGCTGTCATTAGTAATTTATATGCTGTCTTTTTTATTGTATATGCATGCGCATCCCAAGGACCAAGAGACCAGCTACACGATTATCAAATCTAAAGAGACAACTATTACTGCAGAGGGCTTGAAACCAGCTTCAGTTTATGTCTTCCAAATTCGAGCACGTACAGCAGCAGGCTATGGTGTCTTCAGTCGAAGATTTGAGTTTGAAACCACCCCAGTGTGTAAGTCATTTTAATTACTGTCAGCTCATGTCTCAGTAATGGTTACCAGAAAAGAGTCAGTGGATCAATACCCTCCCTGGGCACTCTGTCAGTCTCACTCTCCCTCTCTCTCTCCCAGGCATGACCCCTTCAGGTAGGAAGCATCTGTCATGCTATTATGGTAGGTCGGCAGGTTAACACGTTGGTCCGTGCTCCTCATTGCATTCAGTCTTCTGGGAGATGGTACTTCAGGAGATACTTTAAAAATGTTTAAACTTGCTTTTAAAGACTTTCTTTCTACTGCTGCCATACTTTATTGAATTATTCCCATTTACTTTTTTAGTCGTTTTATTGAACTAGGCTACTAGGTTTAGTCTTTCTTTGAAAATTCCACAGGGAGCTTTCTTTAGCAGTGAGTTTGGCAAGAAAATGGTGCTCTCAGGAACTAATCTGATCTCATAAAATATATTAAATCTCTGGCACTGTCTTTAAGTGGAGAATCTGGGAATATTTTTTGGAGCACCCTTTTTGAATCACTTTTTTCTCTATAAAAATAGCGTAAAATATTTTCCTTTAATTTCAACAAAATATTTATGTTACTTACTTGCCCTAAACACATTGAAAGAAGAATTCGAAGACAGAAATAGACGCTATTAAAGTTATTTGTGAGGAAATACACAGTATTGTGAAATGGCAGAAGTATATATGTGTGTCTGTGTGTGTGTGTATTTGCTTTAAGCCAAGTTACATAAGAACTAGTAATTTTAAAATAAAGAAAATAAAATGCATGCTTCCTTTTTTCAAAAATCAATGAAATGATAATTCAGTTATGAATTTACTTGGTAAGAATCAGAAGAGTTATTAAATTAAAATGTGAATAAAACTATATTATACATCCCCTTTGAAAATCAAGATCTTCTTTTTAAAGCATATTTAAGTGAATTATTTAAAAATATTTTTTATTCCTTTAAAATAGCTTTCTAAATGTTGTTTCACTGAATTTTATAAAGAAAAGGGTGCCATTGTAAAAAATTATAAATTTGTTTTCTACGCAAAGGAAAATCCATGAGTGAAGTTTAACTGAAGCTACTGAAATTTGAACTTCTAATGCTATTCAGAAAATTTTCTTTTCTTACTAGATTTAATAGGAACATGTGATATTAGTCTGAAAATTCTCGTAATATTAGTAATGGATTGTTTAATCCTGCACCTTGAAACTAAAAGGGATGTAGGAAAAAAGGTATGCTATATAAGTTAGCCATCTTAACAAGACTTGATTCTATTTAGGTACAATTAGTAATAAATATTGCTTATGTGGTCTACCAACTCTGGGAACAAAGCCGTAAATGAAATCTCAAACTATGCTTGAGTGCTTTGATAACTATACCAATGAAAAATCCCATTTAAAAAAACAACTGTAAATTCTACTCAGTTTTAGGATGTTGGCACATTCAGCAACTGGTTTTTCTTCAGGCTTTTCAATATTCTATCATTTACATATGTATTAAATGGTAGCTACCAGGCACACCAAAACTCAATCAGATGACTTAGAGGACTAATACTTAATCATTTCCTGTTTACTTTTACAAAATTTTACCTGAAATAAGCTACTTTTAAAACTTTTCCTATATAATTTCTAAAGAAAAAGAAATATCTCCCACTGTTTTTTTATTACTGAAGTAGATTGTAGCATTATTTTTAATAGCTAATGAAAATACTTCAATATCATACTGCCTCCTAGCTACGAGTAAAATCTTATTTTCTACTCATATATGTGCAAATATATTTAAAAACTTTTTAAAGAATGAATGTATTATTTGTAGAGAGTATCTATTAGATATCAATTCCCTTTTGATCTTTATGTATAATATTTTCTGAATATAATTCAACAACAATAGTTTATTGAACACCTATAACATATTAGGCTTTGCTAGGCCCTGAAGAAATCAACATGAGTAACAACACATGGAAACTTCTCTCCAGACAAAAGGAATATACTGTGTTTAATTCTAAAATATGGAATATTTGTTTCAAAGAGCATTTTAGAGTAATAGTTTTGCTTGTTTATTTATTTATATTGAGAGAGTCTCACTCTATGGCCCAGACTGGAGTGCAATGGAGCTATCTTGGCTCACCACAACCTCCACCTCCTGAGTTCAAGCGATTCTCCTGACTCAGCCTCTCAAGTAGCTGGGATCACAGGCATGCACCACCACGCCTGGCTAAGTTTGCATTTTTAATAGAGATGAGGTTTCTCCATGTTGGTCAGTCTGGTCTCAAACTCCCGACCCTAGGTGATCTGCTTGCCTTGGCCTCCCAAAGTGCTGGGATTACAGGCGTCAGCCACCGTGCCCAGCCTAATTTTGCTTATTATTTTAAAATTGATTTTATTTAATTTCTAGCCATCAAAGGGTTTCTTTTTAGCTCAAGATGCTGTAAGTGACTCAAATAATTCTAAGGAATAATCCCTTCTTTCTCAAGGCCTATTGTCTAATAAAGAATCAAAGAAGATACACAATGATAATTAAATTAATACTTTTTTCCAGAACTTTTGTATTGTATTTTTGTAGTATTTTCTGAAATCCACATTAATTATTTTACTGGGCAATTATTTACTTCATACCATATTTTAATTCTTTATGTACATTTATTATTTCCCAACCTATTGGTATTTTTCCTCGTTAAGCTATCAGTGATTTTTATTTGGTAAGTCATAGTTAAAGAGTTCTGGCTTTAATGAGCCATCTGTACTAAGAAAAATTGATTTTATCAGTCAGGTATGTAAGAATAGGAAATTATTTTAAAATTTCCCTGAGTATACTTTTTAAAAAGAATTTTCCAATTGCCTGTTCAATTCATAAGGATGATACAAATAATGAAACATTGACACTTTTTGGCATTTTTATATAATTTATTTTTACTAATTTATATTACATTTCCGTCATTTGTCAACAAAAAGTTAAAATGTTATGAGTGCTTTTATTTTTCATTGACATTATCTTGTAAGTCAAAATATAGCCCTAAAGAGAAATGCAAACAGTAGTACCAACAGGAAACGCAAAACTTTTTTTTTAGAAAAACTATTTAATATGAAGATTTGGGTAGAAAATCTCCAATTATTCTTCCTCTGCCATGCTTTAGTTTATGTCTTATAACTGTTAACTTCTTCATTTTAATTTTATCATGCATAAAAATAATATATTTAAAATTGATTTTTTACATTACCCCCATTCTCAACAGCAGTGATAAAACAAAACAAAACAAAACAATATATCAACAAAGAAACTTACCATGAATAAAACCATTCAGCCAAACTCGTTAGACCCTTTTCTGGTTTCTTTTAACATAATTTATCTTGAAGCTTTGAGACTGTAACGGAATCTATCTTAACCTTTACATGCCCAAGATTTATCAATCACATTTGTGATTCTTTTAATTTTTAAAAATGCATCACTTCCTTTTATCTAACTATATCTATTTGTCTCAAATCTGTGTAGTCTGAATGAGGAAATAATGATATTGTGTTTTTTATTAAAAATTGTATTGAGATAATTGTGGATTTGCATGTAATTGTAACAGCAATACAGACCACTCTTATACACTTTACCTAGTTTTCACCATGGTAATATTTTACAGAACCATAGTATAATATCACAACCAGAACATTTGACGTTGATGCAATCAATCCACAGATCTTAATCCTGTTTTCTTGTATTCCTTTGTAAATGTGTATGTGGATACGTATGTGTATTAGATTCTACGCCATTTGGTCACTTGTACAAGTTTGTGTATCTACCACCGACCTCAAGTCATCAAACAATCCCAATACCGTAAAGATCCCTTGTGTTGCTTTTTAATAAGCACACCCACTGCCTTTAAGAACAAATGTGTTATCACTAAGCCCTGGAAACCATTCATCTGCTGTTTATGTATAACGTTTTCAAATTTCAAAAATGTTTTATAAATAGAAACATGCAGTACGTGCCTTTTAATTTGGAATTGGCTTTTTTCACTTAGCATGATTCCCTGCAGATTGATCCAGATTGTGGTGTATATCAAGTTTGTTTATTTTTATTACTGAATAATATTCCATAATATGTATGTGCCACAATTTGTTTAACCACCATTAATTTGTTGAAGGATGTCAGGGCTGATTACAGTTTTTGCTATCACAAATAAAGATACTGTAAACATTTGTATACAGATTTTTATGTCAAAGTAAGTTTTTATTTCCCTAGGATGAATTTCCAAAAGTACAACACTGGATTGTATAGTAATTGTATATCTAATTTTGTAAGAAACTGCCAACATGTTTTCCAAAACGGCTCTATCATTTTCCGTTTCCACCAGCAATGGATGATTGATCTGGTTTCTTTACATCCTTGTCAGCATTTGGAATTGTCATTATTTATTTACTTATTTGTCAGTCATTTTGAATAAGTGGGTAGTGATATCTCATTATTTTGAAAATCACTGTTAGCTAATTACGTTCAACATCTTTTCATGCACTTATTTGCCTACCATACTGTTTTTAATGTTTCCACTGATTCTACATACTTACATTACTTATTAAAAATTATGCCTTTGATTAAGTTACCCTGATTAAGAAAGTTTATAGATACCTATTGCTGTGAGAGAAGGATCCCAAATTCTTACTCTGACCTGTAGCCTTATAATCTGGCTCTTGCAATTATTTTAACCTTCAGTGATGAACTCTTCACACATATAGCTGAGGCAATAAAGTCTAGAGAATATCCACATAATATGGGTCTACAACCAGGAGTGTGGGAAGCAAAGTGAAGTTAAAAATGTGACTTCTCAGTATATGCTGCCTTAAAATTTCCAGGCATGATGCAAATGTATAATGATTTTTTTAAGAAACATTATTATTTACTAAAGAATATTACCTTTTTTCCGGCTTACAAAGCTCTTTTATTTATTTATTTATTTATTTATTTTTTATTATTATACCTTAAGTTTTAGGGTACATGTGCACAATGTGCAGGTTTGTTACATATGTATACATGTGCCATGCTGGTGCGCTGCACCCACTAACTCGTCATCTAGCATTAGGTATATCTCCCAGTGCTATCCCTCCCCCCTCCCCCCACCCCACAACAGTCCCTAGAGTGTGATGTTCCCCTTCCTGTGTCCATGTGTTCTCATTGTTCAATTCCCACCTATGAGTGAGAATATGCGGTGTTTGGTTTTTTGTTCTTGTGATAGTTTACTGAGAATGATGATTTCCAATTTCATCCATGTCCCTAAAAAGGACATGAACTCATCCTTTTTTTATGGCTGCATAGTATTCCATGGTGTATATGTGCCACATTTTCTTAATCCAGTCTATCATTGTTGGACATTTGGGTTGGTTCAAGTCTTTGCTATTGTTAATAATGCCTTAATAAACATATGTGTGCATGTGTCTTTATAGCAGCATGATTTATAGTCCTTTGGGTATATACCCAGTAATGGGATGGCTGGGTCAAATGGTATTTCTAGTTCTAGATCCCTGAGGAATCGCCACACTGACTTCCACAATGGTTGAACTAGTTTACAGTCCCCCCAACAGTGTAAAAGTGTTCCTATTTCTCCACATCCTCTCCAGCACCTGTTGTTTCCTGACTTTTTAATGATCACCATTCTAACTGCTGTGAGATGGTATCTCATTGTGGTTTTGATTTGCATTTCTCTGATGGCCAGTGATGGTGAGCATTTTTTCATGTGTTTTTTGGCTGCATAAAAGTCTTCTTTTGAGAAGTGTCTGTTCATGTCCTTCGCCCACTTTTTAATGGGGTTGTTTGTTTTTTTCTTGTAAATTTGTCAGAATGTTAATTTTTATAATTGATGACCTTTCACCATAATGTGTTACATTGCTTCAATATTTTCTTTTAAGTGTTCCCATGATATTTCCCAGCTGTTTTTCCAAAACAGCATCATTAATAAACTAATTTTCTTAAACATAAGAAAATAAGAAACATGCATAACTAAAGGTATATATCTTAAAGATTAAAATTTTAACAATATGCTAACATGATTACCATATCTCCTACTTGACCTAAATATTTTTTTCTCACTCCTAAACAAACCAACAAGCATGAAGGCATTGACAGTACCCTGTAAATTATTTATTTTCACCTGAGTTAATATAATTAATGATATCATTAATGCCCTCAGGTCCAACAAAAGAATAAACAATTCAAAAATCTTGATGAATCATTTCTTATTAGAAATAGCTCACAAATTAATTCATGCATGTGAAACAGTTAGTAATTAAAACCTGAGGTTATGGTGGGCGAATCACTTGAGCTCAGAAGTTTCAGACCAGCCTGGGCTAAATGGTGAAACCCCTTCACAATAAAAACAAAAAAAAATGCAAAAATTAGCCATAGGTGGTGGTGCAGGCCTGTAGTCCCAGCTACTCGGAAGGTTGAGGTGGGAGGATCACATGAGCCCTGGCAGCAGAGGTTGCAATGAGCCGAGATCATGCCACTACACTCCAGCCTGGGTGACGAAGTGAGACCCTGTCTCCACAAAAAAAAGAAAATGTAAAACCCATCAAGGACTTTAGAAAATATTGTAAATTTAAAATAATAATAATAAAATTATATAAATAAATTAAATTAAAATAATAAACAAAAATATATTCTTTAAATTCTTCCTCACAAAATAGGCTCTGATTGCTTTTTATACAAAAATGATCTGATTTCAGAGGACATTAGATAAACACATAGAATATTAATGTTTGCGATTTGATGTTACTTATAAAATATGTTCATAAAATGTCTTAGCATTTTAACAGTCTTTTGAATGTCATTAGCAATTATTTTAATGCAATATATTTTTCTACACAGAGGTGCACTACTTTAGCACATTGTTAATTTAGGTCTTGGAAATTACTAAAAATGAAGAATTTGACACTACCAAAATGTTATATTTTTTCTCAAATTTAATACTTTGGCCAATCTGAAGTTACTCTGTTTTTACCCTTATTTCTGAGTAATTGTGGACTCTTCCTCCAAAACTGTATCTGTGAGAGTTCCCAAACTGGCACATTAAGAGTGGGAATAATTATCAGACTTAGATTAGAAGGGCTTCTGAATGCTAGACTGAGCATTTGAGAATTTTCTTCCAAAGGTAGTAGGACTCTCTAAAGTTTTTGATCAGGGAAACATCATAAAAATGATATTTTAGATATTTAATTTGAGTACATAGAAGGCTGAGAGAACAGTTAAAATGCTATGAACCATATTCCACCATTTTCATTATACAGATTTGAATCAAATAGGTGAGTGATGGATAAAAATAATTGATGTATGGGGAGAAACATAAAAGAAACACAATAGTATCTGATAATTAATGAACAAGCAGAAGTTAAGAAAGATTTAGTAACAGTTCAAAGAAACCAGAAAGAGATCAAACCAGTTTGATTTTTTTGTTTGATTAATGATACGTTTATTTGCTGATATATGTTTTTGTTAATGCCTTTGGGGGTAGATGTGGTATAAGGGCCAATTTTAAACATGTTAATTTTTATGTAACAATAAAATCCAAACAAAGGGCTAAACAGTTTGTTCTAAAAAAATGAAAGGATTCTTTGGAGAGAAATAAGGGTTGGAGATATAAATTTGTCACCCTGAGAGTTGTTAATTGACACCATGAAGGAAGAAGTATCAGAAAGAGGGAGAAAGAAGGGGAGGATAAAAAACAAAAATACAGAAAGAAATGGAGAGAAGTGAGAAGGGTCAGGAGTGAGCATTCATGAAGAATCATTCATACATTGCTGTGGGAAGAGAATATGAAGCCATCAGAACTGACAAAGCAGTGCTTCATAGAGAGGGACGGAGTAAAACAGCTTGTCTGATGCCATAGAAACCAAGAGGAGGAGAGTTTCAAGTTTAAGGTATACGTTTAGCTAAGTCAAACGCCTTACAATGGTGGAGGGTAAGTTAAATAGAGAAGCACTCATTGCATGTGGCAAATATCATCTGTGGAATTCAAAGGCAGAAGAATAAAAAATTTCAGACAGAATTTTAAAATGCTGGACCTATTTTCCAATTTGGATTGAACTAACCCTAGTAAGTTTAGATATAAATATTTATTTCTCCCTAAAGGTGATATCTGCTTAGGCTTGTAAGCAGCAGAGTAGTTTATAAGGCAGCAAAACCCTCTCCCAGAGGGAGATCTTTGAAAGTTTAGCATTTCTCAAATGTGGGAAGTGGGAATGGATTAATACACGGAGCAAATGAAGACGTCTCATTACGGGGATGATTTTACTAGGAAATTAATTAGAGAATTAAGGCATTCAAGCAGCAGTTGCAGCTCACTCAAGTAACATTGAGTTTCTGAGTGAAGTCTGGATGGGTTTCTCTAGAAACAGTGACCTCTGCCAAAAAAAGAAGGAGAAAGAGAGAAAAAAAATAGTGGTAGAAATAATATGAGTTTAGAGATTAATAAAGCAGACCTTGGGGAAAGGGTACTAGCGACTCTGGGGGTAGTTTTTTCCTACCTCATTTATACTGTAGCCAATAACTAAATTTCTTACCATAGACCTTAGCGTCAGAGACTAGGAGAAAACAGGGTAATACTATTGTATATATTATGCAAAAAGAGAGAAGGTAAGAGCACTGACTTATATTGAAAATAATAGTTTTACTCAAAACAGCTGTTAATAATATTGGGATCTAACTACTGGTCTAGAATATTTGAAAGTAGATCAGTGCAAGAGGGTCCTCAGCAAATCACTTAGTTTTGGTAGAAAGAATCAAGAACAATGTGACTAAAATAGAAAGGGAGGTATTTGGAGATCCAAATCTCTTGGTAGACCAACATCTGGTATGGGGTTGTGAAAAACAAAACACAGATTGTTATTAATTTCTATGACAATATTTGATACCATGAAGCTGAACTAGTGCTACTTTGAAGTTATCAAATTGATCATGTCATTAAACAAGAAGCATGCTAGATATTCTATGGAGAGATTCTCATGAACATTAGTACAATTTATTTTGCCCTATAAGGCGTTTTATTTTAATCAAGATTAGTTATCAGCACAAAAATAAAATTTATTTGCTTATTTAAGTACAACTACCTAATCATGTTCATATTCCTCTTATAATGGGAATTTTATGCTAAAATCTAAAATGTTTCATCTAAATCTATGTATATAAAGAGTAGGTGATGTAAATGTATCCAATCGTAAGATAGTTTTCTATACTTCTAAATGTTTACCTTCATATTTTTCAAAAAGTGAATTTATTTATGAAATATATTGTGCTTTACATTGTATTTTTATAATAATATTCAGAATAGTGATATTATATTTTACTTCAATGAGGTCATAGTCACATTATTTTGGTCATCAATGTCTCCAATGTCTATGGGGAAAAAAATCCCATCTGGGTTCATCAGATTCTTTTCTAGAGAACAGCAGAATACAAACTCTAAAAATGTCAAATCTTATATACCTGGCACCTCCTATTTAGATTAAGGTGTTTGAAGTCAATAAAGGAGTTCCATTTTAATTCACAGACCTAAGGCCCCTAGATGAATACTATGCAAACAACATGCATTCATTTTTTATTATGACAAGGAAATAATCAGTGACTTAGTGATGCTCTCAAATCTCTATTTGGAAAGTAAATATTTTCTATTATAGATGACTTTTCAATTACACACTTTTAAGAAAGGATATTAGGGGAAATTTCAGCTAAGTGTGGGTAAATTGCTTAAATCATGAATTGATTACTGTCTATTAAGCAACTTTTATTTTGAATGCATGTGATCACTTTAACCACAAGCTCCATTTTCTGTATCTCCTATCAGCAGTTGCAGCATCCAGCGATCAAAGCCAGATTCCTGTAATTGCTGTGTCTGTGACAGTGGGAGTCATTTTGTTGGCAGTGGTTATCGGCGTCCTCCTCAGTGGAAGGTAAGAGAGGAAGCTGTGATTCTGAAGTTCTGCAGCTGATCTCTTCCTCACCTTGATCTGACCATTTGGCTGTTGAGCACATCCCAAAACAAATCAGGCAAGCAATATATCAGCAGATAATCTCAATACATGATGCAATTCCTGAGCCTTATCTTGTTCATATTATTGATATTTTTTAAGCCCACAATTTCTCTTTTTAGGTATGCTCTCTTCACAAGAGCTGTATTGATGTGTTATTGTTTATTCGGTTAATATAGCTATATCTCTTTATATGACACATATTTTTTAATCTGAAAATTTTTTATCTCTCAAAATTGTATATGGTTGCCTGCTTCAAGTTTAATTAGCATTTGGGAAAAGCTATCTCTGTACCAAGTATATTTTTGAGGAATAAGAAATAATTCTATTTAGTCAGCATTCTATCCTAACAGGGTGGTGTATACAAAGCAGAAATTATGGCAAACAAGCTACTTGGAAAATGACCAAACATTTTCACTGACCACTTTTATTTTCAGCTTCTAAGTGATTTCAACCTGAATACTTCAATCATGATATATACTGATTTGAAGTGAATTGTATTAAATATTATCTAAATAGATACATGAATATATAATATATTACATATCTACATTTTTCATTTTATACCAAAAAGAGATAAAGTCTTAACAATAGCTATTCTAGGTGCTTTCTGATATTAAGCTGAGCATAATCAACCTCCTTAAAAATAAAATAAAATGCAATAAAGTAGAATAAAACAAAATAAACTAAATAAAACAAAATAAACTATATAAAACAAGAGTATGCTGTTTTCCTACAATAAACATAGTTTCACGTATTTTTAAAATCCAGGCCATTATTAGAAGGAATATTTAGTAATGGGAGCTGTCCATTTGAAAATATATTTTGGTGTTAGATCATTATAGAAAACTTAATGAAAGTCTTCATGGAAATATTTATTTCTGAGCAAAAAAAAGTGAAAATGTACCATAAGGTCCAAAAAAAAAGACAGGAAATCAATGTTCATATTGATTTTGTTACCGTTCTACTCATTTACTGTTGACTCTTCAGCACCTATTCGACTCATAAATATACAGAATTGGGCACTTTTCAATGTACTGCATATTGTGCTCTGAAAAGATTTTTGATTATATCCTTAAATTACAGAAGTAACAGTTTATTTTTATAAAATATTGCAAATTATTTTGAACATTTCCTCATTGTATATGAAAATTCTATTACTTCTGGTCCTTATTTATTTGAGTGTTTGAAGTTTTCTTAAGAATATATGCAGTAATTCATTGCTTACTTTTAATGTTAGATTAGCATTTACGCGTTTTTAGAATTTCTAGCCTAGGGGACAGTTTGTGTTCTGTTGAGGACAATTAAGCCCATCCCAGCCAGGGGGATAGCTATCTAGTGCCCCACTGATTTCATCTCTCTGAAGTCACCTGGGGAGAATGCACAACCTATATCCCTGCTTTCTGGAAGATAAGCTGATTTCATCGGTCTTGTCAGATTTTGATCCAATAGTATAATCAAGTTGCAAGAACTGTAACTACTAGGAAAACTACCATGTGACAATGTGTCTTTTCTACCCCAAAGTATAGATGATGACTTTGTGGAGCTGGTTTGTAATGCCATTTCTTTACTTCTGACTGAGATAAGAGTTAGTGATTTCCTTTCTAATAAATTAAATAAACATTAGTTATATTTATAGCCATGGAGGTTATAAGAAGATTCTGTATTTGTTGTGTGTGCACTTAGGAGAAATGAATAAAAATGGAAAAAAAAGAACCAAGGTCTAGAATCCAATAAATCTGTGTTTTTGAAAATTTATTAAGGAATACACATCAAATATAAGAAATATGTTGGTGTAGACTTAGCACAGTGAATTTACTGGTGACATTTTACTATGGATTCTTACTTACCCTTATGTGGCATCTTTCACATTAGATAAAATGTTTGAAAGAACTTTCAATCTACTTACTATTTGGTAACCGAAGGATAGTATCATTTTAGTGCATACGTGCGCACATTCCTACAAAGTCACCCATACACTTTGTATCGGTTCTCACACTGCTATGAAGAACTGTTCAAGACTGGGTAATTTATAAAGAAAAGTGGTTTAATTGAGTCATAGTTCCACATGGAGGGGGTGGTCTCAGGAAACTCATAATCATGGAGGAAGAGACCTGTTCACAAGGCAACAGGAAGGAGAAGTGCTGAAAGGGGAGGAACCAAGGGGGAAGAGTCCCTTAAAAAACCATTAGATCTCCTGAGAACAATCTTACTATCATGAGAACAGCATGTGGAAAACCGCTCGCATGATCCAATTACCTCCACCTGGTCTCTCCCTTGACATGTGGGGATTATGGGGATTATAATGCAAGATGAGATTTGGGTGGGGACACAAAGCCTAACCATCTCTATCTCTCTCTCTTTCTCTCTCTCTCTCTCTCTCTCTCTCTCACACACACACATACACAAATTCTATATATACCTGAAATTGCTGTTCAAGAACAATGAAATTTTAGTATAATGTCTCATTTGTACTAGAATCAGGTATGTACCCAAAACACATAGCTTAATTTTCTGCCAAATCCAAAGCTTGGTAAAAAAATTTTTGAACATTTTGTCTAATGAAAGTGTAATTACTTTTAAAAACAGCAACATCTTAGCAATTAGTACATTGTTCATTCATATTAAAATTCTTTCCTAATCCAATTTAATTTCACAACATAGTTTAAGATGCTGACACTAGGAATTTGCAGTTGAAAAGACAGCACATTTCGCCAAAAACGAATCTGAGGCTTATAGTTTTTTAGAAACCAACTTTTTGCATTAAATTTTAATTACTTTATTTGTTGGATGTATTTTCTTGAATTTCGGGGGACATTTGTCATGTGATAGAAACATCTTTGGCCATTGTATTGTACTCTTCATGGACAAACTACTTTATATTTTATTATATAAATATAACTAAAAGCTAAATGATATGATTCTTGAAAGACTTTTTCTATCTCACTTAATGCAATAAACTTTGTAATTTTTATTTGGACCCATTAAATATAACTCACCCTGCAGTACCTAGATTGTCCTGAATTAACTCAGTAAAGATTTGTTAAATAAATGGAAAACTAAATGAAGAAATGTGGCCAAAACCTAACATAAATTTGGGAAACTATATTTGAGTAATAGCAAATTATTTTAAAAAGCTTGTCCTAGGAAAGATGTAAAAATATAGGATTATATATGTTGCTCCCATCTCTCTGTGCTAAAACATGATTGATTTTTTTTCTTTCTCTCTCTCTCACACACACACACATGCACACACACACACACATGACTACCATCTCACTTTGAAATTACCCTTATTACTTTCTAATATCTGGAATATGATATGATAACCCAGATATTTGCTCCTAGGTAACATATCATTTAAGTAAAAATAATTAGACTCATCATTGGTTAAATAAGTTAATTTTATTTTGATACATTGCAAAATATTAACATCACTTGCATGTAATATTCATTGGCAATTTATTTTATGATTTGGGTCTAAGAGGAAATATATCTTGAAGATCCATATTCACTGAAAATTTGTATTTTTATTTAGACAAAAAAAGTGCAAATGATGACACACTGGGTATTGTGAAACTGATCTATTTCAAATAAAAAAGGTTAACTTTTAAAATTCTAAAATATGCTCAAGGATGAAAAATAAATCAAATATAGAGACTTTTTAATCTTTTCAGGCTTAAATTGATTATGCAGAAATCTTTTGGAATCTTCCTACCTAGACACAATTTAAAATAATGTAAAGTATCCATCTTGAAGGAAAAATCCTATTTAACAAAATGGCAAAGAAGTATAACATGTTAGAATTCTTGACAATTTTAGAATGTGGGTGATCTTCCTTTTTAAATGTGTTAAGTAATCTATGGGGTATTTTCTGCAGGGTTCAGACTCTCTTCACTGTTTCCCATTAACCTTTAAATGTTTCTTACAGGATTATAAAACAATTGATATGCCTTCCACAAACTATGAGCTAATCATCTTAGGATGGAAATAAATTAAGCCTCTTTATATGCACAGCATATTGAAATTGCCCTTTAATCTGTCTCTTTTATCACTAATGACATTGGGCATTGATAACTTTCTTTTGTCCTAATTTTGTAGAGTTTATCTCTTATATTTACTGTTTTACAGATTTGTAAATGTTTAATTGACCAGTCTTTCACCAATGAATATTTTCACTGTTTTCCAGTTAAATGTTTGAGAAAGTTTTTCACTTTACTTTTTCCTCTTTTTAATACTTTAAATATGATTATTGATATAAAATTGACTTTTTTATTTATCTGTGTCCTTATTTCAGACAGTGTAAATTCTGAAAATTAACTACTGAATAGTTCAGAGGCTGATGAAAAGCTTAAAGTAACAAGATTTAGTGGTATAGACATACAAAGGAAAACATCTTTTAGTTTATAGAAGCAATCTCTTTTTGGAACCTTTCTCAATACAACCTTCATTATGGGATTAAAGAATATTTTTTAATACTATGTTTCTGATCACTGATTTATTATGTGATCCTGAATTTAATTAAATTTCAAGCATGCAGAGCTTCACTTTTTGTATTAAATTAAGTCCACATACACAATTAGAAGTAAAAACATAGACATTGCACACATGTACTTTTCCACCCTTGTTTGCACATGTTCTTGCATATAAACAAAACACTTAAAACTTTTTGTTAATTTTAAAAACAGGAAACAAAAAAGCCAAAAATATCTTCTGAAGAGGAAGAATAATTCTGTTATGCTGCTTGGCCTTATGTATGATTTTGTCACAGGATTCTTAGGGTGTTGCTTTTCCAGGCAGAAGCCTCTGTGGCCAGGGGCACCTTTGCCTGAGTTTTGCTCAGGCCTGTTAGGCTCGTTCTGCCCACTCGCCCTGGCAGGCTGCACTCATCTTGTGTTACCAGCCTGAATCCCACAATTGCAAAGGGCAAGCCAGGCATGGAGCAGTGAGGGGTGCATGAGTGAGTGAGCACAGGGTCTGGCCACTGAGCACACAGCCTGGCACGCTTCCTGCTGTGGAGGGGTGGGTTGCTCCTGATACCAGCACAAGTACTTAATTAGTGCCAGCTGCAGCTGAATCAGATGCATTGCAAGTAGCTTTCACTGTGGGCACCATGTCTGGATGAGGGGAATGTGGTGATGCCTGGAAACTTGGAAATGCCAGAAACTGCAAAGCCCCAAAGAGGGTGTCACATTCCTGACTCGGAGCACCCATAGGTCTGGGCTCCCCAAAGGGTTGCCACTCTTCTCTCCTTCTCATTGCCAGCAATATGGTGAGTGTAGTTGAGAGGCGTGTTTTAGCCCTGTTTGTTACAGCTCTTCCACTCTCACCACTCAGTGTCAGAAGTTCTTATCTCATGCTCAGGAAGAATGAGGTACATGGACAACTGTAGAATGAGCAAGGTTAAGGGGTGCTTTATTGAGTAACAGTATAGCTTTAAGGAGACCCAAAGTGGGTAGCTCCTTTCTGCAGGTAGATCATCCCAGTGAGTGCAGCTCTCAGGAGAGGAGACCCAGAGTGTGTAGCTCCTATCTGCAGGCATGTTGTCCCAATATCTGAAGCCCTTAGTGGAGAATAGACCCAGAGTGGGTAGCTCCTATTTGCAGGCAGGAAGTCCTGTTGTCTCCCCAGTCTGGCTGAGTCCAGGGTTTTTATGGGCTTCCAAAGGAAGAAAGTGTGTGTTGAGTGGACTGTGGGCAGCCATAGGCAGGCGAGAGAAAGCACCATAACTTCTCACTCTGGATCACAGAAGTGAAAGCTTAGCCCCCAGGCTTCAGGCCATCCCTGGCTTGAAGGTGAGGCTTCACTGGGGAGCCACTGTCTTCTGTCCAGGATCCTGTCTGCCTCCTGCCACCATCAATATGCTGTCCACAGCACCCAGGCTGTTCATGCTGAGGGGTTCCTGCAGGCCCATGCTGAGCCACTCTCAGATTTCCCTCAACTCTCTCCTGTGCTCTTTGGTGCCCAAAGTCCAGAGGGAGCCAAGGTGACAGGGGACTGCTGTGTCAGCACCACCCCAAGTGTGCACACATCTGCCTGGGTCACAACAGCACCCAGGGTCATCCTCAACTTTGCTCCAAAATCAGAGTGGGCACCAGGAGCAGGGAGAGGCCAGGCAGTGGTAACAGGCCCTTCTGAGCCTACAGGGGCAGGGGGCTTCTCAGGCCCCTGAGAGCACAAGAATGCTTGGTTCCTCAGCTGTGGCTGGGTGTCTGCAGCTGCACTTAAGAGGGTGGGGCTCCTCCCCTGCCAACTTGGAAGGGGGGTGGTGAGGCTTCTACCTTGTCCTGGCTCATGCTCATTTCATGGAGCACACAGCCCAGGCCATGCCTCCTCCACTACAGCCAGCTTCTTTGCAACTGCTTCTCCAGACAGGCCACCACTGCCATCAGTCCCCCCTCTGAAGAGGTACATCTAACTGCCATTAGGATAGGGACAATGACTACTCTTAACTGCTTCATATGATAGGGGGCATTTTTCTGGGGAAAACAGCAGTCAGATCTCTCTCAGAGGCCTATCTAAGGGTCCCTGGTAAGAAAGGAGCCATCATCTGAGGCTCCCGTTGCATGACTGCTGGGAGTTTGATGGCCTCAAGACAAGAAGAAACACATTTTACAAGGAGGTTAAGTGTGCATGGATCAAGTGTGAGTATTATACAAAGAGGAGCTAAAAGGAAAAAAAAAAACTAGAAATCTAAAACGT
The DNA here is from genome assembly GCF_000001405.40 of Homo sapiens. Classification (NCBI taxonomy): domain Eukaryota; kingdom Metazoa; phylum Chordata; class Mammalia; order Primates; family Hominidae; genus Homo; species Homo sapiens. The sequence continues at coordinate 65,397,593 of NC_000004.12, read as the reverse complement.
AGACTATTTTGAAAAAGAATGTTGTGACTAGAGCTGTTTCATCCTGGTCAAAAAAATTAAGTCTTGTATGGGGGCAGTTAAACTTTAAGAGAGAAATAACTCTTTTGAGGGGGTAGATAATCCCTTGGGAGTTCAGGATTAAGGAGTCCTTGACAAAAATGTTTTAGGTGGGGAACAGAACAAAGGTGAGAACAGTAAGCAAGAGGTCTCCCCAACTACAACTAAGGGTTTGGGAAAAATATTGGGTTAGATGTGTTCCTGAGATGCCCTCCCCACTCCACAATCTTGCTAAGAGAGGAGAGGGGAGCTGTATTGGAGAGAACTGAAAGACCAGCTCCAGTGTCCAGGAGGAGGTCCACCTTTCTCCCTTTGACTTCTGAACCATCAGAGCCAGGGAGAAGTACCCCAGGGCCCATCAGTCCTGCTGGACCATTTGGGCTGGACGCAGTGACCTGTCTCCAAGGACAGTCTGGTCTTCAGTGGTCCCCATTGCAAATTGGACAGGGCCAAAGTGGCCTCCTCCTGCTGTCCAGACAGTCCTTCCTAAAGTGCCACAGCTTGCCACATTTGTAGCAGTTAACAGGTCTATCCAAGGGATTTTGGGATTTGTGAGCCTGCAAGGCAGCTGTTAGAGCCTCTCCCTTTTTCTTGTGTCTCCTTTCCCTCTCTTGGGCCTCCTTCTGATTCCTATTGTAAAAGACTGTGGTGGCCACTTTCAGGAGGTTCTCTAAAGTACTATCTGGTGCCATGGCCTGTTTCTGCAGCTTCCTCCTGATATCAGGGGCTGCTTGAATAATGAACTTATCCTTCAGGATCAGTTGTCCCTCAACTGAATCAGGAGTTAGAGACATGTGCTTTACCAAGGCCCCTCTTTGCCTTTCCAGGAAGGCAGTGGGATTTTCATCTAATCCCTGTTCTATCATGAATAGCTTGGACTAATTGAAAGGCTTAGTCCTAGTCCTTCGTAACCCTTCCAGTATACACACATGAAAGTGCTTCCTCTTTCATTCTTCCATTTCATCACTGGTGTCGCATTTAGGGTCCTCCAGTGGTACTGCTGTTCTTCCAACGGGATAAGGCTCATCCCCTTCTCTGAAACTATATGAGATACAAAGGTCGTACCGAAAATTCTGCACTGCTTGCAGGGTGGCCTGCTTTTCAGTGGTAGTCAGGGTCTGATTCAAAAGTAACGTAATGTCCTTCCAGGTGAGTTCAAATACTTGAGTTAAATTCTGGAAGGCTTCTATATAACTGTCAGGTCATCTGAATACTTTACAATATTCCCCTTAATTAGCCTTAAGTCCTGTAGAGAAAAGGGAACTAGGACCCTAATCAATATCTAGGTAGCAGGGGGTTGGTGTGTCAGCACTGCCCCGAATGCACACACACCAGCAAGGTTTTAACAGTGCCCAAGCTTATCCTCAACTTTGCTTTGAAATCAGAGCTGGCACCAGTAGCAGCGAGAGGCCAGGCAGCAGGAGCAGGCACGTCTGAGCCTACAGGGGCAGGGAGTCTTTTGGGGTTCCCCAAAGCACAGGGATGCCCAGATCTACATCCACAGTTGGGTGGCTGCAGCTGTGCCTAGAAGAGCAGGGCTCCTGCCCTGCCAATTTGGAAGGGGGTGGGTTTCCATCCATTGACATCTTCTGCTGGCTCCATAGAGCGCATAACCATGGCCTCACCTCCCCCTCTCCAGTCGGTGCCTTTGCAGTGGTCATTCCAGACATGCCACCACTGCCATCCATTTTAAGGCTATTTATATGTGAGTTTAATGCTATGATGTTCCTTAGATGATAAATTTAATTTGAGAAATGGCTTAATGCCTGTTAAAAGTTATATTTTCTGGCCAACCAGTCTTCTCTTTGATTGTCATGATCATGTTCAAATCATGTACCTGGACATAAAACTGCTCAATCCTATTTCTCCTTATGTTCTATTCAACAATTGAAACTCAATCCATTTGAAATGTCTCAGTTTTCTGAAGCAAAAATTCTTTAGAAGTCAGCCAATACTATAACAGAGGCTATCATAATTATGATCATCAGACCATGTAGAAATTAGAGAAACAAGTAAATTTGTATAAAACGGTAGGTTTTATTGTTTCAAGAAAATAATATTAAAATTTAGCCTTTTGTACTTACTTTTAAGTCCCTTGAAGTAAGATAGGTTGTAAATGACGTCTTCACAATTATCCATTACAAACATTTTTGGACACTTATTGCACATAAACACAAAGGTAAGTCCAGGACATATGATATAAGAAAGCAGTGTTCTTTCTATAAATGTTTTTACTCTTACTTAGTAGCGTGATAAGTAGTCAAACTTTTATAAAACACAATTACAGTAGTTAGGCATAGAAGAAGAGTTTACAGTACAATTGGAATCTGTCCCTTCATGATAACTTTTCAGTTAGTCTGAATCATTAATTCAAGAAGTATCTGAGTTCTTGCTACATGCCTGGCACAGTTCTTATGTTAGTCAAAGCAATGACTTGATAGTAAAATCCTTTGAACTTAGAAAGTTTTCTTCAAGCTCATTTGGGGCCAAATAAAATATTTATGTCAGAGTTTTTAATGCAGCTATTTAATTTAGACACATCAACGAGCTCTGACTACATCTGATATCAAAGCATCATAGTTTCTTGAATGAGTACTTTGTGAAGAGTATATTCATGAAGGGTAGGTGCTAAAACCTGCAGAGAAGCTTCTTTGCCTAATGGAAGTAACATGGTAATAATAATGATAAGTATATCATTATCTAACATTAATTACATAGCATTTCCTACTAGGCAATGTTCTAAAGGTTTTACAAGTAATATCTCACAACACCACGATGTCTCAATACTAGATCTTATCTAATTTATAGCTGATAAAATTATCTTCTTGCTGTTTCTTAAAAATTGTAAGAATGGTCCTGCCTTAATTCTTTGGCATTGGCTCTTCTTACTGTCTAAAACTTCCTTGACACAGAGAACCTTATAGCTTCTTTCTTCTTTCAAATCTTTGCTCAATCTTGTTCTCTCAATTGAGCATACTAAAAAGATGACCTGATTGTTTCCTCTACACACCATGCATCATTTTTAGTCTGTCTGTCCTACTAGAGAAGGATACAAAATAATAGAGATTTTTATCTGTGACTTTTTTCCTCTTGGAAAGTGTCCAGAACATAAACTGTTGTATACAACCAGTCAGTAAGGGCCTGGACCATGAACCCAGCTCTGACGTCAGGGCCTTTGCTCTTTAGGATATAACTTCCCCAAGACTTGTGATTATTCAACTTTTGAACTTTTGTGTGGGAAGCCTCTGATTTTCTGCTGCTAAAAATAATGGAATTTACATTTTAAAACTTTAGAAACTATCAGAAATATGAATAAAACATCTCTTAGAAATTAATATTAATGGTAACTTGACACTAAAAAATACATTGAATTTTAGTAGATCCTCCTCCCTTCATGGGACAGGTATATCCAGTAAATTGTATTCATTCTAAAATCATGCAAATTAAATGTCACCAACTCCATGGTCATTCCTGACTTTGTGAACCCTGGTTAATTCCATTTCTGTCTACCCTTAAAACTTTATTTTCTCACTAAAGTAGTTTTAGTTCACCATTTAATGTATCTGTCACCCCAGTAGATATGTACTCATCTTGAATATCCAGATTACAATGTAGGTCCTGGGTAAATGTCTAATGAAAGTATGACTGGAGGAGTGCAGCTGGAGTTTAAGACTATTAAAAATGTGCTTCAAACTACCTTTCCAGAATTATCACTATATGTTGTTGTCTTGGATTTATTTGCTTGCAAATGATAGAAGGCATAATTTAGAGTGGCTTAATCTAAAAGGAAATTATTGATCTTGCAGCTGAAAAGTTCCCAGATATTAAAACATTAAGTCTAAAGAACAGGTACTGATAGATCCAGGTGTTTAAAATAATGTCTGTTATGCAATTGAGACATAATTCAAGAATGTTGTTGAACAAATATGGTATTTAAAGGCATTGATTAAAATGAAGTTATTGGATAAAACCTTGGGACACTGTGATATTGAAAAGTAGGGTGGAAGAATAAGATCCAGCCACAGTCAGCTAAGAAGGAGAGGCCCATGAGGTTGGAAGAGATCAGGCAACTGCTGGGTCACTAAGGGGAAATGGTCACTGTGTTGAACACAGATTTGACTTTAGGGCTCTCACCCTTCACTCTCAGAGCTGAAATGGCACAGGCTGTTACAGAAACTTGATACCCAGCTCCACAGAGTAAGTCAATCAGTAGCACTGAGACCTTAACTAAGGAGAGGATAGAGAAGTTACACTTTGTGACCAACACCATAGGAACTCACAACTGAAACTGAAAATAGGGTCAGTTTCATACAAAGCACGTGGACTGAGAATGAGGAAAGAGAATCTCTCACTCTACACTCTTTTTCACATCCTCCATTTGCTTGGAAAAAGCTTCATATTATCTCTCAATATTTAAGCCTTACTGACATGTGAAGTCTTATATCAAACTTTCTGTCATGAATAGAGGAAAAAGAAATTTCCTCAATCCCTTTAGCCAAAGTATTCTCTCCTTTGAACAATATATCAAAACAATGTATCAGTATTCTCATAGAATTTAACACTTTCAGCCACAAATTATAGGGCATTGTGTAAATATCTTCTCTCTTCTGCCGGCCAGTAAGTATTTAGAGAATAAAGGCTTCTGTGGCTTTCCTACATAACTTAATTAAATAAATAACTCATAAGTTATTGAATTAAAGATGAGCTGTGCATCAATCTCCATTTGAAGTGGTTTGTCCATTTTTCCCATTAATGTTGACATTTTAGAAAATGAAAAACTTTAATATCTCTAAAATAAACATAATGAAATGCTCAACCCATAAATACACCTTTAAATAAACAAATATAATCCTTTTGATCCCATCACAAAGTAAATGCAATGATTTCAAGAAGTAGTGCATAGGAGTTAATAAATCCTCACTAGCTTTTGATTTTATTTCTTTGACATCTGGACATGCTTATACCATTGTCATGATGTACCCGGTGACGTCAAGCAGCAATAACTTTTATAAATTGATATATTTGGCATCTATAACATGATTAGGCTTGTATAGTTTCAGAATTTAATAAGTTCTAATAAGAAAAATAAATTTTATGAAAACATTTTAATCTCATAAATATTATATTTTAAAATAATGGTAACCAAACATTTGTAATCATATATACAATCCCTGATTTTAGAAAAAAGCTCAATAAAAGTAAATCTCAGAAGCTTATGAGTTAGCAATAGATGTGACTTTGTAAAACTGGAAAAAATCCAGACGTGTATTGATTTAATATCTGAGGGTTTTTATCTCTTCTATTTTCCCATGATTACATGCTTTTTTCTTCAAAGGCTCTGAATCAAAATAATTAGAGAGCACATCATAATTTATTAATAACTGACAAATGGGGATTAGGGCAGAGTGATGCCAGGAAGACAAGGAACATAGCAACAACTAATTGCCCACTGTGGGAAGTAAACCGTCCTAGGAAACTGAACGTAAGAGGGTTACTGGCTCAATTGCTCAACACTATTGAACATCCACTATTGAGCAAATCAAATATGTAAACATGCTGCAATGCTCAGGAAGTTATATTGAGGCAAACATTTGAAAGAAAAACTCAGTTTATGGTACTGGAAACAACAAGTTAATATCACTCACTTGCAAAGATATAAATTATTTAAGTAAAGAATCAAATGACTTAGATTTCACCTAGTATGAAGCAAAGGGCAGGTCAAAAGCCTAACCACAAGAGCAAAATACACTTTTTGTCTAAAGCTCCATTTGCTCAAAGCTCCATTTCTCTAAGAATGTGATCCCTATCTGAAAGAGTACAGGCTGGCACTCCAGAAGACGCTGGGCTCTGGCAGAAGACCCTCCTAGGTTTCTGGGAATTTTACACATCTCTCAGAACCCACAATAACACAGCCTTTCACAGGAACCTGATACCCAGCTCCACAGTGAAAATCAATAGCACTGCCCTATGCCAAAGGCTAGAACATCTATTCAACAGAGAAATCAGTTAATTTCCTGAGCCATGTCTGGAAGTATACTCATTGTTGAAAAATGAATCAAAGTGTCTCAGATGATTTTAAACATCAGCTAAAAGCCACATTTGTTCAAGATCTGTGCTTTATAAGGTCTTACATGAACCAGGAAAAAAAGAAAATGTTTCTAATAGATCAGCAACTCAATCTCAAGCAGCTGAATTCTTTATTATGCCATTTGGAAGGACTGACTTTGTATACTGCTGATGGCTGTGATAGTTATAGTGATAAAAAGCATATTCTATTTCAAGTGATATGGTTAGGCTTTGTGTCCCCACCCAAATCTCATCTTGAATTATAATCCCCATAATCACCTCATGTCAAAGGAGAGACCAGGTGGAGGTAATTGAATCATGGGGGCAGTTTCCCCTATGTTGTTCTCATGATCCTGAGTGAGTTCTTACAAGAACTAATGGTTTTATAATGTGCTCTTACCACTTTGCTTGGCACTTCTCCTTCCTGCTGCCTTATGAAAAACGTCCCTTGCTTCCCCCTCCACAATGATTCAGGATTGTAAGTTTCCTGAGGCCTCTCCACCCACTTTCTCTTATAAATTACCCGGTCTCCAGCAGTTCTTTATAGCAGTATGAAAACAAACTAATACACCAATTATTTTGCTTACCAAAATTCCCGTACTGTCTCTTACTCCTTGTTTCTCTCATTACTTTTTTTCTCCTCTAATGTTTTAATCTCACAGAAAAATGGCATACTTTTATGTATTAAATATTAGTTATGTCTGCTTTCATCGTCACACTGTGTTTTAGCCATCGTTATTATAAATGACAATCTCAGTTGATTTTGTTGTTATTTTGGGACTCTTCCTTGCTGTTGTTTTAAATAACATATTATCATTTCTTCCTGTTTGCAAGATTCGGCACTGGAATCTGCATACCCATGATGGTTGCTGTTTGTTGAGTTCTTGCCCTGTGTTCATCTAACTGATGGTTAGTAAGGTATGACCACAGGAAGAAACACGGAAGAGGCATAGGAAAACAAAGTTTATTATACTCTCCGGTCCTAGAAACGGAAGGTATGGCATGTCATGCAGGGCCATCAGAGAAACACCAGATTTTGGTCAGGAGGAAGAAGACAGGAGTGAGGGGAAAGTCTAGGAGTGAGCCTTTGTTGGTGTTTCTATGTGAAAGTATATTGGCTAGTTTGAAGAATTCTGGCAAACTTTGGGCTTATAGAAGAGGTCTCTAGTTGCCTGGAACCTGGGCCTGGGGTTATCAAGGCAGGGGAATATTGCCTCCTGAAGTTAATGGGAGGTTAAAAAAGGTATTGCTCCAGATTGGTTAGTTTGCATCTCAAATACATGCTGTAGGCTAAGTACTTTGCTACTTCTAGGAACTGGCTAGCCATGAGAGGGGCAGTCTTTCCCCAGCCAGAGAGGTTTTCAAGATGTCAAAATATCATAATATACAGACAGAGAAAATATATAAAAAATAGAGTACTCTTGGACCAAGATAGATTGATAGGTTGAAATGCAATGAAAGCCAAGAAATATAGTTGAAAGTTTAGTGTAGTTTTTTTTTCCCCCTTACTACACCCCTACTTCCATGCAGAAGGCAAGATCTCATCAAGTTGGCAAGGTTTGACCTCCCTGTGGAAATTAATTGGGGAAAACCTCTGTTTCCCAAGTTTTTTCTAGGCTGTGTTCAGACCAACTTTGTAATTCCTCTTTAGTGTCCCTCCAGACAGATAATTCCATAGATTCAAATAGTCCCATGTACCTCACAAGTACCTCTTGCCTACCTCCAATAGTTCTCAATGCCTCTGATGTTGGAGAATCCTAATGCTTCTCTGATATTGCTATGCCTATTCCCCTTGATTTTTCCTGAAGCAAATTGAGTAGCCTTTGTTTAAACTGATCCTCTCCATAGATAATGCACAGATCCTGCCAACATTAAAGACCAAATAATCTATTATCCATGTTGAATTTCAATTGAAGTCATGTAGCTTTGATTATTTAATCATTTAATTCAATTGTTTAATACATTTATTAATATCCTTAGTGTTTAATACAAAGAGAAACCTGTTTCAAAATATGGAGAAATATTACACATACAATGTAAAAGATAATCATAATGTGCAATTACAGAGAAAAGAGTTGAATCTTCAGAAATATTCAAGAATATAAGATGAAGTCAAGTACTTTTTATATTAATGTTAATTTTTCCTAGATATACTGGAATTTTACCAAAAATCTGCAAAGCTAATGTTGTTCAAGAGATTTTTGGATATGCCAGCACCACAATGCTATATTTTTAAGGATGCAAAGTTCAGTATAACTATTTAAGCAATAGACACATTAAGCTTGCACAAGTATTCTGATTTTCCTAATTTGCTGCAAGGAAAAATATAAGGAATTACCAATTTAGAGGTCCAATCTTCCTCAGACAACTTTTAAGATGAAATTCAGCCACTTAAATTATTAATTTCTATGTAATCATACCAAAGATGATCTAAAACTCCAACAAGGAATCATCAAATTAGCATGAATTCAATATTTACATGATAAGTGAATTAAAATTATTTACATAGGAATTTAGATGGACCTAAAACCATAAAAACCCTAGAATAAAACCTAGGCATTACCATTCAGGACATAGGCATGGGCAAGGACTTCATGCCTAAAACACCAAAAGCAATGGCAACAAAAGCCAAAATTGACAAATGGGATCTAATTAAACTAAAGAGCTTCTGCACAGCAAAAGAAACTACCATCAGAGTGAACAGGCAACCTACAAAATGGGAGAAAATTTTCGCAACCTACTCATCTGACAAAGGGCTAATATCCAGAATCTACAATGAACTCCAACAAATTTACAAGAAAAAAACAACCCCATCAAAAAGTGGGCAAAGGATATGAACAGACCCTTCTCAAAAGAAGACATTTATGCAGCCAAAAGACACATGAAAAAATACTCATCATCACTGGCCATCAGAGAAATGCAAATCAAAACCTCAATGAGATACCATCTCACAACAGTTAGAATGGCAATCATTAAAAAGTCAGGAAACAACAGGTGCTGGAGAGGATGTGGAGAAATAGGAACACTTTTACACTGTTGGTGGGACTGTAAACTAGTTCAACCATTGTGGAAGTCAGTGTGGCGATTCCTCAGGGATCTAGCAGTAGAAATACCATTTGACCCAGCCATCCCATTACTGGGTATATACCCAAAGGATTATAAAACATGCTGCTATAAAGACACATGCACACGTATGTTTATTGTGGCACTATTCACAATAGCAAAGACTTGGAACCAACCCAAATGTCCAACAATGATAGACTGGATTAAGAAAATGTGGCACATATACACCATGGAATACTATGCAGCCATAAAAAATGATGAGTTCATGTCCTTTGTAGGGACATGGATGAAATTGGAAATCATCATTCTCAGCAAACTATCACAAGGACAAAAAACCAAACACCTCATGCTCTCACTCATAGATGGGAATTGAACAATGAGAACACATGGACACAGGAAGGGGAACATCACACTCTGGGAACTGTTGTGGGGTGGGGGGAGGGGGGAGGGATAGCATTAGGAGATATACCTAATGCTAAATGACAAGTTAATGGGTGCAGCACACCAGCATGGCTCATGTATACATATGTAACTAACCTGCACATTGTGCACATGTACCCTAAATCTTAAAGTATAATAAAAAAAAAGAATGAGACATACAAAAAAAATGAATTTAGATGGACAAATATGTAATAAACCAGTATTCTACATTTGTATGACTTCCATGCTTTTTGTAATACATGGGAACCTCTTAATGATTTGTTGTGTTGTTGATATCTAACTTTTCCTGACTCAGCCCTGTTCTACCTGTTCCAAACGTACATACTGTAGTCTTTTGGATTTACCTCTTCTCTAGTAATTTGGGAAGTAGTGGGCCAGGGTAAGGCTTTTTTTTAAGGCTTAATGATGTATTATTAATCATTTCAAACCTGTGCTAGTGTATACTGTTGCTTTTCAGCCCCAATAGGGAAAAAGCTACTTTTAAATATAAGTAGATGTGCATTTTACCACCCTGTATCTTTCTGCCTAAGCCTTGGGGCTTCTAAATCTTCATCCAATAAATTGAAATGAGAAGGAACTTCTGTATATCTCAAATATCTGAATGGAGCTTGTACAGTTTAGCCCATTTGTTCCTATCAGTTTCCAAAGCCATGGTGACTGGATCCTGCTCCAGTGTATCCAAGCCTTTGGACAGCGCCCCCAGCTCCAAGGAGGACTCTGAAATAACCCAGCTTGGAAGTCTATTAGGGGATCATCTCAGTATAAACCAAATGTCCTAAGGTGAAAATCACTATCAATCCTGCTTCCACTTACCGCCCAACCCCCGCCCCCACTGCATTGTGTCTCCATAGACTCCAAGTGCTCAGATTGCACCTGCACCACTTTAGCTATTTTCCAACATATTCTTAGAGGTTAGATTAATGGCCACGTCCTTAGATGAATGCCCTGATTTGCTGACATTACCAAGACGTCTTGCTTCTTCACTTTCCTATAAGTTTCAGCCTTTTTTTTTTATATTGCAGGTTACAAATTTGGCAGAGTTAAGTCAATTGCCCTAATTTCTCACTAAGCTGCTATTTTTATTTAGGTAGGCATTTCTTAATTCTTATTTTAAATTACAAAGAACATAAAAGACAAAATTCAGAAAGAAAGTTAATCATACCACCAGAAGCAAACAGTATTAATATTTTGCCATATATATTTAAGATGTCTTTTGTACAGTTGAATTTTTAATTGGTAGTTTTGTTTTCTGTTTTTTTTACTTAACATAACAATATAAAATTTATATGAGCAATTAAAAATATTTTAAAAGCAAAAATTTAGTGTCTGTTAGGTATGCTAATGTTTGATCTTTGTCATGAATGTTTTGCTCTCTCTGTGTGTGTATAACTGTTATTGTTTGAGAGAAAGATTTTGTGTGCCTCTGTGTGTGCATGTTTTGTATCTTACTATTTCTGTCATTAATGTCCTTAGAACACATTCATAAAATTCAAAGTAAGGGTCAATGCATATGAATATTTTTAAGATTGTTTATACATATTGACAAATGGCCCTTCTGAACTACTGTACAATTAGCATTCCCCTCAATGGTACATGATATTGGTAGTTCACAACCTAGAACATCGTTGCTTATTTAATAGGAGAAAAATAGCTGTGCATTTATAATTAAATTTATTTTTATTTTTAGATTTAATGAGATCATTCACTTATAAGCAAAAAGTACAGTCATTAGCTGTTTTAACATCTGTTTTGTAAATTGCATGAACAGGCTCTTTACCCATTAAAACTAGTGGGATTGTAGCACTTCACAGAACAGAGCTATATTATTGAAAGTGTCAACTTTTGTGTTTTAGTAATGTTTATTTTGCACGGGATATAAAAAAATCTTTAAAATGTTAATTTTGTGTACGTGGGGATTTAAATTGATATTTTCCAAAGACTTATGTGAGTACTCAGCAGTGGTTTTCACTCTCCTCCAAAAATCTTATAGGTTTCTACATGTAGCATGTACTAAATAAGCAGCTACACGGGTATTATTTTGTCTATGTTGGCTCTGGGCTATGAAAGCCGTTCTATTAATCTGTCTGATTTTTATCAGTATTATACAAATATAAATATTATAATATTAAAATATTTTTCAATGTTTGGTCAGGTAAATTCCTGTTGGAGATCATATATAGTCACAATTACGAATATTTTATAAAGGTACATTTTTGTGAATATAATCACACACATACATTTATACACAATTCAATGTATAAAGCAATTGTAACCATAATTAATCACTGTTATGTATACAATGTATTAAATATTTCACATTTATCACCAGCACAATATTTAATTTTAAATAATTATGGCAACTATTATAATATGTGATTTTAATGCTACTGATCAATACTAATAAAAAACAGAATGTAGTTGCATGGAATTTGAATAGTGTGATATGAAAATGTGACATTTAGCTTCCTCTTAAGTCATTCTAGAGTATGTTCAATTATCATAATATGTTTATCACAAAATACACACATTCCTTGAGTTTTGGTAATTTCAGTATATTGCCGCAATTACTTTTATTATTTGAGAGAGACATAATTAAATGGAAAGCTTAGTCTTTCTGATTTTTCCACCTTAAAAGTTTCATGCTGATAGATGTGATTCAATTTTAGAAAAATACTAGACAGACATAATGGAGGGAGCTAAACAATGTACATATTTGACTTGTTTCTTTTACTTATTTTCTTCTTTTTTTGAACCCACTCATATTTTTAATTGATGTTATTTTTTCATTAAATGAGTATTTAAAACAGTACTTTCAAAGCTGTGTTTATAAACGTTATTTATTTGAGCTGACGAAAACAGCATCACTTATTTGCAACTTTATTTGCTTTCAAATTTTCTCTCCTTTTCTCAAAATAATTTAAAACCTAAAATAGCTGAGCACAAATAGGTTCATCATGATAATCCTACGTTCTTTTCTAAGAGGCCCCCGAGACAGACGTGTTTCAGCTGTGAAATGACTGGGGGAGGAAGAGCTCAGTGGAAGAAGCTTAGCAAATTTAGGCTCCTAGAAATGGAGGTAATTGATGTTTGCTCAGTGTAGGCATCGTTCTGCAGGAGTAAGAAACATGATTCAGTATGTTGTATATCAACACTATTATTATGCTGGAACAGAAATAAGATGGTCGTTGATTGCAAAGATGAATCCATATATTTTCCCTTTATTGAACTAGTAAAGATTATCTCTTCTGTGGAAATAAGCTGAAATCACCCAGCTGAGAACAAACACAGAGTATTTTTTCCACAGCTTACTACAGAAGAGGATCAGCCAACATCACATGCATTTGGTAGAAACCCAAAGGCAGACAGGATAGGGTAATAATGGGGACAAAGAGAAGGCTTCAGTTAGGCCCAGATTTGGAGGTTGTTGGCATATTGAAGCTGGAAATGGGCTACCTAAAATCAGAGCATCCTAGGTGATTTGGCTTCCTTTGTTTGATCCTGAATTGGAAATAGGGACCAAAAATTAGGGAAGTTTGCAGTTATTAGGTTCTAACCATTTGGTCTGATTGCTACAAAGGTTATGGTTTGACTTCTTGGACCAGTTGCTATAGATTGTGAGTATTTGGAACAAATTGAGAAGAAATCAGTGTGAGAATAGAAGATAAAATTATCTCTGCTTAAATGAACACAGAAATATTGATAGAGGAGTGGTAGATTTGAACTACACCTTGAGGGTGAAGATAAATTTTACCAGAGATGGTCGGGAGAGTATGATGGAAAAAGGCGCATGGGTATGAGTGCATATGGCATGCCCAGTTTCCTGTGACTCCTTAGCCCAGACTATTTGGCCTTCCACAGCCTCTCCTGTGTCCCTGCACAACCTCATCTTCTATTCCTTCCTGACTCATTAATGGCAGGAACTTTCTCGTATACAAACCGATTTTTGAAAAATAAGGAAGTTAATTTTTACATGCACATCATACACATGCAAGATTTTCTTTTTAAAAAAATTATATTTTTCCAGAATATGATAGTGTTTAATATTGTTTAGTTTTTATTGTGGCTCCAAATGGGAATATGGCTTACGTGATTCATATCATATATATTTTTTATGTTATGAATCACTGAGAAGGCATTCAAAAATTTTAAAACCACACCTTCCTTCCTACTTCCCCCAACCCCTTTTCTTACTTTTAAACAAATATTAGAAGAAGAGATGTCCAAGTGTCTGAGTCACTGATTTATAATAAGTTGGTAGGAAGATACCATTACTCCTTCAGACTGGCAGATATTATGACCAGGGCATTATTGAAGTCTTCTAAAATAGGATATGCGCTCTAGAGTGAGCTCAATAAAATCCATCATCCCAAAATATCAGAGGGAACTCCACAATAGTCATAGTTCCATGCTGGGTTTTTTTCCCTATAATGTTCTTGCCAAAGATAAAAATAGTGTTTCTTAATATTTCTTTTCTTGCTTTGTTTTTACTGGTAGCAGTGAAAGTGATAATGGTGGTAGCAGTGGTGATTGTGATTTTGTTCTTCAAGAAATACAGGAAAGATTTTTAGGAGTGAACATAACTCTTTCTAACCTGTTATTGTTGCCACTAATATCATGTCCAGGCCTTTCATAATTATTGGAAATATTAATTGGGAGAGCAAAGGAGAAACCACATCTGACTTTAATTTTCTTAATGGAATTGGACCTGATTAATGTATATGTGTGTGTGTGTGTGTGTGTGTGTGTATATCATATATGCATCATGATGTATATATGATACATATATACCATATATATGATATATATACATCATTATTGAAGTCTTCTTCATATCATATATCTGATATATATGTTTTTAATACTTTTTATGCATAAGATTTTTACATATAAAATTTGTACATAATTTACATATATATAATGTATATATAAATTATATGTTTAATTATATATAATCTCTCTCTATATATACATACTTACCAAAGAACATATTATTTATAAGCACCTCCAGGCACTTTTGAAGTTTCTGCTTACATGCAGGCCATTAATATGCTAATTACAAGCCTTTCCCTTGTATTCATTAAGTAAATTCCCAAAGAACTATTATAATACACATCAGTTCAATACAATACGTGTTTATTGAGTATCTCTTGGATCAGTGTTTCTCAACCTGGAGAAAATTTAGAATCAACTTACAGATTTTGAAAAATAATGATGTTTGAGTTCCACAATCAAGATGTTCTGATTTAATTATTGTAAAGTAAGGCCTGGACTTTTGTTTTTAAGCTTCCTTGTTGATTCTAATGTGTAGCCAGGTTTGGAACCACTGTGTTACACATGAGTAGAGAACTGTTGTTATGTAATTTCTTCACTATTAAAGAATAGCATATAGATTCTCAGTAAATGTTTACTAATAATGAGAATGACTGTATCTTCTACCGCAGCAAAAAGTTTATGAAAGATGGTTAATATTTGATAAAATTTATTTTGAGTTCAAATATATATTGGAATAAGCAAATTGTATCTAACACGTTTAATAACATTTGCTAATTGAATCAATTCCTTTACCTGTGGCATTCGTGGAGGAAGAACTTAATGTTTTATAATGATCTCTGGCCCATTAGAGTAATGAAACAAAGTAAAAACAGAGAGTCATTATTGAAGTATAGCTTGAAAAAAAATAATTGAAGTGTTTTCTAAATATGTCTCACCTCAAGTTTTTTTCTGCTTTCATTTAGTTTGATATTTCTAGGTCCTAATAGTTTTTTTTAGAGTAAGAAATAAGGAGAGTGTCTGATTACAGTGTTAATGTGAATTAGTTTTTGTTTGTTTGTGTTTTTGACTTTTTCCTTAAGATGAATGGCCGCACAGGAGACACTTAGATTTGTACAATTTGGGGGATTTTTCAAAGAAATTCATGTTAAGTGCATAATTTATTTAAGGTGCACCTCAGTCATTTATATGATTTAATCTCTATTTAAAACTTGCATTTAAATAATGTGGTAGAGTTTGGGTCATCAAGTATTTTTAAGGTGTTGATATTTTAATGTTGAAGGTGCTTGCCTCTTTGATTCCTAGTGAGGGCTCTCTTACCACCTTGCAGAAGGTTGCCTTCTTGCTGTGTCTTTATATGGAGGGAAGGGACAAGGGAATTCCCTCAAACCTGTTTGATAGAAAACTGACCTCATTCAAGAGGGCTGGGCACTTATGATCTTATCAGCTTCCAAATACCCTACCTCCTAAAATCATCACTTTTGAGGTCAAGACTTCAACATACAAATTTGGCGGAAACACATTTAGTACTATGCAGTTTTGCATCCTGAAATATTTTAAGGAATGTATAAAACTATTAACATTGTAGTGTTAATTACAAGTGAACAATTTATTCAGTGTTATTTGGTTAATATTAGCTATGTGTTTAAATTCTTTTTAATCACTTAAAAACTCATGGCCTTTAATGAAATATATTGCAATAAGTATCATTACTGGATTTGTTTAATTTTTTTTGAAATTATAAAGTACAACTTTTAAAAAATGAAACCAGGGTGAACTAAAAATTTTTCCATAATGCAATGAATGTAACATTTCAGCACAATGTCTCTTACACATTTGACATATGCCTATGCCATCATTTTACTTTTCTTCACACCGATTTTTACCTAATTTTTAAAAATTTAATATTATACCATATTTACATTAATTGCTTCATAGACTCCACATATATACTTTGGTTTACTGAACAAATATTTTATCATTTAGTTGCTTTAAAAGCTATGCTCAGCCTTATGTATATTACAAATAATATACATTATAATAATATAGCTCACTCTTTGCCCTAAGACTGTCTTAATATAGTAATATCACTTAAAAACTTTCTAAGTGCTGACTGTGAGCCCCAAACAGTGCAGAGAGCTTGACATATATGATCAAACTCATTCTTCAAAGCAACCCTGTGTGGTGCAGGTTTTATTATCTCATTTCATCAGTGACTAGATTATCCAAAGCTATGCATCTAGTAATGGATATATTCAAGACTGCTTCTAGTTTGACTACAAACCCCATGATCTAACCATTTTGTGAAACAATAGGGCCAAAGCATGAGAACATTTTATTGCCTTTTGATAGGTTTAGAATTTTGTTTTCTAAAGGATTGGTGCCACTTTTCAGTGTCACTTGCCACACATAAGAACACTAGCTCCATTCTGTTTTCTCTAGCCCTGAATATCATCGTTTGTTGTTAATTTAATTTGAAATAGGAAAATTATGCAGCCTTTTAGTTTTCTTCCTTTGTTACAAGTAAAATAAAAATATTTTCTATGTAATTCAAGTACTTCTTTTGTGAAATTACTCTTCTTGCTTTTTTCTCATTTACCTGTTGACATCTTAGTGTTTTTATTATCCAATTCTATGATCTCTTGTTTAAGAATTTAAGTCATAATTTATCCATAGCCTGCAGTCTTGCTTCTCTGTTCTGGCATCTGAGAATTCCTTCCCTAGATGAATAATCACCTTGCTTCCATAGGAAGGAGGTTATCATACTTACATAGACACACTTCATACCTATATTGATCAACTCTGTGTAAGAGCTGACTAAAGTAATTTTATTTGAATCTTCTTTGGGTCTGAAAAGATTATGCTATCATATTTTAATCTGCTGAAGGACAAATGGAAATATCTTGTTAAAACAAAGATCAACAGTTTTTTATTCTAAGCCAAAAGGAGCTAAGCTATTTTAAACTTGGATTAAAACAATCTTGTTATAGCTGCATGCAGTTATGTACAGTGTTCTAGGTACTAAACACTGATGGGAATACAGATGTAGACTGTGTTGAATCAGAGCTCACAGATAAGATTGCTTGCTATTTCTAGCACATTTTGGTTTCTATTTCTAAATCATCTCTGAGCTTCTAAGCATTAACCTGTACTTATCTGCATATTTATTGGTTGATGGAAAAATATGTTTTTTATACCATCTGATGTCAAGCTGTTACTGTGAAAGCGTCTTCAGAAATTATTTTAAAAGGTTATTAGGGGGCCATTGTTAAACTTCAGATGTTCATAGAAAAGTAACTTGTCTTAGTTTTCTTAATAACATATTAATGCACAGTATTATCTAATCACCAAATCCTTAGAAAACGTATTTCGTGGAAATGATTTTTTAAATTACATTGGCCATTAGGTATTTATATTAGTTAATCTGAATGTAATGTTTATTTAGTTCTATTATGGATAAAAATATTTAGTCTAGTAATGTCATATCAATTATGAAAAATATAAATTACTCTGAGATAATGAGAATCTATTCTGTCACATCGATTATGATAAAATTAAGAGTAATAGCTAACACTTTTCCTCCAAAATACTTGATATGCCAGACACTGATCAAAGTAAAATAGATGTATTCTCTCACTTTATTTTCACAAAACCTATGAGAAAACATCTATTTTTATCACTATTTTATAGCTGTCAACCTAAATAAGAAAGGTTAACCAAATTATCTAAAGCAATTTTTATGTCATCTTAAAACAAATACAATAAAATAGAAGTATAAATATTTAATTTAATATGGTTCTAGGTTTTTAAATCAAATTTTATTGAAATTATAAAGTAGAATTCTAATGATATGTAACTTGGTTTAGATTCTTGGATTTGGTGTTATAGTGAATTCTGTGTGAGTGTGTGTGTGTGTGTGTATGTGCATACTTATTCATAAGACACAAAGCTTATTTTTTAATTAAGATAACTTTATAAAATGTTATTATTTTTAGAATTGTTTATGTGTTTCTTGACACATTTATTTCACTGACCAAGTGTTAGACAAATTCTATGAGATAATAGCCAATCACGATGCAGTTATTGTTTTCCCATGCACAATTCTATATGAATTTATAAACTGTGCACACTTTCAACTAGAAGTATATTTGTGTTTTGTTAGGAAATGACATCTTTTTTTCCTCATTAACAAACAATTGGATACATTTGTTAACAACCAGTAATTGTTCATTTTTTTGTTGGGTTGAAACTGCTGTTTGAAATGAACCCATATCTGCAGGCTTTCTACATTAGTAGATATCAGTAAATTGAGGTAATTTTATTGTTAGTTAATACCAATTATGGTAAAACATTGACTGCTTACAAGTGTCAATCATTGTGTTTAAACCATGCAAAAAAATAAAAAAGAAAGAAAGAAAGAAAACAAGCAAACAAGAGCAGTCATTCTCATCTCAGAAAACTAGCAGTCTAACAAAGGAGGGCAAACGGTTTTTAAAGGGCCAGATATTTGATTTAGGCTTTATAAGACATACATTCTCTGCCCCAACTCCTCAACTCTGCCACAGCAGCACTAAAGAAGCCATAAACAACAAGCAGTGAGTGTTCCAATAAAATTGTAATTACAAAAACAAGTAGTGAACTGGATTTGGCCCTTGCTCTGTAGTTTGCCAACCCCTAATCTGAGTGCTGCAACGAGGCAGAAGTGGTAGGAAAGTTAACTTATATAAAATTTTAGTAATTGTTGGAGACATTAATGCAACAGGTGTTACTGTAAAGGAGTATATCAAGATCTGCCAAAATACTTTACAGATGTATTAACTACTCTTTGATTGTTTTAATAATCTGATATACTGTAACTCTGACTCTCAATATCTCTACAGTGAAAATAATGATTTGGCATATTCTTTAAAATATAATAAATAGACAAATTGGAAATAAATGTTACGTAGCAATTTTTATTAGAATTTCATTTTAGTGACAGCAGTCAAATCCTCAGACATTTAGTAGTACTACAAATTAAAATATTGTCAGTGCTACAAAAGAAAATATATAAAAATTGTCTACTTTTTCTTTGAAAAGATCCATTGGAATTTTATTTGGAAATAATCATCTATCTTCATTAGTGTTTGCAAATTTATTGGAAGTTTATGTTTTGTTTACTTTTTTTGATATAAAAAAGAATAGATACATTTCTAGAAATGAAAGTTCAAAACAGATTTTAAATGAAAGCCTGGACCTGCTGGTATATCCTATCTCTACTGAGCTCACATTATAGTTCTGTTGAGATCACTGTGAATGCTACTCATTTAAAAAATACATAGAATTGAATGCATTGAAGCACTAAATAACTTATGTCTTTTATTCTGCCACCAGTTTACATGTTTTCTATCAATAAAGTGCATTTTATAAAATAGTTTACTTTGTATTTCCTGGATTTATTACTATGAATATGTGGACAAATTAAAAGAATCTTGAGTGTTGCAATATCTGGAAAAATGCATGTATTCTGTATAGTTTGCTTTTTTATATAGCAACTGCTCTGAAAATATATATTTGGAGATACTGTTTTTAAATCTGGAAATGTAAAATTAAATTGGTAGGCTTCAATAAATGATCTGGGGAGTTATGTATGCCTAACATTTTCAATAGGCTATGATAAGTAATACCACAGGCATAAGAAATTGGTGGGTCACATGAGAAAGTCTTTATACTCTTTCCAAGGTTGTAGGCTATGTGCAAAACATGTATTTAAAGGGCTATTTAGGATTTCTTCTGATGTAAATTTTGAGGGAATTTCTGAGGAGAGATATATTAGAATGGGCTTACATCTTTATTTATATGTCTATATGAATTGCATACAATTAATTCGAATATATTGGCTCATGACATTTCCTACTGGATAACCACTTTAAGCAAAATAAAAATAACAATTTACTACAACTCTATATTTCTTAAATCCATAAAATGCTTCTTAATTTGAAAGGCACTGTGGAAAAAAATTAATTGTATGCATTTAGAGGTTTTTGATTTTGAAAAGGAAAGCAGACACCTGAGTAAATTCATAGTGTCTTTATGCTATATTTGAGGGAGTGGGATCTCTTCCTTATCTTGGGCTCTCTTGTTTGCTTTTCAGTTGCTGCGAATGTGGCTGTGGGAGGGCTTCTTCCCTGTGCGCTGTTGCCCATCCAAGCCTAATATGGTTAGTGTTCCCTCCCACTTTCACTCCTATGTGATGTCCACCTATATGTATTACCGTCGGCATTCCTTTTCTTTCTCCATTTGTGTACATTTGAGTAGAATAAAACTGGCTCCCCAAGGTGAATCCTAACAAGTGATTTCACAATGGATTATTTCAAATAAATATTATACATATGGCACATCATCCCTATGTCAAGCATTCATACGTCTCTTCTGAGGCTTTTACTGTGGTCCTGATTTAAACTAGGGAGTTACGAGATTATAGTTATATGTTCTAACTTTAACATGTCACCATTTTTGTTGTTCCATGAAGTAAAAATCATGTCACACGTGGAAGTAGAATGCTACTTCTGTCAAGGCAAAATCACCTTTTCTGTTTCCCAAAACCATGGAATGACCACAATATAACTTGGATCTTCTATTGTCATATCATTGTGAATACACGTGGCACTGGAAAACAAAGCCACATGTAATTTCAAATGGTTTACCTAATTTCATTAAGCTTGAATTATGACAGATATCAGAAGTGATATTCTCACTTTGATGCCAATGAAGTAGAAAATATGCACATTTTTCAGTCAGTGCCCAAATGGCATACTCTTAATTATTTATAAATACAAATCCTAAATATACATCTGGGGTTACGATTATTCACAGATGTATTGGAACTCCTACACAATGGGAGCTACTTTGTGAAAAGTGAAATACTCCAGATAATTTCTTCCTAGACTCAATAGCCTAAATCCTTGCACTATTGTACCCAGTGTCATTTGTAGTCAGAATTTGCCAAGAAAAGATTTCTAATGCATGTTAGAGGACTATAGAGTTTCCTAGGGGCTTTTTAAATTGTTAGATGTATTCTCTAGGTGTAAAGTAATTTTTGTTGCTTAAAAAATTATGTGTGAATGAGTGTATACAGATGTGCAAATGGGAGAAGTTGTGGAATGGATGCCAATGATCTGAGAAGAAGAGAGAGTGAACAAACACAGGATGATGTAATTTAGAAATATTTTGTCAATTTCTTAAAAATTTTGAATTTGGAGAAAGTTTTAAAGTTTAATATGAAGGTAAAGATTTGTTCCAAATAACTTACATGGGAAATTCTTATGAGCATGGGGCTTCAGTGTCAAACTAAATACAAACTAAAATCTGGTAAAAGCTATAGTATAAAGTTTGGCTTTACAGTGTGTGTGTGTGTGTGTGTGTGTGTGTATGTGTGTGTGTTTCTGTGCTATGAAAAACTAAAAATGGTCATTGAATTGTCTATTCTACTTTAGTGTCAATTATAGTTTTTAACATAGATAAATTATCTCTGAAGCAGAATAAGCAGAATCTACAACTTAGAAAAGAACATTGATATTGATGCCTTACCTTGAACTACATCTCAAAAATGCTTCAATGGAAGTGTGAACATTTATGAGTCTATGGCTTTGAAAGTATTGGAAAAGGCTAGCTTTGGCCAGATTGAAATTCTTGATTTAAAAAGATAGTATCTTTTTCTACTGTACTTTTGGCTTCAGGTGGTTTATAAAACGAATAGAATAAAAGAAGGAAAATAGAAGGGCAGAATTCTTATTTTATAAAGAACACACCAGTAAACTGAAGATGACAATATCTTTCTTCCAATAATGTTAGAAATTGTGAAGGCAATGAGTTTGTTTGTATATGTGCATGTGTATTTGCCTGTGTGTGTGTTTGTGAAAAAAAAATAAAAAAGATTTAGCCACAAATGCATTTAGGCACTCAGTAAAATGCTACCAGTCTTCATGGAAAGACCCCCTGGAAAAGCTGGAAATATTAAAAAATATATTCTTGGTAAAATAAAACAAATTAAAGCCAAAGAAACAAACTTTAACTGAGCTTATATAAACAATAAAAAAGTTCTCCAAAATTTTTACTGGGTAGGAATCAGGACTAAAAATGCTTTATTGCTATATTTTGTGAAGTTTCATTTTATAATTTCAAATTACTACAAATTTTCTATTAAGGATGACATTTGTTTAGATTAAAGCATTAGGAAGAAAATAATCTTATTAATAAATATTAAGAGCTGAGAAGAATCATTTATCTAGGAGAGTCAGTAAAATACTAAGAAATCTGAAATCCCGTCATCTAATTTTGCATGTCTCATCATACCAGCATTTCCAATCACCATGTCAATAATTTTCAAAAACATTCTATCATCATCATTTGTGAAGAGACACATTTACAGTTTTAGAACAGAAATTTGTAGACATTCTTAATCTTAGAATTCCATTGTTTTTCGTGTCTTGAAAGATCACTCATGAATATATATGTGGTTAGTTTTGACCTTAATATAATATGATACATATACATTAAAACTGGCCATTGTAAATGCATTAACTCTTAGAAATACCCTGAGATAACTTGTGGAAATTTAGCGTTCCGAAGAACGTTGTTTCAAAACCGTTCATCTAGATTCTTGGCTCAGCAATTCCAATGTGCTGACACTTTTGCAAGGCTCTGCGATTCTAATTTTTGATCTTTCATGTTTCCCACCAGGAAACCACATCCATCAGTTTAAAAATACATGGTGTGCCATTTATAAGATGATATTTGTAATTACATGTTGCCTTTTTAAATCCTTTTATCTCAAATTATTTTCATCAGTATAGTTGCCTGCTTGCTTTGTTGTGACATTCATAAACATAATGTTAATATTCCAAATGTTCTCCCTGCTTTGACTGAAATCTACCCAGTGATAAAAGCTATTTCTGTACTATTTCTGAATGAAACTCAGACGCCTAAAGTTTAAGCACCATATCCCCAAGGCTGCCCACATTTTTAGCAAAGGTATTGTTTAAGTTGCCGTTGCCTTTATTGTCATCTCAACCAACTTAACGTTCTAATCATAGTTTTACTTCTCAAAAAGACAATCTATTTTTACAAACAACCAATTTTGAATTGATGGTTTTAATGTAATAATGTCTCTACTTTCTAATGTTACCCTTTATCCTCAAATATTCATCTGTGTTTGTGCTTACAGAAACCAATGTATATTTATAGCATAATACTTATTATAAATCCATCTAAAATATCCCTTAGTCCCAAAGTAGCCATTTCTTGCATTTCTTAAATTCAAATTAGTCAGATTATTTTCTTCATTCATTAGGTTTCATGCTTTTCAGTGTCTTCATATTATTTACTCCATCCTCTGAGGGATTTAAATGGCAAGGGAAAAGCAGTCACTATTTTGAAAATAGAGATGTTAAATTCTTATTTTATGCATTTACCTATTATGTGATCTGTAGATAATAAACTTCATTTTTAAAGACTTTTTTAATTTCAAAAATATTTTAAATCAGAGACATAATAAATGAAGTCTAGTGTATCTCATAATTCAGACATACAATGCAGAAATTAAAAACAAAATCCGAACAAAACAAATTTCTCTGGCCAAAGGATCAGGATGTCTTTGAAACATTAACTATTATCCTAATTTTTAAATATATTTTCCTTTCTCTATATTAATTCTGTTTCTTGAAATGTGAAATGAGAAGATTTTTATTTTCATACACACTTTACATTAATTATTTTATTCATCTTTATAAGATATCTGCCGGGGGGAGTGTGGAAGTACTCTTCCCTTTTATACAGCACGAAAGTGGCATAAAGAATAAAGCCATCCCTTTGTAATAATTCTAGAACTCCATTTAAAGTGCTTTGTGGTAGGCAGATGGGGGTGTTGTTTGACATGTATATAGAGTATATTAAATTTCAATGGAAGGCTTGCTAAGCAAAATATAATCACGAACTGCTCCAAACTATCTATTTTTAAAAATAACTATGAAGCTTCAGACTACAGGAGATATTAACTGGGCCTCCTCAGATTGAGAAATCCAATAGTGGCATCCATGAAACAGTTAAAAATTAATAGGAAGTTACGTACTCTAGCATTAGAATAAAACTTTTAAAAAACAGGGAGAATTAATTTTCATAGGTCACACTTTATTAAAGATAGTGTTATATCAAAATTCTGTCAATTACAATTGAATTCAACAGAGAAAATAGTGTATAATTTATCTTTGCATATTTTGAAGAATTTGAAATTGTTCAGGTTTTCCTATTATAGCTATTCTAAAAGGATTTGAAGAATTTATTAGTAAGAGATTTGCCATTTCATGTGTATAATATTTTGGGAGATTTATTCTAAGAGTTTTAAAATTCTTTGTTTTATAGAATATGAAGATACAAAGTGATATATAAAACATCAAGTAAGATATAATTTAGCTTCTCACATGGCATTAATCATAGGGTTGTTAGCACCCTTGATCAAATGTGAGATAAGAACTCAGAAAATTGTTTTCTCATTTTGTGTGGTATAATCTTACATCATTCCCATATTCAATGAAGTACGTTTTTCTAAATAACTAAATTCCTCTTAATCAGTATATCTGAAAATATTTAGTAAGTAAAAATAGATTAGTTGCCCTTTTTGTCTAACTTAAATCTATCTATGAAGAACCCAAAATGCAAATATTCTGGTATTATAAATGAGGAAAATATAAATGACTCACACAGTTTTGCTAGCAAGACTGCCTAAATATCCAATGCCCCATTTTAGTACTATTCATGTGCATTCTTATTGAAGAATACTGGCTCATAAAACAAAATTTAATCAATGTTCAGTTTTTATTAGATATGTTAATAACTTAATGTTCATATGCTTATTTATTTTATGAGGATAAGTTAGCTGAGCTTTTGTTAATCCTATCTTTGTCTAGTTGGAGAAAATCCCGAAGTGAAAAATTCAAAGTACTTTCTAAAAAACAGTATTATTCCTTTCAAGTTTCCAGCAGTATATAAAATTCTTTATATACTGTCATTTATATACAACATTATGCAATGGTTGAGGTCCTTGTTATGTCAGAACACGTGAGTGTGCATATGTGAAGAAATGTGGCTTTAAACGAGGCTAAATTAAGAGTGTTTATTTTTTCTCATCTCATATAGATATTAATGTTCACTGTAATTTGTTGCTTTTTGAATATTTTTGCTTCAATATATAGGAAAAGCGTCTCTTAATCAATCTGGAAAATAGAGAAACAATACAGGAGTATCCATTTCTGAGCTAGACACTGCATATGCTCACTCTTTTGAGTAAATTAAGTGCAAAACCACTTCTTCCCCTATTGTGATCCACTGTACGTTATTTAGATTAAGGTGAAAAAAATTATTTAGGGTATATTTCTATAGACTAAAGCAATGGAAAGATCTGATAGTATGGAGGCTATTGTTTTGCAAGGATTTACACTCTGTTTTGGCTATTCTATTCACTTACCTTTCCTCATTGGTCACAAGAGTGCCATTTATAAAGTACTGCTTGTGTACATTACTTGGTACTCTGAAATTCTTGACATTCATATCCCAAATTCATTATCAAGTCCCAAATTTATACTCAAGAACTAAGTTATTCGTTGGCTGTCCATCTCTACATAAATATTTTTTATTTCATGTATTATGAAATTCTTAAATATCCAAATTTGTTATTATAACTGCAACCAAATTTTTAAGATCAGCATTAATAGTATCAGAAATGTATTATCCAAATCCTTAGAAAAAGCATGGGAGAAAATGGGTTGATTTCTAAATAAGCCATAAGGTCATTGGTATATTTATATATCTAGCATCTCTCTCTAGGACTTTTAAATAAATATTAATTAATGAATATGAGTTATGCCTATGAATAATTTCTCCTGCCCATCTCTATTACTAAAGAGCAAAAGCACATTGTTTTCCAAAAGGACATGAGTATAAATGATTAGAGGATGTGATTCCTCTAAATACAGACACTACAGATGTTTTTAGTAAAATAATTTCAAAGTTCATTAAAATCGTGATATGAAACAAAATTTAAAAAAATAGTTTATTTTCCATTCAGAAAAAAAAGACATCATTTCCAGAAAATGAGAGGCAAAATTTACATACAGAATGACATATTTATTGACTGTTTTTCTGATTGGTTAAAATTATGCATCTGGAGCAGGTACAGAACATGATACTGAATGAACAGGCTTCCTGAAATGCTTTTTCAGTGAGACTGAATGCTGCCTGAGTACCAGTCTCTGCTAGCTGCACTTTTACTTGCTGTTTCTTGTTGAGGCTTGTTTTAATGATGCTTCGGGAGGTTCCAGAACTTAATTCCATACGTTAATGTGATATGCAGCCGTATATGTTATGGAGCTCCAGAGATGCCCATAGTCAAAAATAACTCCTTTCAATTGCCCTCCTGACTCTCACCCTAGGTAATGCAATGTTAACTGCTCCTCACCAAGGTATTTCCAAGTCATTTTCTTATGAGATCCAAAGTTTTGTTTTCATTTTCATACCAGGAAATTTCATGTAATTTAAATATCCGTGAGGCTTATTTAATGATAAAGGCTATTTGAGGATACAATTTTGAAAGCGTATTATTTATTTTTTTGAAGGTGGGAGAGTTGAAGGTGGATGAATAGATGTTTGTTTTCTAACGTAAATTGTGAGAACATGTATAGCTTTCAGGTCTCTGTAGAATTCGTCTAACAAAGTTGTTTTTGTCAGTATTATTTAAATAACATAAATCTCTGGATAATTTTACACAATTGTATTTAGAATATTATTAAAGAGAAACATTAATAACTGTTCTCTCTAGAGGCACATATATTAAAGGCTAAAAGAATAATTTTATATCTAGCAAAATTATGAGCAATGTATTAAAATAACTTAAAACTTAGCTTGAAAGACAAAATACAATTTCAGTATGGTTTAATGTATTTGTTTCTTCCCTCCTTTTCATTTTGGTGAGGTGATTTAAGATGTCTTAAGGACCCTGGAATGACATATGTATCTAAGTGTTATGAATAAAATTTGAAGCCATGAGATCCCTGTTGTGTATTTTTCCTCACCCAAGAACATTATATGTGTTAGGAATATTACTTCAAGTTTACTGAAAATTTACTAGTGTTACTTTACTAATACATTGCCAGTTTCTTAATATGATAAAGATAACTGTATTTTGTTGTTGTTGTTGTTGAGATGGAGTCTAGCTCTGTGGCCGAGGCTGGAGTGCAGTGGCAAGATCTTGGCTCACTGCAACCTCCGGCTCCTGGATTCAAGCGATTCTTCTGCCTCAGCCTCCCAAGCAGCTGGGATTACAGGTGCCTGCCACCATGCCTAGCTAATTTTTGTATTTTTAGTAGATACTGGGTTTCACTGTGTTGGCCAGGCTGGTTTCAAACTCCTGACCTCGTGGATCTGCCCACCTCAGATTCCCAAAGTGCTGGGATTACAAGCGTGAGCCACCACGCCCAGCCAGATAACTGTATTTTTTCCAAAAATGATGAAAGATGGATTGGGTTGGCCATTTTTGTAATATATATGTAGTTACACATTGTAAAATGACAACAAAATATATTCCCTTAATATCAAAATATACATATATTTTAAATATATCCTAGAATATGTAATGAAAAGTCTCTGTTAGTACATGTGTAATAGAAACTTCATTTACGTCACACGGTAGTTCTCAACCAATTTTGTAATGAAAATATTTTATCAGTCTGTCATTTGGCTGTCTTTTCTTAATGCATAAATCAATGGAAATTTTGTTTTTAGTAAACTGAATTTTGTGCTGAGAGCTTATGAATAGTAAAATCACTTCTTTAGAGTTTCACTAAAAATAATTTAAATATTTTCATTTTAGCCAGTTGTTTAATGTTGTACACTTAATCATCAATTCAGTGTTCATTCAGCACATTCCCTCTCCAAACACCTGTCATTGTGTAGACATAATCAAAACATCTTTCTCTCATTCATTTATTCATTCATCAATGTGACGAATATTTTTAGTGCCAACTCTGAGTCAGGTGCCAGGTCACTGCAAGGATTTATAGATGAATAAAATTTGTTGCCATTCAATAAGCTAAAAAGCAGTAAGGAAGCCAACAAGCGCACTCAAATGACTATGCTGCAGCATAGACTAGAAATCACATGAGGGGATGCAGAAAGCTACTGTGCTCCAAAGGGAAAATACTACATTAAGTTTAAGTATTGGGAAAAACGTGAAGAAGGAAAAAATGGAACTGAACTTTGACAGTTGGAAATTGTTAGGAAGAAAATCCTCAGTGAAGGAACCAATATGTGCAAACCTATGGAAGCATGGAGAAATATCCTGGAGATTTCAGGAGAAAATTTAGTACATGTGAAGATGAACAGTTGGAGTTGATGCAGGAAATGTGTGTTAGGGCTACATTTAGGAATCTTTATATTATTATTTCATTAAATATTTTGCAGTAGATAGGTAATGCAATAGAAAAGCATCTTATATACTGTAATTTGGCTATAGCCATGTCTAGTAGAGTTTAGGAAAGGAGTTACAGAGTGGAGGAGCATCATTTTGAAGGCACTTATAGTAATGTGGAGGAAAAATGTTAAGGACTTAATTGAGGAAATGTTAGAGTTAATGAAAAGAAAGAGATGGGTCGTAGTTCCTGGGATTTGGCACTAGTTTGTTGTGAAGGACACAAGAATAAGTCTTTGCTTTTAAGGGACCAAGGCCATACTGGAGTTATTAACAGGAAAAGAAGGCAGACTATGGTTGAAAGAAGTAAAGAAAAATGCACTGATTTCATTTTCAGGTCCATTGAGTTTGAATGTTGGTGGAATACCCCTATAAAATAAATCTACCAGGAATAAGAACATAACTCTCAAAATAAATTAAACCAGTGAGATAGAAGTATTAATTAAACGGATAGAAATAGATGGATTGAGAGGAGAGAACCAGAGAGGTTCACGTGGAGGACCTATGAAAATGTCCATACATCAATGTGGAGAAGAGCAAAAAGCATCAGAAAAGTAGTGAGGGATTTCAATCCATCAAGAATAATGAAAAACTAAGATTGTATTTAGAGGTTAAGATGTCATTTGTGAATCTTAGGAGGACAGATTTTTTTTCCTAGTAATAAGAGAAATTTGCAAAAACTTGCAAATTTGTGGATTATTGAGAAAACGAAGAGAGACAAAGGTTTGAAAAGTGAAGCTGAGAGGCTTTGCAAGTTGTGGTGAATTTCATAGTTTTCTGGGTGGATGTGAGTGGAAAACAGCCAGTGGAGCAACTGAGGATTCCAAAACAGTAGAGAGAAAAACAAAAATCAAAAATCTATTGTGCAGGGTGATGAAGGCAAGAAACTATTAGATCAGACACACATTTTTGGGCAGTTCATTCAGAAAGAGGCAGTGGCTTTTGAACTGCCAAAAAATAAAAATAAAATAAAGTAAAAGAGGAAAAGAGAACAACAATGTCTGGTATACAGTATTTGGTGAGGGGAAGTTTAAAAACAGGTTTGGATGGCTTCAGGCTCCTCAGTGAAATCTGGGCAAGATTATTTGCTGAGTGAGAAACACTGGTTAGGGACATAGGTCTCATCCAAACTACTAGTATTGGCATCATTCCAAACTACTAGTATGAAAATCAGTTTAGGGTTGCAATAATTTCAGTTGTGCTTCATGCTTCTGGGCTTGATGTGACTGATTCACCACTTTCAGATGTGGCTAATTCTAGCTTACTTTGTTCCAGGCGGTGTGGCTACAGCAAAGCAAAACAAGATCCAGAAGAGGAAAAGATGCATTTTCATAATGGGCACAGTAAGCAAATTGTAAAAAATAAAAATAGAATAAAATAGGGGACACTTTATTGTTATTTAAGTTTCTTTTCAGGCTACAAGATTTATAATAACTGACCAAAATATTGTTTTTTTTTTTTTTAAAAGTGTTCTATTTGTTACATTCCTGTAAAGAATACGGGCTTGGGTATTTCTGGAAGGCTTTAGGCAATAGCTGAATGCTTTATTCAATTATTTAAATAATACTTTTGTTATAATCAAAATAAAAACTTTTTGCTTAATATAAAGAACTATTATATTTCAAATAAAATTTCCTGGAATATTCTAATTCCTAGCAACACAATGAGTAGAAATCTATCAATAAGTAGCATCACCAGGTTAAATAAATAAAATTTCTCAGGTTTTTTTTTTCTTCTAGCTTTTAGTGGGAATTTACCTGAACAGGTCCTGTGGCAGCAATCTTGGTTCAAATGACTTAAAAAGACCTTGCTTTAAAAAATAATGCAGAAAATCATGTTTTAATAAAGAATTTGAACAACTAGCCTAAATGAGTTGAATTTTGATATTTTATTATTTTTCCTTAAATGGTGCAATGTGAATTGATTTGCCAAGTGAGTGACAAATATATTTGTTTTTTTCACTCCGCCATCTTAAATGTCAAAATCATTAAAGCCATAACTCATGCTGCAAAGCATTGAGTTCATTTCCTAATCGTATCTTATTTAATATTATTTATTCCCAAAAAACTTGATGAGGCAGTGTTAGTAGCCGTTAAATGTGATAAAACTGAAACTCACAGAGCGTAAGTCTTGTCTAATGTCATGCAGTGACAGAAGTACAGTGAGAAGCAGAATACTTTCTTTTGACTTATATGTCAGCCTTTTTGCACCATAGCACCAGAAAAGTTACTTGAAATCATTTTGCATAAAATTAAAATTAATACTAATGGGATTATATCGAATATCATCCATATGAAATATAGAATAATAAACCAGCAAATTAAGCACTAGTATTGCATTGTCCAGTTCGGTGAATAACATTGTCTTAATTTGCCTTGGAGACTTTCTAAGTATTATGATTGAGAGGTGTATTTTCTCAGATATGTCATCACATATGCATTTCTTGTGCCTGCAAACAGATTTCTGAAATTATAAAACTGATATAGTTGTACAAAC
Organism: Homo sapiens; assembly: GCF_000001405.40. Classification (NCBI taxonomy): domain Eukaryota; kingdom Metazoa; phylum Chordata; class Mammalia; order Primates; family Hominidae; genus Homo; species Homo sapiens. Next base: position 65,366,203 of record NC_000004.12, on the reverse strand, counting down.
AACTGTAACTCAGGAGAGGGCTGGTCCTTGCAGTTTGAATACTTCCAGGAATTAGAGATTTAAGCCATACTTGCATGTTAATAAAGTTCATAATTTTGCTCATCCATCACAACTACTTCTGTTTTAATGCCAATTTATATTTACAGTTAAACTGCCAGGAGTAAGAACTTACATTGATCCACATACCTATGAGGATCCCAATCAAGCTGTCCACGAATTTGCTAAGGAGATAGAAGCATCATGTATCACCATTGAGAGAGTTATTGGAGCAGGTACGACAATGTGTTTGACTTTCATTTTTAACTTTTGTTTGCATTCCAGAATGTAATATACCAGTGTCCTGATGTAACAGAGAATGTTTTTAATCTTTTCTAATTGGCTTGCATTCAAAGTGATATGTAACTGATCACATTTTAATACAACCTTCAGTGTAACTCAAGCTTAAACCAGCAAATATCTGGTTTATAAAATTTAAAAACAGCAAAAAATATATTTTAAATAGATAATGTTTCACTATATATATATATATATATATATATATATATATATATATAGTGAATTTGTAATACCCAAAAGTATTTATGTAATTCAGTTCATATCTGCCTTAAAATTGTTTCCTTTTTTTCTAGCTATAACCTGGTTGGCTTTTCTCTTCTTATTACTACTACGGTAGACAGAAAAAGAAGAAAAAGTGATTTTTCATTAGTTACTTTTAATTTCATTCTTTTTTAAAAGGTTTTTGTAAGTGAGATAGAGGAAGTTAATAGCCCCTATAGTGTTTTATGATCCTCTGTTATGATTTGTTCCAATGTACTATTTATTTTCATTACTATCAATAATGTAGTGTAGACTACCCTTTTCTGACTGCTTTTTGTTTGTTTGTTTGTTTGTTTGTTTGTTTGTTTTTTCATCTAAGCCTTAGTAGTCTAAGAGGGCATACAAGTGTTAATAGACTAACAATTTCAAATGAGTTTTTGCATTTTTTTCATCTTTATCACAAGGTGAATTTGGTGAAGTTTGTAGTGGACGTTTGAAACTACCAGGAAAAAGAGAATTACCTGTGGCTATCAAAACCCTTAAAGTAGGCTATACTGAAAAGCAACGCAGAGATTTCCTAGGTGAAGCAAGTATCATGGGACAGTTTGATCATCCTAACATCATCCATTTAGAAGGTGTGGTGACCAAAAGTAAGTATGATGGCAAATTATACATGTGTGTGCATATCCTCAATATCTGTCTAGATTATTATTAATTTAGGGTAAAGAGAAACCAAGATTGTAATATATTAATTTCTCTAATATTAATGTTTATCCTGTATTTTAGTAGATTTTTGTTAAAGCTAATCTTCAATGAACTTGAATTTTCATCTATCTTTTAAAATATATATTTTAACCCATTTGCTATGAATTCAATGTCAGACAAAAATGTATCCAGATAAAAGAAGCAGTAAATATATCAACTTTTTTTTTAACTATTGGCTCTTTTACTTTTTATCCTAATGAAATATTAACTTCAAAGTTTTGATTGAAGCATTGAAGTTTAACATTCAATAGGATTACTATAACCATAGCAATGCCACCTTTTAAGCAGTTCTTTATGGCCAGGTTCATTTTGTTTATTCATTTTTTAAAGATATGTTAATAGTTCAAGGGAAAGCAACAATCACAGAAGACAGGAAAAGTTCCTTTTAATGAATTTTTGTTGTTGTGAAAGCAAATCTAGTTTTTCTTTCTCAAAAATATCTAGAATTTTACATCTCTTTTAATTTGTGTTAATGTTTTGTAAATGTGTTAGCATGGTGAGCCTTGCAATACAAGGATTTTAAATCATTTTCAGTCAACAAGTAATGTATTTTTGTGGCACATAGCTGAGGCCTTCATTTTCTTTGTATTCATTGTTTCTTTACTGTTTCTATGTGTTCTGATTCCTTCCTTTATTCCTTACACCACACACATAAGTTACCGAAATCCATATCTTAAAGAGATATACATCTCCAGGAAGCATGCTCAGAGAGGAATGTAGGAAAAGAATAAAATAAACTACATACGTGGGTTTCTTCAAATCTTAGATGTGTTTCTTCCTCCAGTTGAGTATATACCCACACATTATTCTTTACTTGATAGCAACCCAGACACGGCATTTCTGGAGCAAGAAGGCAATCCTGAGGTCTTATTAGAAAAGTGTAAATTGCTAAAGAAAGGCAAGAGGCAGGATCAAGAGGCAGGCAGAGGAAACAGCATTTTTTTAATGGAATAAAACAAAAATATTTTATAATGAGGATATTCTTTAATGGATGTGTGGAAATATGTGAAATAACAATATAATATAAAAATATGGTCACAGATGCAATAAAATAAAATCAGAATTTGAACGTGGCTGTATTCTATCTGAGGGGAAGGACCTTGAAAGAACGTCTGTGATAGCAAGTGTCGATAGATACCGTAGAAGCAAGAATGATAACAACAAAAATTCAGTAAAATTATTTGCTATGCAGAAATGGTATTATCTAATATAAAACATAGTTCTTAATGATGGTACCAGTAATAATAGTAAGCAAATATTTGATAATTTCTGTCTCCATCACCTTATTCACATGGCTACCAAATTCAACTTTCTGAAAATAAACTCTCACTATGACATCCCGTTACCCCAGGGTAAATGCAAACTCCATAGGCAGCCAATCTACCCTTCATAATGAGTTAAGATGTAATATTTAGAACAATGCCAGATTACTGTTATTATCATGGAAGACCACGTTACATAATAGTCAAGAACATGGACTCTGCATCTAGTGATGCAATTGAATTTTAATTTGAATATAAACAATTATGTGGTTTTGCACATCATAAACATTTAGAACCTTAGTTTCCACATTAATGCTATGGGGTGAGAATACCTTATAGCATTATTGTGAAGATGACACTAATTAATATAGATGAGGTTTAGAATGGGCAAGGCACAAAGTAAGTACTTATTTAGTACATAGTTACTACTTCTCCACTTATCTTTCTTCCTATGCTCTGAACTTCTCCATATCCATTCTATGCTTAGTCCATTTTAAAGTACCTTATATTTTGCCCTGCCTTCATTGCCTCTTTCTCTGAAATGTACACCCTCATGTTCACTACTTTTTCAACTTCACTGAAACCTTATTCAAAGTCTACCAACTCTGTGAAACAATCCCTTCCACTTTGTCCTGAAGTAATTTCTTCTTTTGAACACTATGCGTACATGACAATTTTTGAAGTCTAAAACGTTTCTTCATTTGGTTCAAAAGTCTTATTTAAATCTCACTTAATTTTGTCTCTTTTGCTTATATTTTTCAGCTCTCTAGCTAAAAAATGTATGTTCCTTGAAGACAAAGATCGTATCCTAAATATTTATGTAAACATATTATATTTTACAGACCTTTATTACAAAACTTGTTTATTTGAACAGATCCTGATTGAGATAACTTAAGACAACTTCTTGTAATAATACAAACAGATTTCTCATATATTGTATATGCATTTTTTAGGAGCTAGTGTCAATATTAACAAATGACTATATCTAGATTCTGTGAATTCTATTCTAAAAAATGTTACTGTGGTTAGAAAGGCAGTTTTAAATTTCTGATCTCTTAATCAAATATTCTGCTGGATGATGCTGTTCAGCATGAGGCTACACATACATGTAAAGCAAACTGTAAATACCAACAATATTTATTTGCTTTTACTTTTTATTCCATATGAATTGAAACAATATTTCTCCTTTATAAATTTAGCTCTTAATGTTCAACTTAGGAAGTCTCCAACTTGTTTTTAATTTACCATGTTGCAACTCACTTTATTTGTGTCCTTAATTTCATGCTCTCTGATCTGATGCTAATTTATTCAGCAATTATTCTCAACCAGCAGCACACAGATAATGAGACATAAGTGCAACTAAATCTTGTGACTTTTCTTATTGAAGTTGAGGTAGGGAGTCTGAAGTAGCCCTCCTATGGGTGGTGTCATCGTGAGCCTTCATCTTTTCACTATCACATGCCAGAAGCTTGAGCCCCCATTCAAATTCCTTCTGTGATTTATTGTTAAACAGCAACCATCATAAATAGATACATATATTCTAAAGAACTTTCATGACGAATGACATAAAAAAAGCCCACAGTTCTTGGCTTAATTGACTCATTTGAAATGCAAGACACTTTAGTGTAATAGACATAGTGCCAGCTTTTACTATTTAATGAGATTTGGGAAGAAGATAAAAAGGAAAAAAAGTTGTAATTTTTTCACTGCAGCATCCTTAGTTCCTGAAGATTTCATCTACCATCAGTGGAAAATTATTATCCAAACTGACCAAAGGAAGATCTATTGAGTCTTAGGATTAGTCATAATTTTATTTCTTAATTTAGAATCATGTATAAATAAGCCTAGTTCTGTAAAATTAATAAATTTAAACAAAACACTACAGAAGCATTAGAAGAATCTCTGTCTTTCTCTTTATTTCTATATCTGCAGAGATAGAACATCCAACTACATTGATTACCTAAACTGCTAGACAGTTTTGACTTACTTTGTAAATTTATAATTATCTTTCAAATATATTTCCTTAGTCTGTCTAGTAAGATCATTTTCTTTATACAGGGTCTTATTATATATTAACTAACATTATTCCAACAGTCTTCCACTACTCTTCCCATTTTGTCACTTTCCACTTTAGTCCACTCCATACACATTGCCCTCAAATCACTGCTTTCCTGTCATGCTTCATCAGCAGTCAAGCAAACAAATCAACCAAAATGCATAGACTTTCATACTTAACCTGATACACATTTCCATATTTCACTATTTTCTTTCTGGAAAACTCTACCTTATTCTTGCCCTGCCCCCTTGAGATACTTCACTCAGACCTAAAATGTCCTCTCTTCTCTCTACTCGACCTTCAGGTTTAATTCAAATGTGACCTCTATGAGATCAGTGTCATTTATCTTCATTTTTCCTTCAATCTTGAGTGCCTGCCTGGCATAAAGTAGGCCTTCAATTATGTTGAATAGCTGAGTAAAGGAAAACTTCCCAGTTCTACATTGGAGTACAAGTTTTAAAATATGAACTTCAAAGGGCAGAGGTTTTTGTTTTGCTCACTTGTGTGTTCCTAGATCCAAGCCCAACAGGTGTAGCACTTTATATATGTGTTGAATGAATGAATTCTCAGTCAGAAGTAATTGTCTAAATACCAGTGGCATTTCTGTATACTCTGTCATGCTATATGTTACTTCATAATTAAATCTGCACATGTTTTATCACCCTTCTTATGCAATGAGCTCGTTGAAACTAGCATAGGTTTGTCACCCCCTTTGTGTCTAGCAAAGGGCCAGACACATTAGGTAATTAAAAAAAAGAAAGAAATTAAAATAGTGAATGAATAAATTGTGGCTATGTAAAGATCTTAAGCTAGTTAGAATGATATAGTTTATGTTTTAAATTTAAAAACTTAATTATATAAAACCATGGGCTTTTAAGAAAAATAATAAAATTAATAGGAAAGTTTGAAAATCAGATCTTGCATACACCACTATTAATTATTAACATTGCATTAAGAATTTAGTAAGCTTAGTTTTCTTTATATGTTATCTCTTTTAATCTGCACAATAAGCTATGCTATAGACATTAGTATTTGTTTTCATTTTACAGAAGGGAAAAATTAACATTAAAAAAGTTAAATACCTTATCCAATATCATAAAACTAGCATGGGAATAATGTCAGATTTTAAAACAGCTCTATCTGACTCCAAAATCCAAACTCTTAAACAGTGAATATAACCAACCTCATATTTCATCATTCTGTACATGCTTGACAAGAAACATTCATTTATTCAAAAAATACTAGCTGATCACCTAATATATGCCTATTCTTACTAATCAGTGGGGCTATAGCAGAGATTAAACCGACTGAGTTTCTGCCTTTATAGAGTTTACCTTTGGGTGATGGAGACAGAAATTAAATGAACAAATAACTTAAGATAATAATGTTAAATGGAGAAAATCAAGCTGGGAAAGGAGATTAGGGGTTGCTTCTGTTGAGAGTGGGTGTTTTCTATTTTACTTAGATAAGGCTTGAACAAATTAAAGTTTTGGGCCTTACAGACATTTGGAGGCAGACTGTTACAGGAAGAGGGACTAGCAATGCTCTAAGGGAACTTGCCTGGAAGGTTCGAGAAACAGCAAGAAGGCCATTGGCGCTGCAGTGGAATGATTGAGAGGAGTCTTTGGTAAGAATTTAGATTAACGATGTAGTAGGAGAATAGACAATGTAAAAACTCTTTGGTGCCTGCAAAGACCATCTCTTAATCTGAACTTTGAAGACGTAGAGCTAACATGGGATAGAATTTGATTTACACATTAACAGGACCAGAAAGGCTGCTGGGTTAAGAAGAGGTGGTAGGACCCAGTGTTGAAGCAGGGAGGCACTGGAAGCTAATTGACATTGTTCGCAGATCATTATGGATTAGGTCAGTATAATGACCTAGCATGGTAGAGGGTAGTGGTTGGATTTTGTAGATATTTTGAAGGCAATCACAGTAAACCTTCTTGTGAATTGGATGTGAAGTATGAGAAAAAGTGAGGAGTCAATGATAACTATAAATTATTTGTCTTGAGTACCTCCAAAAAAGGAGTTGCAATTTATGGAGAAAAGCTTATGAGGAACAAGATTAAGCTTGGTAATCAGTAGTTCAGTTGTGGACATGTTAAATTGGAGATACCTATTAGCATACAATTACAGATGTTGTGCATAAAGTTGGATTTAGCTTTAGTCTCAAGAAGTAAAAAGAAAAATGTTTGAAGTATGAGTAAACTTTAATTTTATATCTTCCACTTCACAAGAAGAAATAAAATTATATGAACCAGTTATAAACAATGATATACATAAACAACTTTAAAACTGAAGTGGAGACAGAACCAAGCTCATTAATTTGGTTCTTGTTTTTCTTTAAGGCAGATACAGGTTTTTAATAAATACACGTACACTAAAAATGAGAGATTTACAAGTGCTGTCTCTGAAAGAATCTAAATCTCAATCATCTGAAAAAAATATAGGTTTATAGAAAGAGATTTGCTGACTTGCAGATTGACAGTTAGTAAATGAAACTGTGTTTTAAAGTTATTTTCATTGTTAATACAACCAAGTTGTCAGAGTTGATCATTTTTAGATTCTCCATCTCTTCTGAAAAGTCTATAATTTCTGACTCCATAATTACTGTATTAACCACTTTCGCTAATGTAAGAGCAATTCTAGTTTGTTTTTAATTTGAGAAACGAACATCTATTGAAAAGGTTTATATCAAGGTAAACATTCCGAAATAAAGAGGATATTTTGGAAAGCTTGAAATTTCTACCCATAGAGACATTTTGCATTTCCATGCTCCTGTCTCAGGTGAGGTATACAAGCTTTTGATTTTATCTTATTTGCCCAATCTGAAATTATATAATTTTACAAAGGACTTGTCCCAACATGTTAGCCAGCAAATAAGAACCATAATAAAATTAAAATATCTGAGTACATTTCTAAGTTCTGTCTCATAGTTTGTTTTTATCTTTGTTGTTTTGTTTTTTCCCCTTTTAATAAGCATTACCTATTCCTACTACAAGTACAAGATCCTATTTTCTGGTTGACCATTATCCATTAATAATTGATTCACCATATTTGTGTTATCCTAAGTTTCTTTTGGGGTAAGAATAAAAGACATTTTAAACAGCTGCAAAGATAAGTATACTAAATAGAAAACAATGCAAATAAGATGGCATAATGAAATCATACTATAGGTCTATAAGCAGAGGCTTACTTTTAATCATTTACAAGTCTTAAAATATATTTCTAAGAGAAATCCAGTGACAATAATTTTCCAGTGAATTATGAGGCTTCTAAATGAAATGTTCACTGATAGCCTTAAGTGGTATCATGTGTTTATTGATGAGCTAATGGTTTGGGAAAGGCAGATGGTATGAATGCAAATAAAAATAATAAGCCTATATTTAGCAGCAACTCTTGTGATGTGGCCTAGTTTAGTGTTTCACAAAATTTAATGTGCCTCTGGGGATATTGCTAAATTGCAGAATCTGTTTCAATAGATCTGATTGGGGAATGCTATTTTACATTTCTAATAAGTTCCCAGGCCATGTCTATGCTGCTTGTCAGATATCATATTCTGAGAAACAAGGACTAGATCAACATTCCCCAAATTTGTTTCACCTAACTTTGAGATGTCTTATGGCAAAGGATTGTATTACCAGGAACGGCATATTCTCTTCTCTTTTGGAGATTTGTGATGGACGTTAGCACCAAAAAAGTCACATAATAAGTTAAAAAAACTCATTTTTTTAATTGTAGAAAAAACATACACACACACCTTGAGCTATACACCTTTAATTTTTTTTCAAGTGTACAATACAGTATTATTACCCCTACACACACTGTTGTACAGCAGATCTTTAGTACTTTTTCATCTTGCATACTGTAACTTTGTACACATTGAACAGCAACCCTCCACTTCCCTGTTCCCACAGCTCCTGGAAACTACCTTTCTACTTTCTGCTTCTGTGGGTTTAACTACTTTAAGTAGCTCTTATGCATGTAATCCAAGATTGTTCACAATACACTGCTTGGATCATATGTGGGTAATGAGCATATATAAAAATAGAATATTTATTGAGAAAAGGTAAATTCCTGAACTAGATCTGCCATCAATGGTTGAATAGTTATGACATATTTGTGATTCCCAAGTTTGTATTAACACAAAAAAATGAATATTTGTGAGTTTTTAAAATGAAATCAAAGTAAATATTTTGAATTTGTAGACATCTCAGTATGGGAGAAAGGAAAACAGCCTTAATATTCAGAGAGATACAAATTTGATTCTCAACTTTACTCCTTATATAACTTGCTCCAGACAACCCGAGTAATATATTGAACCTTTCTGAGCCTTACTTGCCTTCTCTGAAAAAGTCTATTATAATATCACAGTTATAGAATTATAATATAAATCCATAACATTGCCTTATAAAGAGTAGATGCTCAATAAATTTGAGCTCTTTTATGGTTATCAATAATAAAGGTAAATTTCTCAAATAATGTATTTCTGTTACTTCTCCCTGGGCTGGGCCTTCAGTAAATAATATAAAGTAATATAAAAACTCTCCCCTGTGATTAAAATCATGTTTTGACATGCTTTATGAGTTATTTTTATATGGATTTTTGATAACATGCTTTCAAAATTATTGGCAGATCTAGTCTTTGTCTGTACTTCAAGCTGGATAATGGAATATGGTTTATACAGTTTTATTGAATTTACAAGGGTTAGAGTAAGCCATGTTAATTATTGCTATGTCATTTTTGCAGGCTAGCAGGCTATGTTTTGCTGAGACAAAACATAAGCCAAACTAAATGTAATTAGCATTAAAATGACTCACGCATGAAGAATAATCGAATGGGTCCTGAAGTGTCTTATTCTTGTCAACAAAAGAAGATCATACTTGTTTGCAAACATTCATTTTAATTGCTTTTCCCCCATCATGTGAAATATGAGAGGTGTTTTAGGTCCTTATCATCTTTCTCAAATAATGTTTTTGCTTTTCACATCACAACCTACACTGTCATAAATAATTAATCTGGCTTTTAAAATTAGATGACACTAGCTGAAAAATCCTACAGGATGAATACCAGGTGCCCATCTCCCTTTTTTTCCCCAAATATATACTATTCAGTGTTAATAAGTTGTCTGATCAGCACATTCTCTTTAGGGTATAAATTCTGTCTTCTTAGCTCAATGAATTTGGGGTTGAATCTAAGATACAGATTTTCAAAGAAAGAGATAATTTTATATGAGAATTCCATCTAAATCCTACTCAGTAGACCTTGGGTGAGCAGTGGTCATATTTACCACTAACCCATAACTCTAAAAAGAGATCCTAAAATATAAAAAGATAGGCAGAAAGAAGAAATTCTACAAAAGAAAGAAGAAAGAAACTGAAAGTGCTGTAAGTAGAAATGCAGGAAAAGCCCTGAAAACATAAAGGACATGGGGTAAAGTAGATAATGATAACATAGATTAGTGGAGCACAGCGTCTGTTCATGTGATATGAGCTGAGAGGTGCCAAGCAGGAAAAGCTGCGACTATATTCTCTAGATGTTTGCTGGAATTCAGTTCTTTCAATTTATTATAATGTGACAACCCTCTCAATAGATTTCTGTAAATGAGGGGATAAATCAGGCAGAATCCAAGTAAAAGAGCCACACATGGAGGATTTCTGGAATTATAGGCTGATTCCAGAAAATCTAGTCCTCCTTTTAGTTAGATTAGGGCTGATCTTTGTCAGGTACATACCCTTTGACTCTATTCCTTGTAAATTGATTGAAATCTTTCTAAAAACTGATGCCGGAGTTGCCCATGTGTCCCCTTTATGTGAGTAACAGTTTCTTCGCTGAGTTCTTTCAAATTCCTGAAACTGGGCAAATGATGGGATAATGCCTTAATATCATAGGGTGATCCAGGATACCTCAGCATTATCGCTGGTATAAATTCTGACATATAGATACCCGTGCCCAAACAGTGGGGCTATCACTACTGGGAGAGGTATATTAGTTTTGTATTCTTGAAAGAACAGGACTTCAGATGAATATAAAAGGTTGAAATGGGCTCAGAGATGTGAGAATGGGACGAAAAGAGCCCAAAGCAGAACTGTGTCTATTTTAGAGTTTGCCTGAGGTCCTTTAAAAAGAGTCTGACAATATAGTTAAAATAAAGTTTAAGTTGCAAGCATTTTTTATTCATGAATGTAGATTAAAATTATACTAATGATAAAAATTTCATTATCAATTTTTTCCTGATCTGTTCTTGAGCCATTTACAAATACAACCTAAATAATTATTTTTCTACTAAGAAATTTCACTTCCATCTAGTTTTAAGGTCAGTATTTGTCACCTCATCTCTTGTAACTTTATGATTTAAGAAGAGAAAAAAATTCAGAGTTGTGACTGTATTTAAACTTCATGGGCTCTTTCTTGACAATATGCATAGACATGTGCCACCTCTCTTCCTGGAACTCTGGCCACCTTTTATTACACCTGTGACCCCTGCACTCTTCAAGGTGCAGATTAAATTACATCCAAAATGCACATTCTCTGCATATGTGATCTCTCACCTAACATAGGCATCTACAAACCTGTGTCAAATAAAGTATTTTAGACAAACATTTTTACAACTTTTATAAACTTTAGAGGACGAGGAAATGTGGCTGCCTTTGCAATACACTTATCACATTCCATTTAAAGAAATATTGTCTCGAGTATTTTATAAGAAGATAATTAAGTGAGAATTAGACTTACTTGTCCTATATTATTATTATAAACGGTGAGTTTTAAGTGATATGGGACTAAAACATTCTTTTTTCTTCCCAGTTATTTCTTTTTCATATGTATTAATCATATGTTCTATATCTATAGTTGTACTTCTGGATAATATGATATGTGTAAATATGCAAGCTGTCATTCTATGACCTGAGTCAATCAATTATCCAGTAAAATACAGACACTCTTCTGAAGAATGCCATTAAATTAATTATAATGCATTTCACAATTGTATAGTATTTGTTTCTCTTCATAAATTAAAAAGTTAATTAATGGACATATATGGTAATTTTATTATCATAGGTCTCTGTTTTCTTAACTCAAAATATTTTAAATTAAAACTAGTTTTATGTCATATGTTTCTATTAAAGAGTAAAGGGGTGTGTCTTAAAATATAGTGAAAATGTGGAATGATAAAACTAGCAACTGTTTTCTAGATATTTTCTCATATAGCAATAATTTTTTATCTTGCAATTTTCATCTTGTATTACAGACATACTAGGTATGAAATGTCACAATTTTATATGGAATGAGATGATCTATTCTCTTGGTCAACTTACATCTAGCAAGGAAGCTAACACACAAAGTTGATCAAATGTATTTTTAAAATGTTAAATCCTTGCATAGCAAATTCTGAGTAATAGGAACTATTTTAAGTGCCTTGGATAACCATATGACTTAGCAGATACTCGCAACAACCCTATGAGGTAGGCGCCATTGCTATCCTCATTTTACATATGAGAAAACTGAGGCACAGAGATAAGAATTGACTTGCCCGGGATCCATAATAATAAGTGATTGCTCTGGGATGAAAATCCAAGAAGTATGGCTCTAGAGTCTGTCCAGCTGACCTCTAGGCTACATGTCAATGTCAGATATGAAAGAAGGAGAACCATTTTCATCATAATTAATGACTGCTAAGGAAATCTTTCACATAACAATTAGAACAGAGCTTTAAAAAATGAAAAGAAAAGTGGGGTTAATCGAGATTTTAAGTGTGTAGCAGAGAGAGGAAGGGCAGGTAGCCATAAGGAAAGGAGTTACAAAAACATAGAGGTAAAGGTAGGAAAATGCAATATACATTCAAAGGATCATAAACAGGGCAGTTAGATAGGATGGAGTTTTTATTTAGAATTGTGAGAATTAGAAAGATGAATATGTTCCAAGTGTTTCGCTGAATATTATTGGATACATTATATCATTATTTCTATTAAAATAAAATTTATCCTAATACTCATAGAATTATTCTTAAACACATTTCCTACATAAATTAGTGATGATATTGGCAAGGGTGTGTGTGTGTGTGTGTGTGTGTGTGTGTAAATCTTAAATATCAGTCTGTTATTAACCTTGTGATACATTTTTCTCACTGACTCAACCATAACACTAAGATATCATCATATCAGGAATTATCTTCTTTCTTAAAGAGGACATTTTTAAATATTTAAATATTTAAATAGTTTTAAAATACTTTAAAAAATGTTTTTAAAATATTAAATATATTAAAAATGTTTTTAAAATATTAAATATATTAAAATATTTTTAAATATTTAAATATCTTTCATTTAATAAATTTTATTTTTTAATATTTTTATTTAAATATTTTAAATATATATATATATATACAATTTTGACACTAATAAAAACTTCTGGGTAAGCTTTGCCAGATAAGAATGCAAAATCGAAGAGCAGCAGGTTATATCACTCTGTTTTCTTTTCAGGTAAACCAGTGATGATCGTGACAGAGTATATGGAGAATGGCTCTTTAGATACATTTTTGAAGGTAGGATTGGGGAATAATTTAGTTATTCAAGGTGTTATTTATATATTGTGATGTTGTGCTGTGATGATGATGCTGTGATGTTGAAGTTGAATTTGGGCCACTTTAAAGCTTAAGTTTTTAATAGAACAGAAATTTATGGAGCCACAATAATTACACTCCAAAATGAACATAGGTTTGTTTCAGAAAACTCACACAAATCCAAATTATATGCCCCTAAAGTTTTATTTAAGTATGTCTTAATTTGAAAAAAAAAATGCAGAGAAGTAGAAGGGAATAAGAGAGGAAAAGAAAAATTTTAAAAAAGAAATGTAAAAAGGGAAAAAAGGAAAAAATAAGGTCTTACAAGTGTTCGATTTTCTCTTAGTGTATCAGGCAGAGCAAGAAAACGTGTAAATAGCCCAGGCAAGTCATTAATAAAGGTGTCAAGTTAGAGCCTATAAGTGCTCCTAATCTACCTGAAGATCCGTCACGACTTGCACCAGCAGAGTTCACGTGGTAATTGACAATAGCTAATATTATCAGATCACCAGCGTTTCAGGGAAAGATTTTCTTCATGTGCAAATCTCTAAATTTTAAATAATGGCAACCCACTTTATTAGTAAATAGCTTGTGTTAGACAATGTAACATATTTGCAGGCCTGATTAAACATATAGGCTGGCAGTTTGTAATTTTAATATAGTGCTCATTACCATTGGTAGGAAAAAGTGATAGCCCAATGGCATTGATAACAATTGTAAGAGGGACCTATGCAATGAATTTGATAATGGTCCACTGAAAAGTCAAATTTTTCTTCCTACTGCCAGACTCTGCCAAATTATTTTATCAAATTTTCTAACCATACCTTTAAGTACTCCAGTCTCTTAGAGTCACGCCATTCCTTTATTTTAAAATAGCCATCCATTGAGCCTTATGAGTTAATGTAACTGAAATAATTTCAGTGCCCTTGACAAAGACGACAAACTTCCAAAAATTGCTAACATTGACCTGATCACTGCTCAGTCACCCGTCTCCCATCTGCTGTTACAGAAACTCCCTTATCACCTCTGTCCATTTCTTCTTTACCTTAATATGTCTATCCAGCTAGCTTCTTTTAAATCACATCAAAATAGTACGGTGTTGACCCAAGGCAGATACTAGGTTGGAGTGTGAACAAACCCTTCTGATGACTGAGAATAAAAGAGTTATGATGCAGAAAAAGGCAACTACATAAGATTTTTGGCCAGGGTTTTCAAAACCTTTATCTGCTTTGACCAAGCAGAGGAAAAATAAATGTCACCAAGTTAGCCATATACTTCCTACCATTTTCCAATCTCCTTCAGATAGAAATTGCATATGAATTTTAGCGACTGATAGTATCAATTTGGGGGATTGAATACAGACCTCTCATATTTTCCCCCAGTGATTGGTGTTGCTAGACTAATATTTCTACATTGTCTTTACAGAAAAACGATGGGCAGTTCACTGTGATTCAGCTTGTTGGCATGCTGAGAGGTATCTCTGCAGGAATGAAGTACCTTTCTGACATGGGCTATGTGCATAGAGATCTTGCTGCCAGAAACATCTTAATCAACAGTAACCTTGTGTGCAAAGTGTCTGACTTTGGACTTTCCCGGGTACTGGAAGATGATCCCGAGGCAGCCTACACCACAAGGGTAAGATCTAACAGAGTGCATTTCTAAACACTAGACCAGAGCCATTTATTTTTAAAGATTCTGAAAGAAATAGCTAAAAGAGCATTCCTGCAACAAAGTCAAAAAGAAAGAGAGAGAATGAGGGGGAGAGGGAGAGAGAAAATCAAAAGTCAAAAAATTCTTCCTTTTATGTATCAGCAAATTTAAATATTAACTTTAGAATATCTGAGTTTCATAATTCATTTTTTCTGAAGATACTAAAAATAAAAAATCTTACTTCAGAATGGATACAGCATGTAAGAATAATCATCTTAAATTTCAAAGTAAGGAGTTAAATACAGAATCTCCTACATTAAAGGTTATATATATATATATATAGTATGTATGTGTCTGTGTATACACACATATATATGAATAAGTAAACATGTATAATATTATTGGGTAGTTTAAGCTCTCTGCATTATACTGTCCTTACTTGTAAAATAAATACAGAAATATCTAGCTCCCACCTTTTAAGGATTTACATTGTAGGGAAAAAAGAGCTATTCCTTCAAAAAGTTTTGATTTCCTGGAGGTATTGTAATAGCTATTTAAAAACTGTTACGTCTACACTATGGAAAATTGATCACTAACTCATATTGTTATATTTCACAGAAGTCAAAACTCTTTTCTATGAAAGTAATTGCTTGCTGTATTGATATGGTATATAATTGACATTTTTTCTGTGAAAAACTGTGCATATTGCTACAACAGAATGTTATGGGTGATCTGTAATGTCATACTTTTTGAGTTTGAATTCCTTATGATAAACAATATTTGCTTAATTCTAAATATGTTCAGTGTCATCAAGTTGAATATCCTCAATGTCTAAAACCCTTGTGAAGATAGAGATCTGTCATTGTTTATTTTTCCCTATACAATTTGATAGCTCTCATTCTCAAAGTAATATGCATGTTTTCATATTTAATTCAACTTTTAAAAATTACATCCACTGGTAGTCTAACAATAAGTTCTTTTCAGATTATAAGGGTTTTTTTTTTAAAACATTTTTGCTTTGTGATTCATGGGGATTTGTACTTTGTTGAAGGGAGAAAGTAACTTATCCAAGCAAACAAAGACTTCCAGTGGTCAGCTTAATCAATAAAGTATTTAGGGGGATATCCTTCCTCTTCCAGACCTATCAGTGTCATTATTTTCATTACATGAAAACTCAATTAAGAATTCTTTTGGGAATAGAGTTACCTTTAATAAATTTTGCCTGATCAAGATTGAGGTTATACAACTATCCATTGCCAGTGTGATTGGTGGGTGTCTTAGTTAAGTGTAAAAAGTAGATTTTTCAAGATTTGTGTTAGTGTGTTATGCTACAGAGTAAAGTGAGAGACAGAGAACCTGAAACCTTCAAGGCTTATTCCTCTGAAATGGGGTATAGTGGCAGCCTGTGGAAAATCTATACACTGAGAGATGAGAACATAAGGAACTTGAGATTTATTGAAGACATGAAGGATGATCAGAGGATCAGGAGAAAAATTATGGGCTAAGGTTTAATATAATCAACAAATGACAATTCTAAAAGGAATATTAATAAGACATTATAGAATATCTATGCATAGCTAGGACTCATAATACAATCTTGCCTATGAATATTTAACGAATGAGAATAAGTTTCAGGTAAGTCTTCTTCAAATGATGTTACCATATATCTAAAGAGCAAATAATTCAAACCTAACTTCAATTCCCAAAATAATTTTTAGTATGACCCCAAACTGTTATTTCCTTATATATATTGAAACTTTGGTTCATAAACAGCAATTTAAGTCCTATTTTTTCCCTTGCAATGTAAATTAAATCTTTCCCTTCCTGCAAAATGGGAAGGCACATGTTAGTCTTTTTACAAGAAAATATTGGAAACCTTCACCTCTTTCTCTTTCAATATATATTTGATGATAGATGAAATATTTGATTATCTAGATTTGCCTGCTATTGAAGCTAAGAGAATAATAATTTCACCCTGAAAGAGGCATATTATAAAAGTGTTTATTGTATGAACTAAGAGAAAGTCTCCAAATCAATTTTTATGCCATAAAAAACAACTTGATAATGTAGTAAGATTTTCCCCCAATCCAATTTCAATAATTTTTAATTTGGTTTAGTCAAACAAGACACCCTCCTCTTAAACAGTTGAACCAAACAAAAACAAAATAAGACAACAGAGGAAAAGAGAAAAGCAAGTCTAAAAGAAATAACACAACGTCAAGGGAAAGTGTAACTTTGTTTTAATATATCCAATATTATGCTGGGCCCAGTAGCTCACGCCTGTAATCCCAGCACTTTGGGAGGCTAAGGTGGGTGAATCACTTGAGGTCAGGAGTTGGAGAGCAGCCTAGCCAACATGGCAAACCCCTGTCTCTACTAAAAATACAAAAATTAGCCAGGCA
This sequence comes from Homo sapiens, assembly GCF_000001405.40. NCBI lineage: Eukaryota > Metazoa > Chordata > Mammalia > Primates > Hominidae > Homo > Homo sapiens. The sequence goes on along the minus strand of NC_000004.12, from coordinate 65,348,971 downwards.
TGATAGCGCACATCTGTAGTCCCAGCTACTCGGGAGGCTGAAGTATGAGAATCACTTGAACCTGGGAGGTGGGGGTTACAGTGAGTGGAAATCTCACCACTGCACTCCAGCCTAGGAGACAGAGCGAGACCCTGTCTCAAAAAAAAAAAAAAAAAATATATATATATATATATATATACACACACACACACATGCACACACATATATATACACATATATATATGCACACACATATATATACACACACATATATATACACACACATATATATTTTATATATATATATATATATATATATATATATATATATATCTCCAATGTTTATGCTTTTCTTATTAACTGCTAAACAGCTCAGGGTCACATTCATCAACCTATAATTTCCACTTACAATTTCTGTATTAAAGAAACGAAGCACCCAGGGAATTTGAGTCTTTTACTCTGTTAGAAAGTCATGAGAGTATACCTTATTGGTTTGCTTGACTGCCTGCTTTCCCTTACTTAGAGCTGCTATACTGAGGACTGTAATTGAGATGTGGTTTCTGTATGTATTTCAGTAGTCACACAGAATTTAAACTAGAAACCTTCTAGACAGCCAATTAGTAGTCTACAACTGCTTATGGGCTGAGAGATTTGAAAAGACACTGCGCGCTGTCAAACAGATTCACTTAAAAATGCTACATCTCTGTCTAGATCTTTTCAGTGAGGCAACACTGTCCCTAGGCACATTTGAAGTATGTAGGAAGTTTTTTAAATCTTTTTCAATTTTAGGGAGGAAAAATTCCAATCAGATGGACTGCCCCAGAAGCAATAGCTTTCCGAAAGTTTACTTCTGCCAGTGATGTCTGGAGTTATGGAATAGTAATGTGGGAAGTTGTGTCTTATGGAGAGAGACCCTACTGGGAGATGACCAATCAAGATGTGAGTATGGAACTACTCTTTCCCAACTTGACAATGAAATGCTTTGTTCTCTGAGTCAAGACACAATGTTTTTCATTTCTGAAAGTGACAGTTGCTTAAGAAAATGAAATACTTTGCTTACCCTCTGATCTGTTTTGTGTTGTTGAAATATCCTTTAAGCAGGAGCTCAAAATGAGTTATTACAAAGGAAAGTAAGTTACAGTTATATAAAAACTCAGTCCCTTGCCAGACAGTTTTAGCTGTACTGTAGTGATGTTTCACTCAATTCTTGTCAGTATCATTTTCAAAGATAAAGAAAGAGCCATCAAAGAATGAATACTGACAGGCAAGTTTTTATGATTTGCATTTGATAAAGGCAGCTAATACTCCAAACCAATAGGATGATGATATTGATTTAATAGTGGATGCTCTTAGAGGATAAAAAGGAATAGTCTACGTTTCTTTAAATTAAAAAATGTAAGAAGAGTTGTATTGTTTATTTAACTTGAAAGAAATACCAGATTTTCCCCACAATGGAAAAATAATTCATACTTACAATAATAGAATCCTAAAATTAAAGGAACTATGAAAGAATCTTCTGTTCAAATTCACAGCGTTTATTATGTGATGCCTGACACATGGCTCTTTAATCTTTCCCTTTGTAATTTTCCATCATTACTATTCAATACAGCCCTTTCTATTTTGGATCATATGGAAATTTCATATTTTTATTTTGAGAAACAACAATTATAAAAGCAGCTAACATTTATTGAGCCCTTATCATGAGACATACACTATTTTAAGTGCTTTACCAACTATTTTATTACTTCATTGTAAAGCTAGTATATTGAACAGTTTTAATTTAATAATGTGCTTATTTGAAACACTTTTTCACTCGCATTATTTCTGTCATCCATGCTCCATAAAACCTCCCTCTCTCATGCCTTCAGGGTTGGTTAGACAGATACTATATAGCTCTCCAGCTGAATTTTGTTGAAACAACAATGCCTGTAATTAACACTCACTTTCCAATCTAAAAATTCGAGTCCAACCTAAAAGTGGATCCTATATTCATTTCAAAGTGTCTTCCACAACTGGAGGCCTAGACTAATTGTAGGTACCTACAGTGTGAATCAAGTATTTGCCCCTCCTCCTCTGCCAAAGTCTATATCAGGATTCTTCAGGATTGGTTTGGGTGGAAAGGTAGAAAAGAAGGTCATAAATGTCTTCTTTTGAGAAGTGTCTGTTCATATCCTTTGCCCATTTTTTGATGGGGTTGTTTGATTTTTTTCTTGTAAATTTGTTTAAGTTCTTTGTAGATTCTGGATGTTAGCCATTTGTCAGATGGGTAGATTGCAAAAATTTTCTCCCACTCTGCATGTTGCCTGTTCACTCTGATGGTAGTCTCTTTTGCTGTGCAGAAGTTCTTTAGTTTAATTAGATCCCATTTGTCAATTTTGCCTTTTGTTGCCATTGCTTTTGGTGTTTTAGTCATGAAGTCCTAGAACTTAAAATATAATAATAAAAAAAGACAAAATGAAACCCCAACTTCACACCATGTATATATAAAATATACATGTGAGGTGGAATAAATATTGAAATGTCAAAATCAGAATATAAAATAATAGAAGAAAAATTTTGATTATATTTAGCCTTTCTTTAAAAACAGGAAAAATCCATAAGCCATTTAAGAAAAGAGTTTGATAGTTTTCACTAACAAAATTATAAATTTATGTGTTGAAAAATGCACAACAAAAAGTAAGAAATACAAGTTTAGACTGAGTAAATATTTTCAATACTGCATTATAAACAAAAGTATAATGTACTTACTTATACAATGAGACTTAATAAAGCATTAAGAAAAATAGAAACAATAGGCAAAGCATAAGATTTGGCAAGATACATTGGATGGAATGCAGATGGCCAATAAATGTATGAAAAAATGTTTAACTTTTTAAATAAAAGAACTACAAATTAGAAAAAAAAAAAAGAGAGAGAAAAGAAGAGGCACGGGCTGGCCGCGGTGGCTCATGCCTGTAATCCCAGCACTTTGGGAGGCCGAGACGGGTGGATCGTGAGGTCAGACCATCCTGGCTAATACGGTGAAACTCTGTCTCTACTAAAAATACAAAAAATTAGCCGGGCGTGGTGGCGGGCGCCTGTAGTCCCAGCTACTCGAGAGGCTGAAGCAGGAGAATGGCATGAACCCGGGAGGCAGAGCTTGCAGTGAGCCGAGATTGCGCCACTGCACACCAGCCTGGGCGACAGAGCGAGACTCTGTCTCAAGAAAAAAAAAGAAAAGAAAAGAAAAAGAAGAGGCATGATTGCTTTCCTAATGTGAGGATATTGATGCCTCCTGTGAGACAAATTGCCTAGGCATTAGTTCTCAAGTGAGTTATCTGTCTGAGCTCTTCCAAAGACCCTTGATGAAGCCCTTTTCTCTGCAAGGGCCCTAGAGGAGGAGGATGTCCTCCGACTTTCCATAGTTCCTCTCGCTCTCTGTCTGTTCCCCATCTGACAGTCTCTTACTGTTCCAGCTGTGTCCACTTTATTGGAGGGACACACATTCTTATTGGATGCACTAGCAGTGCCTTCTCTTTGCAGATATCTGTTGCAGGCTGCTCCAGCCAGCCTTCTTCAAATTTCCCCAGAAGAAAAGCCAGGGTCACACATCAGCTTTCCCACGAATGATTTCATAGCATTCTTCTTTGATCGAAACAGCAAATTGGAGTTATGGATTTCTGCTTCTCAGCAAGCACACCGGATGACAATGAGTCTCCCCTTCTTGTAGTCACTTAAAATTGCTAAAATTGGTTTTCTTTATGCCCTGCTTACTTGGCTTGGGGAGGGGAGCACTGACTAGCATTTCTCTAAATCTGGGAAAATGGTATATATTGTCTTCAGCTTTATGATTTTAGGGGCGGGACTATGACAAAACTGTGTCATTCAATTCCTGTTACATATATTTATACTTATATTTAACAACCTTGTGTCAGAGGGATGCTATTATTGTTACTGTTTTACAATTAAGAAACTGAAGCTTGGAGATGTTAAATGACTTATTTACCATCACAGAAATAATGAAAGTGATACCAGAAATTTCAATCTGGTTCTCCAAAATTTTTGTATCTAAGCATCACACTGTCTCCAATTGAATCAATGTCTCCTACCTCTCTTTCATTTCTAACCAATAGTCCGACATCAGCTTTCTAATTTAATATAAAATATAAAATGTTCAATTGAATATATGATTACTCTGGATTGATCTTGATCTTAGTCTAGACTAAGACCAGACCCATTTACTACTTTCTATTCTTCAGATAAATGCCAAATGTTAACAGGCCCTGCAGAACACTGCGTGGTTTCATTTCTAACTTATCTAAACCTCATTGCAATGCCATTCTTCCCTTTAATTTTTGTGAAAGTATTTTAATCCATCCTGGCAGCGAGCCTTGATATACTGGTTTCTACCACGTGTCTACTTCACTCAAGGGAAACATTCATCCCTTATTTGCCTGGTTAACTTCTATTCACACTTGAGATATTTTGAATTCTGATCCTGTCACTCAGAATTATTAGTTTTTCCCAGCTGTGCAGCAGATCATCCACGTTATAAGGAATGATGCCTAATACAGTTGTATCTGTCACAGACACAATTATACACCAGTGCAAACACTGGTGCTAGGTGAATGTTCATAACTGCTCATCTTGACTAGGCTTTCTTATGTTCCTGAGGGCCAGTGGGTCTGTATTAGTATGCCTTGGCTCTCCTCCACAAGTCTCTTATTTTCCTCCTGAGACCAGCAGCTAGCCCAAACGTGATCTCATTTGCAAAATGGCTGAAGAGTAAGAAGGAGCCCAATTACATCTCAGCCTGCAACATGTCTGCTAAAATCTCATTGGCCAATCCCATAATCAAAGTGCTGAGTCAATGACACTACTCTTTGTGGATGGGCACTACAAAGTTGCATAGATAAGTGAATAAAAGTTCATTTATCTAATGCTTAATCACTTCTTTAACATTATAGTATCATCTATTTTTACTCTCATAGTACTTTCTTTGTGATTTTTATTTTTCCTTGTGCCTTTAATTTTATTTTCCTGATTTCAGCTATTTGAGTGTCTTGATACTCTTTCAGATAACTGTATTTCAAATTACTTAGAAAAACACTAGAAATTGCTTATGTAACCTTTCAGGAAGTTTAAAGAAAAAAAAAACACTAATATTTTGGCTTTTACTTGGTTTTCTAAGAATTTAAATGAGGTTTACAGAAAATGATCATACAATTAAAGATCATTCTAAAATATCTGTCTATAATACAATGTCCAATGCATGCATTGTTACTTTCTCAATTAGTTCATAAGTGGCATTTTAGTTTTCAGATACAGCATTAAATTTCCTATGCCTTAATTTCTGTCCAAATTTTGTATCCAAGAAACATGACAAATCAACTATATTTAATGATTTCAATCACTAAATATTTCTTTGGAGAAAAATTCTCAGAAAACAAAGTAGAAGTGCTGATTTGGCAATTTCAAATGATATATTCCATAATCTCTACATTCCAGATGCTATCTGATTCTTAAAGGGCTTTGCCACCATGAAAATGTTACGTTACCAAGGCATGCAGGATAATCTAAATCTCACAGAGGAGATCTTCCTCTGTGTCAGGAGGACAAAATGCAGCAGTAGGAGTCCTGGGATTTAGGATTGCCTCTTCCATCAGGAAGAAAACCTGTAATGACAATAATGAAAATAAACTAGAACAACTAAGGAGATTTTAGGTAAATACCAGACCATGAACTCTGATTCAAGCTCAGAAGCTAAGATAATATCATGTAGTCAGTAGAAGCCTATTTATTGATAGTAAACACTTTAAATGTCAACAGTTTTCAGAAGCTAAAATAAAAACTAAAGATTTCATTTTGTTGTATTTTTATTTTTAGTGACAAGGTCTTTCTCTTATATTTATTGCAGAGTATATGACTGTATAGATTCTACTAAGTACATAGATTGCACAATATTTTGAAAACTAATTTAAGTAGCCTGTTTTTTAATCTTCTTATATTGGAAGGATTTTTGCCTTTTTTGGTTTTAGGAAGTCAGATTCTGTGCTTTCTTTTTCTGGCCAGTTTTAATCCAGTCGTTTTATTACTACTTCTGTTGGCCCAGATCTTACTTGTAAAGCAGAAAGACTATTTGACTCCAGAAAAGATCAACTAGCTTTGTACTGGGTGTGCCTCTCTTCCTCCTTCTATTCCTTGTTTCATTTCTGATGTGCCAGATATACATATATACATACATCAGCAGTATAAATTATATGTGTATGTATATTGCTCATATACATATTCCTTTTATGTTTATGTATATTGCTTATATGTTTATGTATATTGTATATGTTGATGTATATACATAAACATATATTCCTTATATGTTTATGTATATTGCTCATATACATATAATTTATACTGCTGATATATGTATATATGTATATCTGGCACATCAGATATACATACATATACATATGTATACATATTCCTTATATGTTTATGTATATTGCTTATATTATAGACATATTTCTTGCTAAAATAAAGAGTCAGTATGTTGTAATTAACTAAAGAAGGGGTATGAGGAATTTAGTTCTCATCCAAATGCTGCAAATTACTAAGATTTGACAGTAAGCGAATTATTTGACTCCTTAGCCTCATTGCTATGTAATCTAAAATGAGTGTCTTTGACCAAAGAATATTCATCTTTTAAGGATAATGCCGCCCTTGGATGTAAGTAATTATTTTAGGAACTAGTAGCCTCATGAAAATTCTTATGCTTTTGAAAAAAATGACACATAAAAAATTATCAGTTCTTCAGCTCAAGATTTCTGTACCTGGATGTTTAACAACAACAACAACAAAACAAAAATCTTGGACTTAAACCAGTCATCTTGGATTCTACAACTCTTGGTCAGTTTCAATGATTATAAAGGGAATAGGCTTCAACAGAAGATTTCTAAGATCTCTTTAATCTCTGGAAGTCTACTGATCTAAGATTGATGCACTAAGAAAAAAACATAATATATCTTTAATAACTATCTTAGAATAAAAACGGATATATCTTAGAATCTTAGAATAAAACTGATATATCTGAAACTATTTCTATGTCATCTGGGTTTGCTTCCAGAAATATATTCATAAACTCTAGTCATTTGTAGGGAGCTTCATATCTCATAGTAACAGCTCCTATATGTGAGATTTCAAGTAAATGCCTAGCAACATAGGTACTCAAGCCCTAGATAGAACTTAATTCATGGAAACACACAGCTGATGCTTGAATTCCTATAATCTTCCTAATCTTCCTGCCACTCAGTTTTCAAGCCTACATTTTCACATCTCCTGTGATGAAGAATGCACTATCTTCCAAAATAGCTCATTGTAATTCTGGAGAGAGAGATATATAACATATATACATATACACACACAATAATTTATATAAATATAATATATATAATATGTAAATATCTATTTATTTATGGTGCAAATAAATATGATTCTATAGGGTGGCATTCATATGTATATTTATTTATGATGCAAATAAATATGATTCTATGGGGTGACATTCATATCTCTCTCAAATTATTTTATTTGGTGTGTGTTGAAGTGTAGCGATGATGATTTCTAATTTCAATGGTGTGACTCAGCACCAAGATGGAAAGACCACAGGTTTTCATGACAAAAATACTTAATTTGTGAATCCTGCCACCCCCACTTCCTAGCTGGGCAATTTCTTAAACCTTCTGATTATTTGGAACCTGAGGTGTTTCATATGTGAAATGTGTATAATAATTTTTATCTTGTAGATTTGTAATATGGATGAATTTAGATAATTAAAAACAGCCTGCATGGCTATGACTGACATAATCCATAGGCTAATCTAGGCCCTCCAGCCCTCCAAGAAACCTATGTCAACAGGAAATAATTAGATATTGAGGAAAATTTTTCTAAGAAAAATTGAGGAGGGATGAAGGGAAGCCGGGATAGATGTCAGACTGTGACACAGGTATGTCCCTAGGTACAGTAGAGATGGAAGGAAGGAAGGATGATTGGTTGCAAGCTATGGAGTAGAAATGCCGTTCTAAAGGAGTCTTATTATCCTTGCCATACTCCATAATTGCCTGGAAGCAACGTGCATAAAGTAAGCTTTATGCAGGTGCACATGTGATGAAGGGCTTTACAGCACAGCAGCTAGTGTTGTTGGCCAATTACTATCTCTGCAGTTGAAGAGCCTAGAGACAAATGTTTATGATTGACATGCTCTATTCTCTTGCCATGACACACTTACTTCGCATAGGTTCAGAAAACATCTGTTTCATGGTTCTGTGGGCACTTCCTCCTAAGAAAGAATTCAGAAAAGGCAGGTTACTAAATGAACTGCAGCCTGTAGCTATAGTTGATCATAGGATGTCACCTGGTCCTTATCCTCCCCCTCCTCCACTATCCACTCTGAATCCCCCTCACTATGATCTTGGCAGGTCATGGTAGCTTAACTGGTGGTCTGATCTAATTCCTCATTCTTGGGGTTTCACACATATTTCTCCCTGCCCCCACTGTGAGAAAGAAGTCCAACTGCTTCCTGCTGCTCTGTATCAGTTATCCTTGCCATTATGGTGACTTCTTTTCTGCTGATCTCTTTGCATGAGTAATTCATAACTGTTAGTTCAATGGAGCTTTGCTGTGTTTTCTGGCAAGAGTCACTGGGAATGGAGCACAACACAGAAGTCTCTGACTATATATATATCGCAACATGAAGAATAACACCCATACTTTCAGAATCTTATCTCCATGTTGGTGCTTCAGCTGTGTCTTGTTGCTTCTGGATAATGAACTATGTGTGCTGGTGTGCCCCAACAAGCTTGTACCAGCTAGCATATTTTTAGAATATTTCTACTTGAATGAGACCATGTTAGTAGCTTACAATTGGCATAGAGAGAGTATTTATACCATGTCACGATACAATATTACAAATTTGTCCTCCCCCAGGGAGAGTGAGTTGTTACAAATTTATCAGCACTTCATGAAGTACAAAAGTTCTTGAAATAACATAATTTTGTTCAACAGCACTTTGTTATAACGTTGATAAGAAAAACAAATATATCAACTCACAGCCAGGGCCACTGTCTGTGTGGACCATGCGGGTTCTCCCCATGTCTGTGTGGGTTTCCTTCCATATACAATGCCCTTTAGATTAATTGGTGTGTCTACATGGTCCCAGTCCAAGTGAGTGTGGCATGAGTGTGAGTGTGTCCTGCAAAGGGATGGTGTCCTGGCCAAGGTTGTTTCCCACCTTGTGCCCTGAGCTGCTGGGATAGGCTCCAGCCACCTGCAGCCCTAAAATGGAATAAGCAAATAAGCAATTATCTTACCTGTTTTTGTCACTTTTTCTTAAATGTATGTATAGCTCACATTTATTTCAGTGTTTAATAATAGAGGTGTTTTGGGTCATTATTAGAAGTTTAGTTATGTTTTTGTGACCAGAAATATGCCCTAAGAGCTTAACTCTTGTTTATTTATATCAACAAAGTTATAGTTAAATTGGTTTCATTATACTTTGTTTCACTGAAAGTCACAGTTTCCAGAACGTATCCATGATATTAAGTGAGGACTTAACTATTTGTGATAGTTAAGTCCCCATACATTCTTTACTGCAAAAGGCATACTCTGGATGGGTGATATACTATGTGGAATTCTGTGTTTGTGAATAAAGCCTTTCAAAACTCCTATTGCTGGCTGAGGGTCTGTGGGTGGGAAAAGCAACCATACCCACAACAGGTATATACACCTAAAAATGCTAACCCAATGACACTTATGTGATAGAAGGAGCCCAGAGAGCCACCCTGCCATCAAATGAATAATACTATATAGGGGGCTAAGTTATGTTTTTAGGAATTGGAAAGAGAGGCAGTATTGTGTTCAGACTATCAGTTTACATGCCAATGCCAAGAAAATGCATAGCATATTATACTATTTCAGATATAGCACATCTGAACTGGTGCCAGCTTGCCTGTAAAAATTCTCATTCTAATTGTCTTTTCTTTACTTTGTTCATCTCAGCCACCTGTATCAACAAATCTAATAGTAATGAGAAAGTCCATCGAGATTATAACTCATTTGGTTATATGTTACAAGTTGCATGGGAAAATGAACACCTAAATTGCACTTTGGTCATTTTTGGTAGATTTCCATCATTTTACAACCTACCAGAGTAGTAATGCTATCTATTTCCCCCAAAACTATTATAAAGAATCATTAGAAATGGAAAAAAAAGGAAACTTCTAATATAAAATGTGAAGTTATAGTTCCAAATCTATTTTTAAAATAAATTCTAACAATTAATTTAGAATTAAATTTCATGACCTAATTACCTGGACCCAGTTCTAAGTTGATATAGAGACAGAGCACTGTATTTCTAAGTATAAATTTACCCGAAAATAAGACCGAATAAGAAATAAATTCTAGAAATATCTTCACAGGTCAAATAACTTCTTAAGGTGTTTAAGGTAAACATCTGTATTGTTGTGCTTAGTGGAGGAAGGATTATTGAAAAAAAAAGGGTGCTAAAGAAAAAAATCGAATTAATTGGTAGCAGCTTTGGAGAAAGGGCAAATTATGAAATAAACCATGTTTTGAATAAATAAGAATTACTATTCTCACTGTATAGCAAATATATTACATGACTTAAGCCATTTATATTAGGATGCTTTATTTTGATACCTATATGCTGTTAAAGGGAATAAAAACTGTCCTTATTATCAGCCATGGAAAATCTTATAATCAGCAAACCAATAAATAAACTTCTATCGATCTATGTGTGCAAATGATAATTTTTAAAAATATTTCTTTATTTGATCATTAGTGAGAATAAATATTTTTTCAAGGCTTGTTTAGCATTGTTATTTCTTTCTTAAATTATTGGCTAGTATGTTTCTCATGTATCTGTTGTTTTATTATTTTATTTCTCAATATGTATAAATTTTAATAAGTTATGTTAATTATATGTTATAATTACTGAAAACATTTTCTCCTGGAGTTTGCCTTATAATTACTATATTGTTTTTGAGGTAAATTAATTAAGGTAGTAGGCTGCTCTTAGGACTTTTGCTCAAAGTTATTGAATTTATCTGACCATTTAATTTTGGAGTCCTTGAGTACTTTTTATTTCTCTGCTTGCACTTAGCTTTTGGTATTTCTAATAATTTTTATTATATGCTTTTCCAGGGGGGATATAAACTACATCAGCTGTGGCCAAGTGCTGATGACCCTTACCTTTATATTATCAGTCCAGCTATCTCCTATGCTCTAGCCAGATTCCTGCAAATTGCCATCTGGGTATTCTCTACTCACTTCAAATAAAAGAAGTCCCAAATTATATCTGACAACATTTTCTACCCTCAGAAATGTGCTTGCCTAAAGTTAACAGAAATTACCATCAAATGTGATAGGCTTGAATTTGCTTGGTTTTAACTACTTTAAAAGTACCGTTTAATCTTCTTTCCATCTGCCCCTGCACTGGGTCAGGTGCCATTTTATTTATCATAAGGAGAATGCTTTCTTTCCAATGCTTAAAAATTGTCTTTGAAAAAAAATAAGTTTATGGAAGTAGAAGGGTAGATAGAATGTGGCTATCAGAGGCCAGGAAGAGGAAGGGGAAGGGAGGAGGGGGAGATGCTGGTTAAGGGATACGAAATTACAGCGAAGTAGAAGGAATGAATTCTTGTGTTCTGCAGCACTGCGGGGTTAATATGCTTACCAATAACTTCTTGTATATTTTCAACAAGCTAGTAGAGAGGACTTTGAATATTCACAACACAGGTAATAAATGTTTGAGGTAATGGGTATGCTCATTGCCCTGATTTGATCATTATATATTTTATACCTGTGTTGAAAGATCATTCTGTATTCCATAAATATGTACAATTATTATGTGCCAGCAGAAAAAGAAAAAAAAATTAAAATTATCTTTGTAAATTTCCTATGCTAATCATTTTTTCCATTTATCAAATCAATTCTGAATTCTTTGTGAAAAAGTATAATTAAGACTAATTGTTAAAGAAATATGCAAAATAAGATATTGAGAAATATGTTCATTAATATTTGTTTTAGTATCACTCAAATATTTGAATTTTAATAATAAAATAAACCTGTATTGCTGTGTTTGGTAGCATAAACAAATTTCTTCTTAAGTTAGGTATTTTGATGTGGGCAGCAACATTACAAATGGTTTTGATAAAATGACCTCACAATTAGGCTGATACTCATATGTGTGGTTACATTTAAAATCAAGGATATTTATAATTCTTGTGCTACTAGACAGTCATTCCAGATTCCTGACAGAAATCAGCAGATGATAATAAACAGTCAGACCTTGACATTATTAAATGATACATGAGACAGTTATGCTAATTTAGCCTTTGACTTATCCATCATTTACCATCGAAAAGTCTCTTTTGAAGTAAAATTACAGTTCTATTACTTTAAAAATGTGGCTGTGCACATAGTTTTTCATTAAAAAGACATTAACTTTTCAGAAAAATCACTAGAAAATTTAATCTCTATTTGATTCTGGAGTGCAAGGATAAATAAAACATGAACTGTATATTTTATGTCAATTAATTTTACAAATCACCCTTCACCAAGATTTTAAGAAAAAATGATTACCATTTATTTTATTTATAATACGTGAAGAAAGCCTATCTTTTTATATTATGATAGTATATTTATTTTATGTTGTATTTTGCAGCAAATGGAAATAGCCGTGGATTTTAAAGACAGTAATGCTAGTTGTTATTGCAAGAGTAAGGATAAGAAAGGATAAAAGTTGGACAGTGGGACATTTTTAAAGCTATTCTATACTAAATTTGTGGTGTTGGGGTGCTGGTTCTGTTTTGCTTTATACAGGTGATTAAAGCGGTAGAGGAAGGCTATCGTCTGCCAAGCCCCATGGATTGTCCTGCTGCTCTCTATCAGTTAATGCTGGATTGCTGGCAGAAAGAGCGAAATAGCAGGCCCAAGTTTGATGAAATAGTCAACATGTTGGACAAGCTGATACGTAACCCAAGTAGTCTGAAGACGCTGGTTAATGCATCCTGCAGGTACAAGGCCAGATCCGAGTGATTTTCCAGAATGTAGCTAACTCAGATTGATGTCACAAATATTTTATCAATTAAATCATTCTCGTATAGACATTAATCTGTGAATCTATATGACACTAATTTATTTGGATATAGTTTTTGCATGCTACTCTCTTACAATGAATGAAATATGTGACTAAATGATACTTAAAATCACCTATACCTAATCTAATAGTGTGACATGCCAGGTTTCAGAAAAATGAACTATAGCCACATTCAGGTAGCATAAAAAAAAATTAAATGTGTGTATTTTCATGCATTTTGGAGGATAGGTGAGGAGGAGGAATGTAAGATTATAACATAAGAAAAAGCCAATTAAGCACTGATGCATTTTAAACCAGAGATATCTAGCAATAATTACTCTTTGATTTATTTAGAATACATTTTAGTATTCATATTTTAGAAACATTGACAATTTTAGGGACCCTTTTGCTCTTATCCAGTTGCACACAGATTTTTGGTTATTTAGCATGTAGTTTGAATGAGATTTAAAACTGATAAATGAGTAATCTTGTGGAGAAAATTTGTGGGAGTAAATGAGCATATTTTTTACTTTTCTGAATAGCACATGAATGCATTTAAATAATGTTTCATATTTGTAAAGCATGCCTTTCTGTTTTTCTGAAAAACAGAATTATCTTCTCAAAAAATAAATCAGTTTGATTCTGCACTAGAAAATTTACCAGATTGTTATTTTCACTATGTTTGAGGCAGTTGTCTATTTTTACAAGAAAGTGTTATGTTAATAACTAAATTGGCTGCCTATTAGCATGGACTAAATGAGAAACAATTTGTTAATAAAGTTATGAAAGTTCTATGATTCTGACATAACATTTGTTTACTAGATGGAAAGTCATTTTAAATACAAATGAGGAATGAATCTTCAAACTCTGTTCAAGCATCATTAACTTCCTGTGGTAGCAAATGGAGAACGTATCTTCTTAGCAATTATTCCTTATGTTGTTCCCTAAATATCTGCTTTTAAATTGCTTATTGTCATGTAAAATATTAAGACTTTCTCTTATCTACTTATTTGAATTATATTACATTGTCACAAATGGACGTACAAAAGGAGTAAAAAAAAACTTATGTTCTAAATTATATTAATTTATATAGGCATCATTATTACAGCTTGAGAGCATTTAAAAATTTCTAAATAATTTTCTTATTTCATTGTATGCAGTATATAGGATTCAGCTTTCTAGGTTTCGTTTAAACAAATTTTGCTTTAAGACCGACTGTACCACTCACTACCTTTCCTTTATTCAGTCATGTGCATATCCTGACTCTAGAAATTGTTAGTTCCTGGTCCATTGTCTCGCCCTTTCTCCATCCCTACCTATGTCACAAGAGTTGATGACTTCAATAACCATGTAGATGATATTCCAGTATCTCTAAATATCTTGAATTTTTCTCCTTCAATGATTTTATTCTCAAATCGACCTTGTGCTTTCCTTTCCATGCTTATATTCTAGACCTTGCTATTATCAAAATTGCAATTCTTTCATAACTTCAACTTCAAGATCTTACTCTCCAACTGTTTCTTTCTGCAATTCTCTTTCTCACAATTCATGCCTAATGGCTAAAAATCACTATAACATATTCATTTATTCATCCAACATCTATTCACCTTTATACTCTGGGTCATGCTGTGGGCTAGGTGCTGAGGATACAGCATTAAGCAAATAGACCTAAGTATTTGCCTTTATGAAGCCAATGCACTGTTGGGAGAGAGACACTGAACAAAATAAAAACTTCAAAACCAATTGTGTGTTTGGTTTTGGAGTGGGGAGTGAGAGTTGAATTCAAGATGAATACTAGAAGGTTAGATTGTGCAGGCGAGACATGATGATATCTTGAAATAAGGTGGTATTAATATTGAATGGGAGAGAAGTGGTCGGCTGTACAATATATTGGAAGTTGAATAGATGGTATGCACAATGATAGGTTTTGAGAAAAATGAGGACAGGGAAGAGGTGGACTGTTGCATCATACTATATAATGGGCAGAACTTCAAGAGCACACGGATGTGGAGATGAGGAGTGTGGTCTTGGACCTGGGGCCGTATTTCTCTGAGAAATATGGAGGTACAAAATAGGCATATGGATATAGAAGAATCTTAGTCTGGAAACAAAAATTTTTAAAAAGTAGATACTTTTTAAAGATATGAAAATGAGTAAAATTGTCTATAGTGGAGTTATAGCCTAAATAGAAAAATATAGGGCCAAGTCCTGGCTCCCTTAGAGTTTTAAAGTCAGGAAAAAAAAAAAAAAAAAAAAGACTAGCAGGCAAAGGAGATTGAGGGGAATCCAGCACACACACACACACACACACACACACACACACACACACAGACACACACTCTCACACGCACACGCACACAATTGTGATTTAAACAATGTTCAGACAGAGTAAGATTTCAAGAGTAAGGTGGGAGGTGGTAGTGGTGTTGGCTGAATGTTTCCAAGAGGTCAGTCATTTTGTAGTTTGAAAAGTGCTCACAGATTTTGGCAAAAGAGAGATCATTGACCATCTCAACTAGAGTAATTTTTATAAAATTGGTTTTGAAGAAACTATACTCAAGGGTAAATGGAATGTGAGAAAGTAGAGAGAACCTGAGTAGAGAGAAAGGTATTTGTGTCCTTTTTCTTATAGTTGCAATTTACTTAAGTAAATTTCACATGTAAATTATGTAAATTTACATAATGGGCATGTAAATTATTTTTAATATTTAGTTTCCTTTTGCCATTTTTTTCTGATTATTCCCTTAAGATACATTTCTAAAAGTCATCATCATCATTATATCATTATTATTATTGTCCAAAGAATATGAACGTAGTGTCATTAAAAGTGTCTATTGATTTAGTTGATTCTATTAAGTTTTGTTTTGTATTTGGGGTTACATTTTGTTTTTCATGATCTACCACTCCTCGGTGTATTAAGAAACACTCTATGTAAAAGTGTAAAATAAAGAATAAATAGTTTCTTAACTTCCAGATAAATTTACTTAAATGAGCATAAGTTCCTCTAGGAAGTCGATAAGTTCCTCTAGGAAAAATCGATTGGCTTTGCACAAATTATCCCACATAGCTATAGTGGGTAGCATTTTTCTTACCTTCATAAACAAAGAGTAGTATATCTAAATCACTACATGACAAATTTTAGTAGACTGATTTTTAGAGAAATATTATGTTTACAGCAAAATTGAGTGGAAGGTGCAGAGATCTCCCAAGTACTCCTTACCCTACACATATGTAGCCTTCCCCCACCCCCCACCACCCCATTACCAGCATCAACCGCCAGAATGACACATTTATTACCGTTGATGAACCTGTATTTCTATCAGCCACGGCCCATAGTTTACATTAGAGTTCACTGTTGGTTGTGTACATTTTACAGATTTGGACAAATGTGTCCACCATTATACTATTATACAGAGTGGTTTTATTGTCCTAAAAATTCTGTGTTCATCTATTAGTACTCAATAAAATTTTTAGCTATTGTTTTGTTTTACATAAAATTTACTTATTAGTAAGTCTTCATGTTAAGTCCTCATTAATTATGGATAAAATAATCTCAGTAGACTGATTTTGTGTTCTCCTGTATTTTAAATTATTTTCTTCCATATTAGCATTTGCATATTTTTCCTCTATAAATATACTTACAGACTCAAAGATCCATTGAATATGAGTTAACATTATAGTAAACTTTGTTATAAAAGAATTAAATTGTAACTTTTAATATTTATGTTTTATGTGTTTTAGAGTATCTAATTTATTGGCAGAACATAGCCCACTAGGATCTGGGGCCTACAGATCAGTAGGTGAATGGCTAGAGGCAATCAAGATGGGCCGGTATACAGAGATTTTCATGGAAAATGGATACAGTTCAATGGACGCTGTGGCTCAGGTGACCTTGGAGTGAGTAATTTTTCTGATAATTTTTACATAATTGCTGGGGCAAGAAAAATTGTTCAAAAACCAATCTGGATGAGGTAAGGGAAATCAGTTAACCTTTGCGGATGTGTGGCAGCTCTCAAAGAAGCCTCATCATCTTTAGCCTGTATTGTTAACAACTGCATGGTTAATGCTACATGTGGCCAGTATCTTTGCTTCTTTGCTTCAAACAAATAACATTGGCATACTTGAATAATTGGAATAACAGCTCCTTGGCAAAATACTGGTGTTTTGTGTTGTGGAAAAGATGTTTTCTTGACAAGTTTTTTTATACTGGTATCTATGTTATATGAATGTAAATACAAAACAAAATAAACTGTAAGCACAATTGGTGTGGCTAGTCCTACATAAGGACCAAACATATTTGTACATTTTGGCTCTCTACGATGAATATCAAGGTAACAGTAGCTTAAACAAAGCTTCCCTGGCAGGATCTCATTTAATTTCTAAATGGTGCACCTTACATTCTTTCAATCTAAGGATGTATCAGATCCCGCCTCTGATTTGTTATTTGGTACAATCTCAGTGGAACCAATTGTGCCCTTTTCTGTTTGCACGTTTAAGATAAAATTTATCAAACCTTATTAAATAAAAATCACTAGAGTTAAATATTAAGTTCTTTAAGGTTGTAAGTTGTTTGTATTTTATTATATACTCTGTACATGTGGTTGTTTTAGCCTAATTGTTATTTGTGAAAATTAACTGTCTTTATGGTGGTTCCATCTAGATTACATTAACATTAATGTTTTAACCTGTGAATATAATGATAACTTACTTCAAATTACCTGCCAATTCAAAGGTTAAAATATTGTAAGGTTTAGAAAATGGTAGAATATTCTGAAGCACTAAACCATAGTTGTTATTTTATTTGTACACATGATATGAACATTGAGCAGTTCTTGCTCACCCATCTCTATTATTCTGACATTCTTTGATTCATTGAATTCATTGTTCCTCCCCACAGAAGGTAACAGGGTACCACCATTTATCACCAATTAATGTCACATTCTCAGCATTCTCTTCCTTCATACCGATAACTAAAAGGACCTGAAACCAACCACTCAGCTTGCTTTCTAAATTTACTGAATCTCATTCTCACGGTCCACCAGATCATATCTACTTGATAACACATATGCTTTGTCCATTATTTCTTTGGACACTCAAGGAACCCATTTGTGCTATATTTAAACTGGTATACTGAAAAATTTACTGATAATTTAAAACTATTTTTACATGATTGCTATTTAATTTTTCAGTAAAAATGGTCATTTTAATTTATTAAAGTCATTTGTCATTTTATATTAAAATGATATTGTAGGTATTTCTTCTACCCAATGTCAGATTACTTGTAAATATATAATAAAATTATTTGCATTAAACAATGTCTCTTTTGTTATTAAAATAGCACATTTTCTGTATATAGTTACATCTACTACATTTTTGCTTCTTCCTTCAAAAAATAGTTATAATTACAAATTATAGTTTTTGCATTAGCTACTTGTGTTTTACTTATATCTTTGGGGTCCCAAAATACTATAAATATGTTGAATATTTTAGCATTATAGTTTCACATTTTTCTTATTCCTTTTTTTTCTATTTCTTTCCTATCTGCTCCTCTATCCCCAAATGCTCTTTAGTTTTTGTTTTCTTTCAAGCCCTAATAACCTCTTATGTCTTCTCATAATGATTCTTCTCCAGCTTATGGCCTCTTGCTAGATTGCCTTTATTCAAACATTTGTCTTTTAATTCATTTACTCTGACCAGAAGAGTAAAGTTACATTGGGAGACTTACCAGCATTTTCCCATTCAGAAAGTATTGGTCTGTCTATAGTAACTGCTCCAAATTCCTGGGGGTCATAATCATTAATACATTTCTTACCAGTAATTGGGCCAGCAGATCATAACTCCAAGAAAGCTGGTTTTTGGGGCAACTCCAGGCCCTTTAAATTTAACTACATGCCACTTTGTTTTCTGTGCTTTCGACTACATTTTTTTCAACTGTAAGAACATTTATCAAAACATTATGTTAAGTAACTCAAGTAATCAGTTACTTTCTTGGTCAAAAAAATTTTTTTAAAAGTTCATCTGTTCATTTTGCCTACTCTTCTTCCAAAAAAAAAAAAAAAAGTCAGTCATTGCTAAGGACTAATGGCAAAGGAGACGGGATTATCAGCAAAAGAAATAGGCCAGCTCTCAAAATACCTTGATACTGATTTTTCACGCATAGTCTTTACCCCATACCTAAGTATTAATTTTATGAAGGCTGTATAATAAAATAATAAAATATAATTCTTAGAGTTATTGTCAGAAGATAGTAGAAGCTGAGAATGGAAGAATACATTCATAACTGTTGTAAATACTTAGGAAAAATGTGAAAATCAATTAATATAAAGCGAATAGTCCAACTGCCATATTTAAAAACTACATTGTAATTTGTGGCATCAAATTTGTTTTCATAGTGGGTTTAGAAAAAAAGAATAAATATAAAATTTTCAGAATGACATATTTTGGTTAAAAATCTCCATCACAAAGGTTTAACTTCACTTGTATATGGATTGTTGCCAGTACGTGCATGTATAGCTAAATATTGAAAGGTAATGAAGAACTTAGAGGTCTGAGAGTCAAAGCATATTCATGAAAGTGGCTTTCAATCTTAGATGTGTTTGTCTGCTACTGTTTGTGCCTAAACCTTTCTATTCTGTGTTCAGTATTTATATGAAAACAATTGTGGCAGTAATGGTGCAAACTATCTCATCTTGTATAAGTGCAGTGGGTTATTGTCAACAGGGATAATTGTGAGCTTGAGGTGAGTTGAAAATTGAATCCAAACATTTCAGTTAAGGACAGAATCACAGCTACTTTTTAAACTTATTTTCGTATCAGTACTGTCAGCCTTTGGTTATTCAGAAAATGAGCAAAATCCAATCAATTTAAATATTATACCAATTGTGTGTCAGCTGAAGAGGTTCCTGTTATCATCAGTTACTGGAATAGAATCTTAAACTAATAAAATGAAAGTTTTCAAAATCCAGAGGCAAAATCTTTACAGATTAATTGAAATAGATTTATTAACTTATCAATAAATCATTATGCATGATTTATTATACCCTTAAAGTACACATAGGAGTACCTACAGTCCTCTGTGTTCTAGCCCTGACAACATCTCTTCCATTGAGAACCATTAACAGACCATGGTTAAATCTCTTCTTGCCAAAAGTAATACATTTATCCTGTACAATGTCTATATCATTGATTGTTAGGGTTCTGCAAAGTTAACAAAAAAAAAAATGACAAACATACAACTGCATGATAAAACTCTGACAAAAGCAATAAATATTGAAGTTTGGGGAATATTCATTAATCTGTCTTCTCCCTTCTCCTATCCAGCCAATGTTGGTTGGGGCTAAGTACCAGTGATACGGCTAAAAGGTGTGTAAAGTAGAAGGGAGAAGAATGAGGAAGAGAATGAATCATCTGTAGATAGATTAATTTAAGCCTGAATAATTAAGAGTTGGTTCCAACATCAACTATATACTTTTTATTACTCTATTTTCATTCTGCCATTTTAGCATCATTAATATCAGTGTTTTTCCATTGTTTAATATTATTGAATAATGTTTGAAAAAATACTGAAATGTAAACCCAACAATGACAGTTCATAACATTTGAAGCTTTTCTAAAAGTAGTCAATTTTGTCAACAAAATCCAAACTATGTTTATGTAACAATGCTAGTCTCGTCATGTTTAGATTCATAGGCCTATATCAAAATATAATTCGTTATCACTAGAATTGACCTTCGGTATTACTTAAGATTATGCATGATCATGATAAAATTTGTGTCATACTTATAATGGGAACATACTTAAGACATTGTGTAGCTATAAAATTTTCTACTTAGAAAAATGAAATTAAAAAATGCATACCTTGTACCATTTCCAAATTATTTTTCAAAAATTATTGTACATAGGGCAGCAATATCATTCTTATATTTTATTTTCATCAAATTTATGTAATTACTGCTAAGATGACCATTTAATATGTGGTTTAGGTAGTAAAATGGGAATTATTGGAAATAAGAAATGTGAGACTAAACTACTTAGAAGAAAATACCTTAAAATGTTTAGTAATATTTGAACAGTTATTTAACCTTTACTATAAACATTTTCTAATACTGTGTTAATTCTCATCTGTAGTGTTATTAAAAAATATTAAGATGCATTTCAAAAGAAACTACTTAGTTGCTGAGAACAATTTTAACTTGCATAAATCATCTTATTTATCCATGTTTTCACTGAAAATCACATGTATAAAGGTACATGTACGTTGCATGCATTATTATAGTTATCCTATCTTCTAAATCTCTTCACCTTAATTTGACAGTTTTTGAAATGATAGGTCAGATTTAAAGAAAAACAACAGAATTTCATGGGAGAAAACATCATTTGTGGCAGTACTTAAAATTCAGTGTTTTGTTTCTGTAATTCCATTTCTCCGCTGGGGAGATGGGTTTAGGATGAGATGGAAAGGCAAGAGAGAAGTAAAAGGAAGAGGAGAAAGATAATTTCACTGGTGTGCCCTTTGACATTCATCTCAAGGGATAATCAGATAATAAATTGTTCTTGAAATAAAATTTTATCCCTAGTTCACTGTTAAAATTCAAACAAATTTAACTTAAAATCTGTAAGTATGAAATGTTCTGACAAAGTACAGATTTCATTTTTCAATAAACTCAAACAATACCCACATTTATTAATCAAATAAAATTTCTCACAATTCTTTAGTATGATATAGTTATCATGAAAAATTTAAACTACCGAAACATTGAGGGAGCTAGAGTCTTTCATGTTCTCAAGTCATATCTAGAAGATTAAATTATATTTTTCTCTAATATAACAAGTTAAGACAGTAGAAATAAAAATAAGTTATTAGTGATTTGATATCCTTTAGACAAAACCAAGATTTGGAATATGGAACCCATACATGCTTCAAATTTAAGTTTTGTGATTGTATAAATTCCATGTTTGAAAGAGAACTTATAAATTCTTTCAGGTCATTCAAAATAAATAATAATGGTTATTTTCAAAGGCTCATTCCTAATAATTCCTAATAATTCACATAGCAATCATGAATTATGCAATTTAAGCATATATATTATTACAACCATATTTCCCAATCTGGATTCATCAGTATTTCTTATGGGTTTATAAAACATATGATAAAACACATGTTTTAAAACTTTGTTTCTAGTCCTAATTAAATTATCCAGCAGAGACAGTTTTCAGTTTAGGAAAAATTTTCATCCTTTTTCTCTTGGCTGTGATCCAGTTTGCTAGTGAACACCCATGAATATGCACATCTACATAATTCTTTATAATTAATAATTTACATGTGGAAACACGAGAATATTAGTGCATAACAGAAACTACTATGGTCAGATTTGGTGACCATAGCCTCAGGCAAAGTATGTGTTTCATTCCCTTCATTAGACATTTTCTTTTAGAATTTTGGACATTTTAAATTACATTTACAGGATTCTCATTTTATAGATGAATAAATTACTGCATATAATTTGAAGTGCTTTACTTAAAATCATCTCTTAGAATAATGATAAATTAAAAGTATAGACTTGGTTTTCAGGTACCTGATATTAGCCCTAACTTGGTTACCCATTTGGCTGTGTTTTATAGCTAAGTAATTCAAATTATCTAAGCCTTTGTTTCCTCATCCATAAAAGGAAATTTAAAAATCTGTATCATAGGGTTATTGATATTTCTAGCATACAGGATGTATGTCTATTAAATGTCACCAATTTATATGTGTCTAAATTGGTGTGTAAATATGTTTATAAAGTGTCACCAATTTATATGTGTGAATATATATATACATATATATACATATATATATGAGATATATATATATATGAGATATATATATCTCAATGATTCTCAACCAGGAGAGATTTTGTCACTAAGGGGAAATTGACAATGACAATTTATCTTGTAAAAATGAAGGGCTGGTGGTGCTGCAGTGCTTCTGGTATATAGTGGGCAGAGGCCAAGGATGCAGCCGAATATTCTACGATGCATAAGACAGCACCTCTACAACAAAGAATTATCCAGCCAAAGAATTATCCAGCCTATAATGTTAACAGGTTCAAGGCTGAGAAACTCTGGTTTAGTTGAAAAGAGACAAGATTAGACTCATGTCTCTTATATTCCTCGTTTGGTCTGTAATTAGCTAGCTTGTAGTCTATTCCATTATTAATAATAATGATTTTGTTTCAAAGCTAATTTTACTAATTTTAAGTTTCCCTGAGGATTGTCTTCCATGCTCTCTCTACCGCTATTATTATTTTTATATTCCAATCTGGTGCCTTTTAGTTGTAGTAATTTTTAAGCTTACTGTTTAATATTCACATTCTAAAAAACAAATATGTTTCCATCACAAATATCAATAGCATTTTTTTGGGGGGGTAGCTGCTTGCCATTTCCTAAAACTGTCATAAGAAATCAAGAAACCATAAAGGGAAAAGAAAACTAAAATACTATTTTGGAAAAAAATATTTCCAATACGAATATACACAGAGCCTTAGCATCCTTTAATTTCTATTCTCTGATAATTAAGAGTTTCTTTGAATTCAAAGAACAATTAAAACTATTCAGTTTCTACCTGTGATTATTCTAATGTCTAATGTCATTAATTCAATAGAACTCTAAGAAAATCTTGAATTAAAACACACACTGAATGGAAAAAGATTCCACTTTTCACATAATGTGTTCAATAAGGTAATTACCTTGAGAAATCTAACATGGCAAACATCTTTGTCATTTAGGATTTTGAATTGTTCATGTTTATTTTTTCCTATAATTAATGCTTATCATTTGCCAAACATATCTGACAAATACATACTTTAGGGGAATAGCATTCCTAAACATCCTGTAAAAGAACGTTGAAAAACCATGGCCACTTGTCTTGAGCTCCATAATATGTTGTTAGTTTAGAAATCTAAATATTTGTAAATTTATTTTGAATAATAAGCATGTTGAAAAAAATGCACAGAAGTATCTTGATTGAAAAGTGTTCTGAAAGCATGTAATATTCAGCATGCTCTAAGTGCCAGTAGAGCTTGGATGTTATTTGATTAAAAAAAAATTCTGGTACTTTCAGTATAAAGTAAAAAAAAAAAAAAAAAAGTAAAACATTGTTATAAAAGCAATGTAGTGGTGATTATCTCCTAAAGATATCTGTTATATAAAATTACTGTATAGAATGAGTCATTTTATGACTTTGGTTTTCAACTGCTTAGCTATAAAATATTAAAAGTCTATTTCAAGCTTCTTTTAGCAAAAATAAGTGCTTATGAATATTGTAAATCTGCAGTTTCAAAACTTTTCAATGAAATTGTACCTGTTAACTCTTTATTGGTAATAATGTGCAAATTTGTTTTATCACCACTCTGCACCACTAAAATAGTGATGTCCACAAATGAGAGCAAATATGTATTATATCATTCCTCATTATAAATATTTTTTGACTACTAACAGATTTTGGAGGTATAATTTTAGAGCCTAACCTTTAAAAACTAGACTCTGTATGTCTAAATTAGGACTGTAATCTAACTAGTGTCTGCACTATGTTTGCCCCTTTGCCAACATGAAATATTGAGGTGTGCTACAAATTGAATCAATACATCCAATGTGTGCTTTCTTCATGCAGGGATTTGAGACGGCTTGGAGTGACTCTTGTCGGTCACCAGAAGAAGATCATGAACAGCCTTCAAGAAATGAAGGTGCAGCTGGTAAACGGAATGGTGCCATTGTAACTTCATGTAAATGTCGCTTCTTCAAGTGAATGATTCTGCACTTTGTAAACAGCACTGAGATTTATTTTAACAAAAAAAGGGGGAAAAGGGAAAACAGTGATTTCTAAACCTTAGAAAACATTTGCCTCAGCCACAGAATTTGTAATCATGGTTTTACTGAAGTATCCAGTTCTTAGTCCTTAGTCTTCATTTTTCATGAAGCAAACATATCTTGCATTAAAAGGGACATGAAGTTAGACATCATCTTAAGTTACAACAACAGAATCCTTCCCACTACTTCTACAAAATTTTGTACATGAAATATATAATTATATAGCACTTTTATAGACTGAATTAAGGCAACCCCTTTCAAAACTTCCAGGGATCTACTTGAAAGGAAATGTTTTATAGCCATTTGTGAGCTAACAAAAGCTACAGTTTACTGAAGTTTACTTCAAGTCTTAATTGTCTACAAAAGTGTATTGAAGAGCAATATGATTAGATTATTTCTTAATAGATATCTTCTTTTGTAATTTTAAAATGCTGTTACACAGCGTTAAGTTATAGAAACTAGTGTGTAAACATGTTGCTTGATCAAGAAAAAGTACAATACAGGGTGTATATTTATTTTTTGTGTTATAAAGTTTACTTTTAGTTGCTCTTCTAGAGATTATTAGGTAATAAATGTGTATATACTGTATAATTTGCAATATACCCAGGAACTGATTTAAGATGGAATTGTGTGTGTGTTTGCTTGCACATGTGTGTGTTACCATTCTGCTTGCATTTCTAATAGTGTTTCAATTTTAGCAACATATAGGAGCAAGTGTTCCAGAATGTAATATGAATAGGAGAAATAGGGAAGCAGTAAAACAAAATTTAACACAAGCTTGTGTCTCTTTTCCTCTCATGTGTCCAAAAGCTAATCTCTTTATTCACTAAAAGGAAATGTGTATAAGACTAAATCCCCTTTGGCTTTTTAAAAACATTTTGTGATATCAGTGACAATGCAGTTCTTCTAGCCATTAATCTTGTACCCCTGTAAGAAATTTCACCTTTCTGAGTCCTGAAAAGTATCTTGTCAAGCAAAGTTGACACCGAAGGGCACATTTTCAGCAGGATGTAGAAGGATTTAACTGTGCAGGCTTCTGTTAATGTTGTTAAATCCAGGCACATAGCACGAAGCATCACCCTTAAGTGTTAATCCGTTGTAACCATTCCCATTTTGACTCAGTTCTAGAAATTTTGACTCTAAGGCAGCAATGGAATTATGACAAATATATATATATACACATACACACACACAAATATATATATATGCTTATTTCCCTTCAGAATTTTATTTCAATAATTGATAAGTTTTATTTTTAATGGATGTTTATTCATTTGTTAATTTCAGTTTGTATTCAGTTACATGGCTTTGAGTTTATTTTATTGAACCAATCCAAGGTATTATGTAATTAGGCTTATTAAGGAATATAACATATCTTCTATGTATGCTCTATATACCACACATGATGAAGACTTATATTTGTGATACAAATTATGCAGTGTATTAGAAATTGTCCAAAACTGAGCTCCTGAGATAACCAACATTTTTGTATTATTACACTTTATAAAAATTATGGAATGTCATGTGATTAGTCAAAATCAGAGCATTTAAATAAAATACAGCCTACTCATGATTATCAATGTTAATAGTACAGTAGATCAGAGAAGCCTGGATTAATGAAATTTATCAGAAATATAGCCACGTTATATTAATGGTATTCTTTTTTCCAAGCACTTGTTTTATTTGAATATTAGCACATATAAGAATAAACTTTTGGGAAATAACTACTTCCTATTCTGCCCACCCTTTACTTAAGCAGTAAAGTACCTCTTTTCTAAAGAACCAGGAAACATCAAAATAACCACAACAAAAATCTAAACAGTTTTCAAATAATACATTCAGTTCTCATAATAATAAGGGCTATATACCATGGGTCCACACAAACTGTGCTGCAAACATATAATCTATTAGTTTAGTAAAATTTCCAGAGATGTGAATTTAATATTTTCTTGATAAAATCATAAAAAAGCATCACCATTATTAAAGATGCATTTGTTCATTTCAATAAACAGAAATTAATGAAACAAATTACTTTTGTACAAAATAAATGATGATTATGTGGCACTTTATTGAATTTTATAGAAATATTCCAATCTAAGTGATAAAGTAACAACTGAGAAACTTCAGAATGAAAGCCTTATTGATTCAAAAGGAAAATTACCATATGCTTTAGGGCTGATGAACTTGCCACAATTGCTTAGACATAACAAAGATATTTTCTACATTGTTTTCCAACTTTATATGCTGAAAGATAATTAGGAGGTCCGGGTGGAGTGTATCTAAATGACTAGAACTTTAAGTTGCAATATAGATTTTCTCTTTTTAACAAAGGAAGAATATAAATTAATTTGGATCAAATTTATTTGCCTTCTTTGCAATCTTGGTGATCATTTTGGAAAGTAAATTGAAAGGAAAGTTAAATAGCCACATAGTTTTCTTTTGCATCTCAATTTGGTTGAGAATTTCTAAGGAAGGTTAATATGACTTTAGAATGAATAAAGAGACTGTCAAACAACAAGTACTCTCCCTAAAAAAGAGGAAAGAATGCCTTCCTAAAATATTTGTTTCCTATTGTATATGTCACCAATTGGAAAATGCCAATCTCATCTGCAAGTGTGAGAAATGGAACAAGGAGAGGAGCCAACTCTAGTAAAATGTAGTGAGGCCATAATCCAAGGCAAAGTTTAACAAATCTTGATTGTGTAATTTCTTATTCTGTTGATTCATTTTGTCACCCACCAGACTACCAAAAATAAAGCACAGACATGACAATTTTAGTATATACAACAGATTTGGCAAATAATACATAATCTTATTGTAATTGCCAGTAGCAATATCTTAAGGGGCATGAGTCTTTCACAGTATTGGACTTTGAAAAATTGGTACAGGGAGTAATTTTCAACAGACTGATACTTGAAGTCACTCAATTACTACTTTGACCTATCATAATTTGTTTCTAATCTTGTCATTTGCTCATATATACTATTAATATAACCAGTTGCTCTTTTCATAATGTACTATTTCTATGTAAAGATGTAAAGATTTTGATTTTCCTATGTTTTAAAATTGTAATGTGCATGATCTTTTATTTCTTGTGTTTCAATTACCAAGTCAGTATTCTAAGGTTGTAAGATTACTGTAAAAATTATATTCCAATATTTTATCTAAACTTAAGTGTGGCCAGCATTATTGGTTTCAGAGTTGCCTAAACAACACAGAATATCCTTAATTCAGTTTGTAAAAGAGTTTTGACCAGTGTAAAAAAGTGAAGACACAGTTTCATGTTTCAAGTTTAAAATGGAAAGTTAATATCATTTGAGCACTTATGTGTTTTCATGTCTTCTACTTAATCTGTATGTGAAAGTAAAATATTTTTAACACCATTATTTATGCCATGTAAAGTGGGTTCTCAGAAGCACAAGCACAGATATTTACCTTCTGAAGACATTTTTGGCTATAAAAGTGCATTGGATGGCAAACACTATTTGAGTCAGGTGTTAGAAATTTATTAGATGTATTATATTACATAGTAGAATAAGGTCCCTTTCTCATTTTGTTTTTCCTAAAAATAAGAAAAAAAAGAAGTGTGATAGTAAACTGTCTTTGCTAATGTCCTGCCAGATGTTTAACTTCAAATTAAGCAAAAAGTAGGTACAATATGATGATGATCCTGATGATGATGATGATGATGATGATGAAGAATAAATGGAATCAAAATGCTAGCTTTATTTGACATTAATAAGTAAAATAAGTCATCATTTTTTCAACTCTGTAGCACAGCTGTTTACATTGAATAATTTTCTCTATTGTGCTGTTAATTATATAGTAATGTATCAAAATAGAAATAGGAACTTTCTTTTCATTTCTTATTCATTTATGAAGAAATCTTTTCACACATAAATGATTGAATGTTCTTGTTCAGAATGACCACATAATCATTGCTTAGAAGAAGATACCAATTCTTTTAAAAGAAAAAAAGTCTGTTTATAATAATCAGAATCAAATGTTGTTTGTTTCTTCTAAACGTTAATGGAGAAAATTGAAGGTGGTAAAATGTCATGTTTATTCAGGCTGGGAACTGTATTCACAGTAGAAGTTTCAGTGGTCAACATATCTATGACTCTTTAGGCTGCTGTAGTTTTACAGTCAATTATTTAAAAGTGAGTAGTTACATTTATAAGAGCCTGAGAATACTTAGACTCAGTCATTTGTTAGTATTTTTACCAAAATCTCTTAGTTTCAGACATGTCAGAAGCAGCTATATAGCATATCTTATTCTATGATATACATCAGGCTATCTCAAGTTCCTGTCTCACAGTTAATTCAAAGAAGGATTAGGATTTCTGTATTTTTTCTCATTTGAATCTTTATGTGCATTTGGTTTGTGTACATGCTTTTTGTAGTGTAAGATATGAAATTTTATATTTTTTCAGAAAATAAAAACCCTTTGAATACAGTTACATCTGATTGTCATGCTTGACCCTCTCTGGAAAGTTTAAACTTATAGCCTTTGTGTAATGTTTTCAGTTACTTCTAATAACAATGTTTCAACTTCTTATGCTAAATATTTTACAGGCCATTAGCATCCATTTTCTTCTAAAACAGATTCATGAGCCTGCATTTAAATAATTTTTGCATATGGAGATTAACACTAAAATTGTAGCACAGGTGCATTACTGTGTCAAAATCTAATTAGAAGTTGATTTGTGACAGTGTAATATATTATTTGGAAAAAACAGAAAACTATGCACACTATCTGGAAAAAGAAAAGAGACTTTTATTGATCAGCATCAGCCCAAGACTATCTCCTCTCCATACATGTGCTTACGGCATAGAGCGGAAGAGTTGCATTGTCACAGGAAGAGGTGTCATTTAGTACAAACACCTCCCTCTTTTTCTGTAAGTATTGTGTCATACTGGTCTCTTTTTGTAGAAAGCATAGCAAACAATGCACTGTATTCAAGGAAATAAATTATATTTCTAGTTGTTTGCATTTATGTCACAATATGTAACATCACCATGCCTATGGGAATAATCCACAACTCCTTCTCATATGTATCATATGTATAAAATAACAACTACAAATGATATTATTTAATATTTTAGTATATATTTTATGTAAATAATTCTGAGTTCTTTGTCACTAGGTAGACTATTATTTTTGCCTCTGCTTTTCTTCAGAAGTAAAGATTATATGACCAGGTAGAAAGGAAGAAGTGATAGTGAAAATGTTAGCATTTAATGAGAATACACCATTCTGTATTCTAATTTTCCACTTTTACCTTTTGGATACATATTATTGACTCCATTTTAATGATGAAGAAAAAACAGCGTAAAGCTGTCCAAAACTTGTCCAAGGCCTGACTGCTCTTCAAAGGCTGATGAAATCCACATTTATTTGAGAGTAAACCTATGAACTTCCCATCACACAATTCTGATTCCACACTGTTGCCCATGCTATTGAGATAACAGTATCATTTATTCCAACATTCTGGCTTAATTGACACAAGGACTGAGAGTCATCAGGAAACAATGAATTGCACATTTACAATAAGCAAAGTGTGAACATTGGGTAGAAACCAGGGTCTGACTGAATACACCTCTAACATGTTCAGCTTTTGGAATAAGCCAAACTTTGGTAATCAAAAATAGTTTTCCTTATTTGTTATTCTGCCACTGAGTAGCAACATGATCTAATTCAGGATGTTTTTGTAATATAGGTCATAGTGTCTGAAACTACAAGCTCAGGAAGTTGCAAATAATATTTGTTGGTTATTTTCAGCTATAATATCTGAATTTCACTTATAGAACATTGACGTCTACAAGAGACTAGCTACCAAATTGCTGCTACATCCAACATAAAATAAATAAGTTTGTATTTATGAAAATCCACAGTAGCTATTTAAATCAGGCAGAGTTGTACATAAAATATTAAAGGTAATTTTACTTTAATTTAGCAGGTTAAAAAATAAGTCGGATGAAGCTGGAGAAATGCTGATATATGGATAAATGTTTTTACACAGCAAGAGTTATTTGCTCTTAAATTTTTTCTTTACTTTTAAAAAATATTGATTATGAAAAATATTAAGATGTGTGATGTGATGATTATTTTCAATTTGACATTTCCAAGTGATCTTATATTTCCAGAAAGTAGAAATTTGTTAAGAATCTTATACAATTTTGTGATATTGAATTTTTAAACAAAAAGAAAAATTTCTCTATTAATTAGCATTTTTATTATGATAATAAAATTCAACAGCAAATTTCATGTTAAAGTTTACTCTCTAAAATGAGTAATGAAAAAAAGACTTTTTAAAATTAAACACTGTTTATATGTGGCAGGTTACTTCATGAGATAAAATACACTCACCATGAGTAAACCATTTTAAATAGCGTAACTTATTAATTCAAAGAGATTTTGCAGGTGTTCAGACTTTGGTCTAGGCTTCTTTCCTCAATTAGATGACAAGTAGAAATTTGGCTGTGTTTTTCCAAAAAAATCATGGTTTCTTATACTGCTCCTAACAAAAAAAATATTCTTCAGGCTCTACAGGAACATGAATCTAGCATATACTTGACTTCTGGGGAGGCCTCAGGAAGTTCAGCCATAGCGGAAGGCGAAGGGAAAACAAGCAGAACTTACATGACAGGAACAGAAGCAAGGCTGTGTGTGGGGGGGGGTGCCACACAATTTTAAACAACCAGATCTCAGGAGAACTTAATACCATGAGGGCAGCACCAAATGGGGATGGTGTTAAACCATGAGAAATCAGCCCCATGATCCAATCACCTCCAACCAGGCTCTACCTCCAGCATTGGGGATTACATTTCAACATGAGATTTGGTGGGGACACATATCCAAACGATATCCCCACCTAAACAGAGCTCTAAATATTTATCTATAAATGCATTTTATAATTTATTGATAAATTTAAATATCAGCCAGGAGATTATGATTTTAATTTTTTTTTTACTTTCCCTTCTTTCTAAAATATGTACTTTAATATTATTTCTGTGGTTCATAGTATTCATTGGCATGATAAATGTCTCAAACCATGCTGATAAGAAACCTTTATCTTGAGCAACAAGCATTTTCATCCATTTATTTAAGTCATATAATCAATCAATCAATTTTTAAAACTCACACTCAAAAAAGAGTAAGTCGATAACTTTGACGAAAAGCACCAGGTTTCTTTATTCAGCAATGCAAATATGATCTCAACACAGGTACAGCCAGTATGAGCTATTAATACTTTCAAGTTCACAGTATGAGATAATCTATCCATTAGGAGAACGTGATCTCTTTGCTAGAACTGAGAAGTTAAGTTTCAGTTCCGATGTGGTTTACATGTTC
Organism: Homo sapiens; assembly: GCF_000001405.40. Taxonomy (NCBI): domain Eukaryota; kingdom Metazoa; phylum Chordata; class Mammalia; order Primates; family Hominidae; genus Homo; species Homo sapiens. Next base: position 65,316,668 of record NC_000004.12, on the reverse strand, counting down.
TAAATTCATTGAAGAGTATCTGTTTTAGGAGGTATATATGAAAGATCCTTCTTAGACCCTAGCCTCTAAGTGAAGGTCAGAGACCTTCTATCTACCTTAAGGTGTCAAGAAATGATATCCTTTTTTGGACTCTTTGTTCTCTGGAATTGCACATAATGTCCACCTATTGCTATATTTGCTGATATACACAAATCTACTTCTGGGCTTGATTTACATATCTTCCTCAGATTGTCTTCTTACATCTTTTTTTGTCACACTACTTTCTAAGAAAAAAAAGAATATATTATTTTAAATTAATATGAGAAGGTAAAATGGAAGAAAGCATGCCATTATCTTTTCTTTCTTCACCAGTGAGTCCATTTAATAGACTTCAGTGCCCAAATTCTGTTTCTATGGAGAAAAGCCTGATAAAGGCAAATCAGATGTCTGTATGCAACACAAGAGATTCTAACCAAGTAACTGTAATATGGCCTGTTTGTGAGTGAGCTTTATAAATCTTTATAGATTTTGCTTTGATCTGTGCAAAAAAAAGAAAAAATATAAACTTGTTATTTTCTATTATGGGGGCTGAACAGGTCGGGAACTATCTATTTATTTAATTTTAAATGGTATAGAACTGAAAGTGAGCCCCATTTTTTGGCTAGCAGTTCACTTAAAAATTTTTCACAGACTCACAGAAAAACTTGGGACTTCCAAAAAAGTGATAACACAACGTTTATAGGGAAGACTATAGTTAGTCCATTCTCTTCCTACATAATTTTCAGTAGCTTTATTTTAGGCTCCAGAGGAAAAATAAATAAATAAAAATCTGTTTCCAGTGAATAGGTAGCTTCAAGGTGAACTCCTTTACACTTTTTCTAAATAAATTTGTACCCTTAAGACTCCCAAATAAAATATTCTAAGCTGCTACTATATGTTTGAAATTAGAAATATTATAGATTAAGTGGGAAACAAATACATTCACAATTTAAAATTAGTTCTTGGACTATTCTGCAAGAATAAATCAACATGCAAGTATGAGGATCTTTCATATCCTGGAGCCATTGGGCATTCTAATTACCTTAATATAATTGCATCCCAGCTGAGTATTAGATAGTGAATATCTTATAAAACATCATGTAGTGGGCTTGCCACGAGTTTCCATGTCGTAACATACAGACATCTTCCATCATATCTTTGATGCTAGAAATTAGGTGATGTTTTTGGCAACAAGGGCCAATGTGCTCTGGGAAGACAACAATTGATATATATACAAATGCAGAAAAAATATCAAGAAGGAAGCTTGCTCCTCCTTAAAAAATAAAAACACCCTGGGCTAACAACTGGAGACCTGTTGTCTTTATCTTAGTTCTGTTTGTTTGAATATTGAGACTTTGGAAGAAGTTCATAAAATCTTAACATTTCTTCAAATATCTTCTGATTTAATTTTTAAAGGGATTCTGTGTATTAAACAGGACCAAGATTATTATCTTCTTTTTGTGAATGAGGAAACTGAGAAAGTTCAATACTGTTGACAATTAAAATCATGGATCTAGTGAATTGACAGTCTTTAACAACCCCAAGACTTACAAACGTGTTCCTGTAATCTAGTGACAAAGGCATATAAAGAAAATGGTGAGGATTAATAACAATAATACAAATATCTGTTAAAGACCCACATCTTCCCAGAAAATGTATTGGATACTCTCACATATATTTTCATTTAATTCTCATGACAGTTCTTTAACTGAGATTTCTTCTGTTTTTGTTTTGAACAAATGTAGAAAAGAGACTATGCAATGGCTAAGTGACTTTCCTCAGATAACGTAGTTCAGTACTGTATCTCAGCTGCTCTTTCAAATAAGCCTTCTCCCTCTGAGTTCCATATGATGCCCGCTTTCTTGCTTTGGAATCTATTCCATTAGTTACTCCTATTCTTGAATATCCGCAGCAATCACTCCCCATGATTCCCTTCACCTTACCCTCTGTGTCATGAAGAGGGAGTAAGGCATGCTGGTTCTCTGGGGCCAGCATGCCAAATTCTGCTTTGTTAGTTAGTAATTGTGAGAATGCAGGCAAGCCATTTAGGCGCTTAGCCCTGAGGTATCTCGTCTATTAAATGAGAACATAACTGGCAAAAATCTAAGAATATATTAATAGAGAATTTGAAAATAGTATCCAGCACATAATAATTCTTTAGTAAACGTTATTTTTATATACCCTACTCTACCATTTCTTCAGTGTCAAAACATATAAAAGACTTACCTTCACTTTTTATCTCTCCCTCTCATTTATTTCACTGCAATCTTTTCTCTCATTCTCTTTTTGCTTTCACGTAATGTTATTGAAAATTTTAAACACATATAAAACTCAATAAAGTTTTAATAAATTTCCTTGTACATGAAACCCAGCTTCAACAGTTATCAACTCAATGCCAATCTTGTTGTGTTAACAACCCTACCGACTGTCTCCTCTCCGAGATGAGCTGAACAAAAATCCCAGATATCTAATTATTTCATAAATAATTACTTCAGTGTGTATCTCTAATGTAGAAAGGTTATTTTAAAACTAATTATAGTACCTTTACACTACCTAAAAATGTGCAATATTTTAAAATTATCTTCGATATCCAATCAGCATTCCCCTGCTTTATTATACATCTTTTTTTTTACAGATTTTTGTATCAGTATTCAAATAAAGTCTCTGTTAATTTATAATCTTTCTTCCTTCCTCCTGTTCTCCCTGTTTCTTCTATTTCATTTTTTGAAAATGCTCAATATTTTATCAGTTACTTTACTGTTTAGTCCTTTAACATGTTTTTATATTCCCTTCATTTCTGGTAAATTAGTAGTTGGGTTTACAAGTTCAATCAGATTCAGGATTGAGGTTTTTAAGAATACATCATAGGTAGTTTTGTATACTTCCATCAAGCCACACTTAAAGTCAAACTGACTTCCTGTGATGTTAAGAGTAATTGATGATCATTGTCAAATCATTATTCGTTAATAATTTCACAATGCTGATTTTTCACTTAATTACCAAACTGTCTTTATAAAGACTGATTTCCCCTCATCAATTACTTAATTATTCTGAGATAGATTTTATATAGAGAAAGCATAAGTTGATTGGTGAGTTTGTATGTGTGTGCTATCATTATTTAAAAGTAAGCAAAGGCTCAATTTGTCTCATCTGTGGCCCTTTGGCTTGATGACATACTATATTGACCTTCTTTCCTCAGTTGCCTTTTCTTGGCATCCAATAACCCATTTTCTGATTTGCCTACTTTTCTGGTTATTTATTCTCAGTCATTTCCACTTAAAAATATTATTCTGCCTTTCTTTCAAATGCTGATATAATAAAGATCATACATTTTATACTCTTCCCATCTCATGCCGTATGCTTTCCCTAGGAAATTGAAGCTAGTAAGTCTTCAATTTTAATAAATGATATTCAGTATAGTATTGCATACTAAATCTCCAATCCTGGTCTTTTCTGTAACATATAGCTTCTTATATATAACTTTTTACTAAACATCTCTTATCGGCTGTACTGTAGGCATTGTAAAAGTAGAGTACCCAAACTGACCTCCTTACCTTGAAAACAACTTATATCTCTTCCTATACTTCCTAACCAATAAAAGACATTACTTTACATATGGTAAACAAAAGTAGATATCTAAAATTTGTATTTTAAATTTTTTAACCCCAATCAACTACACTAAACCTTATATTTTATTAATTTCATGTTGAATATGTTTCTCAGATATATTACTTGCAAATGTACAAAAGGAAGAGCAAAACAAAGGTACCACCGAATGGGAAACATCCTAGAAAATTAAACATATCACCCAGAACCAAAGAGACAATCTTGCTTAATAATACATTATTTTAAGCATTTTTATAACGAGGATTTAACACAAATCTTCTAACACTAAGAAATATATTATACGCATTAAACAATCACGTTTTTATCCAAAATTTTGCCAACTAGTGTATTCTTTGTCATGAAAGTAGAAGCTAGAAAGCATATGTTTAACTGATTGTCCAAATAAAGAAATAGCCTATAGATGAGGTGCTCTGAGCCATGTCAGCAAATAAATTTCCATAAATTATGCTGAAGATTAAAAATAAAATAAAATAAAACTTTTGTTATAGACATTTTAAAGGATAACACTTGAAGAGTTTCCACTCTGATGTAAGAATAAAAGAAAATGACTTATTGCGCGTTCTGTAGAGTAGTAACGGCACTAGCCATATTAGATATGGAGGTCAGACAAAACAACAACTGGATTTCAATCATCCTATGCTCTACAAATATAAAAAATAAAATTTTATATTCATTTTAAAAGAAATTATGTCACAAATGTGAAGCCTAAGTTTCTTTTTAGGACAATTGGGTTGCAGATTTCTCAGTCCTTTGCTTGGCTGATGCTCTGGAAGAAGTGAAAAATTATGTTCTAATTATGCGGTTAAGCTCAGGTCTTGCAATTTGCTGCATATTTCCCATGTTTAATCATGAGCTTCCCCTTTACATCCTGTTAAAGCACATGGCCCTGATTATCCAGAATGTAGAAGAAAGTCCCTCCCTACCAAAAAAATAAATGTCCTTACTCTTTTTAGAAGAAGGTTTCCAAAAAGTAAATGTTCCTTGTTCTTTAAGAAAAATTCTTCCAGTCAAAGTAAAAGTAGTTTGAAAACCCTCTATATTTCACTCTCTTTTAGAGCATCACAAAAAAATCCTAGAAATAAAAAGGCTCAAGTAAGTTTAGTTCAGTGATTCCCCAAGTGTTTGACCACAGAACCCTTTTAGTTAGTAACAAGTATTGCTACTACTTCAAGGCAATTCTAAGAGTGGAGTGTCATCCACGTGAACACTTCCCAAATTAACTATAAGAATGTTATATTTTTTTCAATCAGTGTCACTCTGGGGGAACACTGATAGGAAGAAAGCCACTCAGAGTTGCATCTGTTTTAACGCAATATATTTGCATAACAGTTCGTCCATACTCATGCCTAATTTTCCTGGGGACTAGTGCAATAGCACAAGTATGATGAATCTGGATGGAGTTGGATGGGCCCTAAAAAATAAAAAACTAGTTAATTAAATGTACCCACTTTGGAACATGAATTGTGTTTCAATAATTTCTGATATTAAGAAATTTGGCCTTAAAAGATAAAAACTTTTAAATTAAAAATAAAACATTATACAACAATTGAACCATGATGTTGAATTTATTATCCTTGTTATTTTGGTGAATGTGTCACTTGATATGATAGTTATATAAAATGCAAATATTTTGAGTCAATAGACTTGGGGGAAGGAGGAAAAGAACAATGAATCTTGTGTGAAAGAGCAGAAACATATAACAAGGAACTATTGATAGAGTAAGTATCTCAGAGGAAATGAGGGCATCACCACACTTCATCCTTTCTGAGGAGCCAAGGAAAAAGCCTGGGACCTAGATATAAGACTGAAAATCAATAAAGCATTTTAGACGTGTATATACTGGATGTGTATATACATGTGCACATATATATACACAAACACGTACATGTGTACACGTACATAAACATGATTTTAGACCTTAACATAAGACTATGTATAATGTGAAAAAAGAGAAAGATGTATAAAATGGAAGTATATGAAACTCGAAAAATACATGAAAATCAAAAAAAAAGAGAATGAATGAAATAATTAAAATATATACGTCAATTTTACAGGGATATTTCTAGAGAAATGACCTAGAACCTAAGACATTAAAGCTGGCATTATTGAATTTAGTTAGCCTTAGGGAACTGAAGATCCCTGTAAATCTTCAAAATTTGTGTATGTATATTTTGGAAGGAGATGACTCACAGACTTCATTAAATTCACAAAGGGCTACCTGTCAATAAAATGTTACAAATCACTGGCTTAAAGTAATCTTTGGATGTCCTCTAGCCAGTGACATCTTATACCTGTAAGTAAACAATTTGTAATAAGACTCTCCTATGATTTTGACTTATTTTTTCAAGGTTTAATCTAAGTCCTGGAGAATCTTTCTGAGATATTACTCCTGAGAGATTAACTTCATTGTAGCTCTTTCCAGTAGATCAAAGATTTTGATCATAATAGTTATAGATAGTAAAAGATATTGATAATAATAATACGGTGGGACCTAGAGATAGCATAATCTGATATACATTTTTTCACGAACTAAGTGGAAAACTATATTAAACACTAAACAAATCCTCCTATATAGCTAAAGCAATGATATTATCATAAAAATCTTACTATTTTTAAAATAGTAAGAAGTCACTTAACTACTTTATTAAGTGGCTGTCAAAATCGAAGGGTGTCAAATCTATATGTCCCCAAAGCTTATCCTCAGGCAGAATTATAACCCTGTATTACTTCAGTGGTTATAATTTACAAGACCTTTTGCCTTAAATAAAATCCCTGTTGTAAGACTAGTAGTGATATTTTCTCTGACCAGATCAGTTTTAATAGTCCATATAGATTTCTTTTCAAACACTTATTTACTTATCTTTTCATTCATTTAAGAACCTTTTATGTTAGATGCTCACTATCTAGATCATGGTCTCTGAGTCCAATAGATGTGGTTCAAATTCTGGCTTTGCCACTTACTAGCTGTTTGACTTTGGCAAGTCAGTTTACACCTCTATGCTCAGCCTCCTCACCTGCAGTATGGGCAATAATAAGTTTACTCCAGACTGTCACTTAGAATGGATTTTCATGCTACTATCTACCTGAGGTCATTGGATATGCTGTTTTATTTAGTGGGGAACACTCCTCTCCCAGGACATTCTATAGCTTGTTATTCTTATTCTTAAGGTCTCCAATTAAAGGTCTTCTGGGGTTACCCACTAAACTTGTCTAAAAGTATCCCGCCACACCCTATCTTTTTTCATCATAGCACTTTATTTTCTTCAAAACACTTTACAAATATGTATTTTTTTGCCTATCTTATTGTAAGTTTGTTACCTGTCTTTACCTCTGTAATATTAAGCTCCATAAAAGCAGAAAACAGGTTTGTTTTGTAGACTGCTGTGTCTCTATTACCTAGCATAGTTCTTAGAGCAGCATAGACATCAATATACATCATTTGAATGAAAGAAGGGATAAAGTATCCAACGTTTTATAACACAGAGTAAGTCTGAAATTAAATATTAGCAATTATTAATCTTGGAGACCATAAAGTACCAAACAAAAATAAATTTTCCTTCTAGGTTTTAACCGATTGAGACAAGATGCAAGAAACCAATGAGAGTCAAATGATAATTAAATAAAGCACTTATGACCCCTAAAGTATAGAGCTCCTTGGTATTACTGAATTGAAGAAGCAGCTTGAATTTGGGAGCAAATTGGAGCCTTATTTTTCTACTCTCTCCATTCCTACTCAGTCAAGACTTTGGAAGCCACCTAAAGTTAGGTATACAAAGGTAAATTCAAATACATTTACTCTTAATATAGAAGATTGTGGCTTACCTCACAAACGTAGTTTCTGTCATGATAGAAAGCAGAAGAGTCAGTCTCTAGTCCCCAAGGATTTTTCTAAAAGACTGCTTCTATTTCTTGGTTATCAATCTTTGAGGCAAAGTAATATCACATACTATTTTTTTTTTTTTTTGAGACGGAGTTTCACTCTTATTGCCCAAGCTGGAGTGCAATGGCATGATCTCAGCTCACCGCAACCACTGCCTCCCGGATTCAAGTGATTCTCCTGCCTCAGACTCCTGAGTAGCTGGGATTACAGGCATGCACCACCACGCCTGGCTAATTTTGTATTTTTAGTAGAGACAGGGTTTCTCCATGTTGGTCAGGCTGGTCTTGAACTCTTGACCTCAGGTGATCTGCCCGTTTTGGCCTCCCGAAGTGCTGGAATTACAGGCGTGAGCTACCGCGCCTGGCCTTCACATACTATTAATAGTACATATGATGTGGGCCCAATGAATGTTAGAATTTTAATAATCAGATTCCATAATCTTCCTCCAATAAAGAATAGCAAGTAAATGATGGAGTAAGAGAAAAGGATGTTCTTCCAGTGATTTCTCCCAGATGGCAGAGTTACTGGTGGAAACGTTTCTGCGACTAAAGCAGGAACATAGAGCAGATGAATGGTCATTCTAGCCACTTAAGTTTGTTGAGATTATTGTTATTGCTGTACTCAGGATATGACCTTGCCCTCAAGAAGCTACAACCTAGCAGAGTGAGTTATATCAGTAAAGGAATTAAGTACAGTAAAGCAATGTGGTCATGCGATTTTAGGAACAATTCAGAATAGTCAATCTCCAATGGCTAAGAAAGAATCTCTTCATGGAGTTTACATTCCACAGTTGTACTGTTCAATATGGTAGCCCCAGTCACATGTTTCTACTTAACTTGAAATTTAAATTAATTGAAATTAAATAAACTAAAATTCAATTATTTAATCTCACTAGCCACATTTCAAGTACTCAATAGTCACAGGTGACTAGTAGCTATTCTATTGAACATCACAGATATAGAATGTATCCATCACAGCAGGGAGTTCTACTAGACAACACTGATCCAGGCAACTGAGAGCCTGACATTTTAATCTGTGTGGGGATGTCAGAAAGAGCAAGAATAGAGCTATGAAGACCAATTAGAATAGAAATATAGTGAGTATTGTAGATGAGAAATGCTTAAACTAAAGAAATAGTAGTGGAGTGAGAGGAAATAGAAAGAAGGGAACTGTTTTTTTTTTTTAAATTAGAGGCAGCGTCAAAGGACACATAGATGGGTTGATGGAATTTGATTAGGATAAGAGAAGGATTGAGTGCAAAGTTTCTGCCTCAGGTGGCTAAGACATCAATTAAAGTGATTAAAATATAAAGGAGATTAATCTTTGAACCAGCGTGAGCTTCAATAAACCTAGCTTTATTCTTTTAATGGTAATTTTTCTGGCCAATGACAAAGAACAAGCTACACATCTTGTCTGCAGTCCCCTGGATCTCAGTTCTGGCCCCAGTGACTGTTGAAATATGAAAACATTCATGTCCACACAAATAAACATCAGCATGCAGCACAGTGCAGTTATAATCTATATCTGGAAAAGAAACATTTCTCCCAAAGAGAGCAACACAATTTTTATTGACAAAGCTGTGACTCAAAAAGTCATGAACATCCATCTATATTATTGAAAGAACACTGAGCTTAGAAGTTTAAATCTCCATTACTACCTCAAAGTTTTCATCCTAAATAATGGTTTGTTTATTTGACCTATACATCTGAGATTAAAGGAGTAATTCTGGAGACTCGCTCAGAATACCAGAATAAAACAGAAAAAAAAAAATTTAAAAAGTGTAATGGAGGGGTAGCTTAAGATCTCCACATTTTTTGGGTCAGCAGATCGAGACCATCCTTGCTAACACAGTGGAACCCCATCTCTACTAAAAATACAAAAACATTAGCCGGGCGTGGTGGTGGGCACCTGTAGTCCCAGCTACTCGGGAGGCTGAGGCAGGAGAATGGCGTGAACCCGGGAGGTGGAGCTGGCAGTGAGCCAAGATCACGCCACTGCACTCCAGCCTGGGGGACAGAACTAGACTCTGTCTCAAAAAAAAAAAAAAGATTTCCACATTTTTTGGAAGAAAGGACATTGTTTACAGCTTTGAAATGATGGTTTTATTTCCCCTGTTTCCAGAAGTCTCATAAATATCTTGGGAATTTCATTCAGCACTCTACAATTCACATAATCAAATTGTTAGGAATTATTGTGAAGGTACTGGGGAATGACTGAAAGATATAGTTGGAAAAAAAGAAGTGATGACACTAGCTACTCATTCTCCCTCACCCACATCTTAATTTGCATTCCATGAAATTAGTGCCTGAGGCAAAGACTTGGGTGCAGGAGATTTATTTGGGAGGTGACCCCAGAAAGCAAGAATAAAGAAAGGGAAAGGAGGAAAAGTCAGTACGACAATGGTGTGGAAACCAAGGATTCCATTGTCACAAAGATCTCTCGAAAACATGGAGAATGTCGCTCAGAAATGAGCCTTCAGAGTTTGATAGGCTGGGCATTTGTCCACCAGCTCCCATCCCACATGACTTCAGGGGCTTTACCACCTGCAAACTTTCATGCCACACTGTTCATGGGCTTTACATATTCCTTTGTCTTCAGGAATGATGCTGAAGTGGAATTGGTCCTGAAATAGAAAAGTGGAGATATGCAATAGAAAATCAAGGTATGTGTTGTACCACCAGTCAGAACTATCGACCATAACTGCAGATAAAATCAGAGACAGGTCAAAATAGTGTAATTGAAGACATAAGTGTTTGCCGCAGTTCAACTCTTGAAACACTCAGATCCAATCAGGCCTTATATTCAGTCCAGTCTTAAAGGCAGAGGTAGCCTCATTGACCTGTGGCCTGTGCAGTTTTACAGAGTCCATGCTCAGTAGGGCTTGACCTGTAAGGTTCAATGCTCTGCAGTTGCTGCCTTAAAAATTTATTTTTGAATTTGTATTTTGTAAATGAAATCTAATAGATCAATGAAGCATATGGGAGTTGCGGGGCAGGGGAGAAGGGAACTTGGAATCTTGGCTTTTCTTGCACTATTCCATCTCCCACCACCTCCTTTCGGAGAGCTCTGGGCTGCTTGATCCCCATGCACTAGCACTGCTAGTGCCTCGCTACCTGCCCTAGCCCTTAGACCACTGCTGCCAACCTGCCCTTCTGTAGAGATAACATCACATTAATGGAGGGAGGTCGTGTACTATCATCCACTCTTGCCCCCAGCAGCAGCATGGGCACAGGTGCAGGGAGAGTTGTTGGGTCATATGCCCCACAGTGTCTCAGAGTAGGGCATAACAGTGGCAATCCTGGTCCTGGCTGGCAGCATCATGACAGGCACCTAGTCAGGGATGAGTCTTTTGCTTACTCCCAACCCAGATACCAAGTACTTCCCATTGTGGAGGTTGCAATACCCTGGGCATCGCCCATCCACTGTGCCTGGAGCTAACAGCCTTTGAAAAAGAGAAACTTACTACTTTACAATCTCCTCCTGCCCTTCAGGCTGTATTGGTCCAGCAGCTGGCAGGAGGGCAAACCCAACAACCTGTAGGTCTCTCACAAACATGCTGTATTACAGGGAAATCCCTGACACGTGCGAATGTCTGTACTTCCCCTGGGATTCCCTCTTACTAGAAGGAGCACAACTTTAAGTAGGGATTTTAAAATACCCTGAGCAGTCAAGAGAGAGACAAGAAGAAAGAGGGGGAAAAGTTTATACAATATTTTAGTGTTTGTAATTTTCTTCCTGCTTTTTGAACGCAGGGCCCCACATTTACAATTTGCATTGGGCCCCACAAATCACGTAGCCAACTCTGTTACAAGGAAGTGCTTCTCTATAATTTCTAAAAAAGAATAAATACAGAAGAAACAGGCTGCTGCAACCACCCCCAAGGCTATAAACGATATTAATTTTCACCCCTGATCATTTCCATTCTAGATTCCCCTTGCTCTCAGGCAAAGTTGCAGCCAGTCTAGTTTGCTTGCCTGATTGGGGAACACACCTTCAAACCTGAGTGGCATGTGCTCTTGATTGCCTTGGCTTTCCCATGCTCTGGTTGCTGCAATTGCCTATTCAATAAGCATGGAAGCCTGGAGAAGTGCCCCAGTGACTTCCCCAAGTTTCAGATATATTTCTCTTTGCCCACATTACATAAAAGCAATCCTGGCTCCTCATAATAATCAGGGTCAATTACTCCTGTCAATGTAGTAATTCATTTACTACAATATAGTAGTTCATTTATCTGTTGGTTCATAGTCAAGACTCAGGTTCAGTAGAGAAAACATTTTCTTTCAGTCCCAAATCAGCACATTCAGTACAGCAGAGCCCAAAATGCAGAAACAGAAATACCAATTTTGCAAGCTGGTCGCCGTATTAGTTTGCTAGGGCTGTCATAACAATGTGCCACAGACCACATGGATTAAACAGTAGATATTTATTTTCTTATGAGTTTGAAGATCAGATGTTTGAGATCAAGGGATCCCAGGTTTGGTTTATTCTGGGGCCTCTCTCCCTGGCATGCAGAGGGCTGTTTTGTCCCTTCTGTGTCTTCACATGGTCTTCCCTCTGTACATGTTCTGCATCCTAATCTTTTTATAAGGACACCAGTTCCTATGGGATTATGGCCCACCATAATGACCTCATTTTAATTTTACCTCTTTAGAGACCATATCTCCAAATATAGTTAGTTTCTGAAGGACCGGGATTTGGAGCTTCAGCATATGAATTTTAAGTGGGAAGAAACAATTCAGTCCATAATAGGCACTGGGTCTGATAACAAATATTTTTTCATGTTTTGTTCTCCAGACCCAGGTATTCTAGCTATGAATGGTAGAAATGTATAAATTATTTCTTGCATTATCATAAATAACGCCTCCTAAAGGAGAGCACCATAACTTTGCAGTGTGTTGCTTCCTATCTGATGCTTTAGATGAGTCTTTAATGGACCAATTCCAGGGTTTCGATTTGTTTGGCTACATTACAGTGGTGTGTATATGGCATATAATCAATGGATTCTGTAGTCATACTCCCACAGTCACAAATTCTTCATTGTAAATTGGATCCTTGGTCTGAGATTCTGTTATGTGCCAACCCAAGTCAGTAAATCAGGCATACTATAAGCTCTCTCAGAATGGGGCTGGCAGAGACACTGTAATCAGGGAAGGCAAACCCATGCATATCACATAGAAGGGTAGAAGGTATCTGATATAATTAATTTTTTACCCAAGTTATTTATCTGATAACAAGTTCTCACTGCCAGTAATGTAGTCGCTCCACTGGCCTTGTAAGGAAGAAAATGTTGCTGTAATCCTGCATAATTTTCATCTCTGCCATCATGACTATTGTACTCATGAACTCACTGCACAAGCATTGGAGAAGCCAAGGACAGACTCACTGACATCTGCTAGGTAAGTCATCATGTGCACCTAGTTTTCGAGTGTCTTCTCTGCACTGTGTGGGCATTCAATGTAAAACAAAAATTATTTCACTGTATAACCATTCACGTAGATTCCATCAGCATGCCACTGCTCCAGAAAACTTACCTCTAATCTTCCAATTTTAGTTTCCAGGGCCCTGAGCCATATGTCGATTCACCACTACCGATAGTCTATGTATATCATTACTTCAGGCCACTTATCTCTCCTTCAAAGGGTATGTCCAAGTGTACTCACTTCTTACAGGTCTGCTCAATGAAGTAACAATCCATCTTTAGTTAACATCAGCCCAACAAGCTAAACAATTTGGAAACAGGCCCCCAATTTTATTTGGTCATCAGCCAACATTTTTTTTTCTAGTGATAACCTCAGTCAGTTTGTATTTAATCATATGCTTAAATGTCAAATCAATACACAAATCTCACCCAGGCCATTTCCAATTATAATCCATTAAAATCTTGAATCATTTAGTTGTAAGCTGAAAGAGAGGTGTCAGAATAACAGAAGTAGGTAACATAAGAGACTCAGTCACCACTTTGTCAAACTTAGATCCACTGGCTATGCTAGGGCTTGATCCAAAATGGACCTTTTCTATTGTATGATAAATTGCTGCTGTACCCACTAGACCTTATGAATTAGTGGAACTGAAAACATTCAGAAGCTCCGTCATAAACTTACTATCATCAGTTTTTACTATTGTGCAGTAATACATCAGGTCAATCACCGATAGAATGCTACAACTCCTGAATAACAGTGCTTCCACATTACCTGTACCTTATAGTAAACCAGTTCATATGACTCTTATTAATAGTGATATCAGAACATACAACTTACCATTAAGAATGGTATCTTTGTTATTTTCTGATGATGAGAGACTACAATGAATGAAATGGAATGGTATAAATGAAATAGGATTAAACACATCAGATAATTGAAAGGACTCACTAAACCTCACAGAAGATACTCATGCAAGGTTTAGGTTTAGTGAAATTAAATGATCTTAGAGAGCACTAGAAATAAAATGTAGGTAAGCACAGGGGGACCAAGTGTATGCAGAAATGTCTAGGCACAGCTCTCCAGAGATTTTCTGTAGTCATATAGGATGTTCTTTGACTCTAGATTGTGAACCATCAAGACATATGGGAGGAATCTTAGTTTTAGATGAGCTAGGACAAAAGTTTCTTGGAGAATCTTTTATGCTCCATTGGACAGGTATCCAAGCCAGATGCTAATGCATTTCACCACGTGTAAGTCATCAATCTAGACATCCTTAAGTAACACAAAGAAGGTGGCTCTGGGTCCTGCCAAGGGAGTTTCAAACATTAAATAGCAAAATATAAATTGCTAGCTGGTCTATCTCATACTTATCTTGGTCTGAGTCAGTATCAGACTTCCACAAATCACCATAGATAACACTGATAAGCAGTTCTGCTTTAAGATAACTTTATCTTAGTTTCACATCTCATTCTGAATAATTGCTTACTAGATCCACTTCTGGTTTTAATTTCTTAGTTTTTCTGGGTGTTCCCCAAAGCAAAATTTGAGGCAAGGAAATAGCTGCAAGTTATTTATCTCAAGTGTTTTTATAAAGCAGGATTTGGGAGTAGAGAAAGTGAGACAGGAAAAGAAGAAAAAAGCATCAGAGCCCACTATTGAGGTTTTAGCTGGAATCACTGAGAAGTATAAAAAATTCCCTGCCATAAATGTCTGTCTTGGGATGAAATACCAGGACACTAATTTAGTAATTCTCATCCATATGGCTGAGGATTGCTTTTTGATGTGTTAACTTCCCCATTCTTTCAAGCTAATATGCAAATAGAGCAGTTTGTTATGACTTCCAAGAAGGCCATGGCTCTAGAGATGATCTGGTGGCCAAAATCTCTTAAGGTATTTTGATAGCTGGTTTTAAAACATGGTCATCATTAAAAATGAAATATCTTAAATTTATAATTAAATACATTTTATGCAAAACAAAAGTATTTATTATATAAATACATTTTATGCAAAAGTATTTATTATATAATTAAATACATTTTATGCAAAACAAAAGTATTTAATACTCAAAATCTATCATGTTCTAATTATTTTCCATTATCTACCTTCTTGATGTTATGTAGATCTATTTAATCTATATGACAAAATACTAACATAATGGAGTGCTGTTGCATGTCTTTCCCCAGAAATACATTTAATATACCATGCTGTAGCTTGACATTAGCTATGGTAAAATATTTGCACTATGGAAATCCACAAAAAGTATAAATCAGGGCTTGATTCCTGCCCAGAATTCTACCTCCAGTTATTTCTTAAATAATAATTAATACTTTATTAAAAAAATAAAGAGAACATGCTAGATCGTTGATACGTGTACTGTCAGAGTAATTTGGAATTGCCAACCCATGTGATTGAGACCAGAGATCAACCAAGGAAAGAGGCGACATTGGTAATTAAAATAATCTTCTTTACACCCTAGTCATCCAGACTCTATTCCAAAGTGGTAACAAGGTAGAGAGGATAGATTCCCTTTTAGTCTCCATCTGTTCCTCAAGCCACCTTACAGAAACCTTATAAGTGAGCATAGTGTTTGACTTAGTTAATTCAATGGGGAAAATTTTGAAGGGGAAAAAAAATAAAAGGCCAAGTAATTCAGAGACCAGTTATTGCCTGGGCTATTATTCTATACCATTAAAGTTTGAATTATAAATGCACTCAGGTATGAAGAAAATGAGAGTAAAAATCTCCAAATATTAAAGGACTTTTAAAAAGGATGAAAAACTGAGCAGGTAGTAAACATTATATTTAAATGCTATGATCATAAAAGTGCAGGTATTTTACACAGGAGGGGTGGAATAATGATGGGAATTCTACGTATGAACAGACAGAATCTTCCCAGCTAGAAGTTGCCATGGTAAGACAGTCACTACCTATCCCTTCCTGTGCACAGTACCCACCCTCATCATCTCTCTCTTATATACACATATCACCACCACCAACAACAGCAACACACTCAGGACTATGCAATAAATAATAATAACTCATATTTTAGTGTCTACTATTGTTATAGGTAGTTAGAAAGTCATGAGTGGGGCAGGAGAGAGTTCTCCCCCATCCACTAAGAATGTCGGATCATGGTTCAACAATTATCACATTGCATCTCTAAAAGTGATAAATTGGGAGCCAGTGCCAGGGAGAGGCCATTTTCTGATGGTCCACACCTGTTTCACTAAAGTGCTAATTAAATGCAGGTGCCAGGGAGAAGCAACTTCCTGGGATGCACATTAAGAGACAAAATGGTGAAGTATGACATTCTGGGGGCACTCCACCGGAAAAAGAAAGCAAGCCTCAGATGGTCATGTGTACAACTTCCTAAACACACTGCATATAGTCACCTCCCAAAGGTAAGAGGGCACTGTGTATGCGGGCAGTCTACCCTAAGGGAAGAATCATGGGGAAAAGGTGAGCCAATAAAGTCCTAAGATCATGGCTAAATGTCGCACTTGACCTTCAGGTGCTTGCTTGGGTCTCTTCCAACTGAACTTTACTTTCTTTCCTGTTCTAAAGCCTTTCTTAATAAACTTTCACTCCTGCTCTGAAACTTGCCTCGGTCTCTCCTTTTCTGCCTTATGCCCCTCAGTCAAATTCTTTCTTCTGAGGAGTCAAGAATTGAAGTCGCTGCCCACCTGTACAGATTCACCACGGGTAAATCACATCTCTACCACCAGTAACATATTTGGTGCCATGAAACTCAGATATTTGCCACCACTAACACTATGTGTTAGAAAATGTTTTATGTCCTTTGTGTATATTATGTGTTTAAATCTTCACTGGAATCTGACAATTTATATAATATTATTCCCACATTAGAGATGAAGAAACAAGGCACAAAGAACTTGAGTAACTAGGAGACAACATACATTTAGTGGTAAAGCCAGGACACAAACTCTGCTCTGAAAAGAAATTTCCATCTTCATAATCTAATTATAATCTTCTATTACCTCAAGATATTGCTTACCTGGCAGCCCTAACAAGCGGGGATGGGTTTACAATTCCTGCTTACAGAGAGGAGTCTTCCATCCTTCCTGTAACTGCTTTCAGGCCATAGTTATTCCTTTCCCTTTCTAAAATCTCAATCCTTTTGAAACATATGCCAGTAGAATGTACGGCCTAATAGTTTCCCCTTATCTACAGAGGACAAATTCCAAGATCCCCAGTAGACAGTGGATGCCTGAAGCTTCATAAAGTACTAAACCCTAAATGCAATAGTTTTTTTTTTTTTTTTTTTTTTTTTGTACATGCTTACCTCTGATAAACTTTAATTTATAGACTGGGCACAGTGGCTCATGCCTGTCATCCCAGCACTTTGGGAGGCCAAGGTGGGTGGATCAAAAGGTCAGGAGTTTGAGACCAACCTGGCCAGTATGGTGAAACCCTGTCTCTACTAAAAATACAAAAATTAGCTGGGTGTGGTGGCGGGCACCTGTAATCCGAGCTAGTCCGGAGACTGAGGCAGAAGAATTGCTTGAACACAGGAGGCAGAGGTTGCAGTGAGCCGAGATCACGCCCCTGCACTCCAGCCTGGGTGACAGAGCGAGACTCCGTCTCAAAAAAAAAAAAAGTTTAATTTATAAATTATGCACAGTAAGATATATTACTAAGGAATATATTACTAAGGACGTGTTAAGGGATATTAACAATAATAACTAATAATAAAATAGAAGAATTGTAACAATATACTATAATAAAAGTTATGTAAATGTGATCTTCCTACCAGTGGAAGGTAACTGAGTTACTGGCAGCAAATCTGTATGGATCTGTAGCAACCTCAATTCTTCCTTCTCTAGAAGAAAGAAATTGACTGAGGGGGCATAAGGCAGAAAAAGAGACTGAGGCAAGTTTTAGAGCAGGAGTGGAAGTTTACTTAAAAAGGGGCAGGGCGTGGTGGCTCATGCCTGTAATCCCAGCACTTTGGGAGGCCGAGGCGGGTGAATCGTGAGGTCAGGAGTTTGAGACCAGCCTGGCCAACATGGTGAAACCCTGTCTCTACTAAAAATACAAATAATTAGCTAGGCATAGTGTGGGTGCCTGTAATCCCAGCTACTTAGGAGGCTGAGGCAGTAGAATCGCCTGATCCCAGGAGGCAGAGGTTGCAGTGAGCAGAGATTGTGCCACTGCACTCCAGCCCAGGTGACAGAGAGAGACTCTGTCTCAAAAAAAAAAAAAGAGGCTCTGTAATAGGAAAGAAAGGAAAAAGAAAGGAAAGTATGCTTGGAAGAGACTCAAGCAGGCATATGAAGGTTAAATGTGGTGTTTAATCATGATCCTGGGACTTTAAAGGCTCTCCTCTTTCCCAGGATTCTTTTCTTAGGGTGGGCTGCCTGAATGCTCAGTGCCCTCCTTACCCTTGGGAGGTGAGCACACACAGTGTGTTTAGGAAGTGGTACACATGCTCATCTGAGGCTTTCTTCCTATTTCTGGTGGATTGTCCCCAGAAGGTCATAATCCGTCATTTTATCTCTTAATGCACTTGCCCGGGAAGCTGCTTCTCCCTGGAATCTGCATTCAATGAGCACTTTAGTGCAACAGGTGCGGAGCATCAGAAAATGGCTTCTCCCTGGCACGGGCTGTCAATTTATCACTTTTGGAGAGGCAATGTGATAATTGTCAAACCATCATCTGGCATTTTTAGTGGTCAGGGGAGAGCCCCCTTCTGCCCTTAGCATGCCTGTCTAACTACCTGTAACAATCTCTCTCTCCCTCAAAATACCGTATTGTACTGTACTCACCTTTCCTTCTTGTGATGATGTGAGATGATAAAATGTCCACTTGATGAGATACCATGACGGTTCATCTGATAACCGAGACAACTACTAAATGACTCAGCAACAGGTAGCATAGACAGCATGGATACACTTGACTAAGGGATGACTGACATGCTAGTATAAAGTGGTACAGCACATTTTATCACTTTATGATACTTAGAACAGCATGAAATTTAAAACAATTATTTCTAGAATTTTCCACTTAATATTTTCAGACCTCAGTTGACTGTGGGTAACTAAAACCATGGAAAGTAAAACCATGAATACAGGAGGACTATGGCACTTTTTTGTGTTGTGGTCATGTACCTACCTTCCTGGCAGTCATCAATCATTGGAACTTTAATAACCTAACCTACAGGTTTTGTAATTTCAAACCAGGGCCCACTAGCACAGAGTATATTTTTTCAAATTATTTTAAAATGTCCCTCTCTGTGTGTGAACTTAAATAAAGGCATTTCCCATGGGCAGATCAATTCAAAAGGGGTCCCTTCCTCTATACTGATATTAGCCTGTTTCCCAGGCCAATGACTGGAAGTAGAATCTGTGTAGAGTTTAGCCAATGAATCGGTTGGTTTCTGGAATGGCCCAAGCAAATGATTCCTCCAGTTCCTTTTTCTTTTAAATTATTTTTTTTCATCGTTGTCAACGACTTTACCTCTACTCTATCTCTGCCACTAACACCCAGGCTTATACTATAACTCCTATCGTAAGTAACTGAATAACCTTCAAAATGTAATTAAAGTCAGCCCAAATTGAATCACTTCATATTCAGTCTCACAAATTTAAAGTGAGCTCGTAGCATTGCCTAGCAATCATTGCATTTATCTAGTCCAGCCACCCTATCATTCCCCACATCTATTTAAGGATCTTGTTTTCCTCCAAGAAATAAACTCTTGTCTCCACAATATCATCAATGCTATCCTCTCTATTAGGTCATTCTCATCAGCATACAAATACATGGTCATATCCTCCATCCTAAAATGACCATTCTTGGATCCCTCAACTCACTCCAGTTACCACTCCATTGTCTACATCATTATGCAGAAAAATTTTTAAAAATTGTTTTTTACCATAACTGCTCTGTTTCTCAACTCATACGCTTTCCTTAAACTACTTCAATTATTCTTCTTCTGTTAAGTTCATTAACAGTGTTGACCAGTGTTGACTAACAAATGCATTACTCAGTTCTTAGTCATCTTAGCCTCTAAAATTACCAAGTTTTCTTTCCTGAAACGTTTTGTTCACTTAGCCTCTAGAGTAGACTGATAATTCTGGGTATTCTGGGTCTCATTTATGCTCGTCTTTATCCATACCCAATCTATGCTCAGCTCAATCCACACCCAGTTTTATAACTGTAAATAATTTTTATATCACCCATGCTAATATCGGCAAAACTTCTGCCTTCAGAATGAACGTGCTTTCAGCTGCTGACACATATTTGACTGCCTTCCTGATAGCTTCATTTGGATGTCTAAAAGGCATCATGAATTTGACAGGTCCAATTTGTGAGGTTTTGTGCTACAAAACCTGCTCCTCACTTATTCTTTTCCATTTCCATAAAAGGAACAACTATTTATTCAGTTGCTCAGGCAGAAACTCTAGAAGTCAATACTCGTTTCTGTATCTAAATCCCATAAAAATTTTTTACAAGATATATGGGCTCTATATTCAAAATGTATCCCAAATTTGACCATTTCTCATCACATCCATTTCTATTGCATAAACTACCGCTTAACTGATTTTCTTGCTTCTGTTTTTATTTCTCTATGCAAATATTTTATAAAGTGACCAGAATTATCTTTAAAAAATTAAATTGGAAACTGTTAATCTGCTCTCAAACTTTATAGCAGTTTCCTTTTCTAAAATCCAACTTTTAAACATGTCTAAAATAACTCTAGTTAGACTATATCTTGAAACAAATAAATATATATGTCTCTTTTACTTAATCATAGTTACATGGCTTGGTCTTGTTACTGTATCTAAAGCATGCAAGTTTCTTTCACTTTCCGTTCTCTCTTCTTGGAGAACTCATCCTCCAGATATTTCCATGATACTCCTTATTTCATTGAATTTCTGCTCAGATATCACCTTTCATCCTCTCTCTGCATGACTTTTTAAAATTTTGCTTTATCATAACAGAACTCATTATCTCAATTCATTTATATTTTTGTTTTTGTGCTTATTGTCTGTTTCCACTAGGAAAATGTAATCTAAGAACAATTATTGTATCTGTTTTTCTTATTGCTATTATTTTTACATCTGGATGAATAACTGACATACAGGTGTTTGTTCAATGAGAGAACAAGTTGATTAAGAGGTCATCATTGAAGAAGAAGGGGGATAATTTAGATTGTATTGTATTATGCACAAGTAAAACAGACTAAAAATTAAGATGGCAATTTGGTAACAGGAATTACAGTATTTACATTTGTCAGACTGTGCTGTAATCACATAGTTAATTATCTATCTATCCTTCTGGATTACAGTGTCCAGAGGGGCACCAAGTAATACTTGTGCTTATCATTGCATCTCAATTATATAACACTATGCCTAAAGGAAAAATTAGCTGCCCTATAAATACTTGTTGAGTGAATACATTTTAAAAGTAGCCATTGTTTAGAATAGATTTTTAAAAAATAGCCTTGAGATTCAACCAGTATAAGAAGCAAGCATAGTCATTAGGATATATCCAGGAAAGAAATCAGTATAGTTTAACTATGCAGTAACCCTCTTTATACCATTTGAGGAAAATTAATACCATTTCCCATAAATTATCACTATAATGATGAAGAAAATATTTACATGTTCATGAAAGAACTAAGGAAAATTTGAATGAAGTGATGAATGTAAGGGACTTTGAATTAATCTAATATATATTACCAACAATTTCTAAATGCTTTTTACTGCAAAACAATTAATAGTAGGAAAAAGGCTAAAGTCTATTTTATGAACATCCAGTAATATAGTGAAATAAATGCTTTATACATTATTCAATACTTTATGTACATGATTAGCATAGCAGCAACAATGTATATGTTTTGGAGGTTTATTTCTATAAGCAAATGAAACAAACTTTTCTATTATAAACAACATTTTCTAAAAATTTAGTCAGAAATTTGAAATTAAGAATGCAGTCACATGTCCACAATAGGCAGGAAAATAGAAAAGAAAAAAAAGGAGAAAATATACAGAACACAGATCTCTTAAACAGCTTTGTTTTCCCTGCATCCATCTACTCAAATGACCATGTTCCCAACTCTCTAATGTTCTACTACCTTACTCAAATCCAGCAATATTTATCATTTTGTCATTCAGTGAATGTTTAAACAGCACCTTTTAATAATTTACTATTTAGATGCCTAGGTTTGCTAAAGAAACCCAATATTCATGTAGCTTCTTCATTTCCTTCTTTGCTCTAGTATAAGCTATTTGTAGCTTCTCCTTCTCTTGCCTTCCCCATCCCTGCTCTCTTGCATTGTCTGTCTCTCTGTCTCCCTTTTCTTCCTTTTATTTCTTTTGTTTAAGAAAGCATGTGGTTATTAATAGGTAATATGAATCAGAAATAGATTTGTATAATTAAATTATTGCTATTGTTTCATTCAGGTTTTCAAACCAAGTAAACATAAAAATACAATGGCTTGGAGGAGCCAAGATGGCCGAATAGGAACAGCTCCGGTCTACAGCTCCCAGCGTGAGCGACGCGGAAGACGGGTGATTTCTGCATTTCCATCTGAGGTACCGGGTTCATCTCACTAGGGAGTGCCAGACAGTGGGCACAGGACAGTGGGTGCGCACACCGTGCGCGAGCTGAAGCAGGGTGAGGCATTGCCTCACCTGGGAAGCGCAAGGGGTCAGGGAGTTCCCTTTCCGAGTCAAAGAAAGGGGTGACAGACGCACCTGGAAAATCGGGTCACTCCCACCCGAATATTGGGCTTTTCAGACCGGCTTAAAAAACGGCGCACCACGAGACTATATCCCACACCTGGCTCGGAGGGTCCTACGCCCACGGAATCTCGCTGATTGCTAGCACAGCAGTCTGAGATCAAACTGCAAGGCAGCAGCCAGGCTGGGGGAGGGGCGCCCGCCATTGCCCAGGCTAGCTTAGGTAAACAAAGCAGCCAGAAAGCTCAAACTGGGTGGAGCCCACCACAGCTCAAGGAGGCCTGCCTGCCTCTGTAGGCTCCACCTCTGGGGGCAGGGCACAGACAAACAAAAAGACAGCAGTAACCTCTGCAGACTTAAATGTCCCTGTCTGACAGCTTTGAAGAGAGCAGTGGTTCTCCCAGCATGCAGCTGGAGATCTGAGAACGGGCAGACTGCCTCCTCAAGTGGGTCCCTGACCCCTGACCCCTGAGCAGCCTAACTGGGAGGCACCCCCCAGCAGGGGCACACTGACACCTCACACGGCAGGGTATTCCAACAGACCTGCAGCTGAGAGTCCTGTTTGTTAGAAGGAAAACTAACAAACAGAAAGGACATCCACACCGAAAACCCATCTGTACATCACCATCATCAAAGACCAAAAGTAGATAAAACCACAAAGATGGGGAAAAAACAGAACAGAAAAACTGGAAACTCTAAAACGCAGAGCGCCTCTCCTCCTCCAAAGGAACGCAGTTCCTCACCAGCAACAGAACAAAGCTGGATGGAGAATGACTTTGACGAGCTGAGAGAAGAAGGCTTCAGATGATCAAATTACTCTGAGCTACGGGAGGACATTCAAACCAAAGGCAAAGAAGTTGAAAACTTTGAAAAAAATTTAGAAGAATGTATAACTAGAATAACCAATACAGAGAAGTGCTTAAAGGAGCTGATGGAGCTGAAAACCAAGGCTCGAGAAGTACATGAAGAATGCAGAAGCCTCAGGAGCCGATGCGATCAACTGGAAGAAAGGGTATCAGCGATGGAAGATGAAATGAATGAAATGAAGCGAGAAGGGAAGTTTAGAGAAAAAAGAATAAAAAGAAATGAGCAAAGCCTCCAAGAAATATGGGACTATGTGAAAAGACCAAATCTACGTCTGATTGGTGTACCCGAAAGTGATGCGGAGAATGGAATCAAGTTGGAAAACACTCTGCAGGACATTATCCAGGAGAACTTCCCCAATCTAGCAAGGCAGGCCAACGTTCAGATTCAGGAAATACAGAGAATGCCACAAAGATACTCCTCGAGAAGAGCAACTCCAAGACACATAATTGTCAGATTCACCAAAGTTGAAATGAAGTAAAAAATGTTAAGGGCAGCCAGAGAGAAAGGTCAGGTTACCCTCAAAGGGAAGCCCATCAGACTAATAGCGGATCTCTCGGCAGAAACCCTACAAGCCAGAAGAGAGTGGGGGCCAATATTCAACATTCTTAAAGAAAAGAATTTTCAACCCAGAATTTCATATCTAGCCAAACTAAGCTTCATAAGTGAAGGAGAAATAAAATACTTTACAGACAAGCAAATGCTGAGAGATTTTGTCACCACCAGGCCTGCCCTAAAAGAGCTCCTGAAGGAAGCCCTAAACATGGAAAGGAAGAACCGGTACCAGCCGCTGCAAAATCATGCCAAAATGTAAAGACCATCGAGGCTAGGAAGAAACTGCATCAACTAACGAGCAAAATCACCAGCTAACATCATAATGACAGGATCAAATTCACACATAACAATATTAACTTTAAATGTAAATGGACTAAATTCTCCAATTAAAAGACACAGACTGGCAAGTTGGATAAAAAGTCAAGACCCTTCAATGTGCTGTATTCAGGAAACCCATCTCACGTGCAGAGACACACATAGGCTCAAAATAAAAGGATGGAGGAAGATCTACCAAGCCAATGGAAAACAAAAAAAGGCAGGGGTTGCAATCCTAATCTCTGATAAAACAGACTTTAAACCAACAAAGATCAAAAGAGACAAAGAAGGCCATTACCTATTGGTAAAGGGATCAATTCAACAAGAACAGCTAACTATCCTAAATATATATACACCCAATATAGGAGCACCCAGATTCATAAAGCAAGTCCTGAGTGACCTACAAAGAGACTTAGACTCCCACACATTAATAATGGGAGACTTTAACACCCCACTGTCAACATTAGACAGATCAACGAGACAGAAAGTCAACAAGGATACCCAGGAATTGAACTCAGCTCTGCACCAAGCGGACCTAATAGACATCTACAGAACTCTCCACCCCAAATCAACAGAATATACATTTTTTTCAGCACCACACCACACCTATTCCAAAATTGACCACATACTGGGAAGTAAAGCTCTCCTCAGCAAATGTAAAAGAACAGAAATTATAACAAACTATCTCGCAGACCACAGTGCAATCAAACTAGAGCTCAGGATTAAGAATCTCACTCAAAGCCGCTCAACTACATGGAAACTGAACAACCTGCTCCTGAATGACTACTGGGTACATAACGAAATGAAGGCAGAAATAAAGATGTTCTTTGAAACCAACGAGAACAAAGACACAACATACCAGAATCTCTGGGACGCATTCAGAGCAGTGTGTAGAGGGAAATTTATAGCACTAAATGCCCACAAGAGAAAGCAGGAAAGATCCAAAATTGACACCCTAACATCACAATTAAAAGAACTAGAACAGCAAGAGCAAACACATTCAAAAGCTAGCAGAAGGCAAGAAATAACCAAGATCAGAGCAGAACTGAAGGAAATAGAGACACAAAAAACCCTTCAAAAAATCAATGAATCCAGGAGCTGGTTTTTTGAAAGGATCAACAAAATAGATAGACCGCTAGCAAGACTAATAAAGAAAAAAAGAGAGAAGAATCAAATAGACACAATAAAAAATGATAAAGGGGATATCACCACCGATCCCACAGAAATACAAACTACCATCAGAGAATACTACAAACACCTCTACACAAATAAACTAGAAAATCTAGAAGAAATGGATAAACTCCTGGACACATACACTCTCCCAAGACTAAGCCAGGAAGAGGTTGAATCTCTGAATAGACCAATAACAGGAGCTGAAATTGTGGCAATAATCAATAGTTTACCAACCAAAAAGAGTCCAGGACCAGATGGATTCACAGCCGAATTCTACCAGAGGTACAAGGAGGAACAGGTACCATTCCCTCTGAAACTATTCCAATCAATAGAAAAAGAGGGAATCCTCCCTAACTCATTTTTTGAGGCCAGCATCATTCTGATACCAAAGCCGGGCAGAGACACAACCAAAAAAGAGAATTTTAGACCAATATCCTTGATGAACATTGATGCAAAAATCCTCAGTAAAATACTGGCAAAACGAATCCAGCAGCACATCAAAAAGCTTATCCACCATGATCAAGTGGGCTTCATCCCTGGGATGCAAGGCTGGTTCAATATACGCAAATCAATAAATGTAATCCAGCATATAAACAGAGGCAAAGACAAAAACCACATGATTATCTCAATAGATGCAGAAAAAGCCTTTGACAAAATTCAACAACCCTTCATGCTAAAAACTCTCAATAAATTAGTTATTGATGGGACATATTTCAAAATAATAAGAGCTATCTATGACAAACCCACAGCCAATATCATACTGAATGGGCAAAAACTGGAAGCATTCCCTTTGAAAACTGGCACAAGACAGGGATGCCCTCTCTCACCACTCCTATTCAACAGAGTGTTGGAAGTTCTGGCCGGGGCAATCAGGCAGGAGAAGGAAATAAAGGGTATTCAATTAGGAAAAGAGGAAGTCAAATTGTCCCTGTTTGCAGACGACATGATTGTTTATCTAGAAAACCCCATTGTCTCAGCCCAAAATCTCCTTAAGCTGATAAGCAACTTCAGCAAAGTCTCAGGATACAAAATCAATGTACAAAAATCACAAGCATTCTTATACACCAGCAACAGACAAACAGAGAGCCAAATCATGAGTGAACTCCCATTCTCAATTGTTTCAAAGAGAATAAAATACCTAGGAATCCAACTTACAAGGGATGTGAAGGACCTCTTCAAGGAGAACTACAAACCACTGCTCAAGGAAATAAAAGAGGATACAAACAAATGGAAGAACATTCCATGCTCATGGGTAGGAAGAATCAATATCGTGAAAATGGCCATACTGCCCAAGGTAATTTACAGATTCAATGCCATCCCCATCAAGCTACCAATGACTTTCTTCACAGAATTGGAAAAAACTACTTTAAAGTTCATATGGAACCAAAAAAGAGCCCACATTGCCAAGTCAATCCTAAGCCAAAAGAACAAAGCTGGAGGCATCACACTACCTGACCTCAAACTATACTACAAGGCTACAGTAACCAAAACAGCATGGTACTGGTACCAAAACAGAGATATAGATCAATGGAACAGAACAGAGCCCTCAGAAATAATGCCGCATACCTACAACTATCTGATCTTTGACAAACCTGAGAAAAACAAGCAATGGGGAAAGGATTCCCTATTTAATAAATGGTGCTGGGAAAACTTGCTAGCCATATGTAGAAAGCTGAAACTGGATCCCTTCCTTACACCTTATACAAAAATCAATTCAAGATGGATTAAAGATTTAAACGTTAGACCTAAAACCATAAAAACCCTAGAAGAAAACCTAGGCATTACCATTCAGGACATAGGCGTGGGCAAGGACTTCATGTCCAAAACACCAAAAGCAATGGCAACCAAAGACAAAATTGACAAATGGGATCTCATTAAACTAAAGAGCTTCTGCACAGCAAAAGAAACTACCATCAGAGTGAACAGGCAACCTACAACATGGGAGAAAATTTTCACAACCTACTCATCTGACAAAGAGCTAATATCCAGAATCTACAATGAACTCAAACAAATTTACAAGAAAAAAACAAACAACCCCATCAAAAAGTGGGTGAAGGACATGAACAGACACTTCTCAAAAGAAGACATTTATGCAGCCAAAAAATACATGAAAAAATGCTCATCATCACTGGCCATCAGAGAAATGCAAATCAAAACCACTATGAGATATCATCTCACACCAGTTAGAATGGCAATCATTAAAAAGTCAGGAAACAACAGGTGCTGGAGAGGATGTGGAGAAATAGGAACACTCTTACACTGTTGGTGGGACTGTAAACTAGTTCAACCATTGTGGAAGTCAGTGTGGTGATTCCTCAGGGATCTAGAACTAGAAATACCATTTGACCCAGCCATCCCATTACTGGGTATATATCCAAATGACTATAAATCATGCTGCTATAAAAACACATGCACATGTATGTTTATTGCGGCATTATTCACAATAGCAAAGACTTGGAACCAACCCAAATGTCCAACAATGATAGACAGGATTAAGAAAATGTGGCACATATACACCATGGAATACTATGCAGCCATAAAAAATGATGAGTTCATGTCCTTTGTAGGGACATGGATGAAATTGGAAACCATCATTCTCAGTAAACTATCGCAAGAATAAAAAACCAAACACCACATATTCTCACTCATAGGTAGGAATCGAACAATGAGATCACATGGACACAGGAAGGGGAATATCACACTCTGGGGACTGTGGCGGGGTGGGGGGAGGGGGGAGGGATAGCATTGGGATATATACCTAATGCTAAATGACGAGTTAATGGGTGCAGCACACCAGCATGGCACATGTATACATATGTAACTAACCTGCAAAATGTGCACATGTACCCTAAAACTTAAAGTATAAAAAAAAAAATACAATGGCTTAAATAATGGTATTTGTTTTTAAGTGGAAACAACTGAAAGCACTGTACAAATGGCAACTGGTTAATCATTGAAACTTGCATATTTGAAGCATAGAGAGTTGTCTCATGAGCTTTATATACAATACTGTATTTTACTTGAATTTCCATTTAGTGACATTCTATAGTCATTCAGAATTGTTAGTAGATTAAAGGTGATGATACTACAGCATGGTTAATACATTATAAGAAAGTTATTGCATTTTCTTTGAAAATAGCTTTATTCTTTGAAAGTTACTGTATTTTTATATTATTTTGGAAAATTGGCTATGACGAAATGCATTCTCTCTAGAAAACTGATTTTTAATAACAAAAAAATCCTCCAGCTTTTAAAGTCAAAGATAAAATATTTATATTAGGTTTGTTAAACTTCACTTTGTTAGACCAGAGCTATTCCACTATTGACAGACAACTCAGTCTTAAACAGTAAGTAGAGAACATAGTGTTTTTCACAATTCTGTACTTTTATAAAGAAGAAGTATTTATGGAAAGAATAGCATTCATAGTAAAAAATAAACAAGTTTTAAAATGATTTATCTGTACTTAAAAAAACTATACATTTTTATAAGAATATGATTCTAGTCACATATATATTGTCATAATCTAATAATCTGAAAAAAATGCTTTTGCCAAGTCTTTACATATACTTTCTGATACACAGAGACAATAATATGCATTAGAATATAAATCTGGAATAAAAATGATGCTATAATAAAGAGCTTCCTTAAAACTATGTTTTCAAAATAGACAGCTTTGGTTTCTGCCTGTAATACAGGAAAGAAACTGAAATGTTTTGTAATACATTACATGAAATTCAAGTCAGAGAAATTAAACTTGGATGAGAAATAAAGAATAGAAAAAAGGCAAAGAACACAGTAGTACAAAATTTATCTGCATGACTCAGTGACAACTAGTTATCTTTTACTCATATCACGTGATATGGTTTGGCAGTGTCCCCACTCAAATTTCCTCTTGAATTGTAGTTCCCATAATCCCCACGTGTCATGGGAGGAACCAGGTAGAGATAACTGAATCAAGACAATGGCTTCCCCCATCCTGTTGTCATGATAGTAAGTTCTGACGAGATCTGATGGTTCCATAAAAGGATTCCCCCTTTGCTCAGCACTTACTCTCTCCCCTGCAGGCTTGTGAAGAGGTGCCTTCTGCCATGATTGCAAGTTTTCTGAGGCCTCCCCAGCAATGCAGAACTGTAAGTCAATTAAACATCTTTCCTTTATAAATTACCCAGCCTCCGATATTTCTTTATAATAGCATGAGAACAGACTAATGAACCACATAAAGCTCATCTTCTGTGCATAAAATTGAACAAATACATAAGACTTTGAACATTTAAATTACAATTGGTTACTAGAGTTTGTAATTACATTTACTTATATGTTGTCTTTTACTGGAGACATTAGAAAATAGTATAAAATAGGAGTATTTGGAGGGTGTTCAGCAAGACAGACTTAAATATTGATTTTATTATAATTATAAATATAAAGCTTTCTAAGAAAATGTCACTTTTACAGAAATTTTTGGGGTTATCAACACAAACTAATTAAGAGATGCTCATACTGGGTGTGTTATAGAAAATCATTATTTTTCATTACTAATTCTGCTTTTTAAAGACCTAAAGGATAATAATTTAGTAATAAAATAAGTTTTGATTATTATTAACTGTGAGGTGTTCTTCTAAACATTTATATTAGGGGCTTCGTAACAGCTGTTGGAATCAGTTACTGTTGTAGGTAAGATAAAAGGCATAATGAAAAATAATTTGCCCAAGAACACATAGTGGTGGAGCTAGTATTTGAATCTAGTGAGTCCAACTCCAAAACTCATCCTTTAAACCCCTTCTTCTAACGTCCAATTCAGCTCGGTTTTATTCTTTTTTTGTCCAACTTACTCTATTACCCTGAATAGAGCCTTTTATTTTTCTTTCCTGTCATGTCCCCTTTACTTGCCCAATTTCCACAGAAGATCTGAAGGATCACGCAAAGGAGAGCAGGAGTAGGAATGAGTCACTCTTAAGGCTGCTATCTCTGAGACTGTTCTTCCATTTATTTCTCTTTTTGGTCATTGAATTTATTATTGTATTTTTTTTCTTTTTTAAAAAAATCATTCTGTGTATTTTACTCATTTTACATTGAATCAAATATTTATTCAAAATCTTCCCAGATACTATATGGTGTGACAGAATAATCACTCAGTTCAATCTTGTGTCTTAATGGTAATATGATTCACAAAATATTGTGTACTGGTTATCTAGCTAAAAATGAAAAATTATTATTCAAATAGAAAAGCTGAGATTATTATTCATAGGCCATAATTATATTCATGTCTAAGAAATAAATATTTTCCTTAACTTAATACCTTTAAGGTTGATAAATTTGAATCGAAAAAACACATTAAAAAAGGTAAAATTTGATGTGGTCCTATCTGCAATGATTTATATCCCAAATTTTTAAACAGTGAACCAAATAATGTACAATAGGCTCCAAGCATAGTCTCTAAGAGTTAAATAATTATTGATATACACATTTGCCTGTCCAAGCAACCACAAAGAGGAGAAACTTAATAACTAAGAATATGCATATTATTTAGAGAGAGCTAATATTTTACTTCTGTGGCTTGCCTTTACAGGACACATGCATGCCTGCCCCTTTAATCTATTAACTCATGGGGGAATGTCCAAGAAGAAAAGAAATAAACTACAAGATATTCTTCTGGATATGGCTTCTGGTGAATGCACTTGGAGATACATACATTTTGGTTGTGATTTAGGAAATTTTGTCACTTTGAGATAATGCAGAAAGGGAAAAAACTGGCAAAACATTTTAGTAAAACTATGATTAGATTTTATTTTTCAATAAGGACTGCAAACCTTTTCATGTTTTATATCTAAAATGCATTCAAATGTAAGAAAAGATTATTTATTTTTTATAATGGCTGTTCAGTTTATTTTTCATGACTAAATGATCAAAGCAAACAAGATCTAAAAAAGGAAATACAGCTTTTTTCTCAGTTGGAAGTTTTTTTTCACTCTCACATACCATTAGGAAAATGACAGCAATTTGATAAAATATTTCTTTGGGAGTAATTCATTTACGAAGATGTCAGAAACATACAAGTTTTATTTTTGGTTTTAAATAGGGCTCTGTTGTTATTTATTTATTTTCAAAAGTTTATTTTCAAATATCATATGCTAATGGTAGAGCACAAAAAAAGATTGTCAGATTTAACATTAGTTATTTTGGCCCAATTTTGCAAAGCTTTTCCTATTTCTAATAGTAATTCTAACATCTGTCAAGTTGTTCCAACTCTTTTAATATCACATATATATTTAGTCATTTAATGAGATGGCATGTGTCCATCTCAAATATAACAAGGTTACCTAGTGACATAATTATAATTTCGTATGTATGATTTATTAACTTCAACTTTTTTGAATTCAGTTTCTAGTAATATGATGTAAAGTAGTTGTATTCCCATGATATACCCAGAGTACGGTAGGACAGTCTCACTAAGAAGGACCAGCAGACTAAGAAGGACCAGCAGATATTTTCTTTCTACAAATCCAAAGACTATTTTCAGTCATCAATTTTTTTTTATTGTTTAGCACTTTTGACAGCTGGACATATGCACTCTCTCTCTTGAAATAATATCTTTTATGCTGTGTTGATTTTTCTCTCTTAGCGGTTTTCTTGACTTCGTTACAGGTTTATTTTCTGCTGGCCAGCTAAAAAATGTTGAAGTTTCTTAAACGTGATGTTAAAGTAGTTCTCTGATTAGCAGCATCAGCAACAACTTCCAACTTGTTGGAAGTACAAATTCTGGGTTCCCGTCACAGATGTACAGAATTGCAAACTCAGAATGGAAGCCAGATATCTGTAGTTTAACAAGTGATCTGAATTATTCTGATAAACACTGAAGTTTGAGAACCACTTTTCTCCGTTATTGTCACTTTACTTCATATTCTCATTTCAATTATACTCAGATAAAACCATTTTCTTTTCTTAAAGTAGGATTCAAACAAAATGTATCTGTAAAGGGTGAGATAATATATATTGTGTGCTTTGTGGACCATATGCTCTCTGTCACAATTGCTCAACTCTGCATCTAGGAAACCAAGCACAGACAACATGTAAATGAATGAGTGTGGCTGTGTTCCAGTATAACTTTATTTAGCCACACTGAAATTTGAATTTCATATATAATACTTACACTTTGTATAAAATATTATTATTCTTTGACTTTTTCAATCATTTGAAAGTGTACAAAACCATCTTAACTCAGCTTGTAGGATATACAGAAGCAGGCTTGTGGCTCACCACATTTAGCCCAGAGGCCATAGTTTGCCCATCCCTGCTTTAGAGTTTTGCTACTTGTGATGGTTAATTTTGTTAAATGTCAACTAGGCAAGGCTGTGGTACCCAGTTGCATGATTAAACACCAATCTGAATGTTGCTGTGATTAACCTTGAAATTAGCAGAGTTTGAGTTAAACTGATTACCTTCCATAATGTGGGTGGGCCTTGTCCAGTCAGTGTGAGGCCTTAGAGAAAAGATTGAGGTCTTCTAAAAAGGAAGAAATTTTGCCTCCAGATGGCTATTTGACTCAAGACTGCAGCATTGATTCTTACTAGAATATCCAGCCTGCTTTATGAACTTCTGACTTGTTAACCCTCACAATCACGAGTCAAATTCTTAAATTCTCTCTCTCTCATTATTTATATGTATATATAATATACATGTATATATATATATTGTTTAACCTCTTATAAAAAGTCTCTCTTTGTAGATAGGTAGATCGATATATACATAGATAGAGATGATAGATAGATAGATAGATAGATAGATAGATAAATAGATTTATATACATATGTATGAGGGGGCTGAAATACATATAGAGAAATATATATTATATATAGAGAAATATATATTTATTGCATGTTTGTATATACATATACACACACACACACACACACACATATATATATATATATATATATATATACAGAGAGAGAGATAATCTCTGTCTTTCTCTCAGTCTCTCTCTCATGTAGACAGAGATCCTATTGACTCCATTTCTCTACAATGGTAGAATGTATTAGTAGATTGCTTACTAACGCACTATTCAAATTGGTCTGTGGTCTAGCAGCATCAGTACTACCAAAGAGCTTGATAAAAGGGCAGACTCTTTGGCCCCACTCTAGACCTGCTGACACAGAATTTACATTGTAGCAAGTTTCATGGTGATTTACATGTACATGACAATTTTAGAAAGACTGCATTACCTCTCTGAGCTTAAAAGTAAACATTTCTTAGTGTGGTTTTATTAGGCTAATAGCTATCTCCTCTACTTGGTTCTAAGTCTATGAACATATGATTGTATTTTAAATAACTAGCCTAGTTTGTAGCCCAAATTAATTGAATATCCCAGCCCTAAAAGCCAGTATGAAGACAATAACAATTAATACTAGGTAGTACAGGATACAAGATTAATTCAAATTCAGATTATATTCATTTTACCACAACTGTGTAATATTTCAAATCCCTTAATTTTTATTTATGTATGAGGTTAAATTTCACTTACCTTGGAGCTGGTAGAATATTAAAGTGACCCAAAATGAGATGTAAACAAAACCTTCATTTAGAGAAAGTGCACATTTTGCAATCCATATTTACAAAGACCACATAGGTAACAGTTAACCATTTGTGTTTAATTTTTTATTCTAAGATTAAAATATGTTAACCACAATGAACTTTCTTGCTTTGTCTCCTTATTCCAATCTCCCCAGGATATTCTATAAAAGTACATACTAAAACTATAGTTTTGCTTCATCTCAGTTTCTTGCTGTAATTTTTTTGTTTTATAATGAAGAATATATTTACCAGATTTTCTTTGATGTATTAACCATGATGCCCTCATAATTTATTTAATGGAGTAGGTTCTTATTTAGTGGAGTAGTTACTTTGGGATCTAACTGGCCCCAGTAAGACAGTGGATGTATTTATACCCATAATCAATCTTCTTTCTATAGTTTTATCTGTAGGCTCAGATTTCTTTTTTGAATTGATATAGCTAGACAAAAGTATGTTCTTTTTCCTTAACAATATGCAACCTCATACAACAACTTGATAAGAGATTCAGAAGCAGATTATTTGATCTCTGGATATTATGGTCTAACCTCATCATATATATTTTAATAACTGGGCTTTCAGACAAACATATAGTTACAACTCAGAAATGAAACAGTCAAATTGCCTTGTTACTTTGGTTAATATGCTAAGATTGTCTATCGTAGACAAGAGTAGAAACTAAAAAACTCATGTAATCTTTTTAAAATGTATTTTTAGTTAAATTAGCCCACATTTCTCTAATTGCTATAATCCTTTTGTGTAAAAGCACTAAAAAGAGAAAACTCAATCAAAAGGAAAATTCTCCAGAGGGTGATCTATAATAAATTCTACTTTTTCTGCCTGTGCATTAAAACAACAACAAAAACGGTCATAGAAGAAGAGATACTCAGATCTGCTTACTGGAACACAGTAATAGAATAAGCATGAAACCTGATTTAAAAAGCTTTTAAAACTCTACTCATTTTTCTTCATCATTTTTAATGTAATACTAAAGAATATATTTAGTTTTCACAATGGTGAGTTATTAAAAGTAAGGAAATTAAAGTTTTCTGTGTCATAAGGGGGTAGATGTGTTGCCTTTTCAGCAAAATTAATCAGCCTGTGTTGCAGTTTGTTTCACAACCGCACCAGCTATGAGAGACAGGTGGGTGGCTTAATGATCTCCACTATTCCTTTTTCATCCATCAAGTGTCTCCTCTGTTATCCTTTTTTGTTTTTGTTTGTTTTTGGTCTCCATGGCATAGTCAAGCATTTTTATAAAATGGTGCTATGATAAATAATATACTTTCAAAAATTGCTGTAAAATGTAATGATGATTTTCAATTAAGGAAAGAAAATATTTTTTCAAATAAGTATAAAATAATATTAACGATGACAGTATATTAAAGTCTAAGCATATAAAATAATCGGGGAAGTAGAAATTTAACACAGTGTATGTTTGAAGAGAAAGCAGCTAATTGCTTTATTCACATTATCCTTTAAGTTTATATAAAGGCAGAAGAAAATAAATGGGTCCAAAAACCTTGCTCTTATTTAACAAACTAGGAAGAAACATGTAATCATACAAAAAGGAATGAATACCCCCATGGACAACTCTCAAGGAATGGTGGACAGGAGCTAGTCAATAGGTGCCCAGCTTCTCAGGGACAATCTACCCACTCACCTTCACCCTTGCCTTCCTTTGGAATCTTCCAGCAGTAGCCTAAGAAATTGCTCGAAGCATCTCCTTAACTTCACTTTTGGTATTATTCTTATAGATTGATAAAATAGCTTTAATGGAAAGAACTTCAGTTACTTTTGCACCAACCTAATAAATCTATTGGCTTTTCATTTTGCTGAATATATGTATATTCCTTGCAATGTAATTCACTTTAAATCCTTACAAAAATATGCAGCTTAATTATTATTTTTATCCATATTCAACATTTGTTCTTATGTATACTGAAAGATCAAAAAAATCCTAAAAATAAATTTTTATAAAAGATTATCATGTGAGTATCACACACCTATTGAAGCCTAAATGTTAAATATTTAGGCAAATTCTAAACATGATTTTCAAGTAAACCTGAATTTAAACTTTGCTATTGACACAGTTATGGACTCTATTTTAAAATGTCTTCAAATTTCTTTATGGTGAATAAAGCTGTCAGAAGCATATATGTCTCCCTTGTCCTCACAATAGTTGACTCCTGCAGGGCTGTCACAAGGCCAATAAAAGAATGACCTCGGGGATATGAAAGTGGAGACACTTCAAGGTGTCTCCAAAGATTTGGTCTCACAACACTTGAATTGGCTCATGTAAGCAGCCATGTCACAAGTGCTGAAAAAATAACTCCCACAAAATGGCTACACATTTACAGAGAAAAGATTTTTTTGTTACATACTAATACAGCAAATCAATCCTTGAAAAAGACTAGGAATCTTGACTTAAGTGATCTCTTTATTTAGGCAGTGACTCTCAGAAGCCTCTAAGGAAAACTTGCTAACTCCAAGTAACCTTGCACAAATTGTTTTTCTATATTTACTTTGGTTTTTAATATCTTTTATTTTCCTTGTATCTAAAGTGGAGATGATGCTTGCTAAGGTTCTTACCAGCTAGAAAACTGGTAACTTTAGGACAGTTCTCCTCTTCCTTGGAGGACCCCAGAGAGGTCCCAGGGGTGAAGACCCTAGCCCTAACCAGAGAGTTTCACTTCTGTTATATTATTGATGTCTGTCTCTTCTGGATAAGCTGGGAAATACATGATTCTGTGATATGTGTTAAATACAGAGCAGCAAATTTTACCTTTGTATTATTTACGTTTAGTTTATCATATACTTAAACTCATCCTGCACAAAGTATATTTTTTTCTAGAAATTACTTTCATTGTTTAAGTACATGTTTATAAAACTTATTGGAAACAATGGGATAAAATACAGAGATTAAGTGGCATTAGTGAAATTATATCTAGCCTAGACTTCTTTTAGTAAGAAAGAATATAAACAAAGAATATAAACTCCTTTCATTTACTATACTGTAGGTGACAGCTTACCGACAGTAAATATTTCTTTGGATAAACTACTATACAGAGGTTTTATGTTTCTTTTGAGGATCTTAAAAAAGATTCCCCCAATTTCTGTAATTTTTTTTTCCTGTTCTCATCTTTCTTTTTCTACCTATACTACTTTAATTCAGCCTTTGATGGCCTGAAACATGTGTAACTACAAATGCTTCTTAACCACTTTATTGGCCTTTATTGTCTTTTGTTTCTAATTGTCTCTCACTCAGCCATTGAATAAATCTTTTAACTGCACTCACAAGCTTAATCAACTTATTAAAAAGTTTAACATTTCTTCACCACCTACAAATATGTTCCTAATCAATAAATAGTATTTAAGACCCTTGCCATTTGGCTTCAGGTGATTATTGTTTCCCCCTCTTCACATTTCTAATACATATTTCTAGCTGTTTAACTACATTAGACAGCTTGTAATTTCCTTAAAAATTTTGTATATATTTCCACTCCTCCATATCATTCCCTTTTATTCCAAGTACCATCTTCATTCTAAAGCTAGAATAATAATGTCTCAATTTCATCTGGTGACCTTACCTCATACTTTGGAGAGAAAATTGATATAATTGTTTAAGAACTGCCCACTGGCCAGACGAGGTAGTTCACGCCTGTAATTCCAGCATTTTGGGAGGCCGAGGTGGGAGGATTGCTTGAGACAGGAAGTTTGAGTCCAGCCTGGGCAATATTGTGAGACTCCTGTCTCTACAAAAATATTATAAAATGATCAAGCATATTGGCATTCACCAGCAGTCCCAGCTACTCAGGAGACTGAGATGGGATGATTACTTGAGTCTTGGAGGTCAAGGCTGCTGCCATGAGCCGTCATTATGCCTCTGTATTCCAGCCTGAGCAACAAAGTGAGTTCTTGTCAAAAAAAAGAAAAAAAAAAAAAAAAAAAGAAGAAGAAGAAGGAGAAGGAGGAGAAGGAGAGAAAAAAAAAAAGAAAAGAACTGCCCACTATCATATTTGTTAATTTATATTTTTTTCAACCACATCCAATAAATTAGGTGTTTATGCTCCTATCCAAATCTAAACCATCCCTTATGCTCCAGAACCTACTCCTTTATTCTTTTTCAAGGTCTTTGCATCAAAGCTTGAGAAAGAGGTCTTATTTTCTTTCTAGTCTGAATCATAAATTTCTCCCTCTTTGCTGTGTCATTACATTAGCATTAAAAATGTAACCCATTTACAATACATAAGTTGCAAAGCTCTGCATCTAGTCTAGTGTATGATTCTAAGCTTCCTGAATCATATATTAAATTTCCTAAATACTTCAGTTAACATAAATGATGCATATAATGACTCCTCTTTGTTGCAAAGAAAACTAAAGAGGCATATAGCATATTTTAAAATTGGAGGCTATTCACATAAAATAAATGAATAATTCTGCAGCATGATAAACAAAAGCAAATATTGACATGGAATTTTCTGAACATTAAAAAAATAGATTTGGTAGTTATAGCCGTTGATGGGGAATGCAAAAAATTATAATTTGCCAAATTGACTTTCTAATATAACTTGCTTTAAGAACTATGTTACTTAATAATTCAATGGTATTCATAGCAAAAGAATTTTCTCTACTTGCCTGAAATCCTCATTTCGACTTGAAAATATGAATGGCTGTTTTAATTTTTTTTTTTTTTTTTTGAGACAGAACCTTGTTCTATCACCCAGGCTGGAATGCAATGGTACAATGTCGCCTCACTACAACCTCCACCTCTCCCAGATTCTAACCATTCTGTAAGCTCTCCCAAGTCTCTAAGACTACAGGTGCCTGCCACCATACTTGACTAATGTTTGTATCTTTAGTAGAGACAGAGTTTCACCATTCTGGCCAGACTGGTCTCAAACTCCTGGCCTCAAGTGATCTGCCCACCCCAGCCTCCCAAAGTGCTGGGATTACAGGCATCAACCACTGCACAGGGCCTATTTGAATGTTTTATTATGCGTAATATATTCTCATCTAGACCTTCATGTTCTAAACATTTGGAAGATTTACCATGTCTAGTGATAAGAGATTTTATTTTTATATCAACAAGTGTTAAAAGCTATGTGTTTTAAAAGGTAAAATCATGACTTATATATTAGTACAAAATATAAGTGAGTCAAAGATTTTATTTTACTGAGTAACTGATAAGGGAACCAGCAAGATGATAAAACTGATTCAAGAGATTCCAAAGAATGCATTTTTTGTGTGTCTAGATAACTGTATTTACCATAAAGAATCAAGAATGCTGAAATAAATTGTCAAATATATGCAAAACTATTCAATATAAAAAGAAAGTAAAATGTAATGTTTGAAATTGTTTGTTCCAGCACAGTGGGTTGGTATGGGAGAAATCAATCACATTTCCATTAGACATAATTAATTTTCATCTCTGTGAACAAGAAAAGGTTGGCATCACCATCAGCCTTCTACATTACTTTCCATACAATGTTGCATAGTAGGCCTCTAAAAACAATGAAATTCACAAACCCCTATAAAATCAGGTACCCCCAACTCTCCATGAGCAACACAGCATTCCAGGAAAAAGATACCCAGTAATCATGTCTTCATTTCAAAGCTTTTCACTATTTTTTTTTCTGATACACACATGATCTCTAGGGGTAGCAGCCTATGAAGATTCACTCATGGAAGATGACAAGAAAATAAAAAAAGTTTTATCTTTGATGCTTAATTTTCAGATAGACATACAATTATTGAAATAAAACTCTTATCAAACTCATATTAAATTTGCTATAAACAGAGCAGATTGCTGGACTGGAAATTTTTTTGAAAATTCCTTCTTCTACCTCTGTCTATATACATGCCAAAAGGAAAATATATTACTAATTAATATTATAGTTAAAATATAAAGTAACAAAATTCTTGACTTTAGTGATTAGCACTAGCAATTTTTAATGTAAAACATCTATATTACATTTCTGAAAAATTATTTGAAGACATATAGAAAAACATAACTCTTGTCATCACATTTTTAATATCTTTAAATTTTGGAAACACTAATTTAACTCACAATTAAACTATCAGCAACTACAGAGAATAAGATCTGAATTTACATAGGCATCAGTTTTTTTTTTTAATTTAGTTCTTCTCATTTGTTTCTGATCAGAATCCAGTGAGATAAATACAAAAAGATCATATAATTTTTACAAAAAATACATTTACATCAGTTTCAAAAATGATATTATCAGTTGCTAACATTCAGGTAGGGCTCAAATGAGAATTCTATATTGTTTTCCACAGATTTCTTTTTTCACGTCAAAGAGAAATCTTTCATTCTCCTTGCCTTTTTCCTTTTTCTTGTAATGTGAACTCTTTCAGTGGGCATTAACCTCCCTGAAACCATTAAGCCTTTTGTATTAGCTCACACAGCTGAAAAAGTCTAGATGGTTCACTGGTGAAAAGACTCATATCTGTGTTCCATTGTTTTTCCATCGGGATTATTAATACTATAAGAAAATTGCTCACAAAGGTATTCTTCTCCTTACTGCATTTTAATAAGCTGCTTATGCTAAGCAGGTGTCTGCCATTGTTGTGCTCTTAAGAGGGGTACACACATCTATCCAAGGGATAAACAGGTGAATATGCTTCAGCTGAGCCATTTACATGTCTTTATAAAATATGTATGACCAAATTTACATATCAGTGTAAATAGCAATAGCTAGATGCTACTTTTGACTTGTCTTGAGAGATAAAAGTAAGAAAGATACTAGGGATTTGGAAAGATTATGCTGAAATTCTCATTAAAGTTATGCAATACAGGTGAGAAAGTAAAATGCATACAGATTTTTAAAAATATTTTAAACATTTTGAACTCCAAAACTATGGAAAATTTCTCCCAGTAGTACACATTTAATGTGCTTGAATTCTAGTCTATAACTGTGAAAAACATCAGGCAGAAGTATCTTGAAAATTCTGAGATTTACATGAAATTGGTAGTAGCAGTGTTGGAGGATAATCTATCAGATTCAGGCTTTGGATTTTTTTATTTTTATCATACGAGATAAATACGATGATTTAGCCTGAGAATTACTAAAATCTCTCTCCAGAATTGGAGAACAGTAATTATAACTAGTAACTGGACTTTTTAATTTGGCTGTACAAAGAGCAATATACTAATACTCAATATGTTCAGCTGGAGCTTGTGAAAAATGTGCAAAAAGCCATTTAACAAGATGCTTAGGTCATCCATATGCACATTAAATTTTGAGAAGCTGCTCTAAATGGCTTCAGGCCTTCCAACCAACTCTAAAATACTGCAACATTTCCCAATTCTGAAACACTGCAACATTATCACAACATATTTTAACATAAAAAAGATACTCATCCAAAATAGTTGAAAACTGTGCCTCTATTGTACCACCATAATGATTTTATTAAAAGATCAACTAGATGATCTTGCTGTTCAAATATGTGTAATAGTTTCCATTATCTCTCTAACATAAAATCCAAACCCCTGGCATATAAGGCCTATGATGACCTGGGTACAACCCAATCATGTCACAGTTATATGCAAATTTTGTTTTCTAGAGCTCTTAAACGTTTGTAATTTTTGTAACTCTTATGATAATCCTTGCCTCTGCACACTTTATATGCTCATTCTTCTAGCTGGAATGTAATCCCTCCTCAGCCCCTCCTTTTCAATTTGATGAGCTTTCTGTTAAGTATATCCACCACGATACCCTAGTTGATATTTTAAACTATCCTTACTACAACATTTAACTTGTATTTCTATGAGACTCCCCTTTGAAACTCCAATGTACATATACATATGTATGTTCAAATCTGATTCACACTCTAGATCTGGAGAACTTGGAGACAGGAAAGTTATTTCATTCATCTTTATATTCTTATAGGAATATATGTGTAGTAATTGATGAAAGAGTAAAAGTGCATTCAATAACTTCCAGTTTTTAAATATTCATGTTTAGTCTTAGAACAGCATATCATGATAATTGAAAGGTCAAATATAATATTTATCTCACTGATAGAGAATCTGGATATAACTTTTAAAAGGTAAACTATATCTGCTTTCTCACTCTTTAGAAACTTAAAGAAAAAAGAAGAGAGAGAAAAATGATGCATCTGGTTTATATCATCCAACTTTTATCTGTACAAGAATTTGAAGGTATATTACAGCAGAAAATCTTATCCT
Source organism: Homo sapiens (assembly GCF_000001405.40). Lineage (NCBI taxonomy): Eukaryota > Metazoa > Chordata > Mammalia > Primates > Hominidae > Homo > Homo sapiens. The sequence goes on along the minus strand of NC_000004.12, from coordinate 65,274,334 downwards.
ACCCAATTGTTGGATTATCTCTTGTTCATAAAGTATACATTACCTTCATAAACAATACACAGTTATGAGGGAAACCTAAGTCTACTTCCTGATGAATGCCAAAGATGAGACATTAAAATCATTTTAAAGACTCTTTCAACCTTAGTATTATATTGTTCTATAATAAAATATAGATCAATAATTTGCTTTGCTTAAAGGTAGAGTAAATACAGAGAGAATAAAAAGAGAAATGCTTAGGACACAAACTATTTAACCCATTAATTTCCATATGTGTGTGTATGTGTGCGTGTCTGTGTATGTGTGCGTGTCTGTGTGTGTGCGTGTATGAACATTTGAATGGGTGTAGTTTTCAGGACAAATTACAAAATTGTAATCGGGCTATATCTATGTATAGTACACTATTATTGGCTCAATGGTTTAGAATGTGAGATGAGCCAGTGAGGTTTTTACCATCTCTTAGAATACTTGTCTTCCTTTCAGTTCAAAACTGCATTTGATGACTAAAATATCCCTTATTTTCTTAAAAACTCTCAATAAACTAGGTATTGATGGGACATATCTCAAAATAATAAGAGCTATTTATAACAAACCCACAGCCAATATCATACTGAATGGGCAAAAACTGGAAGCATTCCCTTTGAAAACTGGCACAAGATAGGGATGCCCTCTCTCACCATTCCTATTCAACATAGTGTTGGAAGTTCTGGCCAGGGCAATCAGACAGGAGAAAGAAATAAAGGGTATTCAATTAGGAAAAGAGGAAGTTAAATTGTCCCTATTTGCAGACGACATGATTGTATTTCTAGAAAACCCCATCGTCTCAGCCCAAAATCTCCTTAAGCTGATAAGTAACTTCAGCAAAGTCTCAGGATACAAAATCAATGTGCAAAAACCACAAGCATTCCTATACACCAATAACAGACAAACAGAGAGCCAAATCATGAGTGAACTCACGTTCACAATTGCTTCAAGGAGAATAAAATACCTAGGGATCCAACTTACAAGGGACGTGAAGGACCTCTTCAAGGAGAACTACAAACCACTGCTCAATGAAATAAAAGAGGAGACAAACAAATGGAAGAACATTCTATGCTCATGGATAGGAAGAATCAATATCGTGAAAATGGCCATACTGTCCAAGGTAATTTATAGATTCAATGCCATCCCCATCAAGCTACCAATGACTTTCTTCACAGAATTGGAAAAAACTACTTTAAAGTTCATATGGCACCAAAAAAGAGCCTGCATTGCCAAGACAATCCTAAGCCAAAGAATAAAGCTGGAGGCATCAAGCTACCTGACTTCAAACTATACTACAAGGCTACAGTAACCAAAACAGCATGGTAGTGGTACCAAAACAGAGACATAGGCCAATGGAACAGAACAGAGCTCTCAGAAATAACCACACATCTACAACAATCTGATCTGTGACAAACTTGACAAAACTTTGACAAACTTTGACAAACTTGACAAAAACAAGCAATGGGGAAAGGATTCCCTATTTAATAAATGGTGCTGGGAAAACTGGCTAGCCATATGTAGAAAGCTGAAACTGGATCCCTTCCTTACACCTTATACAAAAATTAATTCAAGACGGATTAAAGACTTTAAATGTTAGACCTAAAACCATAAAAACCCTAGATGAAAACCTAGGCAATATGATTCAGGACATAGGCATGGGCAAGGACTTCATATCTAAAACACCAAAAGCAATGGCAACAAAAGCCAAAATTGACAAATGGGATCTAATTAAACTAAATAGTTTCTTCACAGCAAAAGAAACTACCATCAGAGTGAACAGGAAACCTACAGAATGGGAGAAAATTTTTACAATCTACCCATCTGACAAAGGGCTAATATCCAGAATCTACAAAGAACTCAAACAAATTTACAAGAAAAAATCAAACAACCCCATCAAAAAGTGGGTGAAGGATATGAACGGACACTTCTCAAAAGAAGACATTTATGTAGCCAAAAGACACAAAAAATGCTTATCATCACTGGCCATCAGAGAAATGCAAATCAAAACCACAATGAGATACCATCTCACACCAGTTAGAATGGTGATCATTAAAAAGTCAGGAAACAACAGGTGCTGGAGAGGATGTGGAGAAATAAGAACGCTTTTACACTGTTGGTGGGACTGTAAACTAGTTCAGCTGTTGTGGAAGACAGTGTGGCGATTCCTCAAGGATCTAGAACTGGAAATACCATTTGACCCAGCCATCCCTTTACTGGACATATACCCAAAGATTATAAATCATGCTATTATAAAGACACATGCACATGTATGTTTATTGTGGCACTATTCACAATAGCAAAGACTTGGAACCAACCCAAATGTCTATCAATGATAGACTGGATTAAGAAAATGTGGCACATATACGCCATGGAATACTATGCAGCCATAAAAAAGGATGAGTTCATGTCCTTTGTAAGGACATGGATGAAGCTGGAAACCATCATTCTGAGCAAACTATCACAAGGACAGAAAACCAAACACTGCACCTTCTCACTCATAGGTGGGAATTGAACAATGAGAACACCTGGACACAGGATGGGGAACATCACACACTGGGGCATGTCATGGGGTGGGGGAAAGGGAGAAGGATAGCATTAGGAGATATACCTAATGTAAATGACAAGTTGGCCGGGCGCCGTGGCTCACGCCTGTAATCCCAGCACTTTGGGAGGCTGAGGCGGGCAGATCACGAGGTCAGGAGATCGAGACCAACCTGGCTAACATGGTGAAACCCCGTCTCCACTAAAAAATACAAAAAAATTAGCCGGGCGTGGTGGCTGGAGCCTGTAGTCCCAGCTACTTCGGAGGCTGCGGCAGGAGAATGGTGTGAACCCAGGAGGTGGAGCTTGCAGTGAGCCGAGATTGCGCCACTGCACTCCAACCTGGGCAACAGAGTGAGGCACTGTCTCAAAAAAAGAAAAATAATAATAATGACGAGTTAACAGGTGCAGCACACCAACATGGCACATGTATACATATGTAACAAACCTGCATGTTGTGTACATATACCCTAGAACTTAAAGTATAATAATAAAAAAAACAGGATTACCAAATGTTACATTTACTCTTTCTATTATTTATTTATTCATGCATTCATTTTACAAGCAGTTGAGAACTCTACCAAAAATAAATTTGTTAGTGTGAGGATAATATTGTAACAAGTAAATAAAAGTAGGTTGGATCTGGAGTAAAAATTGTACGTACAGTAAAAGCGAGATCAGAGCCTGGAGAAGGAAGCTGACAGTAGATGGCAATTTGAGGAATTAATATTTATGAAGGGATGCCTTCCACATGCACTCCTCCCCAGCTAAAGGAAAAATGCTCAATGTAGTCTAGCTTATCTATCTCTGTAACCCTAGCATTAAGCATGGTTTTAAACACGAATCTGAGCATTCCACTTCTTCTTCAGTTCTGAGAAAGTAAGAGCTGTTATTACTTCCAACATTGTTTTTACTCATTACCTCTATTTGTTTCTATGAAGTTTCATATTAAATACATCCTATAATTTACCATATTTCTTAAAGTTTTTCTAAACTTTTTTATGTGGGATAATTTAATTGTGATAATATTCTCTTGAATGGTATTTTTTTTTTACATTGATCTTCCAGTTTCTTCAATTGTTAGTTGCTTTCTGTAATCTTTATTGGAAATGATATTTGTCTCTTCTAAGGTCTAACAATAATAATATATATTTGTTACTGTCTCTTCTTGCTTTCTTTTTATTTTCCACCAAGGAAATTTCCTTCGTTATCTCTCAGAAACCCCCACACATTTTTTTCTGTAAAGACGTTATGTTTTTAAAGCATCTTTAGGTTTTGCTTAAGCAAAAATATTAGGAGATAATTATAGAGTTTTTTTATACATCGATTGCTCTCACTCATTTCCCATATCATCAACTTCCCCACTAGAGTGGTCCATTTTGTACAACTGATGAATCCACACATTATTATGCAATAGACTAAGGCTTATGTCCTCCCAATATTCATATGCTGAAATCCTAATCCCCCAAGGTGATGGAATTGGGAAGTAGGGCCTTTGGGATTTGATTAGGTCATGAAGGCAGAGCCCTCTTGATTGGGATTAATGCTGTTATAAAAGAGATCCTAAAAGGCTAGTTTCTAAACTACCATGTGACTACAGTGAGAAGGCATCATTTATGAACCAAAAGGCGACCATCACCAGACATAAAATCTGTCATCACCTTGGCTGTGAACTATCCAGCCTCCGTAAAAATAAATTTTGGTTGTTTATAAGCTGCCCAATGTATACTATTTTGTTATAGCAGCCTGAATGAATGAATGAATGAAGATAATTATCACGTAAAATCCATAGTTACAATAGGGTTAACTCATGGAATAGAATATTCTTGGGTTTGGCCAAATATATAATGACCTATATCTTCCATTATAATATTATATACAGCACTTTCACTACCTTGAAAATCTGTACTTCTCCTATTTATCCCTGTCTGCCTCTAACCATTGGAAACCACTAATCTTTTTACTATCTCCATAGTTTTGCCTTTTCCAGAATGTCGTACAGTTAGCATCACAAAGCATGCTGACTTTTCAAATTGGCTTATTTCACTTAGTATTATGCATTTAAGTTTCCTCCATGTATTTTCATGGCTTAATAGCTCACTTCTTTTTAGGACTGAAAAAGGCTCATTGCCTGTATGTACTGCAGTATATTTATCCATTTACCTACCAAAGGACATCTTGGTTGCTTCCAAGCTTTGCCCATTTAAAAAAAAAATCTGCTGTAAACACTTGTGTGTAGATATAAGTTTTCAACTCTTTTGGGTAAATATAAAGGACCACAACTGTTGAATCATATGGTAAGAGTATGTTTAGTTTCGTAATAATCTGCAAAATTGTCTTCCAAAGTAGTTGTACTAATTTGCATTCCCACCAGCAATGAATGAGAGTTCCTGCTCCTTCACATCCTCACCAGCATTTGGTGGTGTTAGTGTTCCTAATTTTGGCCTTTCCAATAGGTGTGTAGTTTTACCTTATTGTTGTTTTAATTTGAATTTTCCTGATGACATGTGATAAGGAGTATCTTTTCATATGTTTATTTACCATCTGTATATCTTCTTGGGTGAGGTATCTTGTTAAGATCTTTGGCCTATATTTTAAACAAGCTGTCTTTTTTCTTATTGTTGAGTTGTAAGTGTTCTTGGTATATTTATCAGACTTGTCTTTTAGAAATATTTTCTCTCAGTCAGTGGCTTGTTTTGTTTTCATTCTCTTGACAGTCCCTTTTGCAACGCAGACTTTTTCTATTTCAATGAAGTCCAGGTTACCAATTCTTTCTCTCATGGATCATGCCTTTGGTGTTGTATCTAAAAAGTCATTACCAAACCCAAGTTCGCCTAGATTTTCTCCATGTTATCTATTATTTATAAATTTTGTATTTTTGTGTTTTACATTTAGGTCTTTCATCCACTTTGAGTTCATATTTATGAAGGGTGTAAGGTCTGTGTCTAGATTTTTTTTTTTTGCATGTGGACATTCAATTATTCCAACACCATTTGTTGAAAAACTATTTTCTCTTCATTACATTGTGGCAATTGCAGGAACAAAGCATCTAGTTTGGGAAAGTTGGCAGTAATAGCAGAGGTTTTCAGGAGGAGCAACCGCTACGATTTTCGGTCTGCTTCTTCTCCAATACCAACTTTTGAGTTACACATAGTACCCTTTCTTGTTTTGAGATCTGTTCTGAACATATTTGTAAAACTCATCTCTGTTTTGCTTTGGGTTTCCTTAAGAAGGCTAAGTGCTCTATCTTTAAACCAGAAATACAGTTTCAAACACAGTTTTGTAACCTGACACTATCTAGGAAACTGAAATACACAGCTTTTTAATTTGGCCTTGAAAAATAGATTTGTGTATTATATGCTAGGATGGAGTAGGAAGGGGCAAAATTCAGTTAGAGAAACTTCCTTTATCAATTCATGGAAGTAGAATCATAATATATACTTAGAGATTGATGGTAGTATACTGACTGCATAATAAGATTCAGGACAGAAACAACAAACGAGAATAAAAACATAGCATTGTTTCATATTACAGAAGGTATGCAGTAACTGGATAGAGACATCAAACTGTATGTGTTACAAATATGAAGATTTTTAAATGTTTAATTGTTGGGATGATAAATTATTCAGTATTTTCCAGAGAAACAGAACCAGCAGGATGTTTTGTTTGGTTTTTAAGAATTTGCTCACACAATTTTGCAGGAGTGGTTAGTCCAAAACCTGATGGGATAGGCTAGCAAGCTGGAAAACCAGGAAGAATTGCAGTTTGAGTCAAAAGGCAGTCCAGTGTCAGAATTCCTTCTTGATCAGCAGAAATCAATCTTTTTACTATTAAATCCTTCAGCTGATTAGATAAGGCCCAACCACATTATGGAGGGTAGTCTACTTCAAAGTCCACTGATGTAAATGTTAATCTGATCTAGAAACACCTTCACAGAAATATCCAGAATAATGTTTGACTAAATATCTGGGCATTCGTGTGCAGCCAAGTTGACACAAAAATTAATCGTCACAAGTCCACCTTTTGTCAACTTGGCACTCATACATATTTCTTTAAATATACTTAATCTCAAAATTTTATTATTTTTATAACAAAATAAGGAAGAAATACTCATAATTATTATAGCCCTCTTTTCTGTAATACAGCTATCACAAGGCTCTAGCTGGTATTCCTAACAATCTTATTCCACAATGCATTAGTTCCTTCACGTTTATCAAGCACCTCAGTTGGTTGTGGTTCTTCACCTGGTGGGATGACCCAAACCTTAATTCCTGAAGGATCTAGGTTGTTAGTATTCCTGACTGGACTTAGTTGTTTTAGTTGTCCATTGACTTTAGTCACAGGTAAGGTCATATTAAATCATGCCGTAAGGAATCTCCTGTTTTCCAGACATCCTCTTCCTTACCTTCACTGTGGAATAGCAGTCCAAATTCTCATTGGTAGTCAGGATCAATCACTCCTGGAAGAATAGCAACTCTTTCTTTCCTGTTAATTTAGAGGTGTGAGAAGCCCTGATGGGGCCTGGTGGCAGTCTCAACTTCTAATTCAATGAAATCATTATTGTGCCCCTTTATGAAGAATTCATCCCTTTGGAAGTAAAGCCTCTAGACCAGCAGAACATAAGTTTATATAAACAGGAAGCAGAAATGTTGCTGGTGAGTCATTAGGGGAAATAGCAAGTAATGCCACTTCCATTTCCACCCTCTTGATTTCTGGGCCCATGAATTCTGGCTATGGGAGAAATGGCACCATTTATTAGACACTGATTCAGAGCATATACAGCCTCCTCAAGAAGATTCTTCAAGTTCTGTAAGGAATTGCTACCTAGCAGGTACTGTAACTGAGTCTTCAGAAAATCATTTCATTGTACTATACAGTACCTAGCAGGTACTGTAACTGAGTCTTCAGAAAATCATATCATTGTACTATCACCAGCTGCTTCAGGATGGTAAATTCCATTAGAATGGCCCATTGTCACATCCCATTTGCTGTGAAATAAGTTCTTTGGTCAGAATTAATGCTGAGTGGAATACCATATGGTGGATAAGGCATCTGTGAGTCCACTAATGGTAGTTTTGGCAGAAACATTGCATGCAGGGAAGGCAAATCCATATTCAGGGTGTCTATTCCAGTAAGTACAAAACACTCCCTTTTTCATGATCAAAGTGGTTCAATGTAATTAACTTGCCACTAGGTAGCTGGCTGATCATCCTGAAGAATGGAGCCATACTGGGGTTCCGTGCTGGTCTCTGTTGTTAGCTGACTGGGCACAAAGCGGTGGCTGTAACCAGGTAAACCTTGATGAGTGGAAGCTTGTGTTGCTGAGCCCATGCATAACCTCTATCCATGCTACCATGGCTACTTTGTTTATTGTCCCATTGGACAAAGGGTGGTGGGGGGATGAGGTGGACTAGTATCCAAAAAAACAAGTCATCCTATCCATTTGATTATTAAAGTCTTCCTTTGTTGAAGTAACTCTTGGTAAGTATTCACATAGCACACAAATATCTTTATGCCTTTTGCCCATTTATAGAGATCTACCTACATACCTCTTCTCCAGACTTTCTTGTCACCAATTTTTCAGTCATGCTCTTTCCAAGCCTCTGATTATCTAGTCAAACCATTAGTTACAGCCCATGAATCAGTATATAATAACACATGTGACCATTTCTTCCTTTAAGCAAAATGAACATTAGGTGCATTGATTGAAGTTCTGCCTACAGGGAGAATTTTCCTTCTCCATTGACGTCTAGGAATGTCTAAGAAAGGGCACTACTACTGTTGTCCACTTTCATGTGATCCCTAAAATATTGTACAGAACCATCTGTAATTCAAGCCTGACTCTTCTCTTCATCTGTCAACAGATCATGGGGAACTCCTCATGAGGCCATAGGTGTAAGCTGGGAGAGAGAAGCCAGTGTAGCAGAAATGGGATTCATGAGCATTGGGCCACTTGTTCATGTAACTACTTGTGCCTTCAGTACAAGCTTGGGCCAGATTTTATATTCTCACTTCCATTTGATGATGTCATACTTCTATGCATGCCCAATATTATGACTTATTGGAGTCAGATAATAGCAGTTCATGATGGGCTGCTCATGTCACATGGAATCTTGGTGGCCCATGTCTAAGAACTTAGTTTCTACTGAGGCCCAGTAGCAGGCCAAAAACTGTTTTTCAAAAGGAGAATAGTAATCTGCTGAGGATGGTGGGGCTTTGTTATAAAATCCTAAGGGCCTGCACTTTGATTCAGGTATAAGGGCCTGACACAAGCTCTGAACAACATCCCTGTCTTCCACTGACACAAAAGCTAAGTGACTGAGGGAAGAGTTAAAGTTTAAGTTAAAGGCAGTCACCTGGAAGGATTTTCTCTCACTCAGCAGAGGCCACTCTTTGTACTATGAAGGCCTTCAACTGTTTGGATGAACCCCACCCAAATGATGGAGGGTAATCTGCTCTACTCAGTGTTTGCTGATTTAAATGTTAATCTAATCCAAACATCACTACAGAGACATTCAGAATAATATTAATCAAATATTTTGCCCCCATGGCCCAACCAAGTTGAAACAAAATTTACTATCACAGGCAACATGATCAGAAAAATCTTTAATAAGATAAATGTAGTTGTGATAAGCAGAATGGAAAACAAGAGGGGGATTTGAAGGCAAAGATGTTGTTGAAATACTTAAAGAATAGGTTAATAGGATTTGGCCCAAGGTTAGAAATCAGAAAACAGAGTAGAAAGGCTTATATGCAAAAGTACTTAAAGTAAATTTGATAACATAATTTTGCATCAAAGTAAAAATATTTATTAAATATTTGGAATTAAGAGTGACAGAGAGGTGGGCCAAGAATTAAAATGCAACTTAACTAATTATTCACATGGATGCCAGAATTGAATCTATAGATGTTTTTTAAAACCTTGAATAGCACACATGTTCTTTCAATAAAATATTTAATTTTTATTAGCTTAAAATAATAATGTGATGCTTGAAGTCACAATTGTTTAAAAATTCTTGAAATTAAGACTCACGTTGGAAAAAAATTAGTTTCTGTAAAAAGCTTATTTCAAATATTCTTAGAGACCATCCGAAAGTTAACATTGAGTGTAATGAATAATTTAGATTTAGGTTAGTAATGCTGACTTGTAAGTAGATTTAGAGCATTCCTCTTTCTGTAGTGAATACTATACAAGCTAGTTTAATCTGAAGCAGTTATACTGCTATGCTTTGATAAATCAATCCATTAATCTTATTCATATAATAAAAATCTTACGTTCAATAATCACAAAAGCAAGCAGCTCATTTATACAGATGTTGTTTCAGCTCAACTATCTGTGCTCAAATGCTTTAGAATCATATGCCTGTAAAGGATTCAAGGTAATCTTGTCTATCATTCTGCCTGGAGCTGTGCTGTATATACTGTAACAATATTAGAAATCTAAGATAACCTTTTTACTTGATCAAAAAACTGAATTTTTTAATGTACTGACTCATCTTTTGTTGATTTTTAATATTGTATTCACTATCTTTTTTTTTTTTTCTTTTTTGACAGAGTTTCACTCTTTTTGTCCAGGCTGGAGTGCAATGGTGCAATCTCAGCTCACCGCAACCTCTGCCTCCTGGCTTCAAGTGATTCTCCTGCCTCAGCTTCCTGAGTAGCTGGGATTACAGGAGTGCACCATCACATCTGGCTAATTTTGTGTTTTTAGTAGAGACAGGGTTTCACTATGTTGGCCAGGCTGGTCTCAAATTCCTGACCTCAAGAGATCTGCCTGTCTTGGCCACCCAAAGCACTGGGATAACAGGCATGAGCCACTGCACCTGGCCCACTATCTTTCATTTTAATCTTTAATAATTTAAAATTTTCTAAAAAAATATATTTACAAACATGCAATTTTTTTAATCTAAAAGTTTCAACATCTCAATTCCAATTACCATCAGCAAAGCTTTATTATATTTCACACACAAAAATACTATGGTCCTTTTGTTTATTTCCTTTTATAAGGAATGTCACCAATTTGTTCTATTTTGTCTATTTTTGCAAAAGATGATTTAACATTATCTTGTAAAAGAAAATATTATTTCTTATATTAACATATTTAAACACAGCACAAATAGAAAAAAATAGGATGATTTACTTTTATTTTTTCAACAATAAGGTAATAGATCTATTGTCTAATTACATTGTCTTCTCTTTCTGCACACTTCTTGATTGATGTGCTTCTCAGGGTTGTAAATAATTGTTCTTAGATTTGTACTATATGGCTTTATATAGCAAGTGAGAGCACCTTGACTTTGATTAACTCAGTTTAAAAGGAAAAAGTAAAAGACAGTCAAAATAGGAGAAAAAGATAATAATAGCTGCTGGTGCTAAGGAAAACAAAGCTGGTTTTGTGATGTGAGTGCTGGGCAACATCTTTTTGAAGCCATGCCATCTCTTCTGTAATTAGTTTTTCTAGAAGCTTAAAATCACATTACCTTCAAAACTGCCTTAAGATAAAAATGATGGGGAAAAGAATGAACTAATAAACTGCTAGTTATGGGAATTGGGGTTTTAAAGGCTAACAGGAAAAAAAATCAGAAAACATTAATATTTGGCATAAGAATAATACTTGCATTAGCCAATTTTACATGTCAGTGGAACATTTCTTACAAATACACACAGCATTAAAATAGTTGAACAGCAGCAAACTTGTGATATTTGATATATTGAGATAATGTTTAAAATCTTTTCTTTTGAAAAAATTATCTTAATTAATTATTTTTATTAAGATCATGCATAGATAAGATTTTTAATTATCAGATACTATAAAAAGCTTCATAAGAGCAAACAGTTATGCTCCAACCCATTTTTTGTTACATTCTGCTCCGTATAGTTGATTGTTTTTAATTCTTCCAGATATTTCTTGTACTATTTATGTTATGTTTCTAAATATTATGGTCTATTGCTGTTTTTTATTTACTAGTTGTAACATTTCTATTTACCAGTTGTTATGATGGGTGAGGACTTACTTTTGACCCCTACCCTAAGCCCCATACCTTGATTTCTCCCTTTTCTCATTCTCTCAATATAATTGTCTTGCTATTTAATTAAACCAGCAATTATGTTTTTTAAAATGATCCATAATAAATGTTCACTGAAGGACCAAGTAAATGTATTATATATAATTATATTTCCTTTTTTATGTATTTGCATTTTTCTAGAAGTTATGGGTTATTTTATTTTTTAAATTGTTTAGTTGTCTGTAGACTTGCTGTTACTTCGTTTCCACATGCTGTCTTGGATATCTACTGTTTCTCAAAGGGAAACTCCGTCAGATAGTCTACCAGTTTCACCTTTTTATCCTCCCTTGCCATTCTTCTTTCTTCCCCTCCATTCTGACCTGACTATTCTCAGGGTCTGTGGCATCTGTATCATCTTAGGATACGACATCACCATTTTTCTCTGTTGAGTTTTCTGTTTCTTACTTCCTATGATTTTCTTTTACTTGGTTTATTCCTTCAATTCCAGAAGTACGCTTACCATAGGTTTTGTAAGAAATTATAGATGTGAGGGTTTTCTTTTTTTTTTTTTTTTGAGTTTTAGGATGTCTAAATAAGTTTTTATTATATGTTTGCACTTGATTGACAGTTCCTATGAATCTGCCTTATTGTGCCTGATTCAATCACAAGTTTTCTCATTTACATATTGAAGAAATCAGAAATGTAAGAATTATGTGATTTCAATTAAATTACATGAAAATGGTTGAGCAGAACTATATGATCTTATTTTATTATTTCTTCCTTGATCGAGGTTTGCCTGAGTATTATCCATATAAAGTCAGTAATCTTTCTGGGAAAAATCTCCCTGTTCCTTGCTGCAGTTTCTTTTACATCTTGCATTTTAATATTTACTTTAAAATTATATTTTTTAAAAAATTCACGAATACATTTAAAATAATGGTCATTATTTAAAAATCTCTTGTTCTTAGACAACAGCATTCACTTACCTTATATGTAGGAAATACCTTCTCTGCTTTTCAGTTTAAATCAATAAAAGTTTGGGTATAAGTACAATAATAATATTCCAATGGCTTTAATTATCTTTTATTTAAGGAAGAAAGTTGTACCAGAATATTATAAAATATTCTTAGGAGCAAAGGCGCAATAACTTCTCAGTAGCTATTGGTTTAATATTTCTCAAGAAATACAAAATATGTCTATGAAATATACATGGGTTGGAGCTGCCTGTGCCCAATCAGTATTCATATCGAAGAGATCTTGGGAATGGGAAGAAGAGAAAAAGTTTCATTTAAAGTGGTAAGGGAGGTTTCTAGTCCTGGGGAAATATTAAAGTACCTTATTTCTACCGTAATTATTTTACATACAGATTAGGATAATTTTCCTTTGTTGTAGAGAGTAGTGTAATACAAGGCTAAATTATTTGTGGAAGAGGGATCTATTGTTTCTTGAATGTAAGCTGAAGCAGTAAATAAAAGGATAAAATTACTCCCTGAAAATAATGATGAGCATAGTCATTTGTATTCCAAAATTTAGAAATTAATTTACTTAGTATTTCATAAAAATGTTAAAGTTCCCATGTCAAATAACTACTACTATAAAAAATATTGAGAAAAATAACAGAAAAATGTACTAAATATAAATGTAATTTTTAAAAAGTCAGTTCACTGTACATATGAAAAGATTCATGCAATCATCAGTAATGTTTATTAAAGGCAAGCTAGAGATACCATTTCTCCTCATTGACACTTTAACCCACTTTGATTAGTGAGGGCATATGGAAATAACCACCGTCATATACTATTGACCAGTGTGAAAATTTGCTCGACCTTACTGAAAGCCAATATGCATAAAAATTAAAAATGTGCATACACTTTGACCTAGCAATTTCACCTCCAGTGATTTATGCAAAGAAAAATAATCGGAAAAGTGCAAAGATGTACAAAAAATATTTTTCACATTATTATTTATGGCGTAAAAATAGCAACATCAACTAACATGTCAATTGAGAAAGGCTTGGTTAAATAAATTATGAAATCTCAACATAATATAAAGCAACGTTGTCATCATAAAGATAATAACAATTCTTTATTAACTCATGAAATAGTCACCATATAATGTTGGTTCAAAACAACCAGATTATAAAAAGTGGAAGTTTGATCTTATTTTTTGAGATGGAGGCATTGGGTATATAGACACACAAAATTATAAACAGAAGAAAGTGTGGAAGATTATGTAACAAATTGTTAAAAGCAGTTATGTCTGTGTGGTGGGTTTGTGGGCAACTTTTCCTTTAAAATCTTCTGTGTTTTCTGTTTTTTCACATCTGAGAATATGTTACATTTTAATTATAAATATATAATTTGCTAACATTTTAATACTGTTACACACACTCTCACACACATACATGTCCGAATGTAAGAGTAATTATAATGAACTGAATTGTTTATTTGATCAGACGAGAGAGAGAACAAATCTAAATGTTTTAAGCATCTATTTTAAAAACCCATAAATGGTTATTAACATTACCCCGTGAATTTTAAAAGTAGTTCACTCTACCTAAATCATTAAAATAATAAGATGCCCTAAGACATTGTATTCTCAATAACACAAGGCATGATCTATAAAAGTTAGAGAAATTCCAACTTGTTAATATTTAATCTGTTCAAATACAGAAGTAAATAGAGTAATAATGTAATTTTTTCTGTGGGGCTCAAAATTTAAAAAAAATGTGATTTAAAAAATATTTTAAAGCAAAAATCAATTCAAAATAAATTGGAATTAGAAACTTCTGAAGAATGACCTTACAAGATCTACTTTGCAGATTAATTTTCACTGATGTTATTGATAGGAATAAAATTTAAGCCTTCCACACAGCAACAATGTCTAAGTTCTTCTACATATAAACATTAGTAGAAAAATGCCATATTTAAAATTTATATTAGATTTATTGCGCCCAGAATCTTTTAGCTCCACAGAGTAATATTTCACTAAGTTATTTTCCAAGCATCTTTGGCAAAATATGTTTTAAACATCATTTTGAAAAATAGACTTTGGTTGAACAAATAACATTTTAAAATTTCAGCAACAGTAAGAGGTGGTAAAACTTAATTGTCACAAATGCTATTCTTTACTGTTCCTGCAAAGCCTCTGAGTGGTTCTAATTAGTAAATACATGTGCTTCCAAGAGTGCATTTTTAATAACACATTGAGTGCCAGAGGTCAGCCATTATTTACATAAAAATGGGAACTCAGATGGCAATGCAAAATCAGATGTTAATACAAAAGGCAAAATGTTAATAAGAGAGGCTTCTGGAACAAAAAACATTATCCTAATCCATTGAGTTCTTTTGATTATTCATTCTGTACACTTGTAAGTAGATTTAAATTACAATTAAAATAAAAAGCGATTTGGCTCTTGAAACGTCAGGGAGTAATGACGCTCAAGCCTTGACAACATCTACCACTGAGGAGAGAAAGAGAAATCAAGGACCATTATCATGGAGCCTGTGATCTAGAAGTCACTGAAAATGGTCTGATCATAGGTAGGTAAGGCCAAGTAACATTACTGTCTACATTAAGGTCTACATGTTTTGGGAATAAGTTGGAAGCATTAATAAAGTGTTCCCTAAATAAAGAAACTGAATATTTCACATGTGATTTCCTATTAAGTGGAAGTTTTAATAAAATTAATCTTCTCCTAGAACTTCAATTTGAAAATAGGCAATTTTACTGCTATAGAAGACTATTTTATTTTTACTAAGTCTCAAGCTTTGAAAAAATATACATAAATAATGTATATACATATATGTATATATATTACATAGTAAGCAACTCTAAACCACTTTTAAATGAATTACTTATAACTTTTTCTTTTCTAAGTTGCCGTGATGATCTTCTCTGACAATTGTTCAGTAATCTCACCATCCTCCAAAAGATCATGATCTAATTCAATTAGACTTGATAACAAACTGATCACAAACTGATCACACAAAATTTTCATTAACAAAGACCCAACTAATTTAGAAAATGCTATGTTTGATATTCATTAAAATTCTGTTTAGCTCCAATAGCAATTCTATGTTCAAACTGGTGGGTTTAGCAAATAATTATTAAAGGGAGAGTACACTTGTGACAAGATTATTATTATAAGTTTCCCCTCAGTCCTTGAAGATATAAACTCCTGACTCATTGTCATTTTCTCCAGTACATCTCCAGTCCAAACTCCTAATGGTTTGAATTACAATAAATTACTAATTACAACATGCATTGAGCAGTTTCTAGGGGCCAAACAGTCTCTTAAGAGTATTACATTACATTTCTCATTTATTTCTCATAGCAACACCTTAGGTTTGATTCTACTGTATTAGCATTTCCACTCCGCAGCCGAGAATTCTGGAAGTTAGAGAAGATTT
Source organism: Homo sapiens (assembly GCF_000001405.40). NCBI lineage: Eukaryota > Metazoa > Chordata > Mammalia > Primates > Hominidae > Homo > Homo sapiens. Next base: position 65,258,355 of record NC_000004.12, on the reverse strand, counting down.
TCCAAGGCCTCCTTGACAGGGACTTAACTCCAGGGAATTCAATTCTGTATCTTGTACACATAACCACCTTAGTGTATTACTTTTATAGGTTGATTTAATATTTTAATGAGTTAACTCATTAAATTACATAAATCTATTAATGTCTTAGGTGACATGTATTATTTTAAAATGTAATTTTTGAAATTACTCTTAAAATATTTTATAATTCAGAATGTTTTCCTTACTAATATTATCATTTTCATAACTGATAATTAATATAATTCTTTCTTGCATGTTTGTTAGGCTTTTAATAGTCAATATAAGGTGGGTTTACATTCTGTCATTAACTTCCTGTGTAAGCATGGCAAGTTACTTAATCTCTTTTTGCCTCAATTTCAATGACTATAAAATGGGAATGATAGAATTTCACACTTTATATGGTTTTGTGTGAAGTATCAAATGATTAGTTCATATAATGTACATGGAACATAGCACAACTTATTAAAATGTGATAAATACAGATTTTATTTTTATTATTAAAATGTTCCTTAAGTATTAAATGCACTTTTTACATTTAAAATTAGTCAAAAATTTTGTGGAACTAAATATATGTAAAGTATACACAAAGTATAACAAATTGAGGGCCCTAGAGGTTCATATGATCCTTGGAGAGTTTGCTATTCCTATTTCCTCTCAACTCTTACATTCACAGTTACCCCATCAAAACTTATCAAGACCATTTAGACTAATCCTATCAGACCCTTCTTCCCCTGTTTATGCAGGTCACACAAAATCCTAGGCTCCTGGGTCATCTCTCATAACCTGAATTCTTATCTACTGAGAAGCCCATGTGTCCCATAATCTGACCCTCATCTCCCACATCTTCAAATTTACTCTCTATGCTTCTCCATTCTGTTCTGTGTCCCAGATAGTGATTAACACAGGCTACATCAACAATTTTCTTGTACTATCCTCTGATTGGATGCAGTCAATGGGACTCAGTTATAGAAGATCTGAGAGAAAGAGAGAGAAGAGTGGGTTTGGTATATTTATTCCTCAAGCATTCTCCCTGTGAAGCTACTATGGGTTAGCATTTTCTAGATCAACACTTCTATCAGGCGGCTTCTTCACACAGTTTTTTCCCAATCTGTACATTCCTCCTCTTGCCCCCTTCAAGATTAGGAGAAAAAAATGATGCCCTGTTCTCACTCTCCCTTATGGTTTTCCTCCTTTAGACTTTTAAAAATAGTTCTTTCATTAAACGCTCCTCTTCTCAAGCTCAGATTGCTCAAGTCTGGTTAATTCCACCTCATGTAGGTAATTTGGCAAGCAAGAAGTTATAAAGTCATAAGACTGATCTCAATTTTTGGATCGCTAGCATTATCTGAGCCTATAACTCTTCTCAACAATCTTACAACATTTCCTTTTTTTGTTATAAAACAAAGTTATTATGCAATACTTTGTCATAATGAATAGCATCCTCTTTGGTAAAAATAAACTTTATAACCATTTTAATAATGAGAGATTAGATACAAAAACTAAGCATTTGTAAGTAGTGTTTGATATGAGCAAAGACTGGCAACTGGGAAGTGGTTCACTTGTGACTGGTCATCTACTGGCAGTTACAGCTCAAACAGGGACAACTTTTATGCTACATCAGAAAAGAGGATAAAGAAACAGTTTGATAACAAATTTCTTGAATCAGAAAGCATTCTTATACTTTTATTTAAAAATAAATAATAGTTACAATCAATTGGCAATTATACATTTTATACACTATATGATCGCAACATAATACTTTAAAATTAAGCCCTTAGTTTAATAAGAAATGTACAACAATTTAAAAAATAAGTTTTGACAATGGCACTGGCAGTTAGATGCAAAGAATATATTCTAGGAAAAAAAAATGACAGGTATAACATTAAAATACACTAATTTGCCTTTCAATACATATTTTTACTATATCATTAATATATTGAAGTAAACGGTTTAAATCAAAGCTTACACATTTCAAACAAACAAACAAAAACACTGTAAGATATATATAAACAGAAAGCCTCAAAGTTTCTTAAACAAATGCTGTGGTCTTCACACAGTGGTATTCAGTTGTTGTAGTATTTAAGACAATATTTCTTTAATTCATTACAGCCACTTACTCAGAGATTTTCTTTCCTCCTCAACTTCCAATATGTCCTCCCCATTCTCACAGTTGGAAAATAGAATTGATCCTACTAGCTCCTCTCCACACCTTAGCCAACCAACTTGCACCTCTACTCATTTCCTCTGCCTTTACTCGTGTTACTATAGATCTGTAGTAATCCTAAAGATTTTCAGGTTTATTTTCATTTGTGAAATGATTGGGGAAGGGATGATACTTGCTTTTAGAAAGCAGAAGCTAGAGCTGCTATAAAAACTGCAACAAACCCAACAGTCATACCCTCATGAAAGTGTTTTCTTGTATACCTTACAACTTTTAACTGTCTTGTCATTGATTCATGTATATAAAAATCTGTTACCTGTGTCTAGAATATAGCTCTGATTAGAAGATGAAGATAAGGAAAATTTTACCTGTCTTTATTACACAATGAATTTACAATTTATTTCATTCAGGTTGTATTCTTGAGATAAAATTGTACTTAGTTTGTTCAGAAAGTTACCAATAGTTCTTCACTATTTTTGAAAAATAAATCACCCCCAGCATCACAGCACATTATATTTGAGATAATTGAGTTTAAATACAATGCAATAGGTGACAGTGCATATCTGTACCTGTTATGTTAGTATGGATTTTCCTTCTCAGTACAACCATTTAACAACTATATCAGGTTTTCTAGCATAATCATGTTGTAGAAATTAAACTAAAGAATTATTATTGTGTTATAAATTAATGTCCTTTATTTCTCATTTTGAATGCAGATAGGGTATTATGCTGATATTTTAAAAATTAAATGCAAAAGTATTATGTTTTATAGAAATATAATTTTTACCTTTAGCCAGAAAATCTTTGCTTTCAATTCTTACACTGAAAAAGACTGAATTTTTTCTTTAAAAAGTAATTGGAAATCAATGTCCGAATTGACAACATTTCAGCAAAAATTTATTTAAGATTTTTCTTAGGGTTCTAGCTTTTTGATATATGATGATCTCAGGCCTTCCTAAACAGAAAGTGAGTACTCACCTATGTTCCAAAGTTTATTCAAAACAAGCAGAGGATGAGAGAAATGCCAAGGGCAATTAGAGTAGCCCCTCAGTTACAAATGGCTTCAGACTCTAAGATGAAGGATATGGTGTTCAACAGTGGAGTGTCTGCTAAAGTTGATTATTTTTTGGCATGTTTCATGCTTAGAGCAGTAACTGCAAGAACTATATAAATTGCTAATAAATGGATTCAAAGAGCTTAGGAAACGCAATGAACACATGAAGAATGATCATGCTAATTATATACAATGTCTGTTATACTACCTTGGAGGAATTTTAAAGCCTGTATACTTGAAACAAATTTCTAACACCTACTTATATATGATTTTGGGCAAGTTATTTAAAATTTTGAGAATCTATTTTCTAATTTTCATTATGGAGATAATAAACCTACCTCATGTGGTTGTTGTAAGGATTAAATGATTTAATATTTACTAAGTACTTAGAATAACGCCTTATATATAATAAGTAGGCAACATGTATTAGCTTTTCCTGCCATTATTCTAACCTGAAATTCTTCAAGTTATTTTAAACCTATTGTTAATATTTTTAAAGATTAAAGTGAATTTTAAAATTGTTTTTGTCTAAAGGTTTTTCTTTTAATTTGAAGGAAATAAAATCTGTAAGTTTTAAATATATTTGAATGAAGTATTTTATTTTTGGAGCTGTTTAATATATTGAAGTTCTCTAAATATTTGGATTTTGTGAAAGGACATTTTGTCCTAGAAATAAAAAATGATTAATGTGGAAAAATCAATACTACTCTATAAATCATGATTCTCTGTGTAATGATCAAAGATTAGTCCTCCAAGCAGGCTACTGCTTTTTCCACTGTCAGTGCCCATTGTAGCCAGCTTTCAAAAATGTAAGTAAATCATTAAGCAAAGTACTTCACTATTATTATTTGAGAAGTCCCATCCCAGAAGATGGGGTCTAATATTCACACTGTCTGATATATGAAGGCTTTAAGAAATGAAGGGGCCAGGCCTAGATGGAACCTGACAGTAAATACTGTTCCTGTCAGTCAGGCCCAAGCAGCCAGTTGTACTTGGGTGATTTTTTATATAATTAAGCTTCATGCTTAGCATAGGAGATGGATTTAATCAGCCCATGATTCACATTATATGTCAAATGATCACAGGTTGGCATACTGCACACAAAATGGCTCTTCTCATTCTTAACATCAATGTTGATATGGCATAAAGTAATAGATAATTCATAACAAATATCCTCCATTCATCCTCTCATATCTTTCTAGATTCTCCTTGTTTTCAAACTAAATATCTCTACATATTATAAGACAAGTGACTTCTAGCTGTGAAAATTTCCCATGGGGGCTAAATAACAAATTAACACTAGTTTGGGTAAAGGTTTCCTAATTAGCTGATCGAGGCTGTCAGGCCATGAGAGGAAGCAAACCACCATGATGTTCTTTAACACTTTGCACATTCCTCACTCATCATCCTTCCCTCCTCCCTGCTAATTCTCTCTGATTAGTTTAGAAGCCTTGAAATCAGTTTAGCTTTTATAAGGAAGCTTTTGTAAGTTGCAGTCTTTCTTTCCTAAATATGTTTGTTGTCAGCAAGCCAAAAGTACATTTACAATCTTCTGTAAGCTCATTTGAGGGAGATCGAGGTTTATAAGAAGGAGGCTATTTGCATATAAATTATGCCCAGAATATAAGGAGTGAAGGCTAAGAAATGCTATTATTTAAAAGGAAAATAGAGGTCAATCTGTGATGTAAAACATTTTTTAAAGTTTAGTGGGATTTGATGGTTTGTATTTCTTGCAGCATTACCAGCTGAAAGTTCAGGGTGGGAGTGGGGAGATTTTGGCAATCCGCAGAACTCCCAGTCAAGATTTTGTATAACATTTAATTGGAAATCAACATTCTTCTAGAGTGTATAATAAGGGATCTTGGAGATATTATCAAAAAGTTATTTTCCTGTTCTGAATAATAGAACAAATTCAAAATATTATGGTGCTATCAAGTGTATCTGGAAACTTACATATAATTAAAAATAACAAAACTAGTACTAAGATAAAAATATTCCATTAACTTAAAACAAGTATCCTATTTATTACTATACCAACACTGTAACATAATGATATGCATGGGGACAAAATATATTTGAGTATAAATTTGGCTTTAAGTAATCAGCAGTAGGTTACTTCTAAGGTCATGTTTGAAATGAACTATACAACTGATATTTTAAAATTTTTTTGATCAAGAATTGCAGCTGAAAAGACAAAACATTTTACCATATAGTGAGTGGTCAAAATTCCTAGAAATAAAACCATATAATTTCTATGGGACCCTATTCATGATGAAATTGAGCAGTCCTTTAGTCTTCCTGTCCTCATGTTACAAACCACGAGAAATCTATGACTTGATTACTGCAGGTCTTAGCTGTTTATGTAAAGAACCAACTGAGTAATTTGTTTCTAATGAAGAAAATAAAGAAAGAGGAAATGAAGACATTTTCAGGGTATAAAGACACCTTGCTAATGAGATAACGCCTTGGCTAAATTAAAAACCTCAACTAGCCTAATGACATTTAGATTTGTTCTTTGTTCATTTTTCTATGTTTGCTCTTCCCTCATCTCTCCAATCTTTCACTGACTTTTACATGTTCAAACCAGTGTGATGAATGGATATTTTATTTTGATATAATGATGAGATGTCATATGAGATGTATTGGATGCAAAGTACTGAGAGTGATTAAGCTACAGAGATTTAGGGCTTGTTTGATATAAAAGAAAACTTTTATTTATTTATTTATTTTTGACATGGAGTCTTGCTCTGTCGTCAGGCTGGAGTGCAGTGGCACAATCTCGCCTCGTTGCAATCTGGACCTCCCGGGTTCAAGTTATTCTTCTGCCTAAGCCTCCCGAGTAGGTTAGATCAATAGGAAAGAAGATGATTTGGATAATTTTGAGATTGACTTGTAAAAAAGAATCAGTTATTTCAATTGCATTAGTGATTGTGGAATTTGTAAACTTCATACCACTTCTTTCATTTGAAAAGAGATTATTTTAATAATGTGTGAGTGTTTGAACAAAAAAAGGTTCACAAATTAGTGAGTTACAACAAATTACACACTGTTATTAACTTTAATAGGCCCCCAAATTTCCTCAGTATAAATTTTTTATATTTATTTATTTATTTTTATTTTTATTTATTTATTTATTTATTTATTTATTTTAATGGAGTCTTGCTCTGTCACCAGGCTGGAATGCAGTGGCGTGATCTCAACTCGCTGCAACCTCTGTCTGCCAGATTCAAGCCATTCTCTTGCCTCAGCCTCTCAAGTAGCTGGGACTACAGGCATGCGCCACCACACCCAGCTAATTTTTTGTATTTTAGTAGAGACGGGGTTTCACCATGTTGGCCAGGATGGTCTCCATCACCTGACCTCGCAATGTGCCTGCCTTGGCCTCCCAAAGTGCTGGGATTACAGGCATGAGCCACCACGCCTGGCCTCCTCAGTATAATTTAACTCTTTTTGAGGTGCTCATCCACTGTTCAATGTCCTTTTTTTTAACTTTTAAGTTCAAGGGTGCAAGTGCAGGTTTGTTGCATAGGTAAACATGACAGGGGGTTTTGTTGTACAGATTATTTCATCACTAGGTATTAAGCCTAGTACCCATTAGTTATTTTTCCTGATCCTCTCCCTCCTTCTACCTTCCACCCTCCGAAAGGCCCCAGTGTGTTACTCCTCTCTATGTGTCCATGTGTTCTCATCAGTTAGCCACCACTTATAAGTGAGAACATGTGGCATTTGGTTTTCTGTTTCTGTTAGTTTGCTAAGAATAATGGCTCCATCCATGTCCCTGCAAGAAACATGATCTTTTTTTTAATGCACACTTATGTTCATTGCAGCACTATTCACAATAGAAAAACATGGAATCAACCTAAATGTCCATCAATGATAGACCGGATGAAGAAAATGTCCTACGTAAACACCATGGAACACTGTTCAAGTAGTTTTCCTGATAGTACCACCTCACTTAAATCCATACAGCAACTGTTTAATATGTATTGTGTGCAAGGCCCTGAGCTAGATGATGCAATAACTCAAGATGATAAAAGGTAAGAAAACATGTAATGCTAAGACATTTCCCTAAGGCTAATCTATCCTATTTATTAATATTATGGCATATGAGGCCTTCAATTATCTAATTCTTGCCTAATTTGGGAACTCTTTTTTTTTCCACCAAACTCTACACTGCATTATAACCAAATACAGTGGAATTATTTTAGAAACGTGCCTCCTCCTTACCTGTATGCCATATCAACTAAGGTTCTTCATTCCCTCTATAAATCTTTCTAACGGAATCTACAATGTGAATTATTATTTCACTTACAAATCAATACTTAGGTCCCTTTCTGGTTAGCTTGATCCTTGTCAATAGTATATAATTTTTGTTTTCAAATTTTTATGCAGCTGTGTCTTATTGCTATTTCAATTTAATTAACTATTGAGTAAATTAATGAAACATGTGTGAGAAAAGGCCTTATTTCCATGAAAACTAAATGAAATGTTTCAGAAAAATGATAAATGTGAGTTATTTAAGTGAAATGGACAACTATAAAAGACAGGGGAAATTTCAAGCTTATGATTATCTTTACTCTCCAGCTCCATTCAAAACAAAAACAAAATTGAGGAACATAGATTATGAAGTGTGGGTATAATTTATGAAAAAAATTAAATTAATTTTTAACTTGTAGATCCCATACTCAAAGTCCTGAATAAACACGTGCATATATTTGAAATTAAAATGAAATGTTTAATTTATGACTGATTTGTTTTCCCTTTTATGATTTCTCACAATAATGGATTGTTAATATTAACTGAAAAACAGGAGATCCCAATGGCTTAAGCTAAAGGGTGCCTTATGGTCTCATATGTTGATGTCTTTACATAGGCATTCTGTTGGCTCGTTGACTTGAAAAACATCAATTTTTCTCTTTCCTTGACACTTAATTTTACTACTTGTCCATTGTCCTTCTTCCCCTTTCCTATCCTATGCCTGGCTAATTCCTACATAATTTTGGGGAACTATCTAAGACATGATATTTATGTTAACTTGTTAACAGTTTGTGTGTGTGTCTGTGTATTCTATGCACAGAAAATTATACTCAGGTATTTATTTTGATGTAAAATTACATTTTATTCTATTAATTTAAATTATTAAACTTAAAACTCCATATTTTAATTAAATGCTTATTTATACCTTATAAATATTACTGTGCTATTTATAAAACTAGAAAATAGTAACACTTACTTTAAGTGGTCTTTTGATTAATATTCATTCTAAAAACTTAGATAAATTTGCTAAAATTTTAAACTACATTTACATATGAACACATCTGGTTTTCTTATTAAGTACGCTAATAAATCTACTCAAGTACTTAAATAATACTTGTGAATCTAACAAATTAAACATATAAATATTTTTACTATTAAGTTCATTTAAGTGCTCTAGTAAAGTATATAACCTGACTAAAATTTCAATTTATAATAATAATTACACATAACAAATGGCATAAAATATTTTCAGAAGAGCTGTTACTCAATTAAGCTAAATTCTCTCAAGTATAGTAAATGTTAATAATACCAAATATTCATAGAATATTCCTTAACATAAAAGCAGTCCTTATGTATGCAATCAATTTTGTTATTTCTGTACTGAATTTTAAATCTTTCTGTGAGTAACATACACAAAACCACCAAGGAACAATTATGTAGTCCTCTGCTATGCAGAGGACTACAAACAGAGGACACCCATTCCTCCTGTTTGTTCACACTCTAATCTCTGGAACCTGTGAATATTTATCTTCCATGGCAACAGAGATTTTGCAGATGTGATTAAGGGTATGGACTTTGAAATGTTCTGGTTTGACCCAATCTAATCACATAAATCCTTAGAAGGAAGAAGCTTTCCTGGCTGGGTCAGAGAGACATATAACAAGAGAAGAAGGATTAGAAAGATATGACAGGAGAAGGACTCAATCCACTTTTTCTGACTTTAAAAATAGGAGGATGGCACAAGCCAAAAACTGTAGGTGTCTAAAAGCTGGGAATGTCCCTCAGCTGAAACCCAGTTTTATAATCACAGAAACAGAATTTTGCCAACAACCTGAATGCATATGGAAATGGATTCTCCCTGAAACTCAACAGAAAAAAATTCAGCCCTGCTAATGTTTGATATGAGCTTCATGAGGCCTGTGTGGTACTACTGACCTGCAGAACTATAAAATACTGTTAATAATTTTCTCTTGTTTAAACCACTCAATTAGTAATAATATGTTACAGAAGCAATATAAAATTAATACAAGTCTCATAAAAGTTCTGAAGATAACACCTCCAATGATTTGTGCTGCATACTTGCCAGAAATTTAAGGCAGGTTGTAAAAGCTAAGGAACAAATCTCTGGTGCAGTTTTTGTACGTGTTAACTGCCATGATGAAATGTCCTCTACCATGTCTACAACCATAAGTGATTTCAAGTCAAAAAAGAGTAGTCTTATAGTGGATACTTCATAATTCATGTGACAGTCTAACCCTCAAACCTCCTGTTGCTATATGTCTTGATGGAACTCAACTAATATGTTTGTTACTCTAGTATATAATACATTATTTTAACATTCTTGTCATAAATTTTATATATTTTTAAATGATGGCTGATTAGATTCTGTATATCTCCAGAAGATATGGTGTCACAATATGTAAAATTTTTGTAACAACAGTCAGGAAGCTTTCAGCAATTGACACTTTCCTCCCTCCCACACGCCACCACATAACTGCTCTTGGCCCCTCATATGTAATTCCAGAGAAAACAACCTGCTCTATACTTCTGCCGTAACACTTAATCACTCCATGTCTTAGTCCATTTGTGCTGCTATGACAAAATACCTTAAAGTAGATAATTTATAAAGAACAGAAATTTATTTCTCACAGTTCTGGAGGCTGAAAGTCTAAGACCAAGGGACCGGCAGGTTTGGTATCTGGTGAGGGTCCTGTCTCTGCTTCCAAGATGGTACCTTGTTGATGTATCCTCTGGAAGAGACTAATGTTGTGTCCTTACTCACATGGTGAAAAGGATGAAAGAGCAAAAAGGCCTAACTAGTTCTCCCTTCGCTCATTTATAAGGCACTAATCCCATCTATGAGGGCAGAGCCCTCATGGCCTAATTTCCTTCTAAAGGCCCCTCCTCTTAATACTATTGCATTAGGGCTTAAATTTTAACTTGAATTTTGGAGAGGACACAAACATGCAAAAAATAGCATCCCAAGTGGACTAAATTTAGTAAGATTTATATTAATCAAAATGGTATATCTAACAGATGTAAATTGTATTTTCAGAAAAAAGAGAAAAAAAGGTTTAAAAAATTTGTCCTTTTGATGTTTTCAATCACTTTTTTTATTAGCAGTTTCTTAACGAGATATGATATGCATAAATGAAGTTCATCCCTTTTGGACTGCTGTACGGTAGCAAGAACAGTGAAGGATCTGAGGAACTTCAATTTTACCTGACTTGCAAGCTTACAAGCTAGCTTGCCGCAGTTTCATTTATGCTTGCAGAAGAGGCTCCTGGATCAGAAACAAATAATTTTATTACTCACAACAGTAGCATTTGCTCCAGTTTGCTGAGCCACAATCACCACAATACAGTGCAAAGAGGGCCAGATGGTACTTGCATATGCAGTGGTGGGGTGGCGGGGGCATTACAAGAGAAAAATCCCTTATTTCGAGAACTTGAATATTTTATAATGGCAGTAAGCCTTTTCCCAGAAGGACACCTTACCTTTCTTATACTGAATGGTAAACCAACATCCTTTCTAGTCTAAAGGGATAAACTATTTCTCCTTTATGAAATATTTTGTTCTAAAAATATTCCTGAAAAGTTTTTCAGAAAAAAAGAAGCCAATGCCTCTGTCTGTAAGACATTCAGAAACATGAAAGGCCCATGGATAAATTGTCTCTTAACAATAAACCCACCTTGTTGCTGTACCATCTTGACTTCCAGTGACTTTTCCCATGAGTACACTATTCCATTGACCACTCTGATTAATCTGAAAACAGAAGCTGGGACCAAATTTGTTCAGTTTGTCCATTCAGTGTTTAATCAAGACTATTATCAACAAGATTCCTGCCATATTGATTTTAGTATGTACCTCAGGGTCCAGAATCCAATCTGGTGAACAAACCCAGAAACCATCAGTATCTACCCTAGAAAGCCAAGTGGCTTTCTACTTAGGTTTATTAATTATATTGGGATCTTTCTACTTAGCAGAAGGCATCACTCCTGGTGCAGCAAGATGCATTAGCAATTTTCTAGCCACTGTCTTGGTTTGCAAGGAGGAAGTTAGAGCAAACCTATCATCCATGACATCTTTGCCCAGAGAGTAGGGGATGACCTGAATACCTCCAGGAGCCAAGGTTGTGTCATTAATTACTTTGCTAAAGCCAGTAACAAATTTCATATGAACTTTCTAATTAAATTACTTCCTTCTTTGAGATAACTTTATGTAAGAAACGAAATTTATGAGTCATTTATTTTCTGGGAAGCTTTCTCAAATGTATTCATTTTCTCTGGCTGCTATATTTTGCAGCTTAAAGCAACAAAAATGTATTATCTTACAGTTCCTAAAAGCAAAAGTCCAAAGTCAATTTGTTGGTAGGAAAATGCTTCCTCCACATGCTCTAGGGAATAATCTGTTTCTTGCCTCTTCCAGCTTTTGAAAGTTCCAGTTTTTCTTTGGCTTGCAGTGGACTCACCGCTATCTCTGTCTCTGTGGTCACATTACCTTCTCCTTTCTGTCTCTCGAATATTTTTCCACCTCTCTTTTATAAGAACCCTTGTCATTAATCATTTAGGGCTCACATAGATAATACAAATGATATCCTTATCTCAAGCATCTGCCAAGACCCGTTTTATCAGAAAATAATGTGGCATTCACAGGCTCTAAGTATCAGAATATGGATATATATTTGGGGAAGGGGGGTCATCATTCAGCCAAATGCACCAAGTAACCAAGCATAACCTCATTTTTTAGCTATCTAAGCATTTATTTGAAGGCTACATAATCTACTGTCGTGTTTTCTTAAACAATTAAAAGTCTTTCACTATCACGCTATCACCCCTTAGGTGCAATTACCATGTTTCTGGGAGGGAAGCAACTTAATTTCTGGCTTCCCGTAAGTACAGCCGCAGGGATGTATATGGTGTCCCTAAAGGGAAAGTTAATTATGTTGGAGATCTACCGAGTATACCTACATCACTCAGGAAGTACTAGTTGATGGCACAGTGAACATGGCCTCTCTCTGGCTGGTAAACCTTAGAGTTTCCAATTAAGTTAGAATAATTACATTTAGTGCTTGATTTAAAAAAAAAAAAAAACTGCCTAAAGGCCATCAATCTACCCTGTGTTATCCAGACACTCACTGGACAACATTTGTCTATCCTTGGAATGACCGAGTGACTGTCGTGGTAATGCAGATGGGGTAGATACTCAGAGAGTCCAACAGCTATTTTACACGGAGATGTAAGAAATAGGATCATGGTCTACTGTTTCTAATAGATGTCTAAGATGAGGTGGAATATCTATCAAATCATGGTCAGAAGCAACTGGCAAGGAATGACATTCAGCAGTCATTTACAATTTAATGCACTTCCAACAGTTTAGGATAGTCAAACCAGGATGTATTCTTTGAGGGAGCTTCCAGGGTAGTTCTGAAAGAAAAAAGATCATTAACGTTTTCCCCTCCTCATATCTCCAGGAGTCTAAGGTATTTTCTCTCCAGGTGCTATGATTGTTGCTTTCCACAAAATTGGTGCCTCTATTTCCAAGAGTTGTAACTTTGCCTTTTTGTTGTTGTTGTTGTTGAATCGTCTTCTACTCATACCTACACCTTTTGTCCAGTAGGATCAGGTAGAAAAGAGACAGGGCATTTTGATAAAATGTACAGAAACCCATTACATTCCCCGACTTGGCCCATGTGAGCCACCTTAGGAGGACTCAGTGAACAGTGTACTTAACTAAGTATTCTTTATCTTTATGATCTCAATATATGTTAGTTCAACATAAGGGTACAAGTGACTGAATCAGAAATAACTCTAAACCACTCCCTGCCCTGAGACAGCATGGTGTACAAATCGGGCGAGCCTAGTTTGCCATTAAGGAAAGAAAAAAGGCATTGTGACCAGGGATGGTTAGAGCATAAACTTATTTTCAAATTAGCTTATGTAATTTCCCACTTCTTGCATATAGAGCATTATCTAGAATAAAAAAGTAAGATTCTGCTTATAGAAAAGTTTTAGAATTATTAATTCATTATTCAGTAAAAATCTCTTTTGAAGTTTTTCTCAATATTTCATAAATTTAACTTCTTTCCAAATCAAATATTATTGTGAATTATTTGAAGCAAAGTTCCAAGTTTAAATAAAAGCAATAGATTTTATCCCAAAATAACAATAATTTATTCATTATATAAATAGATTACTTTCAACTTTTCCAAGGCATTTTCTTCATAATCCCTTTGATCATCCTAAGAAAAATAGAAGGGGCGTTATAAAGCTATCTTTTGATCTCTAAAAATTAGATAACTTGATAGTAATTGAATAAAATAAGATAAAAATCCAAGAATTTCATCTTTCTCATCAATGTTTTTGAACCCACATTGAATACATTCCTTATATTAGTGCTTCTTATCCATGAATGTTTCCGCAATTTATCTGAGGATCTTGAGAAAATGCAGATCCTGATTTTGTAGTGGGGCCTAAGATACTGAATCTATGAAAACCTCCCTGGAGATGTTGATGCTACTGGACTCTGTATCACACTTTGACAGGCAAGGTGGCATATCAAACTCCATTTGCTATTTTTGGCTTTCAGTTGAAGTCACATTTTGTCCATGTATTGGTCAGGGATCTCTAGAGAGATGGAATTAATAACAGATAGATAGGTAGGTAGATAGATAGATGCATACATACATAAATGCACGCATACATACATACATACATGCACGCATACATACATACATAAATGAGAGGGAATTTACTAGAGGGATTGGCTCACCTGATTATGGTGGTTGAGAAGACCTGCAACAGATTTCCTGCAAGGTGGAGGATGAGATGCTGGTAGTGTAGCTCAGTCCAAGTCCAAAGTCCTCAGAACGAAAGAAGTTGAAGATGTAACTCTCAGTCCAAAGCCAAAGGTGTGAACATCCAGGAGAGACTTGGTACTTGTGTAAGTCTTGGAATATAAAGGCAAGGCCGGGCATGATGATTCACTCCTGGAATCCCAGCACTTTGGGAGGCCGAGGTGGGCAGATCACGAGGTCAGGGGTTCAAGGCCAGCCTGGCCAACATGGTGAAGCCCCGTTTCTACTAAAAATATAAAAATTAGCTAGGCATGGTGGCAGGTGCCTGTAATCCCAACTACTCAGGAGGCTGAGCCAGGACAATCATTTAAATCAGGGAGATGGAGATTGCAGTGAGCCGAGATTACGCCATTGCACTCCAGTCTGGGCGACAGGGCGAGACTCTGTCTCAAGAAAAAAAAAAAAAAAGAATAAAAAGGCCATGGAGTCTGGAGTTGCTGTCCAAGGACAGCAGAAAAAGAGTGCATCTCAGTTCTAACAGATAGACAGGTTTGTTTTTTTTCTCCAGACCCCCAGCAGGCTGGATAGTGCCCACCCACATTAAAGGTGGAAACCATCACAGTTCATGTTCATCACCATTTAGGAATTCTTAGGGAAATCAATTACTAAAATTTGTTCTGCCTTTTCCTCAGTAGTGCATATTTTTCACATCTTACATGGTCAAAAATGAAGCAACAGTTACTAATATGGTTATTCTGTAATTATAACTACATTTTCAGTTGGTAGTATATCTTACCTCTAAAATTTTATAATCAAGTATAATTATTAATATTGTAAAATGCAGTCAGCACTTCAACAGCTAAGTGTGAACTGCATGAGTCCAATTATAAGTAAGTTTTCTTTTGCCGTTGCCACCCCTGAGACAGAAAAACCAACCCCCCTTCTTCTTCCTCCTTCTCCTCAGCTTACTCAACCTGAAGACAGAAAGGATGTCCCTCTTTCACTTAATGAATAGTAAATATGTTTTTTCTTCCTTCTGAGTTTCTTAATAACGTTTTTTTGTCTCTAGCTTACTTTATTGTTAGAATACAGTAGGTGTTAATTGAATCTTTGTGATATGGGTGAGGCTTCCAGTCAGCAGTGGGCTTCTACTATTTAACTTTTTAAGCAGTCAGTGGTTATGCTCAGATTTTCAGCTGCATGGAAGTCAGCACCCATAACACCAGCATTGCTCTAGGGTCAACTGTGTATTGAAAAGAATAAGACCAGAAAATAATCCATCTTCTTAATCTCTGCTTTCTTTCATACTCAACCACATGTTTTTGATGGCAATGGTAGCTGGTCTGGAACAGCCACTGCAAAGACGCCAGCTGCAGGGGAGGAAGTGCGGCCCGGGTGACACACTCCTCAGGGCGGTAGGAACTGGGAACAGGCAGGAGCCCATCCCCCTACAGAGCTGGCAGAGTGGGAGCCCTGTGGTCTTGGGCGCAGCTACAGCTGCCCAGCTGTAGCTTCAGATCCGAGCATCCCTGTATTGTCAGGGGCCCAGGAAGCTCCTTGCCACCGCAGGCTTGAAAGTTCCTGCTCCCATTGCCTGACCTCACCCCACTCCTGGCGCCCACTCTGGTGAGGATCAAAGTTGTGGCAAAGCCTGGGTGCTGTTGCAACCAGACCGGGTGTGTGTGCGCACGCTCAGGGTGACACTGAAATGCCAGCCTTCTGCCACCTCAGCCCCCTCTGGACTTCGGGCACCGACGAACATGGGATGGAGGCTGAGGAGGGGCTGAAGTCAGCTTGGCAAAGGCCACTGCTTGGTAAGAACAGCCTGGGCACTGTGGACTGCATGTTGATGGCGGGAGGCAAACAGGTTCCTGGGTGGAAAGGGATTAGTCCCACGTGAAGCCCCACCTTCAAGGTAGAGACGGCCTGAAGCCTGGTGGCCGGGCTGTCAGATCCAGGTGGAGTGGGAACTCATGGTGCTTTTTACCAGCCTGCCCATGGCTGCCCATGGATGAATCAGCACGTACTTTCTCCCTTCTGAGACCGTAAAATCCCCGAAACCAGCCAAACTCACATAGACATCAGGATGACTTGCCTGTGGAAAGGAGCTACCCATTCTGGTTCTCCGCTCCACTGAGAGCTGCACTCATCACGACAACTTGCATGTGAGCGGAACCACCCACTACGGGTCTCCTCTCTGCTGAGGTGGACACTCATTGGGACAACCCGCCTGCGGAAAGGAGCTGTCCACTTCCGGTCCTCTGCAGCCGTTCTGTCAATGAAGCTCCTCTCTGCCTTGCTCACCCTCCACTTGTCCGTGTACCTCATTCTTGTCGTGGAACAAGACCCTGGGACCCAGTGAATGGTGGGACTGAAAGAGCGGTAACACAAACAGGGCTGAAACATGCCCACCGCTCGCCACTTTGTGGGCGACGAGGAGAAACGAACTGCTGTGGCCCTTCAGGAATCCCAGACCTAGAGACTCCTGAGCCAGGGCTGTGACACCCTCTTTGGGGCTCCGCAGTTTCTGGTGTCTCCAAGCTTCCGGGTGCCATCGTATTTCCCAGTGCCTGCAGTGGAAGCCATTTGTGGTAACGCCTGGTCCAGCCAGTCTCACACGGAACCCACGCCTGTGCTGGCGCCTGGAGCTGCCTGCCCAGTGGCAGCAAGCACGCATGGCTGTGTGCAGTGGCCAGACCCCATGCTTATTAACACACCCCTTGCTACTCCTCACCAGGCTCGCCCTTGGCAGGTGTGGGATCCAGGTCAGTATTATGAGCCAAATACAGCCTGCTGGGGCGAGTGAGCAGAAGAGGCCAGCGGGCCCGTGTAAAACTCAGGCAAAGGCACCACCAGCCGCAGAGGTTTCCAACTGAAAAAGTGACACGGTAAGGATGGCATTTACACTTTAAAATCTAGTTTACGTATTGTTTAGCCTTTAAATTACAATATAGGCGTTGACTATTCAAGATGCTATAGTCCTCTTTTCAGCTTAGAAAGGTCACCACAGTGAATCATTT
The DNA here is from genome assembly GCF_000001405.40 of Homo sapiens. Taxonomy (NCBI): domain Eukaryota; kingdom Metazoa; phylum Chordata; class Mammalia; order Primates; family Hominidae; genus Homo; species Homo sapiens. The sequence goes on along the minus strand of NC_000004.12, from coordinate 65,241,049 downwards.
TCGATTCAGTGTTAATGGAGTCATAAGTCTTGTTAATCTGGTTGGAAATAAAGTAAGTTGAGCCAAAGTAAAGTAATTTTTAGATTTCTAGAGCAACCTTTTTGGATAGCATTAGATATAATGTTTATATACTTTTCAGTTAATGTATTATTTTCCTCATATATACATTTAACCTTTGCCACAAATGTATAATATATGTAAAGATTTTGGAAGAGTCTTGGGAAATATTGTAATTAACCTTGATGATGGTGGTGGTGGTAGTTACACAGACTTGCTGGAGAGTCACTGGCTTGAAAATATTATTTTTAGACAGTATAATAGGGTTGCATAATAAAATGTTGAGGTCAAATCCCAGAATTTAAAATAGTTAAGACAGCACATGTTTCTGTTTGGAGCAGGAGTGCTGGCAGACTCTGTTTCACCTTTAAATTCTTAGTAGCCCTAAAGGCTCTTCAGTGGAAACCCAGTGTTATTGATCCTTGATATTTAGTTAACACATAGAATGCATATGTCACTAGATTCAGGCTTATTCAAGTTGGAGAAAAACTCAGGAGCCATAGAAATGGGACATCAGATGATCATGGTTTAGATTAGTATAATACTTTTATATAATTATTGGTACCCACTCTTTTTATATCCCTTTCTCTGAAATGAAACTATTTTGAGGCCACTACTCTATTTTTGGCAAATGTTAAGATGTAATTGACCTTATGATCATGCCAGCATTGTTCTTGGCTCTTAAACTTCTGGAGCATTCCAAGTTTATAAACTGCAAAATAGAAACAACAAAAATGACATTTCACTAATCTGACCCATTTATTCCAAATACACCATGAGAGTCAACTGCAGGTTTATCAGAAGAAACAAGTCCCTGAACTCTATCTCTCTGGATTCATGGATTGACATTTCTTTGCTCTTGAAAAAGACTGAAGTCAGACAACAGTATTGTTTAGCTAAAAACATTAAAAAACAACAACAACAAATCTCTCTAAGCACATAAATTACTCCCCTTCTACACACACACACACACACACACTCACACACGAGCACACAGCTACACACAAAGAGAAAACAAAGTTATATTTTTTCAGATAATAAAATAATTAGAAAGACAATTTTATAAATGTATGTAATACATCATTTAAGTTTAGAATATCTGATTTTGTGTGGCTCAGGTAAATAAATAAACCATGGCTCAACAATCTAGCCATTAAGAAAAAAAATGATCAGGATTGATTGTCGAGAATTTGGAAACACACACACTAATCCAAAAATGTGATACTGACTGAGAAAGTGTTCCTTCCTTAAGTCTCTACAACAATTAAAAAATTACTACATTAATAACTACATGAGAACAGATCATTGACAGTTTCTTATTTTTCTTTCAATGAAAGACATTTATCAAAAATAAATTAAAACTCTATTGATCTTTTGAAATGCAATGTATTTCAAGGTTGACATTTAAACATAAACCCACAGTTTAATAATGTTCTTAAACTGAAATGTAGTTTTTTCACAGAGATAAAACACTGCAGTATTGGAATAAAGAGACCTTCTGTGAGTAAAGCATTTATCGAAGAGCATTTCTAGTAGTGGATTAGAAGAAAAGATGCCTGTGATGATGAATTTTATGATTCAACTTGTCTGGACTATGGGTGCCCATTTGGTCAAACATTATTTCAGTGTGTCTGTGAGGGTGCTTTTGCATGAAATTAATATTTTAATTGTTAGACTAAGTAAAGCATATTGCCCTCTCTGATGTAAGTAAACCTCAGGTTATCAGATAAGGCACAAAATGGAACAAAAATGCTGACCTCGTATGAGTAAGAGGGTATTTTTTCTGTCTGATTGCTTGAGCAAGAACAAGAGATTTTTCCTGTCTTTGGACTTGAACTAAAACATTGGTTCTCAGACTAGAACTGATACCATCAACCCTCCTGGTTCTTAGGCCTTCAAACTCACATTGGGAATACATTATTGGCCCTCCAGGGTCTCCAGTGCACTAATTGCAGAACATGGGGCTTCTCATCCTCCATAATTGCATGAGTCCATTCTTTATAATAAATCTCTCTCACACTCTCTGTACATATGTATGTATATATTATCTGTCTCTCTTTATATAATATATAATACCTATATACATATATAACATGTATGCATATATTATATACAGATACATGTTGCATATTATACATGTTATACATGTATATGTGTATATATGTGTGTATATACACACATATGTATATATGTGTGTATATACACACATATGTATATATGTGTGTATATACACATATATGTATATATGTGTGTATAATACAAACACACACACACACAACACAACAACACACATCCTGTTGGTTCTGTAACTCTGAAGAAATCTAACACAATACTGTAGGTATTCAAATTTTCATTATCATAATTACTTTATTTTATCTTTATCTTTCTAGCAGTGAATATCACAGATTATTGACTTCATTTGGAACATAAATAAGTTATTCCAATTATTCTAATATCAATAAAATATTATATGAAATATTTACATACTTAAGGACTGAATCTTGACAAAAGTAAATGACTTTTTTTAGGTTTGATCTTCGCAGTGGCCTGTGGCTAAGACTGATATTAAAGGAAGAATTAAAATCCTGAATCAATCATGAACTTTAAAGGTACAATATTTTGCTTAAAGTAAAAATTATTTTTGTTTGCTTGCTTATTTGATTTACTAGTGAACAATATGGATGAGATAAATTATACAATAAAAGACACAGAAAAACTCTATTAACTTAGTGTTTACTCATATATGTATATATGCATATACACACACAATAAAAAATACTAGTGAGGCACTTCAAACTGGTCCAAATATATACCATTTAACAAATATTCATTGAGTGCCTGCTTCATGTCAGGCACTATCCTGGGTACTGAAAAGTTAATAGTGAGCAATACGCATAATACTCCCTGTCCCCATGGCACTTACATTCCAGCAGGGAGAGACAAGGGGTGGGTGGTTTAGTGATAAGTGTGCTCCAGTCAAAAGGATTCAGAATCAGATTCTATTGGAAACCAGTGCATGCCCATTTAGAAGCTGAATGACCTGGGGCAAGTAATTTAATCCTTCCAACTCATAAATTTTATCTTTAGAACTCAGATAGTCATATTGTCTTAGGGGAATTTGGGACAAGATTAAGAAGAATATCTTTTAACTTGTCAAGGTTTATATTAATAAATCAGTGTCTTTTGTCAATTTGAACTCCAAGACATTAGGAAGCTGAGGAAGATCAGTCAGAAGTAACTTTTTATGAAGATTTTTTTTTCCCTCTACCAAAGCTAATATGGAATAATAAATATAGCTGTTGACCCTTTTTCCTAATCTTCTGATGCTTAAGTCTTTTCTCTTAATACTTTAAGTTACCAATCCTAGATTCCAGGTACCATGTTTGAAAAGGGGTGAACAAAAGGTTTTTGTTTTTATGGACATATTCTGGGACATATGGGACATATTCTGGGACATATTCTGGGACATGTTTTTATGGACATATGTCACTTCTCCTCCTTGAGATAGTCTCCCTTCCTCCATTAAGCCTACAATGATTGACTGTGATGGCACCTAATTACAATTCTTTCATTCTCATTTGCATCACTAAAGAACCAGATTGTCTATTCACCCTCAGAGATATCACAAGGTGACAAGCAAGAAAGAATTTCTCAAAATAGGGGAAACAGAGACAAAAGAACATTGTATTATATTTTCTTGTTATAACTGAATTAAATTGCATCATAGGAATGGAATGGCTTAAGCCTGGCTCTAATAGGCTCTTCTTGTAATAATTTACCAATTTCAAATATTCATAGATGATAAAGTATTGTTACATGGAAAAGGCCTCAAATCCCTCAGTCCACTAGATGCAGGCTTATTCAAGTGTCCCTGGATATATCTCTATTTCTATCTCTATCTCTAGTTCTGTATGCATGTATGTGTATGTACATGTACACACAAATTCAAACATGTACATAAACACATATATGCACATATGCACATAATACATATGCATCATGTTTGGAATGTGTACTAATGAGAGAGCAGGTGTACTAGTCAGTGTTTTCCAGAGAAACAACCATTAGGATGTGTATGTATGTACAGATAGATAGATACGTAGGTAGATAGATAGATAGATAGATAGATAGATAGATAGATAGACAGATAGATAGATAGATAGATATTTTTAAAAATAAATTGAAGTTGACAATTCTAAAATCTACAGTGTGGGCTGGCAGGTCAAGGACCAAGAAAAGCCCATTTTTCAGTTCTAGTTCAAAGACTGGCCGGCTGGAGACTCTGGAAAACTGATGGCAAGGGTGATGTCCAAAGACTGTCTTCTGGACAATTCCCTGTTGCTTTGGGAGACTGATATTTTTGCCCTTTTCAGACCTTCACCTGATTAGATGAGCCCTAGCCACATTATGGAGGACAGTCTGTTTAGTCAAAGTTTACCAATTTAAATGCTAATTTCATCCAAAATGCCCTCCAAGTTGACACATAAATTAAGCATCACAACAGCATATGGAAAGAGCTTAGTTGTCAGTAGTTACTATGGAACATGTACTATCGTTCTTAATTTTAAAGTAAGCCTGTGTGTGTGTGTGTGTGTGTGTGTGTGTGTGTGTGTGTGTAAGACAATTTTTTTAGTCTTTTAGACTTATAAGAACAAAATGTGATATTATCTATAAAAGAGTTTAGCAAACTGCAAAGTTCAGTATAAACCTAAGGTGGGGTCATTATTATTATATATCTATATATTTTTAGAGATGGGTTCTTATTCTGTCTTCCAGGCTAGAGTTCAGTGGTGCCATCATAGCCCACTGCAATTTCAAACCCCTGGACCCAAGCAATTCTCACATCTCAACCTCCTGAGTAGCTGGGCCTACAAGAGTTTTAGATATTGGCTATCTAAAAAAATATATATATTTTTTGTAGAGACAGGGCTTCATTATGTTATCCAGGCTCAAACTCCTGGCCTCAGGCAATCCTCCTGCCTTAGCCTCCCAAATAACTGGAATTTCAGGAATGAGCCAGTAAGCCTGGCATGGAATCATTATTATTATAAAAGCTTTTGGAGTCATAATTATGTTGAATGTGCCTTTTAGATACCTAAAACCTGTGACTCTAAGAGCAATGCTAAATGTGTCATCATTTTAAAATCATTCTTATCATCTTTGTTGGCATTATCAGAATTTAAGTATAGATAGATAGATAGATAGATAGATAGATAGATAGATACATAGATTGTTCTGTTTCAGTCTTTTAAATTTCCAATGTGAAATTTGCTCTTTCTTGAAAATTGCATTTAAACATTTAAACCACATGCATTTATTAATCTTTCAGATTCACGGACTACTTCCTATTTTTCATGTCAAATATCTGGTATTATTTTTGAGTGCCCTCATTCTTTATCTAAACTTTGAAATTAAGTACAAAATTCTGAATTTATGGGAATTATGTATTGATGAGTTTTAATATTAAAAATTAAATTATTTTAAAATACTAAAAATTATTCCATGATAACAGACATTGTACTTTTGCCAAAACAAGTTTGCAGTTCCCTGGCTTTATACTTGTTGTGGCATATATTTTTTCTTTAATTGTTGACACTATTGGGAACATACCAGGGGAGATGTAGTTGACACTATTGGGAACATACCAGGGGAGATGTCCAGTCAGAAGAGGCAACATTATTGATTGCATTTAGAAATTATATAAGTAAACATTGATTGTAATTGTACATTCTAAAATTAAGAAAATTATTTGGCATATGATAAGCACTCAATAACTGTTTAATTAATTACCTCTGGCTCTTCCTGAGTTTTGCTGGTTGTCAGATTTTAACTAAGGAAGGTAAAAACACAAAACTAAAATTCAATTTATCCTCTTATATTAAAATAGGTTGAAGAATTTCTCTTTGTCACACCTTTGTTATAAAAATATACTGCATCATGAAACTATGAGAGAATCACTCTATCGTCAACACTAATGGAAAAGAAGAAACCACCAGTGTATATTATGTTTAAGGCATATAGCTATTGGTAGGCAACACATTTAATTTTGTGGTAAAATATGATTCCTGCATTAGAAAATTCAAAAATTCGTATGCTATATCATTGATTTATAATTAGCTTGAAAGCATAACATCAAGTCAAACATTTCTAGGTATTTTCTGTCTGAATTCTTTCAGATTGTTCTTCTTCTACCTTCTCAGAAATAAAAGACTTTACAAATAGTTTCCAATTAACTGACCAAAATGGTAATTGGTAGATGAAACTAAAGGAAATGGTAGCTTAAAAATAAAAAGGCTTAGTAAACATGTAGTTCAAAGGCTTCCTCTTTCTCTTAGCCAATGTTACACAGATATCAGTGCACTGAAGATTTGTCTATTTTAAAACAACTTTTAAAAATTCATAAGTGCAGTGAAGATTTGTCTATATTACAACTTTAAAAATTCATATTATGCAGCTATTACAAAATGCTACATGTAAAAACATAGATTAATTTCTTAAAATCAAAAGGCTTTATTATAATTATATGCAATGATTAAGATGAAGTATTGAAAGAAGAATCCAAAGGAGATAATTTCATACCCCTTTGATTATAATCTATAAAGAGAATAAAACCTAAAATTTAAAACTCTCTTTTGTGAGATACATAAAGCATTCCTTCTGGGCATATGTCACAAAACAAGTTGTCAGCCAATTTACAAAGTCACCACAAATTCACACTATCCATTTCCTATGAATTATATTTTTACAAGTGGTATTCACACCATATGCACATTGGATTTTCTATATACAAACCAAGTTATTTGATTCATAAGCCAACAAGTGATCATTCCAAACCATAATTTCATACATAAACAGGTTTGCGGCAATCCAGAAGTTAATCACACTCAAATGAATTCATTAACTAACCAACATATTTGCGATAAAACTCCAATCTGTTAGGCACACAAAATTGTCTGGAACTGGATTTTGTTGTTGTTAAAACCATACGGTATTTTATTTTTTCTGAAAGCACATTTGGAAGACCTCTTGCTGTGGCTCTTCATTTGATAATTTTGACACAAAAAAAAGTCGTCCCAAAGATTCATTTGGATGTCCATTGCAAATCAGCACAAACAAATGATTATTGAAAAAATAAATTGTTATTGTCGAATGTTTCTGGTTAACAAACTGGAAATATATAAGCACTGTGCTCAAGCAAATATTCATTGGACATCATCTACACATAAAGCATTTTACTAATCACTGAGGGGATATGTAAATGTAAGAAATGGTTACCTCCATGAATTCCTTGGAGGAGCTTCCACCAAGGTAAAGAGGTAAGGCACTGACGATTAAGGTGAAAAATATATAGACATGTATTTAAGTAATCAAATATATAATAAAGAAAATAACATGGTACAGTATCACAGATGTTACTGATGTAGTTTGACAAAGGATGCTAGAGAAAGTGGGAACTGAATTTGTCTTTGATAAAATATATTGCTTTCATATAGATAGCAGAAAAAGACAAGCACCTCAAACCTAGAGAGCATATCCCTTTTTCTTGTTGTTGTTAGGAGTGGTGAAGAATAAGAAAGATGAGGAGAATGGTTAGGCTGAAGAAGTAGATTTGTCTTGGGAAAAGCAGGAGTTATGGTTGTCTTCTTAGAGTCAGGTCAGATTTTGGAAACTATTACAAGGGAGCTGAAAGTGTCAGTCATTTTACAGTGGATAAAACTGAAACATCAAAAGATTAAAAATAGCGTACCTTTTGTTTTAAAAATAATTTTGTATCAGTGTTTATACACACTGGACAACCATGAGAGGACTCTAATCTAAGACATTAAAAGTTTGAAAGGAGAAGAAAACAGTCATTTTAGAAAGAAATAATGAAGTCATAAGGCGCTAAGTATATGAATAGTTCTTTGTTAAATTGAGATAAGTAAGAACAAATCTACATAAAAATAGAAGTACCCAAAGATGATATATTAGATACAGTAATTGAAAGAAGGAGTGGATAACAAATAATCAAGTAAGTGATTAAAATAACAGTTTTAAAAGAATGGAGTTGTGCTATATGGGAGAGGAAACCATTATTGATGGTGTAAGATGGGAGTGACTCAGGGAAGAAAAGAGTGATGAATTCAGTTACAGAGCTATTTCAGTTAGGTAGTGATAAGGATTTATTTACCTGACCATTGCAAGGCCAGAAAAGTTGTCATTTTAATAAAATATAACGAGTATTCCTACTAGTGACAAGCATAACAATGCTGTACATGACTTCTACTTCCTTTTGATGGGAGTGGACCCACTTCATTACTTCTTTTGAGGTACCCAGAATACTTTTTATATATTTACATATTTAGGAAATTACTTCCAAAAATACTTAATGTGGATTGCATCATAAAATGTACAATTGTATAAATCAAAGTAGGTGAAAAATTAAAACATAATAAACCACATAATATTAGGAATAAGAATAATTTCTAAATTTTTACATGGCATCATCTCCTAATCACTTACTGTTATTAGACCAATGTGACTCTACAATTTTCTATAAATTTTCAAAAGGAAGAAAATCACAATTATTTTATTCCTTTCAGTTGTAGTTTTTGAAATTAACCCCTTCCTAGCTTTGCTTTACTTTTTTTTGTACGCTGTAAATGAAATAATATTTCAAAAAAGTTTACATAATGTTTACAGTTATAATCTGAAAGTAGTTAATGCAAACATGCCACTCTGCTGTCATTACTAGAAGTCCTTTTTCCCATTGTCATTATCATGGACAGAACCATACTTTCTATTAAATCAACCACAGATTTTTGTGTGCAGTTGCTTTTGGTTTTTGAAAATGTATTCTTTGTAACAGGGATCCCCATCGTCCTGCCCCAAGCATGGAAAAATTGTCTTTCATACAACCAGAAATTGATCCCTGGTGCCAAAAACATTGAGGACCACTGCTTTATAACCATGTGTAAGGTGGTGTCAAATATCTTTTTGATGTTTATGAGATCCAAGAAACATTCTTTAATTATGATAGTACTTCATGCATTTTGGTTATTTATAACATATTGTTATTTTATTGCCTGTTTCCTCATTATACATTAGTGAAGTATTATGGGAGACATTGATTTGATTCACAACAACTGGGAACATTTAGTCCTCATTATTGTACTACTTCTATTTAGATTTGTCTACTTTTAAAGATATAAATTAATGGACAAATAACTTGGGATGCTTTCTCCTTTACTTTTTGCTCTGTTTTTTAATAGCTCTCCAAATTACCCTATTCATAAAATTAATTTTCATTTTTGTATCAAAGAACATTTACAAGAAATGAAATACCTTAAAATGTGACTCCCAGTCGGGTATGGTGGCTCGTGCCTGTAATCCCAGCACTTTGGTAGGCTGAGGCAGGCGGTCACCTAATGACAGGAGTTCGAGACCAGCCTGACCAACATGGTGAAACCCTGTCTCTACTAAAAATACAAAAATTTGCTGGGCATGGTGGTACGAACCTGTAATCCCTGCTATTAGGGAGGCTGAGGCCAGAAAATTGCTTGAACCCTGGAGGCGGAGGTTGCAATGAGCCAAGATGGTGCCACTGCACTCCAGCCTGGGTGACAAGAGTGAGAGACTCCATCTCAAAGAAAAAAAAAAAAAAGTGATTCCCCATCACTTTATTTTCTTCCAATTATTTTTAGTGAACAAAAAAAGTTTTTCCAAGACATTAATATTCACTTCCAAGTTATACTGTTTTCAAGATAATACATCTGATTTGAAATTTTCTGTTTACTTTTGACATTTTAAAATAGTAACCTTGTATTTAGCTAGTTCTCTAGCAAGAATTTTTCTTCAGGGACTACAAGAATCTTCAGAACTAACAGAAAGTAAAATCTATGAAGTTCAAAATATCAAGATTCCATAAAAATATGAGATAAATTGAACTTTAATATTTTAGCAAATGATATGACAATATGGTTTTAATATTTCTATTGAGCTACACACAACTGGACAAAAAGAAATCACACTACCTATTTCAACAAATTCCCTATATTTAATATAGAGAATTTGTAACAAAGCTGTTGGAAGGCTGTATAAGCAAAAAGAGAAAACAGGATCCAGAGATAATAACTCAAAAAAAAGAAAAAAAATGACTTGCAGAACAAAAGGAAGAAGTTACTTTGTCACATCCTAGAGTCTGGGAAGAAGAGCAACACAGATCTGGAACTTCTTCCTGAAGAAGAAACTAATCTGTAGCTGGTTCCACTAAGGAAGAATAATGAGACTGGTTCAAAGAGTGTCTGAAGAAGCTCGTGGAGAACTACCTGCTGCTCTAGGAGGAAAGGTCTACTTCTGGGCAAAAATAGTAAACAAAGCATTTAGTAGGACCTTGTCCCCCTTTCTCTTCCTGCATTCCAATCTCCTTCTATTTTGTCGTATTTGGAGCTGAGAGAAAATTGACAAACAATACAGACTATACCAGTCTACAGCCATTTGTGTTGATGTAGCAAATACAAGCAACATGCTTCTGCCTAACAAAATGCGACTCTCCCCAGTACAAAATAAATCTCTCTCACTCTCTCCACAAGAAGCCAGATGCAAATTCCTAACAATCATGGCATCTATCTTTGGCCTCAGTCCCAGCACTCATGTTCATCCTCTTCTTGTTTAGTTACAATCCCACCCTAATATCATGAAACCTAAAAGAAGCATTGGAAAGTTAACCAATAATCCTTATACAAAATGATAATGGAAATGAGGAGTGAACAAAAAAGTATTGAAAGATAAAAAGTAAATAAATAATTGGCATATTATTTTGGGGTCAATTTTGAATGAAGATAATAACCATAAAAGATCATGACTAAAACACTGAATGAAGAGTGAGTACAAAAATTCTATAAAAAAATTAAAGGCTTATGTTCTATGTTTTTTTAAATTTCTAATTTGATGAAAAGTTTTCACTGTTGTAAAATAAAGGTATAATTTACCATGGAAATTTTTGCAGTGTAATTATTTATCATGTTTTATGCTGATATATATTTTCTATTGCAGAAATTTGAATCAGATACATGTAATTTCTCATCTATGATATTGTGAGTTTTTGATGAATAATACCTGTTTTTCAATCTTAAAATTAACAAATTTCTGAAAGATTCCTAACCTATTATTTAATTTGCTATGTGTCCATGTTCTCTGGTATTTTTAGTTTATATTCTACATAAGCTAGTCATAATTGCCATACATCAAAATCTCTATACAGTTAGGAATTTTTCAAATATTTGTAGCAACATGAGTTTAATAACAGAGAATTAAATATCAAAATATGTAGGTTAAAATTAGCATAACTTATGGATATCTGGATAATATAATGATATAAGAAAATTTTAACAACCACTGTCGTTCATTTACTTAATAGCTCAATAGTGAATTTTGCTGCATAGTAATCCAAATATCTTACTGGTACGGACTTTTCAGGTTTTGTTTGTTTGTTTGTTTGTTTTCAAGGAGATAACCAGAAAGAAAAAAAAATTCTTTCAGACTTTTGAACTCAGTTTAATTTCAAACCACACAACCATGAATTCTTCAATCCTAGTAAGTGATGATCACAGAGGGAGCTCATCCTTTCATCACAGAGTTGAAGAATTATTTTGCTCTGTGCAATTCTACTGGATACATTTTGACAGATCTTCAATTTTCATTTATTTTGTAATCAAAAGGAGTCATTTCCTTGTCGCTGGTACTGGTCTGAGTAGTTCAGAAGGAAGAAACAGAAACAGCAGGGGCAAAGTGTATGATATTTGAAACATCAATTCTCTCTAAATTTTGCTGAAAATTAAAATGACAGTTAATTTATTTATCTATTAGCAGAGTCAAAGCCGTTTATATGAAAAATAAATTCAATGGGTAACCATGCAGATGTTTTGTGGTTTTGAAGCTTTTTACTTGCTACAAGCAATATTTATGGACAAGACCGGCAGGTCTCTTTATACACTGAATATAAAGGGAAAAGGAGAAGAAAAAAAAGTGAAAAGAAGAAATATAATGTGAATAGAGATTTTTTTAAACCATAAAAATTAAACAAAAAGTTTCATTTAGTGAGAAGTAACTTATTCTAAATTCAAGATGTCAGATATAGTTTTTGTTTGATATTATCTCATATCTCAGAATCTTGTTTTATTTCATATTGTGAGACTTCCACTTGGAAAAATATTGGTGTTGGTAATCATTCTTATCCATGTTTATCTCCCCGACTTCATCTTTTCTCATGATGACAAAAAATTTCCTGAGCTTATTTAAGCACATTAAAACAAATTATGAGAATTGTTTCATGTAATTCTCACAACACTATGAAGTAGCTACTATTATAATCTCCACTTTAAGCATCTGAAGGCTAGTGATGTTAAGTAACTAATTTAAGGTCTAGAGCTGCATTGTACCTGTGGATTAGAAAAATATGTCTGCCCTAAGCAGGCATAGAAATTAGTGTGGTCTGTGGGTGGGCAAGCAGACCTCTGGCTGGCTTTCATGTTGATTAGCAATTTTGGCCCAAAACATTGGTATGAAGATCACCCTGAACAACTCTGCATGATGTCCCTACTGAGGTCACACAACCTGTTATTGATGAAACTGAGATTCACTTCTTCCAATACGTGTATTTGTCACTACTACACTCTTTTGTCACTCAACTAACTCTAGTGAATACTTCAAACTTCAGATTGATTGTCTCTTCTTCCTACAAATTCCTTTTCTAAGTGTGCCCCTCTGAATTGGGTACCTCTCCACAAGCTTCAATCAATCTTGTAGATATTTCTGACAAGAATTCATCATATTGACTGAGACTGTGAAGTTACTTGTATATTTTTCTAGGTGATCAGTAAACATTACTATAGTACATACTTTCTCAGAACCTGCCAGACTGTCATATATTACGACTTCAATAAATATACACGAATATGAGGAAGTTCCATTGTCCAGTAGAAATTTGGTAAAGGCATGTCAGGAGCTAACAAAGCCTGAATCTGATCTGAATCTGAATTCTGAATCTGAAAGTGTGGAATAACATGAAAACAAAACAAAAAAAAACAAGTAATAGAGGACTTATGAAAGGATAATTTTTTCTAGCAGTCTATCCCAGTTGAGTGTACATTGGAAAACTGACATCACAGCTTCAATGACCCATGAAGAAGCACTGAAGGGTTAAACTTCCTCTTTCACTGCCCCCTCTCTAGAGCTTTCCCTTTTTATGCTATGTTTCAATGTGTTAATATTCTATGTTTCATTGAAATAAGGTGTTATGTTATCATATAAATGAGACCAAAGTATATATTGACTTCAATATATAAAAACCTTAGTTCAAAAACAACTCAAAATACCCTCTGGCCCACATGTATTTTGCTCTTCAGTATGACATTTAAAAGAAAGATAAGAAAATGGAGTGTCAGTTTTTTTCTAAGTCACTACTCAGTTGACATTTCTAAATAGCACAGGATTATAACAACATTAGATATAACTTGACTAATCATCTTACATTTGACCTCAATTTGTGAGCACATTTGTAATCACATGTCTTCAAATCCTATTACTCTATCAGAGTTTCAAAATACCATTCAATAATAAGATCCCCATAAGAAACTAAGCATTCTCTATACCTACATATGCTAGGTAAAATAATATACACATATAAATTATTTTGTCTGTCATTTCAAAAGTCAAACTATTATACAATAAGTGGCTAAAATGTATAGAAATATGACCCATGATATGTTTGTTTAGGATACTGAAATTTCCTTGATTCTTAATTTATGTGTGTATTTGCCAAAAAGTTAAGAAATCTATACAAATTTCCAAATTATCATTGGTATTTTACCCTTGTAATTTAATGGATGTGTTTCCCATGTAATTAGAAGGAAGACTAAAGGCTTGCAGGAATTCCACAGAGCCAGGGCTGTAACTGAATTCAATAAATTTGTGCTATGTTGAAGTTTTTAATTTTTTACTTTCTAACTTGCTACTTCTCAACAATGTATGGGTAAATGGGTTTAATATGTAATTTTTCTTTGAGAATGCTAATGAGGCTTAAGAATCAAACTCTGGGCACCTCTAGATTTATAAAAATATATCAATAATTGTCCAAAAATGAGAAAAGACCAAACTGAAGTATATATGAATGGTAGCATACTTTGCAAATTGTATATAACCTATACACTGACATAATGCTTACCACATGCTAAACACTGTGTACATGCTTTACATTCTTTGCTAATTTAGTTCTCATTTCAACCCTATAAAGTAAGTTGTATTATAATCTCTATTTTTCATATGAGAAAACTGAGCAACAGAGTATGTAACTTGCCTAAGGTCACATATTATGTGACAATCTGGATTCATACCAATGCAGTCTGGCAGCAAAACACAGGCTCTTAAATGGTTTTCTTGCTACTTGCCTAACATTGTACAAAAAACAAAATAATATGATTACAAGTGCAAAGCTATTTTAAGAACATGAATGTTTAGAAACAGAAGGAAAGATAATGCATATGCATTTGCACAGTTATCTCAGCTTTGAAATAAAATGAAAAAGGACTGATGAACATATGTAGTCAATTTCTTATGACTGAAGCCTATTCATGTGCACGGTGTCTATGTTGTGGGCTGCAGTTTCAGACTAACCTGGAATGTATAGTGAACTGGTAAATCAGGCTTACTATATGTCATTTATTGAGGTACTGAAGTATTTTCTTGTGAAGAAAGAGGCAGCCTGTTTCAGTGATGCAGTAAGGGCACACAATACCTGGGTTTGAAGTATAAGTCTTTATTTTATTAGCTGTGTGACCTTGAGCAAGTTGCTTACCTCTGTGTGCCACAGCTTCCTCATTTGTGACATGAAGCTAATAACAGTACCTGATTCTGTTATTGTAGTGAGAATTAAATGAGTTCATGTTAAGAGAGTATTTACAACAGCACTTGGCACAAATTAAGTGCTATACAATTGTTTTTCAGTTAAGATGAATTCAAGGATATCAAACTTGACTGCATAAGAGAGTATCATGTTTGGAGAGAAGAAATAATTTTATTGCGAGACACAAAGTGGTGTCTGTCACTTAAATCCTTCACCAATCTACCTCCTGTACTCGTGGAAAAAAAGGAATCAGTAAGTTAAATCTACAATAGTGCTTTTTAACCAAAAATTTACTAAAATTGGGGTGGGGGTAAAAATAAGCTTTATGAAACATAGTATAAAAAATAAATAAGCATTAGCTTTTGCCCTCAATGAACCAAACGTAACTTCAGCACATTGAAGAATGGAGTACCATGAAAAGGCATAAGTAGGGCTAGTTGAAGTGTTGTGGTACTATGAGGAAGCCGGCATTGCAGCAGGAGCAGCAGTGCCCAGGAGTCGATAGTGCAAAGCAGGAAACAACTGTGTGTTTTCCCTGTAATAGTAAGGGTGGTCAGTGGGTTAGGGAAAATAGTCACACTATAAGGTAAGTACCACTTGGAAGGGATTCTACTTCTCATGTATCTTATCAGAAATCTAGTGGAGAAACTCTAACATACTTTGGTACTAGTCTATCATTTATACTTAGGAAGATAAGTAAACATGGATTTAAAATTTCTTCTTTATGCAGCTTTCAGTTCCATGAGTATACAGTTATATAATATTTTCATCTAAGATCATTGTCACCATACTCATTTCCATCAGATGTGTATAAATGGCAATCCTGTCTTATGTTTAACTTTTCTAACCCATTTTTTTCTAACTTAATTCAGTCTTGTCACCCAAGTACTGAATACTAATATATTAAACATCTAATTTTGTAGTTTAGTTATCTGAGTTTGTAAAATCTGTTTCAATGTATATCCTAAGATTTAAGTAGAAAAACATTTGAAGAGGGCAATGTGGAGGAAAAAAAGGAAAATTTTAGAGAATATGAACTAGTCCCTTTAAGTTCAAAGAGAACATAAAACAGGGAGGTAAAAAAGAGGGTAAAATAAATGAATGTGAGTTGTGTTCTAAAGATATTAGATGGTGAAAACAAATGCTTTACAGAAATGCTCCAGTCCACAAAATAATCATTAAGTGTTATTTGAAAAATATAACTTTCAATCCTTGGGTATTTTGAGTTGAAGCTACCTCATTGTGAACTATGAAATATTCTCCATGTGTATAGTTGCTTAACATTTTTCTCATATGTTAAGTGTTATAGTTTGATGACACTCATAATCTCAACTGAAATGATAATGGATCTTTTCCAGGTTTGACACGGACTCTTGTTTTAATATTTTGGGGTATTTTTAATGATCTGTGGGGCTGGTGCATTAGTCTTCATTGTTCATTTTAAATATATTTCATGTGAAATTTTTTTCTGTTATTTAAAGAATTTGAAAGTAGAGAAAATAACAAAAACAAAACAGAAACATTACCTATAATCCCATCATTCAGGGGCAAAAATGTTTCCTATTTTAATATATTTTCCTCCAGCGTATCACTTTTAAAATGATAAATAACAGTGTAGCTCTCTTATTTTAAAACAAATAAAATATGATGAAGACAACTAGAAGTCAGGTGCTGTAACTGGAGGCCAAAGACCAGCAGTGAGAGCCCTCTATTTAAATCCGGGGTCATAAGTGTAACAGATAAATACATTAGGGAAATGGAAAACATTCAGCAACCACAAGGCTGGCAGGTTGAGAGGGCTGGGGGCTGCTGATTCAAGAGCTCTTCCTCCTGCTAGTTTATCATCCACACTTCAGAGATCTTTATGGAAATGACCAATAAGCCAGACTAGTGCAAATAAGTCCACTGAGGTAGTTCTTAATACCCATTCTTATCAAATTGAATCACGATGGAACTAATCTTCTACAAATTATTTCAGAGAGTTGACATTTTATGTGCACATTAAACCTACCTGGAAAGGGGCCATCAAACTGGAGAGGAGCACAGCTGATTTCTGTCAGGCTTCAACTTGGTATTTATTAAGCTAAGTCTGTATATCCTTTAGCACTGAGTGAAACATGACCATCCTTAACTTACCCAAGGTAGAGGCAGCAGGAGAAAACAAAGCAGCTAGGAAAGAAAAGAAAATACAATTGTGTTTTACAAAGAGCTAGATCAAATAAGTGTATTTAATAACTGTCAGCATTTTGACTTCAGATTAATGTACAGATTACACTGATTCAACATGGTTTAAAGGATGCAACTGTCAATACTGACTCATTTGCTTTGTAACTATTTACTTCAAGTAATTACAATTTCTAAAAGCCAGTGGAAGAAATATTTATTGCGTGACCACAATAAGACATGACAGTACTTAAATGGAAGGTTCTAGGTATGTATGAACATGTAATGTACAATACGTTTATCTTTTTGTGGAGATGTAAATAACACATTTTCAAGGCAGAGTTTAGAGGATTGAATACTGGGTAGCAAGACCAGAAGTGGAGATAATGATATCAGATCATTATTACATACAACCAGACAGTCTGTCTCTTATATAATTTATTTGCCTATGACGTTGTAGATAAAGAACATTATCCTGTACATATCCTAATTTTTTCATTTTTGAATCCTTAAAACAGTTCTGAGAAATAAGTTAGTTATTCTACTAAACCTAAATTACTCAAGAAGATATTGAGACTCACGAAAGATGCATACTTTGAGGAAGTTTAGCTTGGACTCAATGTGTTGTAAGTTCGGGGCTGCCGGGCGCAATGGCTCACACATGTAATCCCAGCAGTTTGGGAGGCCGAGGCGAGCAGATCACCTGAGGTCAGGAGTTCAAGACCAGCCTGGCCAACCTGGTGAAATACCGTCTCTACTAAAAATACAGAAAATTAGCAGGGTGTGGTGGCAGGTACCCGTAGTCCCAGCTACTCGGGATGCTGAGGCAGGAGAATCGCTTCAACCTGGGAGGCGGAGGTTGCAGTGAGTGGAAATCACGCCATTGCACTCCAGCCTGGGCAACAAGAGCGAAACTCTGTCTCAAAACAACAACAACAACAACAACAACAACAAAAATCTTTGGGGTCAAGGTTCTAATCATCATGGTATGCTGTTCCTCACAATATAAAATTATGTGCCTCAAATACTTGAGAATTGTCAATTTTAAATAGTTAACCTATTAGGTAAAAGAATCAATTTCTGCCTGATGAGATGGAACATTTTCCCACTTTACATTACACTTCACATTATATAGTAAATTCATTAATTCTCTGAAGATAAAATTTATGTTAATATACTCAAATAATTTTGTGCAGTTTCATCTCCATTTTTCTAATATTTCAGAATCACTAAGCTAACTATGATTTCTGTACCATTAAATTCTAAAGATGTTATTCATGCCTCATTATATTCCAACTCCAAGCAACACTTACTACATTTACCAATTTATCTCTTTCTGTAACACTTTCTTCCCTTGGATTCCTCCTACTTCTCAGATCACATATGTCAGTCACTTTTGCCAGTTCCTCTCTTTCTACCAAATGTTTGTGTTCCTCAAGTGAATCTGAAACCTTTTTTTCCCTATGCTTACACTAGGAAGTCTCATCTTTACTCACAGCTTTAATTATTATCTATATGCAGATGACTTCCAGATTGTGTCAATCAAGACCTAGCCTCCGGACAACATACCTACATATTTGCCTAACTCGCTGGGAGTACCTCTTGGATGTCTGCAACACACCTCAAATTCAGCTCTTTCAAGATTAAATTTGTCTTTTTCTCTTATATTAATGATTCTAACAAAGTAATTTCTAAGCAAATGTGTAGTTCAGCATTAGTTCCATGGAAAACTGAAAAATAATGGCTTAGATAAGGCCATCTGGAAAGAGCACAAGTAAAAATTTTGACTTACAGAAAATACCTTAGTTTGACATCTCATCTGGAGAATTTTTATGCCAAACTCGTTAATGAGTGCAACACTGCCAAGGTGTTTTGGAGCTTTGGTAGTTTAACACTTCACAAATTTCAGTCCAATTTCTTTATATGAATTTTTAAAAAAATGGATCATTGAAATAAATATACTTGACAATGACTTACTTATTAGAATATGTAACAGACCCAGCACTTCGGGGGCCGAGGTGGGCGGATCACCTAAGGTCAGGAGTTTGAGACCAGCCTGGCCAACATGGTGAAACCTCGTCTGAACTAAAAATACAAAAATCAGCCAGACATGGTGGCGGGCACCTATAGTCCAAGCTACTTGGGAGGCTGAGGCAGGAGAATCACTGGAACCCGGGAGGTGGAGGTTGCAGTGAGTTGAGATCTCACCATTGCACTCCAGCCTGGGTGACAAGAGCGAAACTTCATCTCAAAGACAGAAAAAAAAACGTTGCAGAGACAATCAACATTAAAAATTGAAAAAATACTCTTTGGTGTTAATTAATTACTATAGAAAAATAAAAAAATAGGGTATAACGATTGACTACAACACAAGTAATGAGCACACTAAGTCTGAATTTCATTCTTAGATGCCATTAATCTGATTTCATTAAAGTCAGTTTTAATCTAAGCCCTATGCTTCTTAAAAGGAATTTGGTTGAAACATTGTTCTGATGTTAATAAAGGAAAAATATTTTTTCTAGTTATAAATTATTTAACATATTACTATATAATTAAATGTTAATACATTGCATTTTCTATAAATTACAATATTCATTCTTACCAAATAAAAATAATATAAACTGATAATTGGCATTATTTTCATACACTCTTGAGAATATGAGCTAATAGGAAAGATGTGCCAATGCTGTGTCTATATGATGGAACTATTTAGAGCAGGAAAAAAATATGTGATCAGTCAATTTTATTCTCTAAAGGTTGTCCTTACTACAGCTTTTAATTGTAACACTATGTCAATTTTTGCTTCCAGACTGTAAGTAAGATGGACCAGTTAGCAACTTTGTGATCATAAATGTATAGCTAATTTAAAAACAAACGTGAAATATTGAAAATTAAAGTTTATTTTGAGTCTTATTTTTTGATGTTTGTTTCTATCTTATATTTGGTCCTTATTTGAAATGGAAATTTTGTTGTTTTTTTTTTTTTGCATATATGTGTGTTCATCAGGGATATTGGCCTGTAATCTTTTTCTCTTGTAGTGTCTTTGTCTGGCTTTAGTGTCATTGTAATAAATAAATTTGGAAGTGTTCCTTTCAATTCAATTTTTTGGAAGTGTTTAAGAAAGATTGCTTTTTTTTCCTTCTTCTTTAAATGTTCAGTAGAATTCAGTGACCCTGTTAGGTCTTGGGCTTTCTTTGATGGGAAACTTTTTAATTACTGATTCAATCTCCTTATTCATTGTTCTGTTGGGAATTTAAATTTCTTCATGATTCAGTCTTAGTAGATTTTGTGTATTAGATTGTATGCATCTGAGGCTTTATTCATCTCTTCCAGGTTATCCAATTTATGGGCATATAATTGTTCATAGTAGTCTTTTATGATCATTTGTATTTCTATGGTATCAAAGAAATGTCTCCTCTTTTATTTTGAACTCTATTCATCCACACCCTCTCTCATTTTTTCTTAGTCTAGCTAAAGTTTTGTCAATTTTTTTCATTTCCAGAAAACTGAATATTAGTTTTGTTGATATTTTCTATCATTTTTCTAGTCTCTGTTCCATTTATTTCTGCTCTGATCTTTATTTTCTTCCTTAACTTTTGACTTAGTTTCTTTTCCTAGTTTCTTGAGGTAATATTAGGTTATTCTGAATTGTCCTTATTTTTTGATGTAGGTGTCTATTGCTATAAAGCACCTCTTAGGACTGCTTTTTCTATATCTCATGAGTTTTTGTGTGTTTTTTCCCTTTTTGTTTTTTTCAACTTTTTCTTTTTTTAAATTTTGCTTTTGATTTTTTGACTCTGGTTGTTTAGGAGCATGGCATCTAATTTCCACATATTCATGAATGTTACAAAAATATTTCTATTATTTATTTGTAGTTAAATATGATTGTGGTTAAGAAGGATACTTGATATAATTTCAGTCTTTTCAAATTTGTTAAGACCTATTTGGTGGCATGACATCTGATCTATCCTGGAAAATGTTCCTTGTGCACTTGAGAACAATGTGTACTCTACAGTTGTTGGATGGAATGTTCTTTATGTGTCTGTTAGGTCCATTTGATCTAAAATGTAGTTCAAATCCAATATTTCTTTACTGATTTTCTGTATGGATGATCTGGCCATTGTTAACAATCTTGTTTTGAAGTCTCCTAGTATTACTGTATTGCCCCAATTTGTTAATATTTGCTTTATACAGTTAAGTGCTTTGGTGTTGAGTACATACATATTTATAATTTTATGTCTTCTGGATGAATTGATTCCTTTGCCAATATGTAATAACCTTTTCTATTTTTAAAATTTTTTACTTAAAGTCTATTTTGTCTGATATAAATATAACTACCTCCGCATCTTTTGGTTTCTAGTTGTATGGAATATTCTTTACAACTTTTCATATTCAATCTGTGTTTGTCCTTAAAGGTGATATGAGTCTTTTGTAGCCAGCATATAGATTGACCTCTTTTGTCTAATGTCCATTCTTTTACTCCATGTCTTTTTATTGGATAATTTAATTCATTTACATTCGAGGTAATCACTGATAGGTAAGGACTTACTACTGTCATTTTGTTCATTCTTTTTCAGTTGTTTTGTAGATTCTTTATTCCTTTCTTCCTCTTGTCCTATCATCCTATCTTCTTTTGTATTTAGGTGATTTTCTATAGTGGTATGCTTTGATTCCTTACTTGTTGTGTTTTATATATCTACTATATGTTTTTGCCTTTTCTTACTGTAAGAATTACATAAAATATCTTATAGTTGCAACAGGTTAGTTAAGCTGATGATAAATTAACTAACTTTGATTACATTTAAAAAACTGTACATTTTTACTCCATCACTCCACATTTTATGATTTATGTCACAAATTACATTTTAAATTTTACATTTCTTAATGTATCATTGCAGTCATTTTTTAATTGTTTTATCTCTTAACCTTCATGCTTCAGACAGAAATGGTTTATGCACCACCATGAGAGTTAGATTATTTTGAATTTGTGTACTCATTTTTATTAGTAAGAGTTTGCTTTTATATGTTTTCATTTTACTAATTACCATGCTTTTCTTTCAGCTGAAATAACTAAATAACTCCCTCTAGTTTTTCTTTTCTTTCTTTTTCTTTCTTCCTTCCCACCCTCCCTTCCTTCCTTCCCTTCCTTCCTTCCATTCCTTCCTTTCCTTCGTTCCTTCCTTTCTTTCCTTCCTTCCTTTCCTTCCTTCCTTTCCTTCGTTCCTTCCTTTCTTTCCTTCTTTCCTTTCCTTCCTTCCTTTCCTTCCTTCCTTTCCTTCCTTCCTTCCTTTCCTTCCTTCCTTCCTTCCTTTTTTTTTTTTTTGGCGGACTCTTGCTCTGTCACCAGGGTTGGAGTGCAATGGCACAATCTTGGCTCACTGCAAACTCTGCCTCCTAGGTTCAAGCCATTATCATGCCTCAGCCTCCTGAGTAGCTGGAATTACAGGTGTGTGCCACTACACCTGGCTAATTTTTGCATTTTCAGTAGAGACAGGGTTTTGCTAATTTGGCCAGGCTGGTCTTGAACTCCTGACCTCAAGTTATCTGCCTGCCTTGACCTCCCAAAGTGCTGAGATTACAGGCACGAGTCACCATGCCAGACTCTTTAGTATTTCTTAAAAGACATGTCTGTTGGTGATATTTTCCCTCAGATTTTGTTTGTCTGGGGACATCTTTATCCCTCCTTATTTCTGAAGAATAGTTTTCCTGGATGAAATACTCTTGATTGACAGTTTAACTGCAGCACCTTGAATATATCATTCCACTCTCTCTTAACATGCAAAATTTCTTCTGAGAAATCTGCTGTTAGCATTATTACAACTCTTTCATAAGTGATTTGCATCTTTTCTCTTGCTGCTTACAGGATCCTCTCCTTGTCTTTGGTTTTTGACAATATGCCTTAGTGTAGTCTTTGAATTGAATCTGTTTGGAAACTTTTATCTTGCTGTAACTGGATTTTTATACCCTTCCCCAGATTTGGAAAGTTTTCTGCTATGATTTTTTAAAATAAGCTTTATGCACTTTTGTGCTTTTCTTCTTTTTGAATTCCTGTAAGTTGAATATTTGTTCTTTCGATGCTGTCCCACAAATTCCATGAGCTTTCTTTATTCCTTTTTAATTTTTTTTCCTCTGGCTGTATGTATTTCAATAAACTATCATTTAGTTCAGAGATTCTTTCTTTTGCTTTTTAATGTCTTATGTTTCTACCATTGCTTGTACCCAAAATATGCAAAGCTCCTGTAAATGATTTTTTTCTTTAAAGAAAGTTTCCTCAAAGAAAAAGTGTAAACTCTCATTGATTTCCTTCCTTTGTGGAGTGAATTGCCTGTTATAGAAATTAAGGGGTATTTTGTGAGTTGCCCAGCTTTCTTGAGGAGCACTCCATTTCTACAGTTCTCCCTCCTATAAACTCTTTGTTGCAAGGCGTCAAAGGTCTATCAGAGATGCATTGAAGTCAGGACAAACAGTGGCAGTCTGGGAGCAATCAGCCAATCCAGAGTTCACTCCCACCACCAGTTGATTAAGGCCTGGAAAGCTGGGATGATTGTGGGCTTTCAGCACAATGCAGGCTGGTCTGACCATCCCTCGGCCCTGGCCAGGGGGAGGATAATGGACATAGGCTACAGCAGGCTGGAGATAAGTACTGGCTCTCAGTGCAAAGACAAAGAAGGGCAAGTCCTGTTTAACTGGGATGGCTCAGCTGCTCCCCATGCTGTCCATGTGACTTTTCAGGCCTTTCTTCTCTTTGTCTGGGTCACTCCATTTTCAAGAGGTGAAAAGGTTGGACTGGCACTTGGACTGCTTATGATTGGGCATAGGCTTGTTGGCAGTAGAAGGAACGTCAATCTAAAGTTCCTTCTGGCTGGTGCTGGGATTTGATGGGACAGAGGAGAAATAGCTCCTTGTGGCAACAATTTTTTGGTCAATGTCCTGGAAGACCTTCTCCACTTTTAGCCTGTGTGTAGCACACATCTCGTAGTACATGCACCGTTTTAGGTCATTAGAGGGCTTCTTCACCCTGGTGTCATCGATGACCTTTGGGTTAGTGGAACTTATGGCATCTTGAGTTCCCATCAGAACTAGAAGAATCTCCCTTGTGTTCTGGTAGTTGGCCATTCAACTGTAGTAGTGGCAAACAGTCTGCAAGCTTACCACATTCTCCAAGCTGTGGAAAAACATAACAGCATACACCTGCATGGCAAACTACGCCTTCTAGGGGCCCCTCTTCATCTCTTATGAGCAGCAGATAGCCCTATAAGTCAACAACAATCTCTTTCTTAAAATTGCTACCTTCAGGAGACTCCACCTGGACATATCAGGTACTAGTGTGATAGAAAGTACCAGTTTATATTCTTTAACAAACTGGAAACAGGTTTCTGCCTTTAACACTCTATTTCACATTTTCACTTCATTCTATTTATTTTTATTTCCAGAATTTCTGTTTGTTCCAGAAATTCTGGAAATATATATATATATTCTCTCTGTTAATTTCTAATTTTAGACCTTTTTTGTTTTTGTAATTTTGTTGAATCATCTATTTGCATTTTTAAAAAAGTTTGTTTAGCTTTTAAAAACAATTATTTAAACATTTGTCAGGCAGTTTATATAGTGCCATTTCTTTGGAGTCAGATACTGGGAATTATTGTGTTATTTTAGTGGTGTTATGTTTCTTTGTTTGTGTGTTTTTTTCATGGATTTTTATTGCCTTACTTTGATGTCTAGCATTTTACAGGCTAGTTTTTCCAAGGAAAAACCTTCTCTCCCCTTTGGGGTGGATGGATGCAAGGGCACTTGCTAGATCTGTTGTAGGGCTTCTGGCACCTGTGTGGACACAGGTGTAGTCTTTGTGTAGCTCTGAGTTGTGGATGGTATTGATGAAGATTGCAGGGATCTTCAGGCACCAATGCTGTGGATGTCTTCAGTGGCAGCAAGGGTTGTTGGGGTCTTTAGTGGCAGTGGCTTCTAACATCCTCCCAATCAATTATTCTCCCACTGGAAAGTTGTGGCTGATGTGGCCCCTCTTGGCATTGGGTCTCACTTATGGGTTCACTTTTGGTGGCAGTAGCACCTGGTGTCTTTGATGAGTGGTGTCCATTGAGTAGCCACACAGCTGAGGACTGAAGTATAGTCATGCATGGAAGACTATAACTCTGGAGATCCATGTCTGTATTGGCACTGACGTCTAAGACACAGGCATCCCTCCTACTGCACTGGTAACAGTATGCAAAACATGGATATTTGTGAAGTAATGAGGGAGCCAAGAACAGGAACTCAGGCATGAGCAGTATTAGAAAGGGTCTGGTGTCCAGGCAGGGACTAGTTTTGATGGCAGCTGAGCTGGTGCCTGGAGTTTGGCACATGTAACAAGAACTAGCCTCTGGAACACATAGTGCAAACTAGCATACTATGATAATGGCCCTAGTGTCTGAAAGGTGGGTTGGCTCACCACAGCCACAGAGCCTGGGTTGAGAGTGTGGGCACTCTCATTTTAGCCATGGCTCCAAGGTTAGGGGACTCATGGGTTTGGGAGAGGTCGTGGTTTATTTCTCAAAGCAGCTCAACGGTGTCCACTCCTTGGGTAGGCGAGGACTGAGGCAGCCATATCTCCATCTCTGGGGTTTTCTGGTAGAAATGAATGTTGATTACCTTCATAGCAAAAGATGCCAGTGTCCTTTGTGGAGCAGGCCACTGAGGACCACAGTGATTCCTGCTGCATGACTGATACCAATAGCTTTTGCCTTTCTATTTTGCTCCTAGCTGTCTCTTGGTGTCTAAGGTATGTGAATCTCACCAGCAATCTATGTGGATATTCTCCAGTTTTTCACTCTACTGTGTTGCTGCAGATTTTAATGGATCCTTGAGCCTTTTTGGGGCTATTTTGATATTTGGATAGCTGTCTATATTTGTTCTTATGTGGTGGGATTGAGGGCTGGTACTTTGCCATCTTGGTGACAGCATTCTTCTATGTCCCTGTTTGATATTTTCTAATGAATATTGTCTTATATATATATATATATGCATGTGCCTCTGTGCATGCACAAATATTTAATTCAGTTTTTACTTTACCCTTACTTTAATTTTATAATTTTCAGGTTTATTTCATAATTACTCAAATTATAATACCATAGAAATTAATATAAGATATAGTATTCTATAATAATATATTAATATAATTATATAGAAAATATGTATTTATTAGGCAGACATTAAGTTATTTACATGCATTATTTCATTTAGTCAAAAAATTGAATTCATATGGTAAAATTCCACAGGAAGAAAAGCCTGAAGTTCAGAGAGTTTTTCTTTTTTTTTTTTCTTGACATCTAAACAGTTAATATTGGAGATGGTATTCAAATATAGGCCATTATACCTAAATAAATATTTTTACTAAATCGAATGAAAAGCTCCTATGCTCCTATTTCCCATTACACATTAAAATAATTGAGAATGCAACAGTAGAGGAATGTTAAGTTGTTTGAAAATATCCAGCACTGAAAAAAATTTTACTTCAATTTTTTCTTGATTTCTACATCCTCTTACTAAGATTTCACACATCACACACAAACACACACACACACACACACACACACACTTTTGATATGCAAATTAGATTTAGAACATCTTACTCCTTAAAGATTTACAATGGAAATAAGCATATGGAAGGACTGTTAGGAGACAATTCTCCATAGACTATTGTATTTCTGAATGTCTTCTGAGTGGAGACACAGGATGCCATTTAATCTGGACTATCTTTTCAAATACGTTATTATAGTGAACAGCTTGGGAAATAGACATATTGTCTTCCTCTGGAGCAAATGTAAGGCATAGATGCTATTCAATATAATACTTCTTCAATAAAGAAAAAGCATGCTTACTGTCCATTATAAGAAATTTGGGTTTCCTAAACTTAGAGCTCTTCTGTTGTAATGCAACCTGCTGCATATGCTGGCTGCCTCTGGGCGTATTCACATTGCTTCTGTGAAACATAAGAACGAAGGCAACTATCAAAAATATGCTGATGCTCATGCTTCCTGGTGGGCCATGAATAATAAAATAATTTGTCTCTGACCCAGGACTTTAATGACTTTTGTCAGCATCCATGAAACTGTGTCAAGTTAACTTGTTAGCTTGCAAGTGGGATAAAACCCCAGACCTTCACATTTTTTGAAAATATTCTAAGTTCTTCAGTAATGACTTACATTATTTAAATAAGCATTTACAAATGTCTTCATTCCTGAAACATTTCTTAACATGTAAGTTTATTAGTATACCACAAACTCATTGCATAACAAATAGTGGGATATTCTGATTTAATACAGGTAAGTAGCATATTTTTGACTGCTTGATCTTCCAAAATGCAATTTGATATGATAAAGTTCTCAGGTAAATATACAAAATTTCTGTTTTTTTCATAAACTCAGGTTTTCCATGATCACATGGCATAGATAATATACCAGTAAATTTCTCACCCATGGTTGATAGTTTCTGTTGAGCTAACTGTTTACCATAGGGAACACATTCCCATTTTTTTATTTCATGATAACTGGCAGAACAGAGCAGTGTTGCCATGGAAATATAGGCTGTGATATATATTTATAGGAAGGAAGGTGAAACAACAAGTAACAGAAACATGTAGTTGAAGAAAGAAGAATGGTGACTCAAATAAAAATTGCACCTGAAGATATTTAGTGTGCTAAATTCAGGTTGGTGATTTTCGCAATTAAGGAATACATTTCATTGAAAAATATAAGA
The DNA here is from genome assembly GCF_000001405.40 of Homo sapiens. Taxonomy (NCBI): domain Eukaryota; kingdom Metazoa; phylum Chordata; class Mammalia; order Primates; family Hominidae; genus Homo; species Homo sapiens. The sequence continues at coordinate 65,213,196 of NC_000004.12, read as the reverse complement.
AATTTTATTTATGAGCTAGTACTTACTAGATATTATTATTTTTATGTGAGAGTCTATTTTATTTATAAATGCCAATAATATTTTGAATTTATAAACCACACGGTGAAAAGACATAAGCAAAACTCAATAATAAAGTGTTTTGCTACCAACCTCTGTTCATTACATTTTCTTAATTACTGCTATGAAACTGTTCCAATCACATGAGGTAAACACTTTTGTCAGGTGAAATAAAACACAGTGAAAGAAGTTGGCAGAAATTCTTTTGAAATTAGGGGCTTCTCTAAAAATGTGACAATTTTCTTGGTGGTGAAGCTATGACAGCTATGTGAAAAGATAGAATCATTTGGTTTTGAAATTGCCTGTCACTCAATACTCTTGTCCCTTATTAGCAAAATTTTCATTCTTCTCTTGTTTTTAATTCCCCAAAGTATTATAGTACTGTTTAATAATATTTTAAAATTCTGAATTAAAAAAATAAATGGACAGTTTTCTTAAGTTTATCAGTTTATTATAAAGGATGCAGATAATAGCCAGGTGGAAGAGATGCACAGGGTGAGGTAGGGGGAAAGGTTGTGGAGCTTTCATGCCCTCTCAAGTGCTGCTACCCTCCAGGGACCTCCGTGAGTTCAGCTATCCAGAAGCTCTCCTTTTGTTTTTTATGGAGGATTCATTAGATTGGCATGATTGATTATGTCATTAACCATTGGTGATCAGCTTAACCTGCAGCCCCTCTCACCTCCCTGGAGGTTGAGGGGTGAGGCTGAAAGTTCCAACCCTCTGATCACATGGTTGGTTTACTTAACATGCCACAGCAATACACTTTACTTTTCTGAATATTCTTAAAATGCATGATTTGCTCAAAGATTTACTTTGTACCTAACTATCTCCAAAGGTGTCAGAAGGACTTCACAAATGTCTAGGGAAAGTAAAATTATCTTAAATAATTTTGAATAGAATTTTCCATGTTCCATATTATCCTACATATATTAAATAAAATTTTTTCAAGTTTTTTTTTGTTCATTTCAAATGGTGTTACTTCTCAGATGAATTATAACTACAGACATAGCTCTTATTACTTCTCTTTATTTCACAAGATTCTTCGGTTCTGGAGATTCTCCCTAGCCCACCCAACAAACACTACCAATAAAAATCAAATGTTTCAAATTTGAACACAAGAAAACTACAAGGGTTAAAGTTAACTGCATTCTTCATGTAACGGGCTTTTGTGGATTGAATTTTCTCAAAATATTCTCCTAAATATACTTGTAAATATAAATGTAATTTGTGTGCATAGTTGAAAATTTACATAATCAAGAAATGTCAAAGGCACAAATAAAAATCACACATCAATACCACTCAAATAAAATAATTTTTAATATTTGGTATGAATGAACAAACAAATAACCAGGAAAATAAAGCAAATGTTGTATTTTGTTTTTGTTTAAATGCTGATCTTTTTTGTATCTAGACAAAAGTGGGGAATAATTCAAAATTGATTATTTTATAAAATTTCAGACTCCTTACTTTAAAAATGTTTATTTAACAACCTCCATTGTTTAGTTGCAGAGAAATGAGGACCTATTTTATTTTAAATTTCAACTTTTTAATTTTAGATTCAGGAGGTACATTGCAGGTTTGTTTCATGGGTATATTGTGTCATGCTGAGGTTCGTGGAATGATTGATTCTTTCACCCAAGTACTGAGTATAGTACCCAATAGTTATTTTTAACTCTTACCGACCTCCTCTTTTCCCCCTCTAGTGGTCTCCACTCTCTATTGTTGCTATTGTTATGTCTACGAGAATGCAATATTTAGTTCCTACTTATAAGTGAGATGTGCAGTATTTGGTTTTCTATACCTATATTAATTCACTGAAGAGAATGGCTTCCAGCTGCAGCCATATTACCACAAAGAACATGATTTCATTTTTTTGGTTGTGTAATATTTCATGGTGTATATGTACCACGTTATCTTTATCCAATCCACCATTGATGAACACCTAGGTTGATTCCATGCCTTTGTTTTTGTGAATTGTGCTGTGATGAACATACAAGTGCATGTGTCTTTTTGGTAGAATAATTCATTTTCTTTTGGATATATATCCGGTAATAGGATTATTGGGTTCAATGGTAGTTTTATTTTAAGTTATTTGAGAAATCTTCAAACTGTTTTCCACAGTGGCTGAACTAATTTACATTCCCACCAACCGTGTACAAGCTTCCTCTTTTCTCCACACCATTGCCAGCATCTGTTTATTTTATTTTGTTTTAAATAATCACCATTCTGACTGGCGTGAGATGGTATTGCATTGTGGTTTTGACTTGCATTTCTCTGATGATTAGTGATGTTGAGCGTTTTCACGTTTGTTGGTTGCTTGTAAGTCTTCTTTTGAGAAGTGTCTGTTAGTGTATCTTGCCCACTTTTTAATGTGCTTATTTGTTTTTTGCTTGTTGAGTTGTTTAAGTTCCTTATAGATTCTGGATATTGGACTTTTTTCAAATGAATAGTTTGTGAATATTTTCTCCCATTCTGTAGGTTTTCTGTTACTCTGTTGTTAGGTTTTTCTGGATGTGTAGAAGCTCTTTAGTTTGCTTAAATCCCACTTGTTAATTTCTTTTTTGTTGCAATCGTTTTTGAGAACTTAGTCATAAATTATTCCCCATGGCCAATGTCCAGAATGGTGTTTCTGGGTTTTATTCTAGAATTCGTATGGTTTGAGGATTTATATTTAAATCTTTAATTCATCTTGAGCTAATTTTTGCATATGGTAAAAGGTCAGAGTTCAGTTTCATTCTTCTGTATATGGTTAGCCAGTAATCCCAGCACTATTTATTAAATACAGAGTCCTTTCCGCATTGCTTGTTTTTGTGAGCTTTCTCAAAGATCAGTTGGTTGTAGTTATGAGGCTTCATTTCTGAGTTCTCTATCCCGTCCCATTGGTTTCTGTGTCTCTTTTTGTACCAATTCCATGCTGTTTTGGTTATTGTAACCTTATAATATAGTTTGAAGTCAGGTAACCTGATGCCTCCCATTTTTTTGTTTGTTTGTTTGTTTTGTTTAAGATGGCTTTGGCTATTTGGGCTCTTCTTTGGTTCCATCTAAATTACAAAATAGTTCTCTTCTAAATCTGTTGAAATGATGCTGGTAGTTTGACATTGGTATTTTGATAGGAATAGCATTGAATCTCTACATTATGGTGTGCAATATAACCATTTTAAATATTAATTCTTCTAACCCAAGAGCACAAAATATTTTTCCATGTATTTGTGTCATCTATGATTTCTTCAACAGTGTTTTGTAGTACTCTTTGTAGAGATCTTTCACCTTCTTGGTTAGATTTATTCTCAGGTGTTTTTTTTTGTGTGTGTGTTTGCATATGTGTGTGTGTTTGTGGCTATTGTAAATAGGATTTTGTTCTTGATTTTGCTCTTAGCCTAAACATTTCTGGTTCACAGAAATGTACTGATTTTTGTATATTAATTTTTTATCCCGAAACTTTAATGAAGTCATTTATTATTGCCAGGAGGTCCTGGCAGAGTCTTTAGGGTTTTCTAGACATAGAATCATATTGTCAGCAAGAAGAGATAGTTTGACTTATTCTTTTCCCATTTTGATGCTTTTTATTTCTTTCACTTGCCTGACTTCTCTGGTTAGGAATTACAGTACTATGTTAAATAGGAATGGTGAGAGTGGGCATCCTTGTCTTATTCTAATTCCTAGGGGGAATGCTATCAACATTTGCCCATTCAGTATGATGTTGGCTGTGGCTTAGTCATAGATGGCTCTTAGCATTTTGACATATGTGAAATGAGAACTTTTGCTTTCTTTTTTTCTTGTTTTTCATGTGATAAAATTTTATCGTCACACTATTGCCAGAAAAAGAGCCTTCATTTTTGCTCATCATTTTGGGCACTTGTGCTTGACATAAGCCATGCAAAAAATTTTCATATAGACTTATTAATTTCTTTTTTTCAACCATCATTTAAGGAGCATTCCATACTATGAAAACGTTATATTTTCTTATTCCTTGGTTAAAAAATACCACATAGTTTAAAAAATTTGCATGACTTTGAATTAGATTGAATATTGTTTATATGTTTATTGGACTTTGTATTTATTTTATGTGAAAAGGCTATTACATATAATTTAAAGAAACTATGTTTGTATTTATTGATGTGTAAAACTTACATGTCAATGCATTTAAATTTATGCCTGTCATATTTACTACAAAGTGTGTTTTCAGTTTGTCATATGTCTATCTGCTATTTGACTGTATATACATTTTTATGAAGTCACATATATCAATGATATTCTTTAGAACTTTTCTTATAATCTCCTGTAAACTAAATCAGTTAGATAAAGAGAGAGAAAGTTTTAGGTAGGGAGAATTAAGTTAATAAATCTGAATCTTTACAATATGGCAACATTGGTGTATGTAATATGACTTTATTCCAATATATTTCTAATCTTTCACTCTAACTTCTCAATTCTACAAAGGAAGCCATTCTGATATGTGTCATGTATATACGTATTTATGTTATATATTGTGTGATATATATGTACATAAAACTATATATAGTATATGTATTTTTTGTAACTTTAGGGAAATCACATTATAAACCTGAATTTATTAATTCCTTGTGTTCACACTGCATTCTAAATGTAGTTTCTAACATAATTGATTCTAATTTCTGCGTAATATTCCTTAATATACATTCAACATATTTTACTTATCCATTTTCCCAGAGAAGGTGGCGCAGATTGCCTCCAATACCTCACAGCCTCAAACAATGAGGTGAACTTCATTGTGTGCATATCTTTATGGATATATGTGAGAATTTCCTAGGCCTCCATAACTAGTAGCAAAAAATCTGAAACAAATAATACATTTGTTTCTAATTTGGCTAAATGTTGCTGGATTGTTCTCCATAATGAACATACTAATCTACACTTCCAACTTTAGTAGACAAAAATTCCTGAATACCAAATATCTGCCTACACTTATCAGATTTGTAATTTTTGTTAATTTTTAGAAGCAAAGTTATGTTCTGTTTTTGTTTTTTCTCATTTCTCTAATTTCTAATGAGTTTGACTATTTCTTTCTATTATTATTTACCTTTTGGTTGTCCCTATCTGTGAATCTGTTTATATCTTTGTTTATTTTTCCATTGAGAGTCTTCTCCCACAGCTTCCCTTTGTTGTTGTGCCAATTTTCAGGAGTCTCTTTAACTTCCTTGCTTATTATAAACATTGTAAATATCTTTTAAAACTTGTCTTCTTTTCATTTCTTTGTATTTTATGATCTTTATTAAATATTAGATTCTTAATTTCACAATTATTATAATAATCAGTTTTCTGCCTTACGATTTTTAATTTGGAGTTTACTCAAATCTTTTCATTACTTAGTTTACAAGTATGTTTTTACTTAGTTGAATAACTTTATTAAAAGATTTTTTTATATCTATTGAGGTAATAGTATGTTTTTGGTCTTTGATGTATTAACAAAAAATTATATGGAATTATGTTGTATGTTGAATGATCTTTGTATTTCTGAGATAAAATGTACTTGGTCATGAAATGTTACTTTATAATATATTGTTACAATTTCTTAGTTAATATTTCATTTCTCTCTTAATTATATATACTTACATTTTCTTGAATTTTTCTTAAAAAATTTTGGAAAAAATAGCAAATGCATGAAATCAGTTGGCAATATTTTTCAGTGTCCAGTTGTGATTTTTTTAAATTTGGTAAGCAATTACTTAAATTTTTCCAATGAATTTAATTATAGTAATTTTATGAATAAATATGTAATTCTCCTGAAATGATCTTATAATATATTGAGTTAAATTTTTTTAGATAGTCAAAATTTATGTCTACATTTTTGAAGGAATGCATGACTTTTTATTCATTAGTGATGCTTCCTTTATTAGGTATTGAGATCTTAAAGATCCTAGAGATAATTTCAGGTCTCTGTATATATTGTTCCATTAATCTATCTGTTGATTTTAGCACCAGTATTATAGTCATTTTCAAAAATGTTGCATAGATGCTGTTTTACTATTTCTGGCATATCTAAAATATTTTAAATTGTCCTAACTGCAAAATAAGTTAGTTGTGATACACATTATTTTCTTAATGATTTAAAGTATTTAGGCATTATTTCACTGGTTTGATGCATGTACTAATAACAAGAATTTCAAGATGTTCCTGCTAAACTTAAAAATGATTATATAGTACTCAATAAAAATACATATTTTCAGTTATTCTAATCAAATTTGCAGAATTATTTTATTTTATTTTAGGTTGACAATGTTGTCTTTCCTTGAAAGTTATCTTTTCCTGGCTTGTGTAACACTAGAACTTCATATTTTTTCTCTCGTTTCTTCAAATAACTTCTCAACTTCTTCTAGGTCGGTCCTGCTACAGATTGAATGTTCACATTCTCCAAAAACTTAATTGCTGAAATCTTAACCCCTAATTTGATGGCATTAGGAAGTGGAGTCGTTGGAGGTGATAAGGTCATGAGAACAGATCCCTCATGAATGGCATTAGTGCCCGTATAAAAGAGTCCTCAGAGAACTCCCTCATCCATTTCACCATTTGAAGACACAGCAAGAAGATCGTAATCAATAAACTAGAAAGTTGGCCCTTACCAGATATTGAATCTACTGGCACCTTGATCTTGGACTTTCCAGCCTTCAGAACTGTGAGGAATAAATTTCTGTTGTTTACAAGCTCCCCCCTTATGGCATTTTATTACTGCAACAAGAACAAACTAAGACAGTCTCTTTCTTGGCTCCTTCTTTCTACTTACTGCTTCAGTGTTATTGTTTCTCTAAAGGGCTTAATCACTGGCCCTTCTCACACTACACTGTTTTTTTCAGTGATCATATTCAGACCCATACTATCAGTGAAATATGACTAATATTTAGTAATGTATATAAACAATTCAGAACACTCTTTTGATGTTAAGTGATATACCCAGATCTCTCACACAAAACTTGAAATCTTGTCGAAAACTGATTTTATAATCTCTCTCCTACCTCAGAACATGGCCAACACAGAAATCTTCCTTCTTTTTCATGGTTCCCTATCTCATTCCAGTCCACCTAGTTACTAGTTCATCCTGGAATATCATCAGCATCATCTATGATGCTTCCCTTTTCTTTACCACTAAGATCCTTTCAAATACCAAGTATTGCTAATTCCATCTTAAAATACATTTAATATGCCCATATTTTTCAGTCTACCTTTAACAACCTCAAATTTTCACCTTTCTTTTTCTTTTTTGCTTGGGCTTCTAGAATATTGTTCTAGGAGGTTTTCCCATATGTATGCTAGTCTCACTCTCTTCCACACCGCTTTGGGAATATATTGAGGGTGTAAATTTGATTGCTTTACAAGAATGCCCAAAACTCTGTTCTATAGTTTTGTGTGTATAGTTTGGATGTTTTATTATGTATCTGTTTTTTCCTGAATAAGAAGATGCTTATAATATCATGATTTATTATTTGCCAACAGAGAGATCACATGAGTTTCCCTTGGCTTTTCTTATAGAAAATGTGTGAAATATTCTATTTTTAATACTCATAATTGGAGAACAGACATAGCATCCATTAAGACTCCTGGAATCTAATAATCATATTTCCTATGCAGTTCTGATGAAGTGAAAGGACCATCTATACTTTTCCTTGTCTAATCCTTTGAAACTCTTCATTAATGGGATACACAAACAAAAAATATAATTACCAGCATATCTTATTACTTTTACAATCATTGTTTCTTTATTTCCTTTAAGGATTAAACTTCTGGGATTTTAATCTCAAAACCATGTCTTTTTCTTGGGTTCTCCGACCCAAGAAAAGTTGGTAGGGTTGTCTCTGTGTGTGCTCCTCTGCGTGTGGTTGTTTTTATTTTTTGTCTCTTCAGCAAGTAGTTATGGAGAGGTAGACTGAGCAGTTTCTAGTTTTCTACCTATTATAAAAAACTTAAGGCTGGGCACGGTGGCTCATGCCTATAATCTTAACATTTTGGGAGGCTGAGGTGGGTGGATCACTTGAGGTTCAGGAGTTTGAGACCAGCCTGGCCCACATGGTGAAATCCTGTCTCTACTGAAAATACAAAAATTAGCTGGGCGTGGTGGTGAGCACATGTAATCCCAACTACTTGGGAGGCAGAGGCAAGAGAATCATTTGAACTCATGAGGTGAAGGATGCAGTGAGCCAAGATCGCACCATTGCACTCCGCCTGGGCAAGGAGAGCAAAACTTCATCTCAAAATAAATAAATAAATAAAAATAAATAATAATCCAACAGAAAACTATCCAAATATCATTAGCAGGTTGTTAATAGAAAAATAATTACAAATATCCAGTAAAATATGAAAAAGATTATCACACTCATCTTTAGATAAATAAACATTTAAAGTATAGATAGCATTTTTTTCACCAAGTAGCTTGAGAAACTCTTCAAAAGTTTGATCCAATCCTCTTTTTAACATTCTTGTGAATTGAAAGTCCTTATCAACTATCTGGTAGAGAAACATATTATGACATATAAAAATGTTAAATATACTTCTTTAAACAGAAACTCCACTTCTATTATTTATAGTTAAGTTATACTTATCTAAATATGTAAACATACATGTATGTAAATGTTTTCACATTTTTAGTTGTTAAGAGATACAATAATCATATTTTAGAAGATACTTTGAATAAAATACAGCTACTGCTTTATGGAAGCTATCAAAACTTAAAATCCACCACCCTGAATATATCAATTACATATAAGCTGTCCATTCAGAATTGTCATGCAGGAGTGTGTAGTGCTATTATACCTGAAGGGCAATGGAGAGAAGCTATACATACTTTCAAGAGTCTGGCCTTCCTCATCATAGCAGCTGTCAGATATCAGCCTTGCTATCAGACAGTTACTTGTGTTAAAATTTCAAGAACTGTCACAGGCACTGGTCATCATGTAACCTTTTTCTATTATCCCTTTAACCAAAGTGTCACAGTGCCTTCAGCACTTCTATTGCAAACACCATAGAGAGGCAACAAATATTATCTAGATTCAGTAAAATTCATGAAAATAACATTATTATCTGACAAAAAAATCAATCATAAGATATTTCAATGCAATTTCTAGCTGTAATGCTGACAAAAGTATCAAAACCACTAAGGTGAACTTGAAGAGAATCTAACCTCATAAGTTCCCATCACAGGATTTTTGAGGATGGAGTGATGCACTTTGGGAACTTAATGAATCTCCAGCATTGCTTTAGATCCACGCTGCCAATGGGAACATGGTCTGGATTTATATTCTACAAAGAGAAGAATTTTGCTCATGTCTTGAGAGGCGGGATAGTGCTTGGCTGCACATATATTTCTAAGCATTACAAGGTCTCCAATAGCTTTCATTTCAACATTGGTTGAGATTGGAATCTTTTATCGACTTTGCATTTTTGAAGTTGTCAAATTATTCATTTATTTTCATTTAGCCTTAGGATAGAATGACTTATTAAGCTTTACATCAATATCTTCTTTTGAGAAGATATTTTCACTCAGCAAAATAGGAGAGAGAGAGAGAGAGAGTGTGTGTGTGTGTGTGTGTGTGTGTGTGTGTGTGTATGTTCTCCTGGAGTCTATAAAACTAGACAGGGAATCCATTAATGGCAAGATATTCATCCTATACATCTTGGTAAGCAATAAGCCTATATATATGTCATGCATGTGGTAGATTTTCAGTATTTTTTTCAGTATGTTTCTCATATTTATTTTTTATGATGATATAATCCTTAATGTGATTTGAGATTCTCTCTCACACTCACTATAGAATAGCTCCCCCTGATTCATGATTGAGATGTTCCAAAACCCCCTGTGGATTCCTGATACTATGAATACTACCAAATCTTATATATATGTTTTCCCAAAACTATGATAAATTTTAATTTATGAATTAAGCACAATAAAAGATTAACAACTAATAATAAAATTTAGAAAATATGGTATACTGTTACAAAAGTTATTTAAATGTGATTTCTTTATTTCTGTGTCAAAATATCTTATTGTAGTGTACTAACCTATTTTTGCACCATGGCTGACTGACTGCAGGTGACTGAAACTACAGAGAGCAGTGTCACAGATAAGGGGAGACTGCTATACATACACACTTGCATATGTATATATGTTAGCAGCCATGAGTTTGTTTTACATGCATATATATTTACATATACATACATATGTGTGTATATGTATATGTACAGAGAGATAAGTCATATGTTTTGATATATTCACCCTTTCATTTATTTAATCAGTTACTCAATAGCATTTATTACTCACCTCTTATGGACAGGACACTGAAGGAAGTTATGAGGGTAAAACAAAGATAAGTAAATTTGATTCCTGAATTTAGATTATTATCATTCATAAGCTCATTCGTTTGACTTGTTCTTCAGATACTTATGCTCATCTACTGCTCTTGAGAACTAAAAAGAACTCTTTTTAGTTTTAGCATTTTACCATTTCACACTTTCGCTTCAAGTGAGAATGATACTGGTTTCAAATATGTTTAGATAACAACTAAAATCTGAAAATGAGCTTTTGCCCACTTTCAGAGAACACCATGTTTTTACAAAAGTCTTTTTAATATAATTTCTTAATACACATGTATATTTATAATAATTTTTATTACCTAGCTATTGAAACATTCTATATATGTGAGCAACTATTTGGAAAATGTATCAGGTGGCTTGGAAGAAAATAAATCTACAGAAAATAATACAACTACCAAGAAAGTGGGACAGGCTGTAAAATGGAACATATGTTCTGTTTCATAAAGACTTGCATTCTCAGAAGGACTAGAAATATCTCACAAGGACTTGGTTGAAATAAAACTGTACTTCCTGAAAAGCATATGTATTTGTGACTCAACCATTTCTCAGGAAGAAGTGTCAATTAAGGATAGAAGTGACTATATGTCCTTTACTTGGGATATACAAGATTTAAAGAATTCTAGAGAAAATACAGATTTATATAAGTCTTTAAATAGTTGAAAGAAAAAATCTAAAGAACACTTGATCAATATTTTTCATCGTTGTTTTGGTTCAAGAATATATATTAGTTTAAAATAGCACAAAATACGGAAGACACAAAAAACAACAAATTTGGTAAAATGTAACATATTTTGGGAGAAAGTGGTTAGTAACAGGTGCTGGAGGACTTAACTAAGAAGTTAACATAAGTGATAGATTTTAAGCAGTTTTATTAACTCCATAAACATGGTGAGACAAATTAATCACATTTCCAAATAGAATATTGATAAAGAAAATATGGCAATATAGGAGCAGGCAACTTTGTAAAGCAATGTGTAACTATTGATATGAATGAGGCCCCACCTACTATGCAACAAATATTCTTTTAGATTATAAAGATGAAAAATGGGAGGTACAGTTAAAATCATGTTTTGGAATGACAGGATAAAATTGTGGCTCTCAAAAATCACTGAAATAACTTTCACCAGTATAAATTCTATGGTCATTTAAAGGTGAGAGAAAAATTAGGTAAATGTTATTAATACATAAAATGAGCGATTTATATTGTGAAAGTTACAGTACATCAGAAGCCTAGAGAGGAAAGAGATCACTTTTTTGTCATTCAAAGACAAAAACCGTGATCTTCTGTGTATAGTGGGTGCTGAATCAGAAATTATGAAAGAGAACACTTTTTTCATCTCTTGATACGTTTTAGACTGCTCTCTGATATTCATGCAAGCCTTTATATATGGCAAAAAAACTCAATTTCTTTATTCAGTCAACTAAATGACAAATAGCTGAATGGAAACTCTCTCTAGACTCTGGGAGTTCCTGATAGCAACTTGATGACCAGGAGAGAAAGTCAGAAGAAAGATAATTGATATTTTATTTTTTATTTTTTTTCTTGTTTTTTTATTTTTTATTATACTTTAAGTTTTAGGGTACATGTGCACATTGTGCAGGTTAGTTACATATGCATACATGTGCCATGCTGGTGCACTGCACCCACTAACTCGTCATCTAGCATTAGGTATATCTCCCAATGCTATCCCTCCCCCCTCCCCCCACCCCACAACAGTCCCCAGTGTGATATTCCCCTTCCTGTGTCCACGTGTTCTCATTGTTCAATTCCCACCTATGAGTGAGAATATGTGGTGTTTGGTTTTTTGTTCTTGCGATAGTTTACTGAGAATGATGTTTTCCCATTTCATCCATGTCCCTACAAAGGACATGAACTCATCATTTTTTATGGCTGCATAGTATTCCATGGTGTATATGTGCCACATTTTCTTAATCCAGTCTATCATTGTTGGACATTTGGGTTGGTTCCAAGTCTTTGCTATTGTGAATAATGCCGCAATAAACATACGTGTGCATGTGTCTTTATAGCAGCATGATTTATAGTCCTTTGGGTATATACCCAGTAATGGGATGGCTGGGTCAAATGGTATTTCCAGTTCTAGATCCCTGAGGAATCGCCACACTGACTTTCACAATGGTTGAACTAGTTTACAGTCCCACCAACAGTGTAAAAGTGTTCCTATTTCTCCACATCCTCTCCAGCACCTGTTGTTTCCTGACTTTTTAATGATTGCCATTCTAACTGGTGTGAGATGATATCTCATAGTGGTTTTGATTTGCATTTCTCTGATGGCCAGTGATCATGGAGCATTTTTTCATGTGTTTTTTGGCTGCATAAATGTCTTCTTTTGCGAAGTGTCTGTTCAAGTCCTTCACCCACTTTTTGATGGGGTTGTTTGTTTTTTTCTTGTAAATTTGTTTGAGTTCATCATAGATTCTGGATATTAGCCCTTTGTCAGATGAGTAGGTTGCAAAAGATTTCTCCCATTCTGTAGGTTGCCTGTTCACTCTGATGGTAGTTTCTTTTGCTGTGCAGAAGCTCTTTAGTTTAGTCAGATCCCATTTGTCAATTTTGGCTTTTGTTGCCATTGCTTTTGGTGTTTTAGACGTGAAGTCCTTGCCCATGCCTATGTCCTGAATGGTCATGCCTAGGTTTTCTTCTAGGGTTTTTATGGTTTTAGGTCTAACGTTTAAGTCTTTAATCCATCTTGAATTGATTTTTGTATAAGGTGTAAGGAAGGGATCCAGTTTCAGCTTTCTACATATGGCTAGCCAGTTTTCCCAGATATTTTAAAGTTAACTTCTTCAAAATGTGTTCCATGAAACAATAAAATTCTATGAGATATTATTGGATATCATATGAAAGAGAAGTATTTTATTTGGGAAAAGCCACATTTTATGGTTCTCATCCTGAAGACTCCAACAATATATTAGCACTTTAAAGATTGAACTATTCTACAATACAGTAACTTATTTAACTTTGGCTTAGTATTTTCCTTACTTATTTCCCACAGTTTTTGAAAAAAATTAAACAACTGTGAAGTCTTTTGGGAAGGGTACCTAAGACTTGGAGAAGAGAGATTCTGCTGCATTTTCTCCTTTTCAAAAAGGATCCATAAAAGACATCACTATATTTGTCTACATAGTGCATTAGTTGTCTCTACTTTTGACATATGTTGATTACTTTTTGGTTGCCTCTATTTATGTAATGCTTTTAAGGGTGTCATATTTGGCATTAACTCGTTGTTTCCTCACCAGACGCGGATGGATTTTCCCAGAATCCTGCATCATCCTTAGAAGCTCCTCTCAGTCTGACCTGTATCAGTTTTTTGTATCTATATTCAGAGAGCAGGGACAGAAAGATGTCATGATGCCAAAGGAAAAAAAAAATCACTTATATAAGACTAAGACAATGAGTTGCTTTCAAACGAGACAAAGCTACAAAAATGTGGCTAAATTTATATTGATATATCATGAAAAATAGAGAAACAAAAACAAGAAAGAACTGTTCAAAATTATGGCCACATGAAGATAACTCAGAAATCAGTAACAATCTATGACTGTTACATGCATTATGATTAGAACACTTGATTTGAGAGAATGTTAGTCATAAAGACATACTAAACTTACCATATTTTATGGTAAGTAGAAATAACAAATGCTTTATAGGTGAAGCCTACCTTAGATCACACACTTAATCAAATTCCTGATATTTACTGCCTAAGGTGTTCATTGACAGCTTATGATAGATGGTTTACAAATAACAAAGAAATAAAACACAATAAAACAAATACACATTTCTTTTATCACAAAAGGTTGAATTGCCATATCAGAATTAGGCAATTTACATATATTTATATATGATTCTATAGATATATATGTGTATAATCATATATGATTATATATAAAATCATAGTAAAATATAATTTTTATATATTTATTACATAGATATATAATTTTATATTTATATTATTGACATAAAAAACATATAAACATACATATGCACACACAAACACACACACACACACCATATATCAACATATAACATATCTAGTGATTCAAAAGAGATAAACAAACATCATGTATAAATGAGGGATTTCTCTTGTATTCTGAAATCTTTAAATGCAGCTTTTAAAGTCACCTCTATTTACTCACATTGGGAAAATATTTTGGTTCTAGATTAGCAGTGAGGATTATGAACAAGATAAGGATAAATACTGGTTAGAAAAAGAAGTCATTTTCCTTTCTGAACAGTTATGATTTATACCCTGTTGATTACATAAATAGAAGCTGGTTTCTACAAAGATGCTTCTGTTCTCTAATTAGCCACGTTGCATGAATCCACGAAGTTCAGAATTATTTACAGTGAGGAGTCTAGAATGACTAGGTATATCTTTCTCAAAATATTTTATACATGAGGACTCTAGTATCTTTCCCCTAATAAGAACCATTAACATGTTTATGAGATGAGTTAAAGTCATCAGCTTGTTTATAAGTAGATCTCCTCTAGGCTATTTATTCCCTGGTGTTTATCTGCCTCGAGGACAGAAGAGATTACAGGGCTGCTGTTAACACTTTTCTTTGAAAAATAAATTTTAAAAAAGAAGGTTTTTTTGTAAATTTAGAAATACTTTGTTAAGAGATAAGCATTGTAAGAAGGTACATGAAATAATTAACTCTTCTTGAAATAATAAACAGATATTGTCTTAGAAACAGAAATTATAATAATAACCACTCAAATTTATGCTGGGCATTGTTCTAGTTACATGTATCAATTCATATAATCTTAACAGCAACCGTATGTGGTAGCTTCTATTATTACTCACACGTTAAAGATGAGAAAATTGACGGTTAGAGAAGTTCAGTAACTTTCCTTAAGTCACATTGCAAACAAATACAGGAATCAGGATTCAAACACAGTTACCATGGTCTGGAGCCAGTGCTATTGACCACTATGCTGTCCTTTTTTTAATGTAATTGGCAATGTGCATCAAAGGTCTCCATATGTTTCATATTCTTTCACAGAGTTATTCATGTAAAGGATTTTATTCCCAGGCAATTGTTGAGAGTGGAATTTAAGGAGCAAAAGCAAATTCACTGAATAGAAGAAAAGAAAGACGTTAATATTAGTGGTATAAATGAACACAGTTAAACTGCAGATTTACAGGAATCTATTAATGTCAACCAGATATAAAAAAGATACAGATCTTATGGAGAGGAAAGAAAAAGTGCAAAACAAGGCAAGTGAGTGACAGCAGGAGAGAACAGAAAGAGACAAGAAGCAGATGTATGGAAAGATGCACATTGTTTAAGTGCATCATTAAGGGAAGAAAAGAAGATGGTCGAAAGCTAACAAGATAGAATTAAACTTATCAATCAAATTTGAAATACAGAAATTTAATTTATGGAATAAAGTTATAATAAAAACACATGCAAATGAAGTGAAGAATAATTATTAGTGAGGCCAAATATAGTCCCAGTATCTACACCTCATGGGAATTGTTGGCAGAAAAATTTTGAAATTATTGTACCACAGCCAAAGGACTGTACCAAGGGTGAAAAATATGCTACAAGAATAAGGAAACCATTTGCAATGTGTTTGTTTGAGAGTTCTTGCTCACAGAACTCACCTAGTGCTTTTCCTGCTGGTTTTGATTAATGTCAATGTTATATAATAAGCCATGAGGCGTAGTTGCAAATTACATTGTAGTATGTGTTTTTTTCTCTGCCATCATTGATTGAAAGTCTTAGAAATTGGAAATTCTGGAATGAGAAAGGTGGCCACTACCTCTCCTGCTGCATTAGTCAGAGTTTTCAGAGAGACAGAACCAATGGATATATAGATAGTTATAGATACACACATAGATGATATAGCTATATCAGAGGGTTTTTATTAAGCGAATTGGCTCAGATGATATTGGAGGCTAAGAAGTCCCTCAATAGGACATGTGCAAGTTAGAGAACTAGAGAAGCCCATAGTATTGTTCAATCCAGCTTGGAAAGCCTCAGAACCAAGAAAGCTGGTGATCTCTCAGTCTGAAATTGAAAGCTTGAGAGCCCTTAGAGGCCACTGATGCAAGGTGCAGAATCCAGACTGAGGAATCTGGAGTTCTGATGTGCAAGAACAGCAGAAGAAGGTATCTAGCACTGTAAGGGAGAGAGAGAAATAGAGAGAGAGAATTTACCATTCTTCCACCTTTTTGTTCTGTCTGGGCCTCCAGCTGATTGATGCCCTCCCATATTGGGGCAGATTTTCCCCACTCAGTCCATGAAATTGCTTGTCAATCTCCCAAAACACTCTCATGAACACACCTAGGAACAATGCCTCATCAGCCATTCTAAGTATCTCTAAATTCAGTCAAACTGACATCTAAAAGTAACTGATTAGTGGTCAGGGCTATTCACATGATTCATATCCATTATTCTTCCACAACTAGTATTGCCAAGATAGGAGAGAAAGAAAGGGAGAAGACAGATGTCAGGGCTAACTGCAGTGCCATTCACAATTTCAGAGAAAGAAATAACTGCCTTTCACAGTACAAATGAAAGAAAGAAAAAAGAAGTTGGGGGAGGAAGGAGGGGAGGGAGGAAAAAAGAGGGAGTCCAGAAGAAAGAGAGGTAAGGAGATACAGAGAAGGAAAATAATAATATAATCACCCACCAATAAATAATTCAATTTACAGCAATCTTCCCGTATCCTCAAGGTATGTGTTTCAAGACCCACAGTGGATTCCTAAAACTGCAAATAGTACTGAACCCTCTATATATTATTGATGGCAGCAGCGGGCCATCTGGAGTGGCTGCTGCCATCACACTGGCTGAAGCAGGGAGACATGGGCAGTGGTGGCAGAAACAGCTGCTGGAGCAGCAGTGGGTCCCCTCTGCCCTGCGTCCCTGAGGCAGTAAACTGTGCCACCTCCACTCTTGCATGGCCAGGCAGGACCCGCTCCCAGGCCCACAGCCTCCTCTGCGGCCTCAACTTCATTCCCTGCTGCATCCCGGGACTCACAGGGCAGGCCTTGGGAGCATCAGATTAATTTGTGAGGTGCCATCTGTACCTCACCCACTGCTGCTGCAGGGAAAACAGAGAGGAAGCAAGGCCAGGGCTGCATGCTCCACATGCTTGACTGAGCTGATGGGAGCCAGGGACAAGTGGGAGCTTGCTGCCCCTTTCAAGTTGGTGCAGTGGGAGCTTCTCAGACACAACTGGAGCCACCCAAGTTGTGGCCGTGACCTGGGCACCCTGTGCTCTTGGTAGTCAGGATCAGGCAGGAGCTCCACCCTCCCAGGTGCAGCTGCAGCTGCCCAAGTTGCAGCCGCAGACCCAGGCATCTCCACATTCTGGGGGCGCAGGGAGGCTTCCCCAGCACCTACAGGCTCCAAGTGCCTGCCCCTACTTTCTGGCTTCTCCCCAATGTCAGCACCCACTGTAGTCAGGGAACAAAGTTGAGACTGAGCCCAGGCATTGTCACAATCTGTCTAGGTGTGCACACGCTTGGGGCAGTGCTGACACACCAACCCCCTTCTTCCTCAGCACCCTCAGGACTTTGGGCACCAACGACCATGGGAGGGAGACTAAAGGGGGCACTGAGGGCAGCTCAGCACTGGCCTGCAGGTGCCTCTTGGCAAGAACAGCCTGGGTGGCATGAACAGCAGAAGGAGGCAGACAGGCTTCTGGGCAGAGGGGTTGGATTCCTGGTGAAGCCCCACCTTCAAGCTGGGGAGGGCCTGAAGCCTGAGGCCTGGGCTGCCACTCTGGTGGACTGGAGTGGAAACTTGTGCTTTTTCTGAGCCCACCCATGGCTACCCTTGAATCAATCAGCATACACTTCCTCCCCTCTGAGGCCCATGAAAAGCCCTGAACTTAGCCAGACCAGAATAGTTGACAGGACAACCTGCCTGCACATAGGTGCTACCCTCTCTGCTGAGAGCTGGACACTCGGGACAACCTGACTGCAGAGAGGAGCTACCCTCACTGCTGAGAGCTGAACATTCCTGGTGATGACCTGCTTCCAGAGAGGAGCTACCCTCTCTGCTGAGAGCTGAACAATCATCAGGATGACCTGCATAGCAGAGAGGAGTTACTCTCTCTGCTAAGAGCTGAACACTCATTGGAATACCCTGGCTGCAGAGAAGAGCTACCCACTGTAGGTCCCCTGTGAGCTCTTCTAGCACTCGATAAAGCCTGTCTTGGTCTTGCTTACCCTCCAGTTGTCTGTGTATCTCATTCTTCCTGGAAGCAGGACAAGTACGTGGGACCCACCGAATGGCAGGGCCGAACGAGCTGTAACACAAACAGTACTGAAACATGCCTCTTGCTCACCACATTTCAGGCAACAAGATGGAGAGAAGAGAGGAGAGAAGAGCTGCAGGCCTTTGGGGAGCCCTGACCTAGGAGCTCCTCGAGCCAGGGCTGTGACACTCTCTTTAGGGATCTACTGTGACACTCTCTTTAGGGATCTCTTCCGGGTACCACCACATTCCCTGGTGTCAGCCATGGAAGCTGCTTGTGGTATACATGGTCTAGCTGCAGCCTTGCAGGGAGCCAGTGCCTGTGCCAGCGTCTGGAGCTGTCTGCCCTGCTGCAGCCGGCATGCCTGGCTGTGTGCAGTGAATGAACCCCAAGCTCGCTCACACACCCCTTGCTGCTCCTTGCCTGGCTTGCCCTTGGCAGGCGTGGGATCCAGGCCAGAAGTGCAATCCGAGCTCAGCCTGCCAGGCTAAGTGGCAGAATAAGCCCAGTGGGCCAGTGCAAAACTCAGGCAAAGATGCCACCAGCCACAAAGGTTTTCAGCTGGTGAAACGACACCCCAAGTATCCTGTAACACGATATTTTTCCTACACATACATACCTATGATAAAGTTTAGTTTTTAAATTAGTCACAGTACTCTTGCCCTTTGGAGCCATTATCAAGTAAGACAAGGGTTAACTGAACACAAACACTATGATACCTCCAAAGTCAATCTGATAACCGAGATGCTACTAAGTGACTATGGACTAGAAGTGTCTAAAGCAGGGATAAACCATATAAAAGAGTGATTCACATCGCAGGTAGATTTCATCATGTTATTCAAGACAGCGTGCAATCTCAAATTGATGATTTGTTTATTACTAAAATGTTTCATTTAAGATTTTTAGATTACAGTTGACTTAGAGTAACTAAAAACACAGAAGGCAAAACTTTGGATAAGGGAGGACTACTGTAGGTGGTACATTTATGTGGGTTAAGGCATACATAAAATATCTCCTCGAAACCATTTAAAACATGAGAAATAAGGATATAATATTTCTGAGTGGAAATAAGTACTTTGTAAGACAGTACTTGTGGTTTTATTTCTTTATACACAAACTTAAGTATGCATACAAAGTGCTAAGAATTTACAATGTAGCATCCATCTATATGTTTATACATAAACCAATTATACTTAACTTTTCCATATAAACATTTTTCTCATCTATAAGATTACTTTGTGCAAGTTAAATAACCTCTCTTGATTTGAACTCATCTTCAAATAGGAGTGAATGTAATTTAAATTACTTATCAGATTGTTGTAAGCATTAAATAAGATAATACATGTAAAGTAGTTAGGCAAACATTGAGCAAATAAATAAAATAGATTATCATCTAGTGACACTGAAGCCATCATAACATTGCAGCTCAATGCATTAATCATGTGTTTGTGGTGATGCTGGTATAAACAAACCTAATGGGCTATCAGTTGCATAAAAGTATAGCACATACAATTATGTACAGTACATAATTCATAATGACAAATGGCTATGTATTGGTTTATGTATTTCCTATACTTTTTATTAATTTAGAGTGCACTTCTTACATTTATCTGAAAAACAAAACAAAAAAAACATTAACTGTAAAACAGCAGGTACTTCATGAAGCACTCCAGAAGAAGGGAGGAGATTGACAGCTCTATGCCTGTTGTCCATGAAGGCCTTTCAGTGGGACAAAATGTTGGGGTAGAAAACAGTGATATTGATGATTTTGACCGAGTGCGGGCCTAGATTAATGTATGTGTTTGTACCTTAACAAAACATTAAAAAAAATTTAATAGAAAAAATAAACTTGCCCTTTGTGATGGCTTATGCATGTAATCAACACTTTAAGAGGCCAAAGTTGGGTGGTATCTTGAGGCCAGAAGTTTGAGACCAGACTGGGCAACACAGTGAGACTTCATCTCTAAAAACAAACAAACACCTTATATAATAAAGACATTTTTAAAAGAAAATACTTTTCCACAGTTGTACAACATGTGTTTTAAACTGTGTTATTACAAAAGAGACAAAAAGTTAATAAAAATTTAAAAGTTTATAAGGTAAATAGTTACAGTAAGCTACTAAAGTTATTTTACTATTGAAGAAAGAATTTTTTTATAATTTTAGTGTAGCTTAAATATACAGTGTTTATAAAGTTTACAGAAATGTACAGTAATGTCTTAGGCCTTGACATTCACTCACCACTCGCTCACTGACTCACCCAGGGCAACTTTCAGTCCTGCAAGCCCCATGCATGGTAAATGCCCCATAAAGGTGTACTATATTTGTTCATTTATTTAAATTCCTTATAGATTCTGTATATTAGACTTTTATCAGAGGCACAGTTTGCAAATTTCTTTTCCCATTCTGCAGATTGTCTGCTTACCCTATTGATAGTTTCTTTTGCTAGGCAGAAGCTCTGTAGTCTAATTAGGCCCCATTTGTCTATTTTTAGTTTTGTTGCAATTTTGTTTGGCATCTTCATCATGAAATACTTACCAGGGCCTATGCCTAGAATGGGCAAAGGACATGAACAGGCACTTTTCAAAAGGAGACATATATGTGACCAACAAACATATGAAAAAGTGCTTAATATCACTAATGATTAGAGAAATACAAATCAAAACCACGAGATACCATCTCGCACCAGTCAGAATGGCTATTATTAAAATGCCAAAAAATAACAGACCCTAGCAAAGCTGTCAATAAAAGAGAACACTTATACACTGCTGATGGGAATGTAAGTTAGTTCAGGCATTGTGGAAAGCAGTTTGGTGATTTCTCAAAGAACTTAAAACAGGACTACCATTTGACCAAGCAAGGCCATTATACCCAAAGAAATATAAGTTGTTCTACCATAAAGATACATTACTAATAAGTTTATCGCAGCGCTATTCAAAATAGCAAAGACATGGAATCAACCTAAATGCTCATCAATGGTAGACTAGATAAAGAAAATATGGCACATATACACCTGGGAATACTATGAAGCCATAGAAAATGAATGAGATAATGTCCTTTGCAGCAACATGGTTGGAGCTGGAGGCCATTATCTTAAGCAAACTAATACAAGAACAAAAAAGCAAATACCCCATGTTCTCACTTATACGTGAGAGCTAAACATTGAATACTCATGGACACAAAGGCGGGAAAAATAGACACCAGGGCCTACTTGAGGGTGCAGGGTGGGAATAGAGTGAGGATCAAAACACTACCTATTGGGTACAATGCTTATTACCTGGGTAATGACATAATATGTACATGAAACCTCTGTGACATGCAATTTATCTATAGAACATATCTGCTTATGTACCCCTGAAACTAAAATAAAAATTTTTTAAAAATAAAAAAATTAAAATACAAAGGCGTATCCTTTTAAATCTTTTATATCATATTTTTACTTTATCTTTTATATGTTTAGATACACAAATATTTGCTATTGTGTTACAATTGCCTACAGTGTTCAGTATAGTAACATGTTGTACCGGTTTGTAGCCTAGTAGCAATAGTCTATACCACATAGCCTAGGTGTGCAGTAGGCTATACCATCTAGGATTGTTTACACTTTGTGATGTTAGCACAAGGAAATTGCCCACAGGGTGCATTTCTCAGAATGTATCCTCATTGCTAAGTGACTCATGACTGTATAAATTTTATTATTGGTATTATTAAATTTATTTGTAAGAATAAGTTAGTGAAATAATAAAGTTTACTTATTTTAGAATAATAAATAATAAACAAGTTAAAATAATTAACTAATAAAACCAACGCACTAAAATTTTTAAAATTTACTTAGGTTTTAAATATTTTTTGTTTTGTGTTGTGTTTTAGAAATAAATCTTATTTAAATTTTACTTTAAAATTCTACCAATAATTTGTATTTGTCCTTGTATTCTTACAAGATCATGTTTTGTTTTCTAAATGTTTTACTTTATTTTACTTATTGTTAGATTTGTTTATTGATTTCTGCATTTTAAAATTTTTATTTTCTAAATATCAATAAATGCATTTTTAATTAAAAAATTGAGAAAATTTTAGTTTCCCATGTCACTATAGAAATAATACACTGTGTACACTTTTCTCAGTTTTCCCTAAAGGCAACATTTTATAAAACTATATGTGATATTATATTACAACCAGGCTATTGACATTGATAAAATCCACTAATCGTATTCATACCTTCCCAGTTTTATTTGCAGTTGGTTGGAAGCTATGCCCGTATGTGTACTAAGTTCAATACAATTTTATTACCTTTGTCTATTCTCATGTACACCACCACATTCAAGATACTGTACTGTTCCAAAACCACCAGCATCTCTTCACTTATGATACTGTACAGTTCCAAAACCACTGGGATCTTTTATAATTTTGTATGTAACAGTTATGTGTGTATTAAGTACGTAAACAGTTATCTAAGATTAGTGGTAATGATTACTGATCCTTTTTTCAGAAAGAATGACTGTACCATTTACATTTCCAGGATCTCTCATGCTGTTCTTTTACAACCATTTCTATATTTTCTCTCAGCATGTTTCCCTAGAGATTCATATAAGATATTGGCATATTCATAGTTTATTTGCTTTTTTTCCAAGTACAATTCTAATGTATGAATGTGCCACAGTTTGTTCAACCATTTATCTGTTTAAGACCATGTGGGCTGTTTCCAGTTTTTGGTTATTACAAATAAAACTGTCACACACCTTCATATACAGGTTTTTGTATGAATATAAATTTTCCTTTCTCTGTGATGAACACCCAGGAGTAGAATTGTCAAGTCATATGGTAGTTGCAGTTTTAGTTGAGTTGAGTTGTTGTTTTAAAAAAGATTACTGGCTGAGCGAGGTGGCTCCCATCACTTTGGGAGGCTGAGGCAGGCGGATCACTTGAGCCCAAGTTGTTTAAGACTAGCCGGAGCAGCCTGGCAAAACAACTTCACTATAAAAAAAAACAAAAAAAAATTAGCTCGGCATGTGGCGCAAGCCTTTAGTCCTAGCTACTTGGGAGGCTAAGATAGGAGAATCATCTGAGCCTGGGCAAATTCAAGGCTGCAGGGGGCCATGACTGCACCACTGCACTTCAGCCTGGGCAACAGTGAGACTGAGACTCTGTCTCAAAAAATAAAAAAATAAAAAAAAGAAGAAAGAGTGGCTGTACCATTTACATTTCCACCAATGATGTAGGAGGTATCCAGTGTCTCTGTACCCTTGCCAGCATTTGGTGTTGTCACTATTTTTCATTTTAGCCACTCTGATACATATGTAGTGATCTCATTGTGGTTTTAATTTGCATTTCCTTAATGTCTGATGATGTTGAACATCTTTCCATGTGCTTATTTGTCATCTGTACATCTTCTTTTGGTAAAGAATAAATATATTTTTACATTCTTGGGGAATGTCTCCATTTGATAAATTCCCTAGTTAACCTACACAAGAGTGGTGTTTCAAAAGAGATCAGCCAAGCCCAACCACTTGAACTATGAAAAATGTCGTTTTAAGCCACTGAAGATTTGGATGGTTTATTACATAACAATAATAGCTAACAATAGCTAACTGATAGGCCTGCTTTGCTTCCTTTATAACCTCCCTATATGAATCCTCCAAACATCCAATCCCTGATGCAGTATTGATTCAAAGAGTTTCAACAAATTAACATTTGGAAATAGGTTTATACACTTGTAACAAGAGTATAGTAATGCTTATGTTGAAACTGTTTGATGAAGATAAATGAGAATTTACGTGAAATGCTTTATCCGTGGTTTGCATTCAATAAATGCCACAGGCAATAACAATTATTAAATATTTTATCTTAATAAATCCCAAGGAATATGGTCCTTCTCTGTTAACTTGTTTCTAAAAGATTAAAGGCCAATCACTCTGAAGAGGCCAGCCACCTTGTGATTGACTCCAATGAGGTTTGGCTCATATTTGGATCATATTTCTACCATTTGCCATAATTTTCATCCATAGTCCTACCATCTATCATCAACTGTTCATTCCATCAATATTTGTGCTATCTTCCTTCTTACTATGTTGGGGTTTCAAGGTGCAATATTTTGTACAAAAAAAGCAAATGACTACTATTAATACTTTCTATGATCACTATAATTTTATGAAGTATATGAAGTATTAGATATTGAAAATAAAAACAATTGGTTATATGTGAAATATTAACTTATTGATGTTCATGTAGCCGTATATGAAACTCATATTCTAATATCCTTGCAACAGCCTTACCAATAAAAATCTCCTGATAGATCAGATAACAATATCAAGTGAAATATGGTATGACCACTATAGCTTTTAGCGTAAATTTGCAGATTTAATGACTATTAGATGGTCTGAATGGATTCAATTCTGGTATTATAAGTATATTGGTCATATTTTTTTTGAAATTGTTATTAAAAATAATTTGTTATTTTCAAAATAATGCATAATAAAAACTAATTTAATACCAAAATGTCTTCAGTATTTATCCTTATTATTATATTTGATATTATATTCCAAAATTATTGTTGATTTCATACACAATTATTGGAGATTTGACTAGTTATTGGAAGAATATTTTGCAATTAATTTACCAAGATAGGTCCACTAGCATGGTGTGTGTTCAAAGCCAACATTCCACGGAGATTTTACAACTTCTCATGGTGAAGCTACAAAAATGTTTACTGGAATAAAATTATTTAATCATTGCTTTCCTGTGGATAATTTTAGAGATACTAGACAATTTGTTAATATACTGTATTCAACTGAGGATGATTTAAGGAAATTCTGGCTTTAACTCGGGACTAAGCTCAAGTAGAAATGGATGATACTTCGTTCTAAATGAGAATTTTGATAAGATTCCTAACTTTTCACCAAGTAATGTTTATTTTATTGGAAATTTATGTAATGTTTACAAGCTATATCTTTCCAACTTTAACTCACAACTCAAAATATTAACAATTGAAGTCTTTTTTTTTTTTTCGAAGAGACTAAGGTGTTTTCTCTCAAGTTTTGATCAAAATCTCACTAAGAAGGTAGAATTTAGGGGAAATTTCTGAAAGATGTGCAGTCCTTACAATCTTCTCACTCTCCTTTAGTAAGCCTGACAATTAAAAAATCAAGTATTTCCAGTATAATATTTCAGTTTTACAGAAAATTATTTGAGTATGTTGCATTTTATATTATGTCCTTGACTTTTATCTGTATCATAAGAATAAGCATATGAAATAGAATATTGTAAGAAGATCCAGATGAAATACTTCACCTTTTTTATTAAAGGAATGAGTGTCGAGTATATTGACCCTTGTAGTATTACTGAAAAAAATTAGGAATTAAAGTATTCCTTTAAACTTTGGTGTTTAGAAAAGTTTGGTCTTTCTTAAAGGATGAAGTTACTTCCTCCTTTTTGAAAATGTCGTCATGTAATTGACCATATTTTAATCATATTTTTCTCTTTTGGTTTCAAAATTGAAAACAAACATTTTAACCACTCAAATTTTAAAAGTTTGTTTATTTCAGTTCCTCTCTCTAGTTTTCATTACTACTTATATAATCTTTCACTCACTTATTTTTATTTTTTCTGTGCACCAATTATCCTATTCTCTTTCAAAACAAAAACCCAGAAAAACATTACAGA
The DNA here is from genome assembly GCF_000001405.40 of Homo sapiens. Lineage (NCBI taxonomy): Eukaryota > Metazoa > Chordata > Mammalia > Primates > Hominidae > Homo > Homo sapiens. Next base: position 65,186,909 of record NC_000004.12, on the reverse strand, counting down.
TTTCTCATAAAATGAAGAGTTTTGAAACCCCCAAAAATAATATTTTATTTACTGTTTGATAATCTCTACCTTAAATCAGATCTGCAAATATAAAGTTTATAGTCTCTAGATTGAGCTCTTCTCATCCTCCAGGAATCTCTCAAATTGTTACAATTGCTTAATTCTTGAAAATATACATTTCATATTTATCCTTTTCCTATCTCTAATTTTCAACTTTTATTTTTCTCCTTCCTCTTCCTTCTTCTCCTCCTTCTTTTTCTTTCCTTTTAACTTTCCTAGACTTTGTAAATACTGTTAAACTCAGTTCTGTGTTTATACTGCTTTGGGGCCTGTTGGTTTCACACTTTCTATAGCTCCTGAGGATATACTTTATTTTCTCCCCTTAAAAACCATAGACTCTTATGGATCTAATACCTGTAACATAAAGAAAATACTTGCTAGATATTTAATGATATTTCTTTATCAATCAATCAGGTAAATGTCTCCAACTTAAGGTTTCAATGTTGCATTTCAATTAGGGTACAATCATTACTTAAGAGTTCTGACTGGAGTCATTGTAAATTCAGAGTAATTAGGTAGTTTTATCCTGGTTCTTTTTTTTTTTTGATTGAAATGTAATTCTCACAGATTATTTCATTTTGCTGTCTTCTCATCATTGAAGTATTAATTCAAATATAATTCCCTTTGATAGGCCTTTACCCACTACCCTTCCTCAAATCAGCTGTCTGAATAAGCAGCTGTCAGTCACTCCTTAGCATGTCTTTAATTTTCTTCATAGTCATTTTTAATATATCATCTCTCTCATATAGTTGTGTGCATATTTACTTTGTTTCTGCCACTTGAAGGCAAGCCCCGTGAGGACAAGAAATCTACCTTTCTGCTCTAACCCCCAGCATCTAGAATAGTGCCTGACACATGATCAGGGTTTAAGCAACTAACTGATCTCTTCATTTCTAATATCATTAGAATATGAATTTTTTATAAAGTATGAATTCAGTGCAGCAGTTGCATGTTTCCATAAATGAGAAGAGCTCATTGGTTTTATTGATTTAAAAATTTATAGACACAAGCCCAATTCTTTTAAGATTTGTCACTCAGTGGGAAGATTATTATTCAAAAAATTTCCTTCATCCCGTTTACATTTTTCTATGTACAAATAGATAAGTAGTATTATTCTTAAGAAAAAAATGAACAAACAAAAACTAGTGTTCTTTTCTTAACAAAATACAATTTAAAATGTTGTGACATGCAACTATATATTATTGTACCCATAAATATACTTGTGATTAACTTTCTAGTTTATTCCAAAAATAAACTGACAAGCTTCAAAAGCTGAATTACAACTCTTTTTGGCTAACCTATACCATTATGGTTTAGACAACAGTGGCAGATGTGATTTAAGTTCCAACTAAATTTGATCTTTGCTTAAAATGATTATTCTCTGGTCAGGTTACTACCTAGGGAGAAGGACAAAAACCTGCTGACTAGAATTGATGATAGGGATGAAGGACCAAAATAACACAGAAAGACTCAAGGGTGAAATAAGCATCCTGGCCACCACTCAGTAATATAACCTTATAATATGTGCAGCCTGTTTACCATATGACCTCTTCTGCAATGGAAGGAATCAAGTCCTCAGCACATAAAAAAAGATATTAAAAACCATTGCTATGTTTACATACAAGTTACATACTATTGTAAAAAAATTAGATATTTTCTAAGCCACAAATATGACTGCAAATTATAGCAAAAGGAAACTTTCCTGTTTCTAGCAAAAGTTTCATGTGGTAACGGAGTTTGGAATTTTCTTCCTCCAGATATCAATTTCTCTAAAACCTGTCTTGTGTTTGATGAGTGGCAGCGCTAACTTGACAGATTTATCCCTGTGTTGGTCTATGGGTTACAAATTTGTAAATGTCTGGGATAACCAAATATATTTTCTACTAATCTATTTATTATATTTTTAAAAATGTTTTTGAAAATCACTAAAGCAATAGATCTGGTTTCTTAGGGGCATTATGGCAACAGGAAGAAAAGGTCAGAGCTTTGTCAATATTTTTTTTTTCAGTCAAGATGAAGGGATATCACCTAACATTGTAAACCAAGTTTTATTAACTAATTTTTTTAAGGATTTCTATTTTATCAGCATTTCTAATTTATAATGTTAATTCTAAGCAACAATCTGACAAGTTTAAGGTTAAAAAAAAAACAAGATGCAAAGCAATTACTTTCCAGCATTCAGCACTAATTAATATAGTTCACTAAAAAAAAAAACAAGATTTTGTAACTGTTTAATGAAGCCTCCCTTTTCACTGCTGTAGTTATGTTCTACTGGTCTGGGTACCTGGAGAATATGGAGCTTCAGAAAAAACACACAGAACTTGGTCAGGTTCCTGCTCTTCTCAATTTGTAGTTACAAGGGAGTTGCTGCTGTTGTGATCACAAAGCACTACCTTCCTGGTAGCTGGTACCTGCTGCACACTCCCCAGCAATCTATTTGGTACATAGAATCTGGCAGGGGAGGAAAATTTTACTAAGATTCATTTTGTGGCCTAATATACAATTTGTGTGTGTGTGTGTGTGTGTGTGTGTGTGTGTGTGTGAACGCATTCTGAGGACTTGAAAAGAAAATAGCTTTAGATTTCAGTACATACATTACATGTAATATATATGAATGTATATACGCATACATATATTAATACATATATAATTATATTATAATAATATAATATAATTATTTATATAAAATACATTATATAATAGTATTTATCTTATATTTTAATAAGTATAATATATAATTTATATTAATACTAGTAAATATATAATTATATAATTATAATATATATTTATATGTGTATATACATTCACATATATGTATGTATGTACTGAAATATATGTATTACATTTACTCATTTATTCTATCTAGCTGCTATGTATATCATATAATTACTTCTCTCTGTATATTTGTTCTGTCTTGCCTGTAGTCTTCTACTACTGATTTGTTTCTATTTCTACCTGCTTATATTCCCATGGTTGGAAGGGGAAGGGAAGTTATTATTTTTGGTAGGCCCTGGTAGGGGCAGACCTCACCATGAATATGCCATTTGAATTAAGGCCTAAAGGAAGGGAGGGAGAGAGGAAGCCACGTAGTACCTGGCATAAGAACATTTTAGTCAGAGAAAGCATCACGTGCATGAAACCTGATGTAATTTAAGAACAGAGTGAAGGAAAGAGAGGCAAGAGACAGAGTCAGAGAGTAGGGGACTTGGTAGGGTCGGGGTCGGGGGATACACAGAAAGCAGGATGTTACTTTTTTAACGGATCGTAAATAGAAAAATACAGAAAAGTTTCTAAGTCCCTGAGGGCCTCATAACATGGTCATGCAATTCAGCTCTCTACTGCAGCATTTATCAAAGCTGAATGTATATAACTGTCAATCAATAAACAATTATTGGAAAATGAATGGATTGAAAATGCTTGCAGTGAAGGGCCTAGAGACCATGTGAATAATTTCTTCTGTAACCATACCTGTAAATTTGCCACGTGTGGACTGTAATCTGTTACCAATTCCTCTTTCAAACTTTCTTACATGTGCTCTGTTTTAGCTTCTTGGGATGTTTCTTGGGGGTGGTAACAAAGTGCCTCCAACTGGATGGCTTAAAAAACAGAAGTTTATTGTCTCACAGTTCGGTAGCTGGAAGTCAGAGACCGATGTAATGGCAGCATTGGCTTCTCTAGAAGGCTATTAGGGGGAATCTGTTCCATGCTTCTCTCCTAGCTTCTGGTAGCCTCAGGTGTTCCTTGGCTTATAAAGATGGCATTCTCCCTATCTATGTCTTCACATTTCTTCCCTATATGTGTGTCTGTCTCTCTGTTCAATAAGAACATAGTCCTTTTGTATTACGGCCTATTCTAATGCCCTCGTCTTAACTTGATCATCTGCAAAGACAAAATTTCCAAATAAAGCCGCATTCACAGACAATGGATGTTAGCATTTTAACATCTTTTTGAGGGACACAATTCAACCCAGAACACACTCCAATCAATATATTGCCTCCATATCGTCTTCACATTGAAACTGCTCTGGCCGGGGTCACTGTTGGCCCTACATTGCTAATGCCAATGATCAGTTCTGTTTTTTTTTATTAAGTAGCATTTGATGAAGTTGACCCTACCTTACTTCCTGAAAAGCGTTCCTCACTTGGTTTTCATGTTAACACAGGCTCCTGGTTTTTCTAGTACATTGTTGCTCACGCTGCAAGACTGTTTTTTTCTCTTCTTTTTTTTTTTTGTTTTGTTTTGTTTTTTTATTATACTTTAAGTTTTAGGGTACATGTGCACATTGTACAGGTTAGTTACATATGTATACATGTGCCATGCTGGTGCGCTGCACCCACTAACTCGTCATCTAGCATTAGGTATATCTCCCGATGCTATCCCTCCCCCCTCCCGCCACCCCACAACAGTCCCCAGAGTGTGATATTCCCCTTCCTGTGTCCATGTGATCTCATTGTTCAATTCCCACCTATGAGTGAGAATATGCGGTGTTTGGTTTTTTGTTCTTGCGATAGTTTACTGAGAATGATGGTTTCCCATTTCATCCATGTCCCTACAAAGGACATGAACTCATCATTTTTTATGGCTGCATAGTATTCCATGGTGTATATGTGCCACATTTTCTTAATCCAGTCTATCATTGTTGGACATTTGGGTTGGTTCCAAGTCTTTGCTATTGTGAATAATGCCGCAATAAACATACGTGTGCATGTGTCTTTATAGCAGCATGATTTATAGTCCTTTGGGTATATACCCAGTAATGGGATGGCTGGGTCAAATGGTATTTCCAGTTCTAGATCCCTGAGGAATGGCCACACTGACTTCCACAATGGTTGAACTAGCTTACAGTCCCACCAACAGTGTAAAAGTGTTCCTATTTCTCCACATCCTCTCCAGCACCTGTTGTTTCCTGACTTTTTATTGATTGCCATTCTAACTGGTGTGAGATGGTATCTCATTGTGGTTTTGATTTGCATTTCTCTTATGGCCAGTGATGATGAGCATTTTTTCATGTGTTTTTTGGCTGCATAAATGTCTTCTTTTGAGAAGTGTCTGTTCATGTCCTTTGCCCACTTTTTGATGGGGTTGTTTGCTTTTTTCTTGTAAATTTGTTTGAGTTCATTGTAGATTCTGGATATTAGCCCTTTGTCAGATGAGTAGGTTGCGAAAACTTTCTCCCATTTTGTAGGTTGCCTATTCACTCTGATGGTAGTTTCTTTTGCTGTGCAGAAGCTCTTTAGTTTAATTAGATCCCATTTGTCAATTTTGGCTTCTGTTGCCATTGCTTTTGGTGTTTTAGATGTGAAGTCCTTGCCCATGCCTATGTCCTGAATGGTAATGCCTAGGTTTTCTTCTAGGGTTTTTATGGTTTTAAGTCTAATGTTTAAGTCTTTAATCCAACTTGAATTGATTTTTGTATAAGGTGTAAGGAAGGGATCCAGTTTCAGCTTTCTACATATGGCTAGCCAGTTTTCCCAGCACCATTTATTAAATAGGGAATCCTTTCCCCATTGCTTGTTTTTGTCAAGTTTGTCAAAGATCAGATAGTTGTAGATATGCGGCGTTATTTCTGAGGGCTCTGTTCTGTTCCATTGATCTATATCTCTGTTTTGGTACCAGTACCATGCTGTTTTGGTTACTGTAGCCTTGTAGTATACTTTGAAGTCAGGTAGTGTGATGCCTCCAGCTTTGTTCTTTTGGCTTAGGATTGACTTGGCGATGCGGGCTCTTTTTTGGTTCCATATGAACTTTAAAGTAGTTTTTTCCAATTCTGTGAAGAAAGTCATTGGTAGCTTGATGGGGATGGCATTGAATCTGTAAATTACTTTGGGCAGTAAGGCCATTTTCACGATATTGATTCTTCCTACCCATGAGCATGGAATGTTCTTCCATTTGTTTGTATCCTCTTTTATTTCCTTGAGCAGTGGTTTATAGTTCTCCTTGAAGAGGTCCTTCACATCCCTTGTAAGTTGGATTCCTAGGTATTTTATTCTCTTTGAAGCAATTGTGAATGGAGTTCACTCATGATTTGGCTCTCTGTCTGTTACTGGTGTATAAGAATGCTTGTGATTTTTGTACATTGATTTTGTATCCTGAGACTTTGCTGAAGTTGCTTATCAGCTTAAGGAGATTTTGGGCTGAGACAATGGGGTTTTCTAGATATACAATCATGTCGTCTGCAAACAGGGACAATTTGACTTCCTCTTTTCCTAATTGAATACCCTTTATTTCCTTCTCCTGCCTAATTGCCCTGGCCAGAACTTCCAACACTATGTTGAATAGGAGTGGTGAGAGAGGGCATCCCTGTCTTCTGCCAGTTTTCAAAGGGAATGCTTCCAGTTTTTGCCCATTCAGTATGATATTGGCTGTGGGTTTGTCATAGATAGCTCTTATTATTTTGAAATACGTCCCATCAATACCTAATTTATTGAGAGTTTTTAGCATGAAGGGTTGTTGAATTTTGTCAAAGGCTTTTTCTGCATCTATTGAGATAATCATGTGGTTTTTGTCTTTGGCTCTGTTTATATGCTGGATTACATTTATTGATTTGCATATATTGAACCAGCCTTGCATCCCAGGGATGAAGCCCACTTGATCATGGTGGATAAGCTTTTTGATGTGCTGCTGGATTCCTTTTGCCAGTATTTTATTGAGGATTTTTGCGTCAATATTCATCAAGGATATTGGTCTAAAATTCTCTTTTTTGGTTGTGTCTCTGCCCGGCTTTGGTATCAGAATGATGCTGGCCTCATAAAATGAGTTAGGGAGGATTCCCTCTTTTTCTATTGATTGGAATAGTTTCAGAAGGAATGGTACCAGTTCCTCCTTGTACCTCTGGTAGAATTCGGCTGTGAATCCATCTGGTCCTGGACTCTTTTTGGTTGGTAAGCTATTGATTATTGCCACAATTTCAGATCCTGTTATTGGTCTATTCAGAGATTCAACTTCTTCCTGGTTTGGTCTTGGGAGAGTGTATGTGTCCAGGAGTTTATCCATTTCTTCTAGATTTTCTAGTTTATTTGTGTAGAGGTGTTTGTAGTATTCTCTGATGGTAGTTTGTATTTCTGTGGGATCGGTGGTGACATCCCCTTTATCATTTTTTATTGCATCTATTTGATTCTTCTCTCTTTTTTTCTTTATTAGTCTTGCTAGCGGTCTATCTATTTTGTTGATCCTTTCAAAAAACCAGCTCCTGGATTCATTAATTTTTTGAAGGGTTTTTTGTGTCTCTATTTCCTTCAGTTCTGCTCTGATTTTAGTTATTTCTTGGCTTCTGCTAGCTTTTGAATGTGTTTGCTCTTGCTTTTCTAGTTCTTTTAATTGTGATGTTAGGGTGTCAATTTTGGATCTTTCCTGCTTTCTCTTGTGGACATTTAGTGCTATAAATTTCCCTCTACACACTGCTCTGAATGTGTCCCAGAGATTCTGGTATGTTGTGTCTTTGTTCTCGTTGGTTTCAAAGAACATCTTTATTTCTGCCTTCATTTCGTTATGTACCCAGTAGTCATTCAGGAGCAGGTTGTTCAGTTTCCATGTAGTTGAGCAGTTTTGAGTGAGATTCTTAATCCTGAGTTCTAGTTTGATTGCACTGTGGTCTGAGAGATAGTTTGTTATAATTTCTGTTCTTTTACTTTTGCCGAGGAGAGCTTTACTTCCCAGTATGTGGTCAATTTTGGAATAGGTGTGGTGTGGTGCTGAAAAAAATGTATATTCTGTTGATTTGGGGTGGAGAGTTCTGTAGATGTCTATTAGGTCCACTTGGTGCAGAGCTGAGTTCAATTCCTGGGTATCCTTGCTGACTTTCTGTCTCGTTGATCTGTCTAATGTTGACAGTGGGGTGTTAAAGTCTCCCATTATTAATGTTTGGGAGTCTAAGTCTCTTTGTAGGTCACTCAGGACTTGCTTTATGAATCTGGGTGCTCCTGTATTGGGTGCATATATATTTAGGATAGTTAGCTCTTCTTGTTGAATTGATCCCTTTACCATTATGTAATGGCCTTCTTTGTCTCTTTTGATCTTCGTTGGTTTAAAGTCTGTTTTATCAGAGACTAGGATTGGAACCCCTGCCTTTTTTTGTTTTACATTTGCTTGGTAGATCTTCCTCCATCCTTTTATTTTGAGCCTATGTGTGTCTCTGCACGTGAGATGGGTTTCCTGAATACAGCACACTGATGGGTCTTGACTCTTTATCCAATTTGACAGTCTGTGTCTTTTAATTGGAGCATTTAGTCCATTTACATTTAAAGTTAATATTGTTATGTGTGAATTTGATCCTGTCATTATGATGTTAGCTGGTGATTTTGCTCGTTAGTTGATGCAGTTTCTTCCTAGTCTCGATGGTCTGTACATTTTTGCATGATTTTGCAGCGCCTGGTACCAGTTGTTCCTTTCCATGTTTAGTGCTTCCTTCAGGAGCTCTTGTAAGGCAGGCCTGGTAGTGACAAAATCTCTCAGCATTTGCTTGTCTGTAAAGTATTTTATTTCTCCTTCACTTATGAAGCTTAGTTTGGCTGGATATGAAATTGTGGGTTGAAAATTCTTTTCTTTAAGAATATTGAATATTGGCCCCCACTCTCTTCTGGCTTGTAGGGTTTCTGCCGAGAGATCCACTGTTAGTCTGACGGGCTTCCCTTTGAGGGTAACCCGACCTTTCTCTCTGGCTGCCCTTAACATTTTTTACTTCATTTCAACTTTGGTGAATCTGACAATTATGTGTCTTGGAGTTGCTCTTCTCAAGGAGTATCTTTGTGGCGTTCTCTGTATTTCCTGAATCTGAACGTTGGCCTGCCTTGCTAGATTGGGGAAGTTCTCCTGGATAATATCCTGCAGAGTGTTTTCCAACTTGGTTCCATTCTCCCCATCACTTTCAGGTACACCAGTCAGACGTAGATTTGGTCTTTTCACATAGTCCCATATTTCTTGGAGGTTTTGCTCATTTCTTTTTATTCTTTTTTCTCTAAACTTCCCTTCTCGCTTCATTTCATTCATTTCATCTTCCATCGCTGATATCCTTCCTTCCAGTTGATCACATCGGCTCCTGAGGCTTCTGCATTCTTCACGTAGTTCTCGAGCCTTGGTTTTCAGCTCCATCAGCTCCTTTAAGCACTTCTCTCTGTTGGTTATTCTAGTTATACATTCTTCTAAATTTTTTTCAAAGTTTTCAACTTCTTTGCCTTTGGTTTGAATGTCCTCCCGTAGCTCAGAGTAATTTGATCGTCTGAAGACTTCTTCTCTCAGCTCGTCAAAGTCATTCTCCATCCAGCTTTGTTCCGTTGCTGGTGAGGAACTGTATTCCTTTGGAGGAGGAGAGGCGCTCTGATTTTTAGAGTTTCCAGTTTTTCTGTTCTGTTTTTTCCCCATCTTTGTGGTTTTATCTACTTTTGGTCTTTGATGATGGTGATGTACAGATGGGTTTTTGGTGTTGATGTCCTTTCTGTTTGTTAGTTTTCCTTCTAACAGAGAGGACCCTCAGCTGCAGGTGTGTTGGAGTACCCTGACGTGTGAGGTGTCAGTGTTCCCCTGCTGGGGGGTGCCTCCCAGTTAGGCTGCTCGGGGGTCAGGGGTCAGGGACCCACTTGAGGAGGCAGTCTGCCTGTTCTCAGATCTCCAGCTGCGTGCTGGGAGAACCACTGCTCTCTTCAAAGCTGTCAGACAGGGACATTTAAGTCTGCAGAGGTTACTGCTGTCTTTTTGTTTGTCTGTGCCCTGCCCCCAGAGGTGGAGCCTACAGAGGCAGGCAGGCCTCCTTGAGCTGTGGTGGGCTCCACCCAGTTCGAGCTTCCTGGCTGCTCTGTTTACCAGCAAGCCTGGGCAATGGCGGGTGCCCCTCCCCCAGCCTCACTGCCGCCTTGCAGTTTGATCTCAGACTGCTGTGCTAGCAATCAGCGAGACTCCGTGGGCGTAGGACCCTCTGAGCCAGGTGCGGGATATAATCTCGTGGTGCGCCGTTTTTTAAGCCCGTCGGAAAAGCGCAGTATTCGGGTGGGAGTGACCCGATTTTCCAGGTGCCGTCTGTCACCCCTTTCTTTGACTCAGAAAGGGAACTCCCTGACCTGTTGCCCTTCCCAAGTGAGGCAATGCCTCGCCCTGCTTCGGCTGGCGCACCGTGCGTGCACCCACTGACCTGCGCCCATTGTCTGGCACTCCCTAGTGAGATGAACCGGGTACCTCAGATGGAAATGCAGAAATCACCTGTCTTCTGCATTGCTCAAGCTGGGAGCTGTAGACCGGAGCTGTTCCTAATGTTTGTTTCTTATCTTAATGAGGAAAGAACCTGGCTGGGTGCGGTGGCTCATGCCTGTAATCCCTGCAGTTTGGGAGGCTGAGGCGGGTGGATCACTTCAGGTCAGGAGTTCAAAACCAGCCTGGAAAACATAGTGAAACCCCATCTCTACTAAAAATACAAAAATTAACTGGACATGGTGGTGCCTGCCTGTAATCCCAGCTACTCAGGAGGCTGAGGCAAGAGAGTCACCTGAACCCGGGATGCAGAGGTTGCAGTGAGCCGGGATTGCACCACTACACTCCAGCCTGGGTGACAGAGTGAGACTTCATCTCAAAAAAAAAAAAAAAAAAGAAAGAAAAGAAAAGAAAAAAAGAACCTAATGCTCAACCTTGGTCCTATTCTCTATCTGTACTCACTGGCTTAGTAAAATAATTTAAATCCCTGGCCTTAAATATAATCACTATGCAAATGATATCCACAACTCTATTTCCAACTCAGCCTTTTCTCCCATACACCCACTTGTATATGCAAGAACCTACTTTCCATGTTTGCTATGATGTCTGATAAAAGTTTTAAACTAAACACATAAATAATTTAATTTCTGGACATCTCCTGAATATTTGCTCATTTCATTGCCTTTCTTATCTCAGTTTTTGACAACCACAACTTTTCACTTTTTAATTTAAAAAATGTGGAGCTTTCCTTGACACGTTTATTACACCATTCTCCAAAAACCGTTTCTTACTATGTTTGACTCAGTTTCAAAATACTGACAGAATCTGACCACTCTCTCCATCACCACTTCTAGAGCTGTGTACAAGTCACCATCATTTCTCGTAGGGATTATTAATCATCCTCTAAGTGGCCACAAGGATACTATTCTTGTACCTATAGTCTATTCTCAATACCACAGCCACAGTGAAATTGAAAATATAAGTCAGATCGTGTCACTCCAATGTTCAAAATCCTACAATAGCTCATTTCACTCAATAAAAATGCCAAAATACGTAAAGTGCCTCTAAAGCCCAATGTGATCCTCACCTTTCTATCTTGACAACTTTATTTCATAATTCTCTCTCCTTGGTCATTTTTGTAACCACACTGCTCTTCTCAATGTTTTCAATAGAGTAAGTCCTCCCTCAGTGCCATTAATATGTTATTGGAAACTACAACTTTAAGCAAAATGACATATAACAAAGACAATATACTTTTTCATCAATTTTTTAATGCTCTGCTGTACATCTTTTCACTTAAAGTCACAGTTTCCAAGAAACTATGGACAGTGTTAAGTAAGGACTTAGCAGGAAGTCCTTTGGAATGCTAACACCGGATTTTCACTCTGCCTGTAGTGCTTTTCTTGCACATACCTGCATCTACTTCATCTACTTTGTCCTGACTCAAATATCAATTTTCCAATAAAATGAATTCTGATCTTCCTATTTAAAATTGCGTATTTTCTCTTCCTTGCCTTATCGTTTTCCATTGTACTTATTAAGTAGTGTCATATCTTATTTTTAACTTACATGTTTTCTAAAAAACTCTTATCTATCCTCTCTTGTAAGCTCCATAAAGGAGACTATCTTTTTAATTTTACTGATAGTTCTACTCATATATCCCAATTGATTAGAGCAGCACCAGCACTAGTCACAGAGTAGCACTTAATAGATTGAATTAATCACCTGTTAATTGGTCTACAGAAAGAGATGGGTGCATTACTTTGTAAGACACAAACATAATGACACATTCAGAGATAAAGACAACTCAAACTAAAAAAAAAATAAAACTTAAAATATGTTTATATGCCATGACAGCATTTTTCACACCCAGAAAAGTTATCTATTTGTTACTTTTAAAAATCTACATTTTTTCATGCAATATTGTTTCAGTTAGAGAATAATGTATAGCAGCTGCCAATATAGTTAAAAATATTGCAGTGGGAGGTTAGTCTTTTTCAATGAGTTGCCATTTTTTTTGTTCTTATCAGTTTAATTATTTACCAAAGAACAGTTGAATTGCTGCTATGTTCTTCCCACATAAACAGAAATTTATTTTAAGTAAAATATAATTTTTTGTTTTAAGTATAAGTTTTTAGAAAAAAAATCTGATCTTACCTTTCTTTCTCTCATAAGAAATTACATCAAAATTCTATGTTTACTGAAAAAAGAAATCAATCAATCATTTCCTTTTACTTGTTACTAGTATTTGTCTCAACATATGGACTAACTAGGAAAGAAAGAAAAAAATAACCCTGCAGCTCAGAGCATCAGTCATACCGCAGAGAGGACTGCATGCCAAAAAGCCACTGATAAAAGTTAAAGCAAACAAAATCATAAGACTCAGACTTTAGCTGAAATATGTTAGAAGAGAAAACTGGGCCCAGGTGCAATGGCTCACGCCTGTAATCCCAGCACTTTGGGAAGCCGAGGCGTGCGGATCACGAGGTCAGGGATTGGAGACCAGTCTAGCCAACATTGTGAAACACTGTCTCTACTAAAAGATACCAAAAAAAAAAAAAAAAAAAAAAACCTAAACTAAAGTAAACTAAACTAAACTAAAATTAGCTGGGCCTGGTGTTGCATGCCTGTAATCCCAGCTACTCGGGAGGCTGAGGCAGGAGAATCGCTTGATCCCAGGAGGCGGAGTTGCAGTGAGTGGAGATCCCACCCCTGCACTCCAGCCTGGGCGACAGAGAGAGACTCGGAGAAAAAAAAAGAAGAAAGAAAGGAAGATTGATTAAATAAGAGTTTTAAATTATGAAGTCCCAAAAAAATTTAGAACACTCTTAGGCAAGAGAACAAACTACTACTTGCCATATTCACATTCTCCTAACTCTAGGGAAATTCAGTTTAAGTAAATTTGATGAGTAAGTTTTCCCCTGGAGATACAAAGGATGGGAATCCAGCCCTATGTCTTGAATTCATACAAAGTATATTTTTATATGAGAAATCTCTAAGAGGTGCTGTGCCTGAGAGTTGGAAATTTGTATTGTATTAAAATAGATTAGAGAAAGTGCTGTATTCCAGTGTCCTTGTATCACAGAGGCAGGACACTATCCGGAGGCAAAGAAGGTTTAGAGATGCTTTTGAGGTTTGCTTGGTTTCTCCTAAGTTCCTAAAAAGCCAACTTTATATAAAATGAAAGCTAGAGTTACTGAATGTTTCTTTGAAAAAAAAAAAACCTTTGAGACCCCAAAGTATTATATTAGACACTGCAACCTGGATATCATAATGAAAATGAAACCTGACCTATGAATACATAAAAGTTTTACCAACAGCTTTTTCTACATTATCTAGGTAGTTGCTGGTTCTTCTCTTCTTCCATCTCAAACTCATGAATTATATAACTAACTCCTTAATTCACTTGAAACGTCACCATCATCTTCATCACTAATTTAAGCAAGTCTACATTCTTTATTTTCATGTAGTGAAATGTATTGCGCTATTCCATTATTATTAAGTCTGAATTTTATTAAAACAACACTAAAATATAAATTATTAAATGTTTTATAGATAAAATACTAATTTCAACCTTTACTATGTTGTATATAACATTATTTGAGGAATTTCAGTAAAAGTATTTACTACAAACAAATATGATTACATGTAGTATATAAGGGATTGACTTTAGCTCAAATTCAAAATAACAAATTTACAAACAGGCATTCTTCATTAATCAACCAACAGAATTAAAAATAGAAGACATTGATATTTTTATTTTTCCAACTTGTCTGGCATTCTTAAATTATGTAATTAAAATTAATTGTTTTGGAAATGTGCTTAACATAAGTTAGGTATTAAAATTACTTTTAGTAATAATATTAAATTTTTAATTCCATGTGAAAATCCGTACTCATGGTTCAACTACTAGATTTGACATTTGTGGAATTATCACTCATTGACTCAACAATGCATTTTTAATAAACATTTTATAGTTTATCACCTTTCTTTATACAGTATTTAGTTGATACATCTAGTGTTTAGGATCTCAATAGGCCTATTAAAAACACTAGAAACTGGATCTCTGTATTATATTCTGTATTACTGGGACAACTTATAGTATATTGTTGTTGTTATTGTTATCTGGTCTTTCTGGTACAAGATGAAAATTTTATATTTCCATGGTCTCTTGCAAGGTTATTTTGTTTCTTCATTCTTATCCATATAAAAACCTTTAGAAACAGTTTTTCTTTATCAAGATTCTTTTTAAATTAATTTAGTAGCAAGGTTTGTTTTTTTGTTTGTTTGTTTTGTTTTGTTTTTCAGACGGAGCCTTGCTCTGTCGCCCAGGCTGGAGTGCAGTGGTGTGATCTCTGCTCACTGCAAGCTCCGCCTCCTGAGTTCAAGCGATTCTTCTTCCTCAGCCTCCTGAGTAGCTGGGATTACAGGCACATGCCATCGTGCCCGGATAATTCTTGTATTATTACTAGAGATGGGGTTTCACCATATTGGCCAGACTGATCTGGAACTCTGGACCTCGTGATCTACCAGCCTTGGCCTCCCAAAGTTTTTTTTTTTTTTTTTTTTTTTCTTTAACTACACTGAAATATTTCTATTACATCAACTTTAATTAAAATCAAGATTTTATATAATTTACAATTGCTCATCTGTGCAACATAAATAACCAGGCAGCTATAAAAATGTTGCTTAAATTTATAAAATAACTGTTGAGAAATCAATTTTCGTATAATTTTTAGTGAGATTAAAATTTTAAAAAAAGTTCTCAATAATGGAATATGTTTTCAAAACCCAGTGTTTACATGATATAGTTGCCTATTTACATCAGTCATATCACCTGTTGATTAAGATTTATATCCTAAACAATGACGTTTATATTCCAAAATAGTACTTTTTACATTAAAATTTAGTATTAAAATCAGATAGCTTTAGATTTAGATTACAGCTCTTCCACCTAATAGAGGAGCTCTTAATTTCTCAATATGTTTTACTTTGTTGCCTTTACATGAAAAGTGTTAAATGTGCCTACTTTATCATATTTGGGAGCTAATTAAATGAAATCATGTATAAAAATAATTTGCACATTTTCTGGCCCATAGCAATCACCATGTCAGGGAAAAAGTCATGTAATCACCAAATCTCGTATTTTTTTTTTTAATTCCTGTGCATGAAGGAAAAGGATATTGCACTTACATAACACTAACCAGTTCTACCAGAGGAAAAGGAGTGTTACTTCTGGGCTGAAGAAGTGAAGAACCAGTGCTCCTGCTTTATTGTCTGCCTCACTTTCTC